>NC_000005.10:63859807-64484807 GCF_000001405.40 Homo sapiens | reverse complement strand
CACACCTGGCTCAGCGGGTCCCTATGCCCATGGAGCCTTGTTCACTCCTAGGCAGAGATCAAACTGCCAGGTGGCAAGCCTGGCTGGGGTAGGGGCGTCCACCATTGCTGAGGATTGAGTAGGTACACAAAGCTGCTGGGAAGCTCGAACTGGGTGGAGCCCACCACAGCTCAACGAGGCCCACCTGCCTCTGTAGACTCCACCTCTGGAGGCAGGGCATAGCTGAACAAAAGGCAGCAGAAACTTCTGCACACTTAATCGTCCCTGTCTGACAGCTCTGAAGAGAGCAGTGGTTCTCCCAGCATGGTATTTGAGCTCTGAGAATGGACAAGTGGGTCCCTGACCCACGTGTAGCCTAACTTGGAGATACCTCTCAGTAGGGGCTGACTTACACCTCATACAGACAGGTGCCCCTCTGAGAGGAAGCTTCCAGAGGAAGGATCAGGCAGCAATATTTTCTGTTCTGCAATATTTGCTGTTCTGCAGCCTCCGCTGGTGAAACCCAGGCAAACAGGGTCTGGAGTGGACCTCCAGCAAACTCCAACAGACCAGCAGCTGAGGGACCTGACCGTTAGAAGGAAAACCAACAAACAGAAAGGAATAGCATCAATGTCAACAAAAAGGACATCCACACCAAAACCCCATCTGTAGGTCACCATCACCAAAGACCAAAGGTAAATAAAACCACAAAGATGGGGAGAAACCAGAGCAGAAAAGTTGAAAATTCTAAAAACCAGAGCGCCCCTTCTCCTCCAAAGGATTGCAGCTCCTTGCCAGCAATGGAACAAAGCAGGACGGAGAATGACTTTGATGAGTTCTCAGAAGTAGGCTTCAGAAAGTCGATAATAACAAACTTCTCTGAGCTAAAGGAGTATGTTTGAACCCATCACAAGGAAGCTAAAAACCTTGAAAAAAGATTAGATGAATGGCTAATTAGAATAAACAGTGTAAAGAAGACCTTAAATGACCTGATGGAGCTGAAAACCATGGCACGAGAACTAGTGACACATGCACAAGCTTCAGTAGCTGATTCAATCAAGTGGAAGAAAGGGTATCAGTGATTGAAGATCAAATGAATGAAATGAAGCAAGAAGAGAAGTTTAGAGAAAAAAGAGTAAAAAGAAACGAACAAAGCCTCCAAGAAATATGGGACTATGTTAAAAGACGAAATCTGTTTGATTGGTGTACCTGAAAGTGACAGGGAGAATGGAACCATGCTGGAAAACACTCTTCAGGATATTATCCGGGATAACTCCCCCAACCTAGCAAGGCAGGCCAACATTCAAATTCAGGAAATACAGAGAATACCACAAAGATACTCCTTGAGAAGAGCAACCCCAAGACACATAATTATCAGATTCACCAAGGTTGAAATGAAGGAAAATATGCTACGGGCAGCCAGAGAGAAAGGTCGCGATACCCACAAAGGGAAGCCCATCAGACTAACAGTGGATCTCTTGGCAGAAACCCTACAAGCCAGACAAGAGTGGGGGCCAATATTCAACATTCTTTTTTTTTTCAAGGGAGTATTAATACATGTTTTATTTTATTTTATTTTATTATTATTATACTTTAAGTTTTACGGTAATGTGCACAATGTGCAGGTTAGTTACATATGTATACATGTGCCATGCTGCAGTGCTGCACCCATTAACTCGTCATTTAGCATTAGGTATATCTCCTAATGCTATCCCTCCCCCATCCCCTCACCCCACAACAGTCCCCAGAGTGTGATGTTCCCCTTCCTGTGTCCATGTGTTCTCATTGTTCAATTCCCACCTATGAGTGAGAACATGCGGTGTTTGGTTTTTTGTCCTTGTGATAGTTTACTGACAATGATGATTTCCAATTTCATCCATGTCCCTATAAAGGACATGAACTCATCATTTTTTTATGGCTGCATAGTATTCCATGGTGTATATGTGCCACATTTTCTTAATCCAGTCTATCTTTGTTGGATATTTGGGTTGGTTTCAAGTCTTTGCTATTGTGAATAGTGCCACAATAAACATCCATGTGCATGTGTCTTTATAGCAGCATGATTTATAGTCCTTTGGGTATATACCCAGTAATGGGATGGCTGGGTCAAATGGTATTTCTAGTTCTAGATCCCTGAGGAATCGCCACACTGACTTCCACAATGGTTGAACTAGTTTACATTCCCACCAACAGTGTAAAATATTCCTATTTCTCCACATCCTCTCCAGCACCTGTTGTTTCCTGACTTTTTAATGATTGCCATTCTAACTGGTGTGAGAAGGTATCTCATTGTGGTTTTGATTTGCATTTCTCTGATGGCCAGTGATGGTGAGCATTTTTTCATGTGTTTTTTGGCTGCATAAATGTCTTCTTTTGAGAAGTGTCTGTTCATGTCCTTTGCCCACTTTTTGATGGGGTTGTTTTTTTCTTGTAAATTTGTTTGAGTTCATTGTAGATTCTGGATATTAGCCCTTTGTCAGATGAGTAGGTTGTGAAAATTTTCTCCCATTTTGTAGGTTGTCTGTTTACTCTAATGGTAGTTTCTTTTGCTGTGCAGAAGCTTTTTAGTTTAATGAGATCCCATTTGTCAATTTTGGCTTTTGTTGCCATTGCTTTTGGTGTTTTTGACATGAAGTCCTTGCCCATGCCTATGTCCTGAATGGTAATGCCTAGGATTTCTTCTAGGGTTTTTATGGTTTTAGGTCTAACATTTAAGTCTTTTATCCATCTTGCATTAATTTTTGTATAAGGTGTAAGGAAGGGATCCAGTTTCAGCTTTCTCCATATGGCTATCCAGTTTTCCCAGTAGCATTTATTAAATAGGGAATCCTTTCCCCATTGCTTCTTTTTCTCAGGTTTGTCAAAGATCAGATAGTTGTAGATATGTGGCATTATTTCTGAGGGCTCTGTTCAGTTCCACTGGTTTATAGCTCTGTTTTGGTACCAGTACCATGCTGTTTTGGTTACTGTAGCCTTGTAGTATAGTTTGAAGTGAGGTAGCGTGATGCCTCCAGCTTTGTTCTTTTGGCTTAGGATTGATTTGGCGATGCGGGCTCTTTTTTGGTTCCATGTGGACTTTAAAGTAGTTTTTTCCAATTCTGTGAAGAAAGTCATTGGTAGCTTGATGGGGATGGCACTGAAACTATCAATTACCTTGGGCAGTATGGCCATTTTCACGATATTGATTCTTCCTATCCATGAGCATGGAATGTTCTTCCATTTGTTTGTGTCCTCTTTTATTTCATTGAGCAGTTGTTTGTAGTTCTCCTTGAAGAGGTCCTTCATGTCCCTTGTAAGTTGGATTCCTAGGTATTTTATTCTCTTTGAAGCAATTGTGAATGGGAGTTCACTCCTGATTTGGCTCTCTGTTTGTCTGTTATTGGTGTATAAGAATGCTTGTGATTTTTGTACATTGATTTTGTATCCTGAGACTTTGCTGAAGTTGCTTATCAGCTTAAGGAGACTTTGGGCTGAGACAATGGGGTTTTCTAGATATACTATCATGTCATCTGCAAACAGGAACAATTTGACTTCCTCTTTTCCTAATTGAATACCATTTATTTCCTTCTCCTGCCTAATTGCCCTGGCCAGAACTTCCAACACTATGTTGAATAGGAGTGGTGAGAGAGGGCATCCCTGTCTTGTGCCAGTTTTCAAAGGGAATGCTTCCAGTTTTTGCCCATTCAGTATGATATTGGCTGTGGGTTTGTCATAGATAGCTCTTATTATTTTGAGATACATCCCATCAATACCTAATTTATTGAGAGTTTTTAGCATGAAGGGTTGTTGAATTTTGTCAAAGGCCTTTTTCTGCATCTATTGAGATAATCATGTGGTTTTTGTCATTGGTTCTGTTTATATGCTGGATTACATTTATTGATTTGCATATATCAAACCAGCCTTGCATCCCAGGGGTGAAGCCCACTTGATCATGGCGGATAAGCTTTTTGATGTGCTGCTGGATTCGGTTTGCCAGTATTTTATTGAGGATTTTTGCATCAATGTTCATCAAGGATATTGGTCTAAAATTCTCTTTTTTGGTTGTGTCTCTGCCCGGCTTTGGTATCAGGATGATGCTGGCCTCATCAAATGAGTTAGGGAGGATTCCTTCTTTTTCTATTGATTGGAATAGTTTCAGAAGGAACGGTACCAGTTCCTCCTTGTACCTCTGGTAGAATTCGGCTGTGAATCCATCTGGTCCTGGACTCTTTTTGTTGGTAAGCTATTGATTATTGCCACAATTTCAGAGCCTGTTATTGGTCTATTCAGAGATTCAACTTCTTCCTGGTTTAGTCTTGGGAGGGTGTATGTGTCGAGGAATTTATCCATTTCTTCTAGATTTTCTAGTTTATTTGCGTAGAGGTGTTTGTAGTATTCTCTGATGGTAGTTTGTATTTCTGTGGGATCAGTGGTGATAACCCCTTTATCATTTTTTATTGCATCTATTTGATTCTTCTCTCTTTTCTTCTTTATTAGTCTTGCTAGTAGTCTATCAATTTTGTTGATCCTTTCAGAAAACCAGCTCCTGGATTCATTAATTTTTTGAAGGGTTTTTTTGGTCTCTATTTCCTTCGGTTCTGCTCTGATTTTAGTTATTTCTTGTCTTCTGCTAGCTTTTGAATGTGTTTGCTCTTGCTTTTCTAGTTCTTTTAATTGTGATGTTAGGGTGTCAATTTTGGATCTTTCCTGCTTTCTCTTGTGGGCATTTAGTGCTATAAATTTCCCTCTACACACTGCTTTGAATGTGTCCCAGAGATTCTGGTATGTTGTGTCTTTGTTATCATTGGTTTCAAAGAACATCTTTATTTCTGCCTTCATTTCGTTATGTACTCAATAGTCATTCAGGAGCAGGTTGTTCAGTTTCCATGTAGTTGAGTGGTTTTGAGTGAGTTTCTTAATCCTGAGTTCTAGTTTGATTGCACTGTGGTCTGAGAGATAGTTTGTTATAATTTCTGTTCTTTTACATTTGCTGAGGAGAGCTTTACTTCCAACTATGTGGGCAATTTTGGAATAGGTGTGGTGTGGTGCTGAAAAAAATGTATATTCTGTTGATTTGGGGTGGAGAGTTCTGTAGATGTCAATTAGGTCCGCTTGGTGCAGAGCTGAGTTCAATTCCTGGGTATCCTTGTTAACTTTCTGTCTCGTTGATCTGTCTAATGTTGACAGTGGGGTGTTAAAGTCTCCCATTATTACTGTGTGGGAGTCTAAATCTCTTTGTAGGTCACTCAGGACTTGCTTTATGAATCTGGGTGTTCCTGTATTGGGTGCATATATATTTAGGATAGTTAGCTCTTCTTGTTGAATTGATCCCTTTACCATTATGTAATGGCCTTCTTTGTCTCTTTTGATCTTTGTTGGTTTAAAGTCTGTTTTATCAGAGACTAGGATTGCAACCACTGCCTTTTTTTTTGTTTTCCATTTGCTTGGTAGATCTTCCTCCATCCTTTTATTTTGAGCCTATGTGTGTCTCTGCACGTGAGATGGGTTTCCTGAATACAGCACACTGATGGGTCTTGACTCTTTATCCAATTTGCCAGTCTGTGTGTTTTAATTGGAGCATTTAGTCCATTTACATTTAAAGTTAATATTGTTATGTGTGAATTTGATCCTGTCATTATGATGTTAGCCGGTTATTTTGCTCGTTAGTTGATGCAGTTTCTTCCTAGCCTCGATGGTCTTTACAATTTGGCATGATTTTGCAGTGGCTGGTACCAGTTGTTCCTTTCCATGTTTAGTGCTTCCTTCAGGAGCTCTTTTAGGGCAGGCCTGGTGGTGACAAAATCTCTCAGCATTTCCTTGTCTGTAAAGGATTTTATTTCTCCTTCACTTATGAAGCTTAGTTTGGCTGGATATGAAATTCTGGGTTGAAAATTCTTTCCTTTCCTTTAAGAATGTTGAATATTGGCCCCCACTCTCTTCTGGCTTGTAGAGTTTCTGCCGAGAGATCAGCTGTTAGTCTGATGGGCTTCCCTTTGTGGGAAACCCGACCTTTCTCTCTGGCTGCCCTTAACATTTTTTCCTTCATTTCAACTTTGGTGAATCTGACAATTATGTGTCTTGGAGTTGCTCTTCTCGAGGAGTATCTTTGTGGTGTTCTCTGTATTTCCTGAATCTGAATGTTGGCCTGCCTTGCTAGATTGGGGAAGTTCTCCTGGATAATATACTGCAGAGTGTTTTCCAACTTGGTTCCATTCTCCCCGTCACTTTCAGGTACACCAATCAGACGTAGATTTGGTCTTTTCACATAGTCCCATATTTCTTGGAGGCTTTGTTCATTTCTTTTTATTCCTTTTTCTCTAAACTTCCCTTCTCGCTTCATTTCATTCATTTCATCTTCCATCACTGATACCCTTTCTTCCGGTTGATCGCATTGGCTCCTGAGGCTTCTGCATTCTTCACGTAGTTCTGGAGCCTTGGCTTTCAGTTCCATCAGCTCCTTTAAGCACTTTTCTGTATTGGTTATTCTAGTTATACATTCGTCTAAATTTTTTTCAAAGTTTTTAACTTCTTTGCCTTTGGTTTGAATTTTCTCCTGTAGCTCGGAGTACTTTGATTGTCTGAAGCCTTCTTCTCTCAACTCGTCAAAGTCATTCTCCGTCCAGCTTTGTTCCATTGCTGGTGAGGAACTGGGTTCCTTTGGAGGAGGAGAGGCGCTCTGCTTTTTAGAGTTTCCAGTTTTTCTGCTCTGTTTTTTCCCCACTTTGTGGTTTTATCTACTTTTGGTCTTTGATGATGGTGATGTACTGATGGGTTTTTGGTGTGGATGTCCTTTCTGTTTGTTAGTTTTCCTTCTACCAGACAGGACCCTCAGCTGCAGGTCTGTTGGAGTTTGCTAGAGGTGCACTCCAGACCCTGTTTGCCTGGGTATCAGCAGCGGTGGCTGCAGAACAGTGGATTTTCGTGAACTGCGAATGCTGCTGTCTGTTTGTTCCTCTGGAAGTTTTGTCTCAGAGGAGTACCCGGCCGTGTGATGTGTCAGTCTGCCCCTACTGGGGGGTGCCTCTCAGTTAGGCTGCTCCAGGGTCAGGGGTCAGGGACCCACTTGAGGAGGCAGTCTGCCCGTTCTCAGATCTCCAGCTGCGTGCTGGGAGAACCACTGCTCTCTTCAAAGCTGTCAGACAGGGACATTTAAGTCTGCAGAGGTTACTGCTGTCTTTTTGTTTGTCTGTGCCCTACCCCCTGAGGTGGAGCCTACAGAGGCAGGCAGGCTTCCTTGAGCTGTGATGGGCCCCACCCAGTTAGAGCTTCCCAGCTGCTTTGTTTACCTAAGCAAGCCTGGACAACGGTGGGTGTCCCTCCCCCAGCCTCGCTGCTGCCTTGCAGTTTGATCTCAGACTGCTGTGCTAACAATCAGCCAGACTCCATGGGCGTAGGACCCTCTGAGCCAGGTGTGGGATATATTCTCCTGGTGCGCTGTTTTTTAAGCCCATCGGAAAAGCACAGTATTAGGGTGGGAGTGACCCGATTTTCCAGGTGCCGTCTGTCACCCATTTCTTTGACTAGGAAAGGGAACTCCCTGACCCCTTGTGCTTCCCAAGTGAGGCAATGCCTCGCCCTGCTTCAGCTGGCACACGGTGCACTGCACCCACTGTCCTGAGCCCACTGTCTGGCACTCCCTAGTGAGATGAACCCGGTACCTCAGATGGAAATGCAGAAATCACCCATCTTCTGCGTCGCTCACACTGGGAGCTGTAGACCCAGTGTAAGAGCTGTTCCTATTCAGCCATCTTGGCTTCCAGCTCTCTAGTTCTTTTAATTGTGATGTTAGGTGTCAATTTTAGATCTTTCCCACTTTATCCTTTGGGCATTTAGTGCTGTAAATTTCCCTGTAAACACTGCTTTAGCTGTGTCCCGGAGATTCTGGTACATTCTGTCTTTGTTCTCATTGGTTTCAAAGAACTTTATTTCTGCCTTCATGTCATTATTTATCCAGTAGTCATACAGGAGTGGGTTTCCATGTAGTTATGCAGTTTTGAGTGAGTTTCTTAATCCTGAGTTCTAGTTTGATTGCACTGTGGTCTGAGAGACAGTTTGTTATGATTTCTGTTCTTTTGTATTTGCTGAGAAATGTTTCACTTCCAATTATGTGATCAGTTTTAGCATAAGTGTGATGTAGTGCTGAGAAGAATGTATATTCGGCTGATTTGGGGTGGAGAGTTCTGTAGATGTCTATTAGGTCCACTTGGTCCAGAGCTGAGTTCAAGTCCTGAATATTTTTGTTCATTTTCTGTCTCTTTTATCTAATATTGACAGTGGGGTGTTAAAATCTCCCACTATTATAGTGTGGGAGTCTAGTTCTTTTTGTAGGTCTCTAAGAACTTGCTTTATTAATCTGGGTGCCCTGAATGGTTCCCTGTATATTTAGAATAGTTAGCTCTTCTTGTTACATTAATCCATTTACTATTACATAATGCCTTTCTTTGTCTTTTTTGATCTTTGTCGGTTTAAAGTATGTTATATCAAAGGCTAAGATTGCCACCTCTGCTTTTTTTGCTTTCCATTTCCTTGGTAAATATTGTTCCATCCCTTTATTTTGAGCCTATGTGTTTCTTTGCACATGAGATGGGTCTACTGAATACAGCACACTGATGGGTCTTGACTCTTTATCCAATTTGCTAACCTGTGTCTTTTAATTGGGGCCTTTAACCTGTTTACATTTAAGGTTAATATTGTTTTGTGCGAATTTGATCCTGTTCATAGTGTCAATGGCCTTTACAATTTGGTATGTTTTTGCAGTGGCTGGTACTGGTTTTTCCTTTCCATATTTAGTGCTTCCTTCAGGAGCTCTTGTAGGGCAGGCCTGGTGGTGACAAAATCTCTCAGCATTTGCTTGTCCGTAAAAGATTTTATTTCTCCTTCACTTATGACCTTAGTTTGGCTGGATATGAAATTCTCGGTTGAAAATTCTTCTCTTTAAGAATGTTTAATATTGGTCCCCACTCTCTTCTGGCTTATAGGGTTTCTGCAGAGAGATCTGCTGTTAGTCAAATGGGCTTTTCTTTATGGGTAACCCAACCTTTCTCTCTGGCTGCACTTAACATTTTTTCCTTCATTTCAACCTTGGTGAATCTGACAATTATATGTCTTGGGGTTGCTCTTCTTGAGGAGTATCTCTGTGGTGGTCTCTGTATGCCCTGAGTTTGAATGTTGGTTGGTCTTGCTAGGATGGCAAAGTTGTCCTGGATAATATCCTGAAGAGTGTTTTCCAACTTGGTTCCATTCTCCCCATCACTTTCATGTACACCAATCAAACATAGATTTGGTCTTTTCACATAGTCCCTTATTTCTTGGAGGCTTTGTTCATTACTTTTCGTTCTTTTTTCTGTAATCTTGTCTTCCTGCTTTATTTCATTAAGTTGATCTCCAATCTCTGATATCATTTCTTCTGCTCGATCGATTCAGCTATTGAAGTTTGTGTATGCTTCACAAAGTTCTCATGCTGTGTTTTTCAGCTCCATCACATCATTTATGTTCTTCTCTAAGCTGGTTATTCTAGTTAGCAATTTCTCTAACCTTTTTCAAGGATCTTAGCTTCCTTGCATTGGGTTACAACATGCTACTTTAGCTTGGAGGAGTTTGTTATTCCCCACCTTCTGAAGCCTACTTCTGTCAATTCTTCAAATTCATTCTCCATCCAATTTTGTTCCCTTGCTGGTAAGGAGTTGTGATCCTCTGGAGGAGAGGAGGCATTCTGGTCTTAGGAATTTTCAGCCTTTTTGTGCTGGTTTGTCCTCATCTTCATGGATTTATCTACCTTTGGTCTTTGATGTTGGTGACCTTTTGATGGGGTTTTTGTGTGGACTATTTTTTGTTGATTTTGATGCTGGTCCTTTCTGTTTGTTAGTTTTCCTTCTAACAGTCAGGCTCCTCTGCTGCAGGTCTGCTGGAGTTTGCTGGAGGTCCACTCCAGACCCTGTTCTCCTGGGTATCACCAGCAGAGGCTGCAGAACAGCAAAGATTGCTGCCTGATCCTTCCTCTGCAAGATTCGTCCCAGAGGGGCACCCACCAGATGCCAGCCAGAGCTCTCCTGTATGAGGTGTCTGTCGACCCCTGCTGGGAGGTGTCTCCCAGTCAGGAGGCATGAGGGTCAGGGACCCACTTGAGAAAGCAGTCTGTCCCTTAGCAGAGCTCGAGCACTGTGCTGGGGGATCCACTGCTCTCTTCAGAGCCAGCAGGCAGGAATCTTTAAGTCTGCTGAAGCTGCGCCCACAGCCGCCCCTTCCCCCAGGTGCTCTGTCCCAAGAAGATGAGATGGGAATTTTATGTATAAGCTGTGACTGGGGCTGCTGCCTTTCTTTCAGAGATGCCGTACCCAGAGAGGAGGAATCTAGAGAGGCAGTCTGGCTACAGCGGCTTTGCTGAGCTGTGGTGGGCTCAGCCCAGTTCCAACTTCCCAGAGGCTTTGTTTACACCTTAAGAGGAAAACTGCCTACTCAAGCCTCAGTGATGGTGGACGCCTCTCCCCGCCACCAAGCTGGAGCATTCCAGGTCTACTTCAGACTGCTGTGCTGGCAGTAAGAATTTCAAGCTAGTGGATCTTAGCTTGCTGGACTCCATGGGGATGGGATCCACTGAGCAAGACCACTTGGCTCCCTGGCTTTAGTCCCCTTCCAGGGAGTGAACAGTTCTGTCTCACTGGCATTCCAGGCACAACTAGGGTATGAAAAAAAACTCCCACAGCTAGCTCAGTGTCTGCCCAAATGGCTGTGCAGTTTTGTGCTTGAAACCCAGGGCCCAGGTGGTGTAGGCACCCAAGGGAATCTCCTGGTCTGCAGGTTGTAAAGACCCTGGGAAAAGCATAGTATCTGAGATGGAGTGCACTGTTCCTCACAGCACAGTCCCTCAGGGCTTCCCTTGATTAGGGGAGGGAGTTCCCCAACCCCTTGCACTTCCCAGGTGAGGTGACACTGCACCCTACTTTTGCTCACCCTCCGTGGGCTGCATCCACTGTCTAAGCAGTCCCATTGAGATGAGTCTGGTACCTCAGTTGGAAATGTTGAAATCACCCACCTTCTGCATTGATCTCACTGGGAGCTGCAGACTGGAGCTGTTCCTATTCAGCCATCTTGCCCAGGTATATCATCTTTTTTTTATACTACCAGTGATCAATCTGAGAATGAAATTAAGAAAACAAATTCATTCATAATAGCATCAAAAATAACAAAATACTTAGGAATAGATTTAGCAAAAGGTGGGGCTGACTGGTATACCACAAACTACAAAATATCATTGAGAAAAATTAGAGAAATTCTAAATAAATGGAGAGATAGTCTATATTCATGGATTTGAGGCTCAGTATTGTTAAGATGTCAGCTCTCTCCAGACTGATCTATTCAATACAATTCCTATTAAAATCCATTCAGGTTATTTTGCAGAAATTGACAATCATGTCATCTGCAAACAGGGACAATTTGACTTCCTCATTGCCTAATTGAATACCCCTTATCTCTTTCTCTTGCCTTTGTGAGACAATGGGGTTTTCAATACAATTCCTATTAAAATCCATTCATGTTATTTTGCAGAAATTGACAATCATGTCATCTGTAAACAGGGACAATTTGACTTCCTCTTTTCCTAATTGAATACCCTTTATTTCTTTCTCTTGCCTGATTGCCCTGGCCAGAAGTTCCAACATTATGTTGAATAGGAGTGGTGAGAGAGGGCATCCCTGTCTTGTGCCGGTTTTCAAAGGGAATGCTTCCAGTTTTTGCCCATTCAGTATGATACTGGCTGTGGGTTTGTCATAAATAGCTCTTATTATTTTGAGATACATTCCATCGATACCTAATTTATTGAGAGTTTTTAGCATGAAGGTTTGTTGAATTTTGTCAAAGGCCTTTTCTGCATCTATTGAGATAATCATGTGGTTTTTGTCATTGGTTCTGTTTATATGTTGGATTACATTTATTGATTTGTGTATATTGAACCAGCCTTGCATCCCAGGGATGAAGCCCACTTGATCATGGCGGATAAGCTTTTTGATGTGCTGCTGGATTCGGTTTGCCAGTATTTTATTGAGGATTTTTGCATCAATGTTCATCAGGGATATTGGTCTAAAAATTCTCTTTTTTTGTTGTGTCTCTGCCAGGTTTTGGTATCAGGATGATGCTGGCCTCATAAAATGAGTTAGGGAGGATTCCCTCTTTTTCTATTGATTGGAATAGTTTCAGAAGGAATGGTACCAGCTCCTCTTTGTACCTCTGGTAGAATTTGGCTGTGAATCATCTGGTCCTTGACTTTTTTTGGTTGGTAGGCTATTAATTATTGCCTCAATTTCAGGCCTGTTATTGGTCTATTCAGAGATTCAACTTCTTCCTGGTTTAGTCTGGGGAGGGTGTATGTGTCCAGGAATTTATCCATTTCTTCTAGATTTTCTAGTTTATTTGCATAGAGGTGTTTATAGTATTCTCTGATGGTAGTTTGTATTTCTGTGGGATCAGTGGTGATATTCCCTTTATCATTTTTCAATGTGTCTATTTGATTCTTTTCTCTTTTCTTCTTTATTAGTCTTGTTAGCAGTCTACCAATTTTGTGGATCTTTTCAAAAAACCAGCTCATGGATTCATTGATTTTTTGAAGGGTTTTTGTGTCTCTATCTCCTTCAGTTCTGCTCTGATCTTAATTATTTCTTGCCTTCTGTTAGCTTTTGAATTTGTTTGCTCTTGCTTCTCTAGTTCTTTTAATTGTGGTATTGATTTTAGATCTTTCCTGCTTTCTGTTGTGGACATTTAGTGGTATAAATTTCCCTCTACACACTGCTTTAAATGTGTCTCAGAGATTCTGGTATGTTGTGTCTTTGTTCTCATTGATTTCAGAGAAGATCTTTATTTTTGCCTTCATTTTTTTTTGTCATTCAGGAGCAGATTGTTCAGTTTCCATGTAGTTGTGCAGTTTTGAGTGAGTTTCTTATTCCTGAGTTCTAATTTTATTGCACTGTTGTCTGAGAGACAGTTTGTTGTGATTTCTGTTCTTTTACATTTGCTGAGGAGTGCTTTACTTCCAACTATGTGGTCAATTTTGGAATAAGTATGATGTGGTGCTGAGAAGAATGTATATTCTGTTGATTTGGGGTGGAGAGTTCTGTAGATGTCTATTAGGTCTGTTAGGTGCAGAGCTGAATTCAAGTCCTGGATATCCTTGTTAACCTTCTGTCTCATTGATCTAATATTGACAGTGGGGTGTTAAAGTCTCCCATTATTATTGTGTGGGAGTCTAAGTCTCTTTGTAGATCTCTCAGGACTTGCTTTATGAATCTGGGTGCTCCTGTATTGGTTGCATATATATTTAGGATAGTTAGCTCTCTTCTTGTTGAATTGATCCCTTTACCATTATGTAATGGTCTTCTTTGTCTCTTTTGATCTTTGTTGGTTTAAAGTCTTTTTTATCACAGACTGGGCTTGCAACCCCTGCTCTTTTTTTGCTTTCCATTTGCTTGGTAGATCTTCCTCCATCCCTTTATTTTGAGCCTATATATGTCTCTGCACATGAGATAGGTCTTCTGAATACAGCACACTGATGGGTCTTGACTCTTTATCCATTTTGACAGGCTGTGTCTTTCAATTGGGGGCATTTAGCCCATTTACCTTTAAGGTTAATATTGTTATGTGTGAATTTGATCCTGTCATTATGATGTTAGGAGGTTATTTTGCCCTTTAGTTGAGGCAGTTTCTTCTTAGCATCGATGGTCTTTACAATTCACGTATTTTTGCAGTGGCTTGTACTGGTTGTTCCTTTCCATGTTTAGTGCTTCCTTCAGGAGCTCTTTTAGGGCATGCCTGGTGGTGACAAAATCTCTCAGCATTTGCTTATCTGTGAAGGATTTTATTTCTCCTTCACTTATGAAGCATAGTTTGGCTGGATATGAACTTCTGGGTTGAAGATTCTTTTCTTTAAGAATGTTGAGGGGTCTGGCAGCCAAGATGGCCAAATAAGAACAGCTCTGCTTTACAGCTCCCAGTGTGAGCGACGCAGAAGATGGGTGATTTCTGCATTTCCATCTGAGGTACTGGGTTCATCTCACTAGGGAGTGCCAGACAGTGGGCTCAGGACAGTGGGTGCAGTGCACCGTGTGCCAGCTGAAGCAGGGCGAGGCATTGCCTCACTTGGGAAGCACAAGGGGTCAGGGAGTTCCCTTTCCTAGTCAAAGAAATGGGTGACAGACGGCACCTGGAAAATCGGGTCACTCCCACCCTAATACTGTGCTTTTCCGATGGGCTTAAAAATCAGCGCACCAGGAGAATATATCCCACACCTGGCTCAGAGGGTCCTACGCCCATGGAGTCTGGCTGATTGTTAGCACAGCAGTCTGAGATCAAACTGCAAGGCAGCAGCGAGGCTGGGGGAGGGACACCCACCGTTGTCCAGGCTTGCTTAGGTAAACAAAGCAGCTGGGAAGCTCTAACTGGGTGGGGCCCATCACAGCTCAAGGAAGCCTGCCTGCCTCTGTAGGCTCCACCTCAGGGGGTAGGGCACAGACAAACAAAAAGACAGCAGTAACCTCTGCAGACTTAAATATCCCTGTCTGACAGCTTTGAAGAGAGCAGTGGTTCTCCCAGCACGCAGCTGGAGATCTGAGAACGGGCAGACTGCCTCCTCAAGTGGGTCCCTGACCCCTGACCCTGGAGCAGCCTAACTGAGAGGCACCCCCCAGTAGGGGCAGACTGACACATCACACGGCCGGGTACTCCTCTGAGACAAAACTTCCAGAGGAACAAACAGACAGCAGCATTCGCAGTTCACGAAAATCCACTGTTCTGCAGCCACCGCTGCTGATACCCAGGCAAACAGGGTCTGGAGTGCACCTCTAGCAAACTCCAACAGACCTGCAGCTGAGGGTCCTGTCTGGTAGAAGGAAAACTAACAAACAGAAAGGACATCCACACCAAAAACCCATCAGTACATCACCATCATCAAAGACCAAAAGTAGATAAAACCACAAAGTGGGGAAAAAACAGAGCAGAAAAACTGGAAACTCTAAAAAGCAGAGCGCCTCTCCTCCTCCAAAGGAACCCAGTTCCTCACCAGCAATGGAACAAAGCTGGACGGAGAATGACTTTGACGAGTTGAGAGAAGAAGGCTTCAGACAATCAAAGTACTCCGAGCTACAGGAGAAAATTCAAACCAAAGGCAAAGAAGTTAAAAACTTTGAAAAAAATTTAGACGAATGTATAACTAGAATAACCAATACAGAAAAGTGCTTAAAGGAGCTGATGGAACTGAAAGCCAAGGCTCCAGAACTACGTGAAGAATGCAGAAGCCTCAGGAGCCAATGCGATCAACCGGAAGAAAGGGTATCAGTGATGGAAGATGAAATGAATGAAATGAAGCGAGAAGGGAAGTTTAGAGAAAAAGGAATAAAAAGAAATGAACAAAGCCTCCAAGAAATATGGGACTATGTGAAAAGACCAAATCTACGTCTGATTGGTGTACCTGAAAGTGACGGGGAGAATGGAACCAAGTTGGAAAACACTCTGCAGTATATTATCCAGGAGAACTTCCCCAATCTAGCAAGGCAGGCCAACATTCAGATTCAGGAAATACAGAGAACACCACAAAGATACTCCTCGAGAAGAGCAACTCCAAGACACATAATTGTCAGATTCACCAAAGTTGAAATGAAGGAAAAAATGTTAAGGGCAGCCAGAGAGAAAGGTCGGGTTTCCCACAAAGGGAAGCCCATCAGACTAACAGCTGATCTCTCGGCAGAAACTCTACAAGCCAGAAGAGAGTGGGGGCCAATATTCAACATTCTTAAAGGAAAGGAAAGAATTTTCAACCCAGAATTTCATATCCAGCCAAACTAAGCTTCATAAGTGAAGGAGAAATAAAATCCTTTACAGACAAGGAAATGCTGAGAGATTTTGTCACCACCAGGCCTGCCCTAAAAGAGCTCCTGAAGGAAGCACTAAACATGGAAAGGAACAACTGGTACCAGCCACTGCAAAATCATGCCAAATTGTAAAGACCATCGAGGCTAGGAAGAAACTGCATCAACTAACGAGCAAAATAACCGGCTAACATCATAATGACAGGATCAAATTCACACATAACAATATTAACTTTAAATGTAAATGGACTAAATGCTCCAATTAAAACACACAGACTGGCAAATTGGATAAAGAGTCAAGACCCATCAGTGTGCTGTATTCAGGAAACCCATCTCACGTGCAGAGACACACATAGGCTCAAAATAAAAGGATGGAGGAAGATCTACCAAGCAAATGGAAAACAAAAAAAAAGGCAGTGGTTGCAATCCTAGTCTCTGATAAAACAGACTTTAAACCAACAAAGATCAAAAGAGACAAAGAAGGCCATTACATAATGGTAAAGGGATCAATTCAACAAGAAGAGCTAACTATCCTAAATATATATGCACCCAATACAGGAACACCCAGATTCATAAAGCAAGTCCTGAGTGACCTACAAAGAGATTTAGACTCCCACACAGTAATAATGGGAGACTTTAACACCCCACTGTCAACATTAGACAGATCAACGAGACAGAAAGTTAACAAGGATACCCAGGAATTGAACTCAGCTCTGCACCAAGCGGACCTAATTGACATCTACAGAACTCTCCACCCCAAATCAACAGAATATACATTTTTTTCAGCACCACACCACACCTATTCCAAAATTGCCCACATAGTTGGAAGTAAAGCTCTCCTCAGCAAATGTAAAAGAACAGAAATTATAACAAACTATCTCTCAGACCACAGTGCAATCAAACTAGAACTCAGGATTAAGAAACTCACTCAAAACCACTCAACTACATGGAAACTGAACAACCTGCTCCTGAATGACTATTGAGTACATAACGAAATGAAGGCAGAAATAAAGATGTTCTTTGAAACCAATGATAACAAAGACACAACATACCAGAATCTCTGGGACACATTCAAAGCAGTGTGTAGAGGGAAATTTATAGCACTAAATGCCCACAAGAGAAAGCAGGAAAGATCCAAAATTGACACCCTAACATCACAATTAAAAGAACTAGAAAAGCAAGAGCAAACACATTCAAAAGCTAGCAGAAGACAAGAAATAACTAAAATCAGAGCAGAACCGAAGGAAATAGAGACCAAAAAAACCCTTCAAAAAATTAATGAATCCAGGAGCTGGTTTTCTGAAAGGATCAACAAAATTGATAGACTACTAGCAAGACTAATAAAGAAGAAAAGAGAGAAGAATCAAATAGATGCAATAAAAAATGATAAAGGGGTTATCACCACTGATCCCACAGAAATACAAACTACCATCAGAGAATACTACAAACACCTCTACGCAAATAAACTAGAAAATCTAGAAGAAATGGATAAATTCCTCGACACATACACCCTCCCAAGACTAAACCAGGAAGAAGTTGAATCTCTGAATAGACCAATAACAGGCTCTGAAATTGTGGCAATAATCAATAGCTTACCAACAAAAAGAGTCCAGGACCAGATGGATTCACAGCCGAATTCTACCAGAGGTACAAGGAGGAACTGGTACCGTTCCTTCTGAAACTATTCCAATCAATAGAAAAAGAAGGAATCCTCCCTAACTCATTTGATGAGGCCAGCATCATCCTGATACCAAAGCCGGGCAGAGACACAACCAAAAAAGAGAATTTTAGACCAATATCCTTGATGAACATTGATGCAAAAATCCTCAATAAAATACTGGCAAACCGAATCCAGCAGCACATCAAAAAGCTTATCCGCCATGATCAAGTGGGCTTCACCCCTGGGATGCAAGGCTGGTTTGATATATGCAAATCAATAAATGTAATCCAGCATATAAACAGAACCAATGACAAAAACCACATGATTATCTCAATAGATGCAGAAAAAGGCCTTTGACAAAATTCAACAACCCTTCATGCTAAAAACTCTCAATAAATTAGGTATTGATGGGATGTATCTCAAAATAATAAGAGCTATCTATGACAAACCCACAGCCAATATCATACTGAATGGGCAAAAACTGGAAGCATTCCCTTTGAAAACTGGCACAAGACAGGGATGCCCTCTCTCACCACTCCTATTCAACATAGTGTTGGAAGTTCTGGCCAGGGCAATTAGGCAGGAGAAGGAAATAAATGGTATTCAATTAGGAAAAGAGGAAGTCAAATTGTTCCTGTTTGCAGATGACATGATAGTATATCTAGAAAACCCCATTGTCTCAGCCCAAAGTCTCCTTAAGCTGATAAGCAACTTCAGCAAAGTCTCAGGATACAAAATCAATGTACAAAAATCACAAGCATTCTTATACACCAACAACAGACAAACAGAGAGCCAAATCAGGAGTGAACTCCCATTCACAATTGCTTCAAAGAGAATAAAATACCTAGGAATCCAACTTACAAGGGACATGAAGGACCTCTTCAAGGAGAACTACAAACCACTGCTCAATGAAATAAAAGAGGACACAAACAAATGGAAGAACATTCCATGCTCATAGGTAGGAAGAATCAATATCGTGAAAATGGCCATACTGCCCAAGGTAATTGATAGATTCAGTGCCATCCCCATCAAGCTACCAATGACTTTCTTCACAGAATTGGAAAAAACTACTTTAAAGTCCACATGGAACCAAAAAAGAGCCCGCATCGCCAAATCAATCCTAAGCCAAAAGAACAAAGCTGGAGGCATCACGCTACCTCACTTCAAACTATAGTACAAGGCTACAGTAACCAAAACGGCATGGTACTGGTACCAAAACAGAGATATAGATCAATGCAACAGAACAGAGCCCTCAGAAATAATGCCACATATCTACAACTATCTGATCTTTGACAAACCTGAGAAAAAGAAGCAATGGGGAAAGGATTCCCTATTTAATAACTCATGTTGAGAAAACTGGCTAGCCATATGCTGAAAACTGGAACTGCTCCCCTTCCTTACACCTTAAACAAAAATTAACTCAAGGTGAATTAACATCTTAAACATAAGACTTAAAACCATAAAATCCCTAGAAGAAAAACTAGGCAATACCATTCAGGACATAGGCATGGGCAATGACTTCATGACTAAAGTACCAAAAGCTGTGGCAACAAAAGCCAAAATAGACAAATGGGATCTAATTTAACTAAAGAGCTTTTGCACAGCAAAAGAAACTATGATCTGAGTGAACAGGCAACCTACAGAATGGGAGAAAATGTTTTCAATCTATCCATCTGACAAAGGGCCAATATCCAGAATCTACAAAGAACTTAAACAAATGTACAAGAAAAAAAAACAAACAAAAAAACCCCATCAAAATTGGGTTAAAGATATGTACAGACACTTCTCAAAAGAAGATATTTATGTGGCCAACAAACGTGAAAAGCAGCTCATCATCACTTGTCATTAGAGAACTGCAAATCAAAACCACTATGAGATACCATTTCATGCCAGTTAGAATGGCAATTGTTAAAATGTCAGGAAACAACAGATGCTGGAGAGGATGTGGAGAAATAGGATCGCTTTTACAATGTTGGTGGGAGTGTAAATTCAATCATTGTGGAAGACAGTGTTGTGATTCCTTAAGGATCTAGAACCAGAAATACCATTTGACTCAGCAATCCCATTACTGGATATATTCCCAAAGGTTTATAAGTCATTCTACTATAAAGAGACATGCACATGTATGTTTACTGCAGCACTGTTCACAATAGCAAAGACTTGGAACCAACCCAAATGCCCATCAATGATAGACTGGATAAAGAAAATATGGCAGATATACACCACGGAATACTATGCGGCCGTAAAAAAAGATGAGTTCATGTCCTCCGCAGGGACATGGATGAAGGTGGAAACCATTATTCTCAGGAAACTAACACAGGAACAGAAAACCAAACACTGCATGTTCCCACTCATCAGTGGAAATTGAACGATGAGAACATATGGACACAGGGAGGGGAACATAACACACTGGAGCCTGTCTCCATAGTGGCTGTACTAATTTACAGTCTCACCAACAGTGTACAAGAGTTCCTTTATCTTCAAATCCTCACCAGCATTCATTATTTCCTATCTTTTTTATAAAAGCCATTTTAACTGGGTTCAGGTGATATCACATTGTGGTTTTGATTCACATTTCTCTGATGATTAGTAATGTTGAGCATTTTCTCATATACCTGTTGGTCATATACCTGTTCTTCTGAAAAGAAGAAATGCCTATTCAGATCTTTTGCCTATTTAAAATCCATTTATTTGGGTTTTTTTTTTTTTTGGCTGTTGAGTTGTTTGAATTCCTTATATATTTTGGTTATTAATCCATTGTCAGATGGATAGTTTACAAATATTTTTTTCCTTTCTGTGGGCTGTCTCTTCACTTTGTGGATTATTTCATTTACTGAGTAGAAGTTTTTTAGCTTGACATAATCTTATTTGCTCATTTTTGCTTTGGTTGCCTGTGCTTTTGAGATGTTACCCAAAAAACTCTTTGCCCAGACCAATGTTCTAGAATATTTCCCCAATGTTTTCTTCTAGTAGTTTCATAGTTTCAGGTCTTACATTTAAGTCTGTAATCCATTTTAATTAGAATTTTGTATATGACAGAAAATGGGGATCTAGTTTTATTCTTCTGCATATGGATATCCAGTTTTCCCAGCACCATTTATTGAAGAGACTGTCCTTTCCCCAGTGAGTCTTCTTGACATATTTGTAAAAAGTTCTCTGGCTGTAAATGCATGGATTTAAATCTGGGTTCTCTATTCTGTTCCATTGGTTTGTGTGTCTGCTTTTATGCCAGTACCATGCTGTTTTGGTTTCTTTAGCTTTGCAGTATATTTTGACATTAGGTAGTGTAATGCCCCTGGCCTTATTTTTCATTTTTCATTTTTTTTGTTCAGGGTTTCTTTGGCTATTTGGGGTATTTTGTGATTGTATGCAAAATATAGGATTGTTTTTGCTATTTCTGCAAAGAATGTCATTGGTATTTTTATGGGGATTGAGTTGAATCTGTAGAATGTTTTGGGTAGTGTGTCATTTTAACAATATTAATTCTTCCAATTCATGATCACGGAATGTCTTTCCATTTTTTGGTGTCCTCTTCAAGTTCCTTTATCAGTGTTTCATAGTTTTCATTGTAGAGATCTTTCTACAAGATCTCTTGTAGAAAATTTGGCAAAATAAATTTTATCAGATAACATTTGGCAAAATCAATTTTATCAGATAAAATTTGGCAAAATCAATTTTATCAGATAAAATTTGGCAAAATAAATTTTATCAGATAACATTTGGCAAAATAAATTTTATCAGATAACATTTGGCAAAATCAATTTTATCAGATAACATTTGGCAAAATAAATTTTATCAGATAAAATTTGGCAAAATAAATTTTATCAGATAAAATTTGGCAAAATAAATTTTATCAGATAAAATTTGGCAAAATAAATTTTATCAGATAAAATTTGATATTTATTTTTAAATATTTTATATTCTTTGTAGCTACTATAAATAGGATTGCTTTCTTGATTTCTCTTCCAGCTTGTTCATTATTGGTGTATAGAAATGCTGGTAGTTGTTGTATGTTGGTTTTGTATTCTGCAACTTTACTGATTTATTAGCTCTAAGAGTTTGTTTGATGGAGCCTTTAGCTTTTTCTATATATAAGATCATGTTTTCTGCAAACAGATATTTCGACTTCCTCCTCTTCAATTTGGATGTCCTTTATATTTTTTCTTGCTTAATTGCACTGGCTGGGACTTCCAGTGCTATGCTGAGTAAGAGTGGTGAAAGTGGCCATCCTTGTCTTGTTCCAGGGCTTAGTAGAAAAGCTTTCAATGTTTTTTTAGCATTCAGTACAATGTTAGCTGTGGGTATGTCATATATAGCCTTTATTATTTGGAGGTATGCTCCTTCTATACCAAATTTGTTGAGTTTTTTTTTTTAAGTCAAATGCTTTTTGGCATCTATTGAGATTATTATATGATTGTTGTTATTTATTCTTTTGCTGTGATATGTCACATTTATTGATTTGCATATATTGAGCCATCCTTGCATCTCTGAGCTAAATCCCACTTGATTGTGGTGTATAACGTTGTTATGTGTTGTTGGATTCAGTTTGTTAGTATTTTATTGAGGAATTTAGCATCTATATTCATCAGGCATATTGGCTTTTCATTTTCTTTTGTGTTCTGTTCTTGTCTGGTTTTGTTATCAGGGTAATGCTGGCCTTGTACAATGAGTTTGGAAGAATTCCTTTCCCTATAATTTTTTTGGAGTGGTTTTAGAAGAATTGGTGTTAGTTCCTCTTCCAAGTTGGATAGAATTCAATTGTGACAGCCATCTGTTCCTCGGCTTTTCTTGGTTGGAAGACTATTTAATTAATTAATTAATTTGAAACAGGATCTTGTTCTGTTACGCAGGCTGGAGTTCGGTGTTTCAATCATAGTTTACTGCAACCTTAAACCCTTGGGCTCCACTGATCCCCCTGCTTCAGCCTCCTGGGTCACGGGGGCTAGGGAATCTTTTATTACTGCTTTAATCTTGCTACTTGTTATTGGTCTGCTCAGGTTTTCTGTTTCTTTCTGGTTCAATCTCGGTAGGTTGTATGTATCCAGAAATTTATCCATTTCCTCCAGGTTTTCCAGTTTGCTAGTGTATAGTTGTTCATAATAGTCTGTAATGATTTTTTTTGTGTTTCCATGTTATCAGTTGTAATATCTTCTTTTTTGCTTCTGATTTTATTTATCTGAATCTTCTCTCTCTTAGTTATTCTGAATAAACGTTTGTTAGTTTTATCTTTTCAAAAACCAACTTTTTGCTTTGTTGATGATTTTAGTCTTTGTTTTGTTTATCTCTGCTCTGATCTTTATTATTTCTTTCCTTCTACTAATTTTGGGTTTGTTTTTTCTTACTTTTCTAGTTTTTTGAGGTGCATCAAAAACGTTATTTAGGTGGTGAAAGTGGCCAACCTTGTCTTGTTCCAGGGTTTAGTAGAAAAACTTTCAACTTTATTTTAGCATTCAGTACAATGTTAGCTGTGGGTTTGTCATATATAGCCTTTATTATTTGGAGGTATGCTCCTTCTGTACCCTATTTGTTGAGGGTTTTTTTTTATCCTAAAGGGATAACTTATTTAAAACCTTTCACTTTTTAAATTCAGGCATTTATTGCTATAAAATTTCTTCTTTGTCCTGCTTTTGCTTTATCTTGTAAGTTTTTGTATGTTGTGTTTCTGTTTTCATTTATTTTGGGAAAAATTTAAAAATCTTTTAAAATTTTTTCTTTGACTTATTCATCATTCAGGAATATGTTGTTTAATTTTCATGTATTTGTACAGTTTCCAAAGTTCCTCTTGTTATTGATGTCTAGTTTTATTCCATTGTGGTCAGAAAAGATATTTCATATGATTTCTACTTTTTTGAATTTGTTGAGACTTGTTTTTTGGCTTAACATATGATCTATCCTGGAGATTGTTATATGTGCTAATGAGAAGAATGTACATTCTGCAACTGTTGATTGAGATGTTTTATAAGTGTCAGTTAGGTCCATTTGGTCTAAGTGCACTCTAACTTTGATGTTTCTTTTTTGATTTTCTGTTTACGTGATCTTCCAATGCTGATATTCAGGTATTAAAGTCGCAAACTGTTATTATATTGGAGTCTGCCTCTCCCTTTAGATTTAATTATATTTGCTTTATGTATCTGGGTCCTTTGGTTTTGGGTGCATATATACTTAACATTGTTACATCATCTTGCTGGGTTAATCTTCTTGTCATTTTATGATATCTGTCATTATAAAAGTTTTTGACTTACAGTCTATTTTACCTGATGTAAATGTTGCTATTCCTGCTTATTTTTGGTTTCTGTTGTATGGAATATCTTTTTCTATCCTTATGCTTTCAGTCTATGTGTACCTACAGTTGGAGCTTGATTTTTCTTTCTTTTTTTTTTTGAGACGGGGGTCTAGCTCTGTTACCCAGGCTGGAGTGCAGTGGCACGATCTTGGCTCACTGCAACCTCTGCCTCCCGGGTTCAAGCAATTCTCTTGCCTCAGCCTCCCAACTAGCTGGGAGTACAGGTATGCACCACCATGCCTGGCTAATTTTTGTATTTTTATTAGAGATGGGGTTTCACCATGTTGGTCAGGCTGGTCTCGAACTCCTGTTTTTTTTTTTCTTTTTTAAATCCATTAAGCCAGCCTTTTAATTGGGGGAATATAATCTATTTACATTAAAGTTATTGATAAATGGAGACTTCGTCTTATCATTTTGTTAATTGTTTTCTGTTTATTTTGTACATCCTTTGTTCTTTTCTTCATCTCTTATTGTTTATCGTTGTGGGTTAGTGGTTTTCTTTAGTGATAAGGTTTGATTCCTAACTCTTTTCCATTTGTATATCTGCTCCACCAGTGAGCTTTACTCTTTCATGTGTTGTCATGATGGTAGTTATTGTTCTTTCTCTTCCTATGTATGACTCCCTTCAGCATTTCCTATAAGGCCAGTCTAGTGGTAATGAATTCTCTGTTATTGCATGTCTGAAGACTTTACTTCTCCTTAATTCCTGAAGGATAGTTTTGCTTGATATAGTATCCTTAGATGCTTGGATGACATTTTTTCTTTCATACTTTGACTATATCTTTGCATTTTCTCCTGACCAGTAAGGTTTTTGTGGAGAAATCCACTGTTACTCCAAAGGAGATTCCCTTATATGTGACTTAACTGCTTTCTCTTGCTGTTTTTAGAATTCTCTCTTTGTCTTGGAGTTTTGACAATTTGACTCTAATGTGCTTTGATTCTAGATGCATAGACTTCTGGCAGCTTCCTATACCAGGCTCACTTATCTGTGTATTGAAACATTCTTCCAGTATTCATTTGGTTCAACATATATTCATTGAAAGCATGTCATTTACTAGGTATAGAGTACCTAGTAAAAGTTCAATAAATATGGGTGGGTTGAATCTATTTGAGGTCTTTTGAGCTCCTGGATCTGGATATCCATATCTCTCCCCAGACTTGGGATGTTTTCAGCTATTACTTCATTAAATTAGCTTTATCTGCCTTTCCTTGTCTCTTCTCCCGCTGGAACTTCCATAATGTGGATATTTGTCTACTTAATGGTGTCCCATAAGCCCTAGGCCTTCTTCATGCTTTTAAAATTCTTTCTCTCTTCGTTTTTGCCTGGCTGGATTATACCAGAAGACCTATCTTCAAGTTCAGATATCCTTTCTTGTGCCTTTTTTTCCCTATCTCTTTGTTAAATATCTCATTAAAATCATGAATTGTTTTCTGGGTTTCACTGAGTTGTCTTGTATCTCAGTGAATTTCCATAAGATTATTACTTTGAATTCCTTTTCAGTTATATCGTAGTGAATTTCCATAAGATCGTTATTTTGATTTCCTTTTCCTTGAAATCAGTTACTGGATAATTATTTTGTTCCTTTGGGGTGGTCCTGTTTCCTTGCTTTTTCGTGTGTTTTGTGTTTCTATGTTGATAGCTATGCATCTGCAATCACCTCCTCTAATTTTATGGGAGTAGCTTTTGTAGGGAAAGACTTTTTCCTGTAGATGTGTCCTATAGTGTTGGTTGGGTAGGGTGTTTTGGCTTTGATTCTGGGTGGGTGCCAACGTGTAGTCTCCATGGGATTTCTTCAGCTGTAATTTATGTCAGTGGTGTCTGTGAATGTCTCAGTGGCTTAGACTGTGGGTGTTTGTGGAGGCAGCAGCATGCCTTTACTGAAACTGGCAGCTGCCAGGTGGGCTGGTTCTCAGGCCCTGAAGGGGGTGTGTGCTGGCCTTTATGGCTCCTCTGGTTATGGAACTGGAGTTGCCAGTGGTGGTGAATATAAAGTGGGCTGGTTCTTGGTCGCTGGGGGTCATGCTCTGCCAGTCACCTGGGAAGGATCACTGGCAGCTTTAAATGTTGGGTGGGCTAGTTTTTTGTCGCTGGGGCATGCATACAATGCATGGGCAGCTCTGCTAGTTTAGGGAGCAGGATCAATGATGGCAGCTGGCAGCCAACTGCCAGGTTCTGGGGAGCACCTGCATTGGCTCCCCAAGTCTTGGGGGTGGCTTTCCTGCTGTGCTGGATCACCTGTTCCTTGTGTGTTTAGGGTGCTGGGTAAGCTTGGGTGCCATGTGATTGCTATACTGCTGGGTCTAGCTGGAGTCGTGGTGCTGCAGCTTTTTGTGTGGCTATGGTGGGATGCTGGTGGGGCCCCAGGGATGTGGAGTTGCAGGGGCTGTTCGACCCCAGGGCAGTATACACTGCAGCAGTGGCTTTGTTCTCAAAATAGTGCTGTGCTGTAGCAGCTTGGGTCCCAGAGGATTGGGGTGACCCAGTGTGAGTTCTTTCTCTGGAGAAATCTAGGTGCATAGACTTCTGGCAGCTTTCTATACTGGGCTTACTTATCTGTGTATTGAAACAGATTCATCCAGTATTCATTTGGTTCAACTAATATTCATTGAGAGCATACCATTTACTAGGTGTAGAGTACTTGGTAAGAATTCAATAAATATGTGTAAATTATTGAACTTACAGTACTAGGCACTCTTCTAGGCAGTGGGGATATAGCAGGGAATGGAAAAGAAAAAAAAATCCCTCCTTTCATAGAGTGTGTGTTTTAGTTGAGGAAGCAGACCATAAATAAGAAAATGCATAAAGCACCCCCCACCATCTGTAGTTTTGCTTTCCATAGTTTCAGTTACCCATGGTCAACCGTGGTCTAAAAATATTAAATGGGAAATTCCAGAAATAAACAATTTGTAAGTTTTAAATTGAGGGTCATTCTAAGTAGCCTGATGAACTCTTGTGCTATCCTGCTTTGCTCTGCCTGGGATGTGAATCATCCTTTTGTTCAGTGTATCTGCACCTTATATGCTACCTACCTGTTAGTCACTTAGTAGTCATCTTGGTTACCAGATCAACTGTTGTGGTAGTGCAGTGCCTGTATTCAAGCAACCCTCATTTTACTTAATAATTGCTCCAAAGCACAAAAGTAGTGATGCTAGCATACTGTTATAATTGTTCTATTTTATTATTAGTGCTTGCTTACATTTAGAAATTAAACTTTATCAAACATATGTATGTATAGGAAAAGACATGGTATATATAGGGTTTGGTACTATCTACTGTTTTAGGCATCCACTGGGGCATCCACATATTCCCCACAGATAAGAGGAGACTACTGTAATATGTCAGATGGTAATAAATGCTATGGAGGAAAATAGTGCAGGGTAAGAATAGGAAGTGTGGAGAGTTGAGGGCAGGGATAGTTGCTATTTGTAAAAAGCTTGTTTAGATAAGTCCTCACTGATAGCGTGTTATTTGAGGAGAGATCTGAGCGAAATGAGGTAGTATGAGACATTTGGCTGTCTATAGGAAAGTGTTTCAGGCTGAGAAAATTGCAAGAGTAAAGGTTCTATGGTAGGAATGTGATTAGTGGGTTCCAAGAATATCAGGAGGCCATGGTGGCTGCAGCAGAGTGAGTAGTGGAGATATTGGTAAAAGGTGAGATCAGAGAGGCAACAGGAATCAGGTCATACAAAGCTGTGTAGGCCATGTTGGCAATTTTGGCTTTTAATTGGCATGAGCTGGGAAGCCACTGGAAGGTTTGAGCAGAGGAATGATATAAATGACTTAGATTTTGAAAGGAACTCTCTGACTGCTATATTGAGAATAGATCTTAGGGAGAGAGAGAGATTCTGGGGATATAACCATGAACAAAATTAGACATTATCTCAATGATCTCAGCCCTTGTGGAAAATACAGACTAGCATTAGGCTGACAAAAAAATCTCATAAGTAAAAGTAAAATTATCATGTGCTAAGTGCAATGAGAATGCCTAATATGGCACTTCTTTGATGGAGAGGGATCTGGAAATGTTTCTCTGGGGAATGTTTAAGCTGAGGGTTGACGGATGAGTATGGGTTATTTAGACAAAATGTGTACCATGTAGAGCATGTGCTTGTTTTCTTTCAAGCTATCACCTGGATTGTAAATATAAACTGGCAGTTCTCAAAGCATAGTCCAAGGACCCTTAGAGTGCTCTGTGAGATTCTTTTAGAGAGAAACCTCAAAGTTGAAACTATTTTTATTAACAGACCTAACAGATGCTATTCACCTTATCCACTACCATTTTTTCATGTGTGTACAGAGTTTGAAAATTTAATTGATGTAGTTTGAGATTAGCACATTGAAACTACTTGTTGAGAAATTGTCTTGTTGAATTTTGGTATCATGTCAAAGAAAAATATCCACAGTTATCTGGAAATGTTATTGAAATATTTTTCTATTTAACTATTTGTATAAGACCAGATTTTCTTCATATGTTTTAACCAAAACAACTTATTCCAATAGATTGAATGCAGCAGCAGATATGAGACTTCACCTGTCCCTATTAAGCTAGACATAAAAGAGATTTGCAGCAGTCCACTCTTCTCAGTCATTTGTTTGTTTTTTAAAATATATTCCTCAGATAGAAAGAGCCAACTTTAGGAGCAACTGAGTCATACCATTTTAGCTGAAACACTCATCAGTCATCACATATGCCTTGTACTTCTTTACTATATAATTTTGATTATATTTTAAGTATTTTTTATTATCCAGTTCCTGTTTGTTCAAGACTCAGGCCATACCCTTGGCTTTCACTTTCCACCTTAGATACAACTGTCTTGAATTTCTATACTGCTCAGTTTTTGTATTCATATATTTTCTACTGTCTTACATAGTACATATGTACTATTTTCTGTTTTCTCAGTTTTAAAAAGTGAGGCATCACTTAAATATGCTGAAGGACACAGATCTTAAGTGTAGAGCTCAATAATTTTTTTACTAATAAAATCAATGCCTAGATCAAAATATGAAATATTTCCAGAATATGAAATATTATACTACATGACTTCCTTATGTCCTTCCAGTCATATACTGCTATTCTTTTATCTATCACTGTAGGTCATATACCATGTGCTCTTTTATGTTTGGCTTCTTTCACTCAACAATATATATTTGAGATTCATCCATATTGTTGCCTGTATTAGTAATTTGTTCTTTTTTTAATTGCTGAATTGTATTCTGATTTATGAATATACTGTAATCTATTTATCTGTTCTGTTGAAGGGCATTTGGATTGTTTCCAGTATTTGCTATTGTGGAGTTACTACTATCAACATACTTGAGTAATTTTTTTGATGGCCAGAAGCAATCATTTCTGTTGGGTATATCCCCAAGAGTGGAATTTTTGTATCATACGTAGATACATGTATAGCTTTAGTAGATGTCACCAAACATTTTCCCAAAATAGTTTTACTAGTTTATATTTCCATCAGCAATGTATCAGAGTTTTAATTTTTCCGCATCCTTGCCATTTGATATTGTCTGTTTAATTTTACCATTCTGATGACTGTACAGTGGCATGGCATTATGGGTTTAATTTGCATTTCCCATTGAGTAATGATATTGAGCATTTTTCTCATGTTTATTGGCCAGTTGGATTTGTATTTTGGTTAAGCCTTTTTTTTTTTAAAAAAAACCCACTTTTAAAAATAGGGTTATCTTTTTTGTTGATTTGTAAGAGTTCTTAATTTTTTGGATATGATTCCATTGTTGAATGTGTGTTTTGCAGATATATTCTCTACTTGGTGTTTACCTTTTCACTCTTTTAATGGTGTATTTCGATCAGCAGAAGTACTTAATTTAAGTGAACTTTGGTTTACCAATATTGTCTTTTATGGTTTGTGCTTTTCTGGTCTGGCTTAAGGAATCTTTGCTCCAAGGTTATGAAGATATTCTTCCATGATTTCTTTTAGAACATTTATTGTTTTGGTTTTTACATTAGATCTGTGATCCACCTTAAGTTAATTTTTGTATATGGTTGAAGTAGGGGTCACCTTCTTTCCTTTGCATCGTTCATATATATTTATAGTTATATCCATATTTATATATTTATAGTTACTAGCACCAGCACCGTTATTGCAAAGACTGTCATTTTCCACACTGAATTGCAGGGGTGCCTTTGTAATAAATCAAGTGGCTGTGTATTTGTCTAGCTCCGGACTCTGCTCTCTTCCATTAATCTTAGACAATACTATACTGTCTTAATTACTTTAGCTTTATAAAAAGTCTTGATGTACAGCCATGTGAGTTTGTTTTCTAGTTCTTTAGTATTTACTTGTCTACTAGACTTTTGCATTTTCATATAATTTTATATGGAGATATAAACAATGTATATGGTCAGTTTCTAGCCAAGGGGTTTTCTACCCCCAAACCTCCCTAATCTTAGTTTGCTGATAATTCTTTTTTTAAAATCATGCATAGGGATTGAAATTTTTCATGTGCTTTTTCTGTACATTTTTAAGATAAGTGCAGGAAATCATTATTTTATCTTTTATTATGTTAATGTGATAAAGTTATATTTATTTTTGAATATTAAACCATTCTCGAAGTCCTGGAATAAACCCTACTTGCTTATGATGTCTTGTTATTTTTATATATACTGGATTCAATTTGCTAGAATTTGTTTAAGAGTTTTATTACTATGTTCATAAGGGACATTGGTCTATAATTTTCTTTTCTTGAAATGTCTTTCAGGTTTTGGTATTGAGATAATGCTGACCTTATTAATTGAGTTGGAAAGTGTTACTCTTTTTGTCTTCTTTGGAAGTGTTTCTGTAAGAATAGTATTGTTTACTCTTAAAAATGTTTAAGAAAATTCACCAAGGAAGATCTAGGACTAGACTTTTTGTTGTTGAAAAGTTTTAAATTATGGTTTTAATTTATTTAATAGATACAGGAAACTTCAGATTTTTATATCTCTTTGTGCCATTTTTGCTGTTATATTTTTCAAGGAATTTGTCTATTTTATCTAAATTATGTTTATTGATAGAATGGTATTTATAATATCTTTTTTACCTTTTGAAAATCTATAGGTTTATAGTGATGTTCTCATTTTTAATTGTTATTGGTAATTTGTATTTTTTCTCAGTCTTGTCCCTTTTCATGTGCCTAGTAACCTTTAATGTATGCCAGACACACATAAAGGAACTGTATAAGTTCTAGATGATGCTTTTCTTCTAGAAATGAATTCCCTTTTCCTTTGTCATATGGATAAGATTAGGGGCTGATTAATTCTGTTCTGTCAGCTGAGTCAGTTTTGATTGCTGGTTTAGTAAAATTCATTCTGTCTTTTGTTCTTCCTTATTCATTAGACTTAACCCTTCTGTACTTTTGACTGATAATTTGCTAGGTCTTTACCTCATTAACCTCTAAAGATTGGGTGATTCAGTCTGCTCTTTGGAACTTTACTCTTTGGCCTCCCATACTGTTTACAGATTTGGCAGGTATTGTTCTTTTAGTAGAAAGTAGTCTCCTATCTACTACAAGACTACAGAAAATTTCATCCTATTTTATAGAAGTTTCCTGCCTCTCCAGACAGCATCAGAATATAGCAAATATATTGTGATTAATTAGCCACACATTAGGACACTTGAAATTTCCAAATTGTTATACCAGCTTTGTATGATCACCAACACATTGCTGGCTTCTTTTTTTTTCTAGAAAAGTCACTCTTTGTGGACCAAGCTCATTCCTTTGTTCCCTTCCATCTGTAATAAGACAAGTATCCCCAAAGAAGAAAATATCCAGTGATAGACTGCTTACCTCAGAAAGGTTTTCTACTTTCTGGAATTTCATGTAACTTAATTCTTTTTACGGCCTTAGTTCTATAATGTCTTAAAAAATATTGTTTGTTTATTTGTTGAAGTGAGAATGTGGTCTGTCACAACCTATCACATTCTACCTAAGACCAGACGTTTTACATTGGCTGCAACCAGATTTTTTAAGCTCAAGTTTAGGTAGCATTCATTATACCTTTTATAGTATAGTACTTGGCCTTTACTAATTATTTGGTGATTGAGCTGAGATTTCAATTTTGGAAATACAGACCATAGTTGAAAACATGTGAGTGGATAAGTTTTATAACAGAGGAATGTAAAATTAAGATATAATTATTGGATACATACTGAGTGCTAGGTATTCCACAAATTTAAAAGCATTGGGTATTTAAAGTCAACTGAAACAAAAGCATTTATCCTCAGAAGCTGAATAGTCTTAGGGGACTGGAAGAAGTCATGTAAATAGATTAAATGCCATACTTATATCATGAGGATATCAGCAGATACTTCACAGAGCTAGCAGGCCTTAAATGAAATCTTAGGGACCAAGTAAGAGTGTCCTGGATTGGATTGGGAAAGGATATTGTGGTTTGAAGGAGCAACAAGTATAAAATGGAGATTTTGGAGAGCTTCTCCAAGGTTCCAGTGAGTAGAGCGCATTTTAAAGGAGGAGATAAAACTGGAAAGATATGTAGGAACCAGGTAGGACCTTTAAAATATCTCCCCCAACAACCCACCTTTTCTTTTGAGACAGGGTCTGGCTCTGTCACCCAGGCTGCAGTGCAATGGGCCATCTTGGCTCAATGAAACCTCTGCCTCCAGGGCTAAAGCAATCCTTCCACCTCAGCCTCCTGAGTAGCTGGGACCACAGGCATGTGCCACCATGCCCGGATAATTTTTGTGTTTTTGGTGGAGATGGGGTTTTGCAATGTTCCCCAAGCTGGTCTTGAACTCCTAGGCTCAAGCAATCCTCTCACCACAGCTTCCCAAAGTGCTAGGATTACAGGGATGAGCCATAGTGCCTGGCCTGATCTTCCCTTTTTGATAGCCAATGTGATCACAAAAGTGAGTTGCTGAAGTGAACTGGAGCTGGTCATTAAGGTAGAGGAGCCAACTAAGGCTTCTTCTATAAGGTATTAAAGTCACCAAGCTGGTGGCAGAATATGGAGTATAGGGAAAGGTGTAAGCCACATAAATGTGGGGAAGTGAAGGGTGGTTTTCATTGGGAGAAAGCAGCAGACAAGAATTACCTGGGTAGATTTTTCAAAATTTATAGGTTGATCCCCAAAGCTAAGGCGGTTATAAGATATACTTCAGAATTCCCTGGCATGAAGAGTGTTAGATTTAGATACTCTGAGGCATACAAAGCAGGAGAGTCTTTGTCCAGTCTGAAATTAGCACTGGAGAATGCCTGCCTTTTTTCTCCCTCTCCGTTCATTCCCTGTTCTGTCCATTGTGAGGAATCAGAGAATGGGTAGTGGCCACTAGAGAGGGCTAGCATAGTTAATGCTGTCCTCAGGGGATGTTTAGATTTCAATGAAAAGCAGGGGGAAGCAGTGGGATGAAAGAAGTATTCAGTAGTGAAATTGAGTAGATCTGTTTAGCATTGGAACATTGGATTATAAGGTTGCAGAGAGGGATTATCTTATGTCAAACTTGATTCAATAAAGTTAATTTTAAATATCTAGTAAGATGTCAGGAAAATCTTTCATCTTGTTCTCAGGGGACATAATTTATATTTAAGGATTTGTATTTTGTAACATAGTTGAAGTTTTCCTGTATATTTTAAGGTGTTTTCTTTTAAGTGATTTCAAATTATAATTCAAGGATATCTTCTGTGGTATAAATACATTTCATATTTCAATGCAAAATATGATTGACTGAAGAAATTTGTTTTTTAACTTATCCTTTGAGAATGCAAATATGCTAAAAAGTGAGGTATGTTGGTTATGTGGGAAGTGATCTTATTAAAAACATTTTTGAAGGGTGGGCATGGTAGCTAACACCTGTAATTTCAGCACTTTGGGAGGTCGAGGCAGGAGAATTGCTTGAGTCTAGGAGTTTGAGACCAGCCTGGGCAACATAACAAGACCCTATCTCTAAAAAAAAAAAAAAAAAAAAAAAATTAGCTGAATGTGGTAGCATGTACCTGTAGTCCTAGCTACTTGGAAGGCTGATGTGGGAGAATCACTGGAGTCCAAGAGAATCACTTGAGCAGTGAACTGTGATGACACCACTGCACCCTTGCGTGGGTGACAGAGCAAGACCCTGCCTCTAAGAAAATTTTTTTAAAAAGTGTTCTCAAACTTACTTTAGTTTTTATTCTAATTTTAAGAAAAAAAATTCATGTTAATATTTAAAATATTTTCTTTATTTTTGATAAAGGTATACATTTACAGCATATTAAATTATTATTTTTTAGACTTGCAACAGATGTGAAAAAGTTCATTTTCCTGAATCTACTTTTGATTTTTAGTGGCAACTGCTGAAATCCTTTGGTTTTAAGTACAATAATGAAAGGAAAGCATATGATTCCTATATTAAATAAATTGGGAGTGCATTTTGTAGTTTTTGGTATTTGTAAGCTATTATTCTTACTGTCTATTTGAAGCTTATAATGTAACTAAGGACTACTTTTAGATTATTTGATGTAAGAGGAATTGAATAATTCTGTTTATTGGCATATAGGTACTGAGACAGAGCATTTGGGAGCCCATTAACAGTATTGTTCAATGAATCTAAAAATTTGTAATTAAACCTACAAATTAAAAATTTGTAATTAAAAAAAATTGTATGTGGTAAGATATTTTATTGTGTCTATACAAAAGTGAAAAGTATTACCAGAATAGTTAAGATTGTGAACTTTAGAGTTAGCTGGGCCTGGGTCTGAATCATGATTCCACTATCCTCTAGTTATTTTTTAAAAACTGAATAATCACTCAAACCCTTATTTTTATCAGGTGTAAAATTAGGAAAATAATGGTTCCTACCTCACAAGATATTTATGAGGATTAAACAAGATAATAAAGTAAATGAAATAATGCCAGGCACATAGTAAGCACTCAGTACATTTTAGCTGTTTTTATTAAGATGAACAGATAACAGGTTTTAAAAAAAGGATATTTGAACTGTTGGTGAAATGTGTTGGATTTTGATGAGAAGATAACGGTTTGGACATTATTTGGCTAATGTGAAGAGATAATTAGGGAATTTAGATAGAGACTGAGATTAATAGGGATCGATCTCTGTATCTAACCACCATCCCATTATAGGGATATATAGTGATTAATAGTGGTTGTATCTGAATAGTATAACAGGTTTTTTTTTCTGTGAGATTTTCTGTATTTTATACAGTAAACCACTGATTCCCAATGTTTACTTAATTGTTCCCATTGGTTCATCGCAATATAATGTTTTCACTTGGTTCCATATTATGGAATAATCATTTTTTATTATGGTAAAATATACATAACATAAAATTTACCATGTTAACCATTTTTATGTATAAGATTTACTGGTATTACGTAGCTTCACATTGTTGTATATGAAATAATTTAAAAAATATTTATAAATGCATAGCATTCCATTCAATGGGTGATGTTTCATTATTTAACCTATTAGATGTTCAGATTGGTTTTTTTTTGTTATTAGAACAAAACTGGGAGTTTGGAGAGGCTGATCTAGGAAACAAAAAGATGTTGAAATATTTCACACATATATTAGGGAATGTCTGTTTTAAGAGTAGGTAGGATGGCAAAGCCAAGTAGGTAAAGAATGAAATGGTTACATAGAATTCTGTCATTTATGCCATCCTTCTTAAGCCCTGAATGCACTTTGTTTCTTTGGGTGAAAGAGAAGATTGAGGAAAAGAAGTAGAATCAGCCCTGGGATATAACTGTTCTCTCTTCATCTTAACCTACTTACCGTGTTCTTTGTTTTGTCTGCCACAGAATTCTGGAACTCATTACCATGGGGATTAAGATGTTAAAATCTAGAAATGTTCCATGTTTGAATCCAGTGTGTATTTGGTAACCAATTTTAGTCCACACATTGAACTGGGCCATACGTCCTGACTTTTTCTACTTGCCTATATTGTGAAAGAAGGGACCTGTAAATGTTGAAAACCTGATATACTCGCTGGATACTCTGAGCTCCTTAGTGTTTGACTCCCCTTTCTGAGGAATGTATAGATTTGCTGCCAGTGATATTGTTTTCAGTTTATTTGACACTCTGTTTATACCAGAAATCTATATTTGAATGATTTCAATTTCCTTTTATAGGCTTTTTATGAGCAGGTTCTATTATAAGAAGGTGAGAACAAATAGTCCCTGTTTGTTATATTCAGCTGATCAGTTTTATAAAGTATTATACTGCATTTTTGTTTTGACATTTTAAATTGTTTTTATGAATTTAATGCAATTTGGAGAGTGCAAAAATGTACCAAGAAACGGTGCCATTAGTTTAGGTTAAGATCTTGTGATATTTCTTTTCATTTTCTTTTATGTTCATTATTCGTGTAGTTGAGATGATAGTGTAATTGTACAATTTTGCATACTACTTTTTCATGAACATTATTTCAAGGATTTCCCCATGTGTATTAGTTTCATCCTGGGGGAAAATAGTTGAGACAACCATGAGGATAATTAAGGAAAGTTTAATAAAAAGACTATTTACAAAGGAATGGGGAGGAGGAAGGAAATCATCAGGAGGGGATAAAATAATTGAGCACATAAAATGTAGCTAGTCCAAATTGAGGTGTGTTTTAAGTTTAATATATACACTGTGTTTCTGAGACTTAGTATGAAAGCAGAAGAATGTGAAATATCTCATTAATGATTTTTATACTTATCACATCTGAAATGATAATACTTTGGATGTATATTAAAAATAAAATATATTAATATTACATTAGCCTATTTCATTTTAAAATGTAGCTACTAGAAAAATTAAAATTACACACATTGCTTACATTTTATTTTTATTAGTGCTAGGATGGGATATATAGAGAGGCAGCTGTGAGCCTGAAAAACGAAGGCAGGAGCCTGTGGAAAGGTCAGCTGATAGGATACATGACCTTTATTAGAGGGTTACAGCCAATCTACATTGACCCAAATGGAAGAAGGAGGTTTGAGGAATAAATTCATGACCCTGTTTTCTGCCTTGACCATTTGCTCTCAAATTCCTGGCTGTGTCTACCATTAGCTTAATCCAAAGGAAGCCAACAGATAAGGGAGCCAGTTGATGCAGTCCACCCTGATCCAGAGCAGAGTAGAAAAAGGTAGAGAGTAAATCTAGAGGAGTCTACTGAAGATATCCAGCATATAGCCTCATTAAAATGTTTGCAAATCTAATTTTCAAGGATTGCACGTTGCATTTTATGTATTATGTTATATTGTATTATAAATGCTTTGGGGAAAGTTGTAATGTAGCCTAATTATGGGAATTATTTAGGATATATAGTTTCATTTAATATAAATAAAAGATAAACTGAATTTTTGGTTAAAACAGCAATCAAGCAGTTCACTGATAGAGTTTTTAAAAGTGTACTCCAGAATTTGAAAATCAATAGAATTTTGATGTTGCCTACTTTATCCCCATATATAAGGTAACATTCTCTTTAAGATTTAAAATTTTTTCTGTCTAAACTGATAGTGGAGTACAAAACCTTGATTTATTGGGTTGTATTTCTTTAATTTGTTTCCATTTATTGCTTTAATTCTGATATATGGATTGAATAATTAATTCATTTTAATGGAACTTGATTCCAAGGTGATGAAATTTAATATTATATTTCACTTTTAAATGATAGAACATTTAAAAATGTAATTTTATTCATTAAAAGCACACATAATATGAATCACTTGTTGATGAAGGTTTGGTAAATAGAAGACTTAAAAGGCTGTCTAGGACTTTTTTTTTCACTTATCTGAAGAACTGAGTGTCTGTTAAATACAATGTGGATATATTATGATTTCTTACCTTCAAGGAGAATACACTATCATCTTCAAAATCCTTAGTTTGTTTTCAGGTAACTTTAGCTGTGACCCTCCAGTATATTTTTGCTTTGTATTTTTATCATAGACATTACAATATAAACATCTGTTCAGTTCAAAATTAGTGGAATAGACATTACATTTTGTTTAATTTTCCCTAACTCTGCTTTTTATGAGTCATATTTCAGAAATAAACTTGCAGCATATGAAAGTTTCAGTAGATGATTGTTCTGCTCATTGATATGTGTAGAGAGACAAAACTCAACTGTAGTTCCTTTTATGTTTAGTTCTGAAAATGTTTTAAGACCAAAAATGATAATTTATGTTCTCTGAAACAAACTGTTTTTTGGGATAACTGAATTTGTGTTTTTATTAAGTGTTACTATTTTATTCATTGTATTTAACTTTCTCATATAAATTATATATCCATGTGGTTCCAAATCCAAAAAAAATTTAATTATGGAGTTGGAAAAAAAAAGTCTCTTTTTAATGCTTGGCCCCTTTTGCTCAGTTCCTGTGCGTCCAGGTAACTTTTTTTTTTTTTTTTTTTTTTTCAGTGTTTTAGGTTTCTTTCCAGGATTTCTTTATAAGTGAACATAAACAAATGTGAATAATGATGCTTACTTTTCCCTTTATTACACAAATGGAGCATATTACATATATTTTTGTCATTCACTCTTTTCTCACTATCTTTTTCCTACATTGAAACAATTTCCCTTTGTGACCTTCCTTTCTTCTTATTTTAATTATTGAGGAAATGCTATACCAAAATTTTAATCTCTACTATGAGAAGTTTTTTTTGAATAATTGTTCTTTGGTAAGTTTTGCTGCCTTTCTTATCTTTTTTCTTTTACCAATGTGGTGCCAGGTAGGATTCAGTGCAAGCAAATGATGGGGAATTGCAGTTAGAGTTGTTCCTATGGCCTGTGGATTCCCAGGAAACTGAGTTTCTCATCCTCTCTTTTGGGAAGTAAAAGCACTTACCTCAGCAAGTGTTGGTGGGTGAAAGTAGTAGCATGACATGTTGCATATGCTCTTTAATCAGGTTATTCCAGAGAGTTATTCATTGGTCTCTCCCTTTTTAAAACTAGCCCGTATAGGTCTGGATTTTAATAAAAGTGACTTGGCATTAAGGTATGAGCTCCCCAAGTATACTGAGAGTGATCAAGGGTTCAGAAACCTGACCAGACAAAAGTAACCTATCAGTCTTTAAAAAATATAAAGCAAAAAACCACACACTTAAATTTAAAACATAACACTGATATCTAAATTCAAGTTTGTGGTATCTAACTTCATATCTAAAGTGAACTATATTCTTCAGCTACTTTACCAGTAAGTCTGATGTCCAAATAAAAAGTAAATTTGATTTAGATTTAAAATCTTTTCTTTAGAATTTTTTTTGCAGGAGACCAGAATTTTATTATTACTCAAATCAGTCTCCCTGAGCATTCAGGGATCAGAGTTTTTAAGGACAGCTTGGTGGGTTAAGGGAAACCAGTGAGCTAGGAGTGCTGACTGGTCAAGTCAGAGATGAAATCATAAGGAGTCAAAGTTGCCTTCTTGCACTGAGTCAGTTCCTGGGTGGGGGTACCACAAGGTCAGATGAGCCAGTTTATCGATGTGGGTGGTGCCAGCTAATCCATCAAGTGCAGGGTCTGCAAATTATCTCAAGCACTGGTTTTAGGTTTTACAATAGTGATTTTATTCCCAGGAGCAATTTGAATAGGGTCAGAGTCTTGTAGCCTCCAGCTGCTTGACTCTTAAACCATAACTTCTAATCTTGTGGCTAATTTGTTAGTCCTACAATGTCAGCCTAGTCCCCAGGCAAGATGGGGGTTTGTTTAGGGGAAAGGGCTGTTATCATCTCTGTTTAAATTATAAACTAAGTTCCTCACAAAGTTAGTTCGGCCTATGCCCAGGAGTGAACAAGGGCAGCTTGGAGGTTAGAAGCAAGATGGAGTTGGTTAGGTCAGATCTCTTTCATTGTCTCAGTTACTGTTTTGCAATGGCAGTTTCAAATCCGTCCCTTTGGGTTTTATAACACCTTAACCTTAAGGTGTTGGCTAATGAAGTTGAAGAACTTCTAACTAACTTCTTCCTGCTGACCAGGGGCATAGTGGGGGTAGGTGTTGACTCCAAGGTGAGAGGATTGGAACTGCTTTGCAACTGTCTGAGCCCACTCATGCAGACCTGGGTGGGGTTCCAAGGCTTTCATGGCAAAGGCGTTAGTAGTGTCATCTTAGCACAGCATTTAAGGGAACCACATACTATAGGGTAAATAATGAGTACTATGGTAAGGAGTGCAATTCCTGGTTTTAAAAGTAAAGATTTGAAAGCATCAACTTGGGGACTTGTAGCTTACAAAGAGTTTAGGATTTAGTCCAAACTGGAGAAAAAAACCCAAGAACAGCTAACAACAGGTGTATTGTAGTTTTTTTTTTTGAAACATAATTTTTCTCCAGTCCCCATTTTTATTAAAAACAAATCAAGATAGGACTGATTTGTTTGCAAAATATATTTACTTGGCTGGATTATTTGCATAAAGCATAACAAGAATAATTATTTTTTACATAGGCATTTAAAGTTGGCTTTGATGGAACTCTGTCATAAGGAATCTCAGATAAGACATTTTTTTGCAGCTGAGCCCAGCCATGGTTTTGTACCATCAAATACCTATGAATTTGGTAAATTCCTCTCCTCTTGAGGTCCCAAGAAAACCTGGGGCTCCTGGGGCTGTTAGAAAGTGACATTCTGTACTTACCACTGGTCAAGAACCTTGTTCAGGGACTGTGCAGACAGGTTATAAGGCCAGTTTTCCCAAGGGTCTTTTATTGGCTGTATGAGTCAAGTTTGATTCCTTAAAGGAAAGCACACCACTCCTGTCAAAGCCTTGGTAAAATAACCAGTTTCTCCAATTATTTCCTGTCCCAAAAGAAAACATTCTTATTGCACTTATGCAAATAACTATATTGCCATAAGTTAAGAATACTCACAAATAGATTCCAAATTCTGGAGAAAGCAGGTAGAGAGAGACAAATATGCTTTAAAATTTTTCACAGGAGTATACTCAATTGTTAAAAGCTGTAAATAGCTCAAAAGAAAAGTTTTCTTGGCTCTGAAAAACAAAAAAGGATTAGCAAAAATTTAAGTGAAAAGTCAAAAAAGATTACTTCAGTATTCTATTTGAACATTTTTCCTCTATTCTAGTGTCACAATCTCCCAAGTTATCAATCAGAAACTTGCATTTAAGAATAACTGTTAGAATTTCATAGCTGATTTTAAAACCATCATTTAAAGAGGATCAAAACAAGACAACAGTTTTCTGTGGATGACAAAAAGGGCAGCCACAGTTAAAGACACAATTGACAATGAAATTTCTTACCTCTGTGGCATATAATAATTTAACATAACAATTATTACTGGTAACATACAGTAAGTCATATAACAATTATGAGTTTCACATAATTTTGGAACATATACCAATAACATATTTACACAAATATAGCCCAAAGAAAGTGAAACACCATTTCATATTTGACAATGCTTCCTGTATGATTTTTATGCCACATAAGCCAGATGTCACTTTTGGACTGTAGAGAGCCTAATATCTAAAAGATTAGGTTAGAAAGAGACATAATTTATAATTTGATTTTGGGATGTTTGTCAAATACCAAAGGTTTAAAACACTAGAAGTCATAAAATAGAATCCCAGATCATCATACATCATTCATTTGGCCAAAATGATAAGTCCAAAAATTTGGAAAAGCAGAGCCTTTACCTTGATAGAGGAGACTTTGCTTTCCAAATAACAAGACCCAAGGAAGATAGCATGAGGCCAGCTGAATCTGTCTCTTCTCTCCCTCCCCACTTTTTGTAGTTTACTCAAAAGGCAAACAAAAATCTTCCATTGTCTCAATATGACATAAAAATTTTTTTCAAAAGAAAAAACCAGATTTCATGTTTCCATTAGTGCATCTTTAATGCTATAGCTAGTTTTTAAATAAAATTTTATAAATCTATCCAATTTTAATTAGTTTGACCATAAGGTAAGATTTTCATCAACTTTTTAGAACTTACAATTTTCTGTTAAATAGCAGATCAGTTTTCTAAGAAAACCCTGTGATTCAGACACATGGGCCCAGATTCTGGCCCTGCATTAGTGTGCTTTTATTTTAATGTTCAACCTATTGAAATAAATTAAATAATCCCCTTCAAGCCTTAGCCAATTGCTTCTACCCACAGAACTTTCTTTACAAGACCAACCCCTCACAAAACATTTTCAACTTGTTTAAACCTTCATTTTTGCCCCTGGAGTTTCATGAGGAAAACAGAGGTTTTTCCAAGAATGGGCTCTGTGGTGCCTCCTCTGTTTTTCCCCAGGAGTCCCGGGTTATTAGTAATTATCTTAGGTTCTCTCACATGGGCATCAGCAGTGGCAAGAAGATAAAATGGAGAAAAACAATTCAGTCAACTGAAAAGAAATTTTTTTTTAGAAAAGCACAGTTCAAAAAGAGGAAAAAGATAAAGACCTTTTAAATACACATAGCTTGGATATCCGTTTTTAATTAAGTGGGTTTTAACCATAGAGCTCTTTTTTTAAAAAAAAAAATCTTCTAAAATCTCTTATTATGAGACTCCAGCTAGGACAGACAATGTTTCTGGCTTTTGAATTCTACCACAGGCTACTTCCCACCTGAAATTAGTAAGTTTTAACTAAGGTTATGACTTAACCATGGATGGATAAGCTGTCTCAAAGCAATGGTAAGCGGTTTCCTTGTTACAAGAATTAGAATCTACCCAAAGTTAATTCAGAGAAAGGAAAAATAAAGACAGGAAATCAGAAGCGGTCCATGGGGGAAAAGAATTAATCAATGGCAAAAAAAATTACACAGACAACAAACCAGAAAGGGCTCACTCCCTAAGTCAAGAATTGAACCCAGGCTGCCATTGTCAAAAAGACAAAAACCTTAGTTATTTAGCTACACAGCATTCAGCAGTTTCTGTTGCTCTCCCAGAAGAAGTTTAGAGCAGCCAATTTCAAGCTTGCAAAAGGCTTTTAACTGCTTATGATAATTTATAGGGCTAACTATGACATTAACCCCCAAATTCCTGTCTTCTGGATGGCAGAAACCAGGAGAAAGTGTCCCCACCTGGTTATAACGTGAAACTCTTAAGGACACAAAACAAGACAGAGAAATTTCATCCAGTATTGGTTTCAGGGACCCACAGCAAAGTTTGTAAGTAACCAGCATGCCAGTCTGGCTTGAAAAGTAGGCTTCTAGAGGTCCTAAACCCATGTTCTATCCTGTGATGCCCCTCTCTCCATTACAGAAAGATAAATTCTTAGTACAAAGTGCACCAGATTTGCTACAGCCTAAGTCTAGTCTCACAAAACCTTTTTTTTCTACTAAATGCTTGCAGAGGAGACAAACAGTGACATTTACCATTTATATACACATACACACACAGAAAGACAGAGAGAGAGAGACCAAGAACATAGCTAGTAAGAATTTCTTACCCTTTTTGCCAGCATACCAGGTTCCTGGGTTCTCTTTCTCTGCAGCTTCCAGAAGAATGGAGTGGTTTTTGATGACAGTGCCCACTGTACCATAGCTGTGGGGTACAAGCCACTTTACAGAAGAAAATCACCCTTTCCTGTTTTAGGGAACCACAGGCAAAAGATTCTCAATTTTGCAAGATGCTGCCCAATGGGTTGCATGAGGACCTGAATTAACATTTTCCATCCCAGCCAAAGCAAAATACACATAACAAAGCCGACAGTAGTCACCTTGTTCAGCACCCAACATTGACCTGGCAAGGCTCAAACTTTTTTTTGTTGGTCCCTGTTGTCTTTCATTCACTCAAAGCAGGGAGGGGTGGCCTCTGACCAGGAATTCAATGGGTGGTCTCTGGGCAAGATGAAGAGCGGTCACCCCAAATCAGGCCTGTTAAACTTCTTTCAGGACTCACTGAATGTGACCAGATAGATGAGGGTTCTCTGAGTTGGGCCTGCTGAACTTCTGTCGGTAACTCCTTCAGAGAGCCCCTCTACATCTACAAACACACATACAAAGACAGGACAGACAGAAGGCCTTCCAAATCAATATTCCTTACCAAGAATTCCAGAGGTTTCCCTTCCAAATTATCCTCCTATTCTCCATCTGGGAAACCTCCTCGAAATCTTCCTGATTGAGAAGTCTCCCAAACCAAGACTCTTCCTACTAATTAAGGAGAGCCAACTTCAACCTCCGAAGGAGCTGAGTCAAGACAGACACCTTGCACTGGGGCTACAGACAGGCACCCCACCATGGGGCTACAGACATCCTGTGATTGATAGGGCTACAGTTATGCACATCTCCCCAGGACTATTTCTGTTTTTCGGTTAAATCCATGCACATTAGGTCAGCAGTGCCCAGCCCATAGAGACAGTACCAGAGTCAGCCCCCAGTCTAAGAGAACTAGGCAGCCACTTGGGCTGGCCTCTGGATCCATCACTGGAGAGAAGACTGAGCCGATTTATCAAGGCAGGGGAATTGCAATAGAGCAAGAGTAATTCATGCAGAGCTGGCTGTGTGGGAAACTGGAGTTTTATTATTACTCAAATCAGTCTCCTCATCTTTTGTGTTCTCATCACAAAAATAATTATATGAAGTTATGCATATATTTTTGACTATAAATTGTTATGCATATTTTTTAAGAAAAATTTTAATTTAAAAATTAATATTTTAATTGACTAATATAGTCTATGGAGTACAATGTGATGTATGTATAAAATGTGATATATGTATAAAATGTGGAATGATTAAATCAAGCTAATTAACATAACCCTCACCTCACTCACTTAACATTTTTATGGTGATATGTTTCAAATTTACTCTCAGTTATTTTGAAATGTATAACACATTATTGTGGACTATAGTCATGCTGCTGTGCAATAATTGTTAAAACTTACTCCTCTTGTCTAGCTGAAACTTTGTACCCTTTGACCAGCAACTTCACTCCCTGTCCTCCCTGCCCACCCCTGTAACTGTCATTCTCCTCTCTATTTCTGTAAATTCACTTTTAAAAGATTCTACATGTAAGTGAGATCATGTGGTATTTGTCTTTCTGTGCCTGGCTTATGTCACTCATGATAATGTGCACCAGAGTCTACCATGTCGTTCCAAATGACAGAATTTCATTCTTTTTTAAAGCTGAATAGTATTTCATTGTCTGTATATACCACATTTTCTTTATATACCACATTTTCTTTATATATTCATCCTTTGATGAACACTTAGGTTTATTCCATATTTTGGCTATTGTAAATAATGCTGTAATGAATATGTGAGTGTAAATACCCTTTGAAATACTGATTTCAATTCCTTTGGATATATTCCCAGAAAGGGGACTGCTGAATCACATGATAGTTCTATTTTAGTTTTTTTGAGGAAACTTCATACCATTTTCCATAATGGCTGTACTAATTTACATTCTCACTAACAGTATAAAAGCATTCCCTTTTCTCCTCATACTCTCCAACACTTGTTGTCTTTCTTCTTTTTGATAAAAGCCATTCTAACAGGTAAGGTGATATGATATATCATTGTGGTGGTTTTGATTTGTATTTCCCTAATGATTTGTGATGATGAGCATATTTTGTAAATCTTTGGGCCACTTGTATGTCTTTTTTTGAGAAGTGTCTGTTCAGATCCTTTGCTCACTCTTTTTTTTTTTTTTTTTTTTTTGAGATGGAGTTTCACTCTTGTTGCCCAGGCTGGAGTACAATGGTACGATCTTGGCTCACTGCAACCTCCGCCTCCTGGATTCAAACGATTCTCCTGCCTCAGCCTTCTGAGCAGCTGGGACTACAGACATGCTCTACTATGCCTGGATAATTTTTTTTTTTTGTATTTTTAATAGAGACAGGGTTTCACTATTTTGGGCAGGCTAGTCTCGAATTCCTGACCTCAGGTGATTCACCTGCCTCAGCCTCCCAAAGTGCTGGCATTACAAGTGTGAGCTACTGTGCCCGGCTTCTTTGCTCACTTTTAAATTGGGTTGTTTTCTTGCTATTGAGTTGTTTGAGTTTCATACATATTTTGGATATTAACCCTTTATTCGATGTATGCATTGCAAATATTTTTTGTGATAACACAATTTTCTTATTAAACATAATATAGAGCATCAGTAACATATACCCAATTGTCATCAACTGAACTTTGCCTCCACTATAATTCTATACAATACTGAACATTATTGAGCTTAAAACTATTTTGTTGGCTTTAAATAATAGACTATGATTTTTAGTTAGTTAAGTGAGATACATAGTTTCATAGACACATATTATGTGTAAAATTGATAGAAACATCGGCAATGTCACCCGTTAGGGGAAAAACTACTGAAAAAGCCAAAGTCCATCCTCTTCTCCTCTCTTATTACTCCAAATCAAACTAAGATAGGATAAACATCCAGTATCCTAGTAGTTTCTCCTAAACCTAAAGGCAAAAAAGGTGTCTTCTATTCAACTACAGAAAAATGCCAGTCAAATAATTTCTCCTCATCCCCCAACTCATCACTGAGAAAGCAAATTCACACAATATTGTTACCATATATGTGGCAACTATGATTCTGATTTGGGTCCTAGCTTTGCTTTCCTTTGGTACAGCTGCTGTTTGATTACCAACAAGAAACTGAGCAATCTGGCTAGAGGGATTCTAGTACCTTCTTTCAAGTGTCAGCATGGAGATAAAACAGAAAATAGCGACAACTGTCATCTTAGAACCTTTTTAGTGTAGTCAGGATTCATGGTATATTAGTCTGTTCTCACGTCGCTAATAAAGACATACCTGAGACTGGGTAATTTACAAAGGAAAGATATTTAATTGACTCACAGTTCTGCAGGGCTGGGGATGCCTCAGGAACTTAAAGTCATGGCAGAAGGGAAAGCAAACACGTCCTTCACATGGCTGCAGCAAGGAGAAGTGCAGAGGAAGTAGGGGAAAAGTCCCTTATAAAACCGGCCAAGATGGTGAAACCCCGTCTCTACTAAAAACTACAAAAAATTAGTCGGGTGCAGTGGCAAACGCCTGTAATCCCAGCTACTCGGGAGGCTGAGGCAGGAGAATCGCTTGAACCTGGGCGATAGAGGTTGCAGTGAGCTGAGATCGTGCCACTGCACTCCAGCCTGGGTGACAGAGTGAGACTCTGTCTCAAAACAAAAAACAAAAAACATCAGATCTTGTGAGAACTCACTGTCATGAGAACAGCATGGAGGTAACCACCCTCATGATTCAATTACCTCTCACTGGCTCTCTCCCACAACACATGAGGATTATGGGCACTACAATTCAGGATGAGATTTGGGTGGGGACATAGCCAAACTATATCACATGGCATTTCACAGGACATATGTACAGAAAATAGCAGTGTTAGCATGATCTGAGGGTGGAGTTTTTGGCTCTCAGATGTCAAAAAGTTACCTCTTGGGCACTTGCATGGGCACAGTTGAAGGATCACCAGTATCAACCAGTTTGAACTGGACAGGAGCTACCCCAAGTTCCTGAAAAACAACTGAAGCAGCTATTACCATGGTGACTTATAAATGTTATCTATAAGGTAGCCAGTGAAAGTTAAGTTTCAGTATTCAGCAATGTGACCTTTAGCTACTGTGGCCTTCAGCTTCATGGAAAAATAAAATGATAAAAAAAAAAAAAAAAAAAGTGACCAAAAGCAAGCAGGGCAGGCTGTTTGGCAGACCTGATCAGATTAACCCCTTGGTTTCCTATGATCTTGTCGTCTTGGTAAAAAATCAATTGACTATATATTTATGTGTTTATATCTAGGTTCTCTGTTGTGTCCCATTGGTCCACATGTCTGTTTTTATGCCAGCACCATGCTATTTTGATTACAACTGTTTTGTAATATATTTTGAAGTCAGGTAGTGTGATGCCTCCAGCTTTATTCTTTTTGTTCAAGATTGTTTTGTCTATCAAGGTCTTTTGTGATTCCATATGAATTTATGGATTATTTTTTCTGTTTCTGTGCAAAATGATATTGGATTTTGATAGAGATTGCATTGATTCTGTAGGTCACTTTGGGTAGTCTGGACATTTTAACAAAATTAATTCTTCCAATCCATGAACATGGGATATATTTGCACTTATTTTTGTTTTCTTCAGTTTCTTTCATTAATGTTTTATGGTTTTCAATATACATGTCTTGTACCTCCTTAGTTAAATTTATACCTAAGTATTTTATTTTTTATTGCTATTGTAAATGGGATTGTTTTTTAACTTACTTTTTAGTAATCTTTTTATTAGTGTATAGAAATGCTACTGATTTTTGTTTGTTGATTTTATATCCTGCAACTTTGATCAGTTTATTTTTTATTAGTGTATAGAAATGCTACTGATTTTTGTTTGTTGATTTTATATCCTGCAACTTTGATCAGTTTATTTTTTTTTTTATCAGTTGTAACAGTTTTTTTTGTGAAACCTTTAGGATTTTTTTTATATAAGAACAAGTCACCAGCAAACAGAGACAATATCACTTCCTACTTTCTTATTAGGATGACTTTTATTTCTTTCTCTGCCTAATTGCTTTGTCTAGAACTTCCAAAATTATGTTGAAAAGAAGTGGTGAAGGTGGACATCTTTGTCTTGTCCCTGATTTTAGAGGAAAAGTTTTAGATTTTTCGTCATTGAGTATGGTGTTAGCTATGGGTTTGTCATATATGGCTTTTACTGTGTTGAGGTACATTTCCTCTATAACTCTTCTGTTGAGAGTGTGTATCACGAAAGGGTGTTGAATTTTTCAGATGCTTTCTCTGCATCTATAGATATGATCACATGGTTTTTATCCTTCATTTTGGTAATGTGATGAATCATATTTATTAATTTGTGTATATTGAACCATTCTTGCATCCCAGGAATAAATCTCACTTATTCATGGTGAATGGTTCTTTTAATATATTGTTGAATTCAGTTTGCTGGTATGTTGCTAAGGATTTTATGTCAATGTTCATTGGGGATATTGACCTGTAATTGTCTTTTTTTGTACTATTCTTATCTGGCTTTGTTATCAGGATAATCCTTGCTTTGTAAAAGGAGTTTAAAAGTATTCCCTCTTCCTTAATTTTTTTTGGAAGAGTTTGAGAAGGATTGGGATTTGTCCTTTTTTAAATGTTTGGTAGAATTCAGCTATGATGCTATCCAGTCCCGGGCTCTTTGAAGGGAGATTTTTCATTATTCATTCAATATTCTTACTCATCATTGATCTGTTCTGGTTTTGTTTCATGATTCAGTCTTGGTAGGTTATATGTGTGCAGGAATTTATCCATTTCTTCTAGATTATACAATTTTGTGTTGCATAATTTTTCATAATTGTTTATTATTATTCTTTGTATTTCTGTGGTGTGAGGTGTAACGTTTCCACTTTCATTTCTGATTTTATTTATTTGAGTCTTTTTTTTCTTAGTCTAGCTAACTATATGTCAATTTTATTTACTTTAAAAAACTTCATAGTTTTATTGAATTTTAAAATTGTTTTCATAGTCTATTTCATTTTTTTCTTCTGTGATCTTTGCTATATTCTTCCTTCTGCTAACTTTGGGCTTAGTCTGTTCTTCTTTCTCTAGTTTCTTGAGGTATGAATTAGGCTGCTTATTTGAGATCTTTTTGATGTAGATGTTTATTGCTGTAAGTTTCCCTCTGAGGCCTGCTTTCACTGGATCCTATCAGTTTTAGTATGTTGTGGTTCTGTGTTTGTCATAAAGTTTTTATTTCCTTTTGATTTCTTCTGTGACCATTGGCTGTTTAGGAGCATGTTGTTTAATCTGGCATATTGTGAATTTCCCAAGATTTCTTCTGTTATTGATTTATAGTTTCATACCATTGTGATCATAAAAGATACCTGACATGATTTCAGTCCTCTTAAATTCTTTAAGACTTGTTTTGATGCATATGTGAATTAGCTTGATTTAGCCATCTCACAAGGCATACATATTTCAACATGTTAAGTATATGAAATTTTCATTTGTCAATTTAAAAAAAGACAACTAACATAAATAAATAAATAAATAAATAAATAAATAAATAAATAAATACATAAATAAATCTTGTTACAAAGTTAGATTTGCTTGGGAGCCTCAGGCTCCTGAAGGAGTATTGTATTTAAAGTACTTGACACATTATTGGTGGAGGGTAGCTAGGGTAAATTTTAGTAAAGTACTGAAATAATTCAAAATCCAGTTTACATAGAGTAGCTTAAATATTATTTTCTTTTTTGGCAAGAAATTGAATTAGTTGTGAGGCTTTGGGTAACATTTCTCAAAGTAGCTTTTACAAAACATTATTACCACTAGGTGTTTTGCATAAAACAGGTTTCTATTTCCAAATGAATTTGCAAAACACTGTTTATTAGTTATCCCTGGTTTTGGAGATTCACACTGAATATTATAGTGTATTAATGCAGAGAAGTTGGTGAATAAAGAAAACACATTAACTCTTGCTTAACTTGTTGTTTTTCAAACTTGACTGAAGAATTATGTAGAATCTATAAATATCCTGAGGAGCTGAGATTTCACAGAGTACAGTTTGGTAAATATTGACCCAGAAGAAAGTCAGATGTACTTTTATTCACACCTACCTACCTAGGACTTTCCTTTATTCTGCCATGGATTCCCTCACTGGTATATAATTCCTAATATATTAGATGCAGGAAAAATGAACACATTTAAACTGAGGTGAAGGTTTTAGGTGCTGTTTTCAGGGTTTTCAGTGATATACATGATGCTAAAGTCAATGGCCACTTCTCAGTACTTTTTGTATCAGCAGCATTTGACACAGATGATCCCTCCTTTCTCTCTGAAACACTTTCTTCACTTAGTTTTCCCGGTTTTCTTCCAGTCACATTGGCTGCTGCTTCTTGATATTTTTTGCTGGTTGCTTCTTATCTATCTAACCTCTAAATGTTGGACCATCTCAGGAATCAGTTCTTGTTTCTTTTCTCTATCTATATTTACTCCCTTAGTGATGTCATCCAAATTCTGATTTCATATTTGCTGACTCCAAAAGCATATATTCAACCTAGACCTCTCCCCTCAAATCCAGACTGATTAACCAAATGTTTAGTTGACATATTGACTTTGATATTTAATAAGTCCAAAATAAACTTCTGATTTCCTGACAAAATGTTCTCTTCTGTAGATGTGCCTTTCTTAGTTAATATAACTCCATCTTCTTCATCCTTTCAGTTACTCAAGTCAAAAATGTTAGGTGTCATACTTGACTTCTTTGAACTCTTACAGCCTTCTTTGAACCCCGTTACCAATTTGCTAGCAGATCCCATTGGCTCTGCTTTCTAAAAATATCTAAAACCTGTCTACTTTCTATCACCTCCACTCTTTCACCCTGCTCCAAGCACCTCTGTCTCTTTCTTTTCTGGATTATTATAATACCTTCTCAAATGGTTTCTCTTTTTCTGCCCTTTTCTTCCCATAGTCTATTCCCACCATTGTTTCCAGATACATCTTTAAAAATGTCAGATAATGTCATTTTTAAAATAAAAAACTGTGGTTATGATGAACTTTTTCAGAGTAGAAATCAAAGTCTTCTGTAGTCAATCAAACCCTATCTGATATATGTCTCCATTACTTTTTCTTTTGTTTCATCTACTACTGCCTTGTAACTCATTTATTTTGCCGCAGCTGTTTGTCAGTCTTCTTTATATTTCTTAAATATTATAAATATTCTTTATATTATTATCAACTTGAAGTCTATGCTTTTGCTATTTCATTTGCCTAGGGAGCTCTTCTCTCACATATTGACACAGCTGGCGTTTCTTGCTTAAATGTCACCTTGGAGTGGCTTCCTCAGAAGACCTTATTTTAAACAATACCCTCTACCCTGGCACTGTAGTTGTCTTTCTGGTTTAGCTTCTATTCATAGCACTTACTAGCTTCTAATAGAGGAGACATTTCAATTAATCACTTTGTTTATTGTCTGTCTCTCCTCATTCCATGAGAGTAAAGATTTTTTGTCTGTGATATGTCTAATACCAAGAATAGTGCCTGGCATGAGGAGTTGTTCAAATGAAGGTATTTACAGGTTATTCACTGTTTTTAAGGTCTTCAGATTACCTCAAGGTGTGTCATAAATTATGCAATGTTAGTATGCAGGTTTAATAATTATGCCATAAGTAATAATGGGGGATATTTCATGTCACTATCTTCACTATCTTCTAAGTGAGATTACTCATATTTATAATCAATGAAATTGTGGTGTTTAAAGCAGTCTACTAGACTTTTACACATTTTTATTGTTAACATCTTTTTACAATACAGATTTTTTTTAGAACCGTTGTAGGTTTACAGCAAAATCAAATGGAATGTGTAGAGATTTCCCATGTACTTCCAGTCCCTACACATGCTTAGCCATCTCATTATCAACATCCCTAACCAGGGTGGTATATTTGTTATAATTGATGAACTTACATTGACACATTTGTACTCATTAATTAACCTCTCTTTATCTCTCCTTCCCTGCTACCTTTCCAATGGTCTGATAACCACTATTCTACTCTCTCTCTTCCTGAGATCCACTTTTTTAAGCAACCACAGGTGAGTGAGAATATGCAATATTTGTCTTTCTTTGCTTGCCTTATTTCACTTAACATAGTGACCTCCAGTTGCATCCATGTTGCTGCAAATGACATGATTTCATCATTTTTTATGGCAGAATAATATTCCTTTGTGTGTGTGTGTGTGTATATATATATATACACACACATATATATATACACATATATATATGTCGTGTTAAAAAATCCATTTATTCTTTTTTTTTTTTGATACAGAATCTCACTCTGTCACCCAGGCTGGAGTGCAGTGGCATGGTCTCAGCTCACTGCAACCTCTTCCTCCCAAATTCAAGTGATTCTTATGTCTCAGCCTCCCGAGTAGCTGGGATTACAGGCATGCATCATCATGCCTGGCTAACTTTTATAGAGATGGGACTTTGCCATGTTGGCCAGGCTGGTCTCAAACTCCTGGCCTCAAGCAATCCACCTGCCTTGGCCTTCCAAAGTACTGTGATTACAGATGTGAACCACCATGCCCAGCCCTATTCAATCTTTCGTGGGCACTTAGGTTGGTTCCATATTTTGGCTATTGTAGATAGTGCTGCAGTAATCATGGGAGTGCAGATATCTTCTTGATACGTTCATTTCCTTTCTTTGGGATATGTACACACTAGTGGAATTGCTGGATCATATGGTAGTTCTATTTTTAATTTTTTTGGGAACCTCCATACTGTTCTCCATAGTGGCTGTACTAATTTACAATCCCACCAATAGAGTATAAGAGTTCATTTTTCTCCATAGCCTCACCAGCATCTATTTCTTGTCTTTTTGATAAAAGACATTTTAACTGGGGTAAGATGATACCACATTGTGGTTTTGATTCACATTTCCCTGATGATGAGTGATGTTGAGCATTTTCTCATATATCCTTTGGCCATTTGCATAGCTTCTTTGAGAAATGTTTATTCAGATCTTTTGCCCATTTTTTGATTGGATTATCAGTATTATTTGTCACTGAATTGTTTGAACTCTTTATGTCTTCTGCTTGTTAAATCCTGTTTAAATGGATAGTCTTCAAATATTTTCTTCCTTTCTGTGGGCTGTCTCTTCACTTTGTTGACTATTTTCTTTGCTGGGAAGAAGCTTTTAAGTTTAATCTAATTTCATCTGTCCATTTTTGCTTTGGTTGTCTATGCTTTTGAAGTCCTACACAAAATATTTTTGCCCAGATCAATGTTCTGGAGTGTTTCCCCTAAGTTTTCTTCTAGTAGTTTCATAGTTTCAGGTCTTACATTTAAGTCTTTAATCCATTTTGATATGATTTTTGTTTATGATGAGAGATGGAGGTCCAGTTTTAGTCTTCTGCATCTGGATATCCAGTTTTCCCAGCACCATTTATTGAAGAGACTGTCCTTTTCCCATTGTGTATTCCTGGTACCTTTGTAAACGATGATTTGGCTGTAAATTCATGGATTTATATCTGGGTTCTCTATTCTGTTCCATTGGCTTATGTGTTTATTTTCATGCCAGGACCATGCTGATTTGGTTCCTAGAACTTTGCAGTATATTTTGAAGTCAGGAAGTATGATGCCTCCATCTGTTCTTTTTGCTCAAGGTTGATTTAGTCTTTCAGGGCCTTTTGTGGCTCTATTATAAATTTTAGCGTTCTTTCTATTTGTGTGAGGAATGTCATTGGTATTTTGATAGGGATTGAATTGAACCTGTTAATAGCTTTGGGTAGTATAGTCATTTTAACAGTATTAATTCTTCCAGTTCATGATCATGGAATGTCTTTCCATTTTTTTTGGTTCTTTTTCAACTTTAAAATTCAATGTTTTAAAATTTTCTTTGGATAGAAATTTCACGTTTTGGTTAAATTTATTTCTAAATTTTTTATATTCTTTTTAGCTATTGTAAATTACATTGCTTCTTGATTTCTTTTTGATTTTTCTTTTGCTATTGTTGTATATAAATGTTACTGATTTGTGTAGGTTGATTTTGTATCCTGTAACTTTGCCAAATTTGTTTATCAGTCCTAACAGTTTTTTGGTGTTTTTTAGGTTTTCCTAAGTATAGGATCATGTCTGTGAATAAAGCTAATTTGACTTCTTGCCTTCTGATTTGGATGTCTTTAATTCTTTCTCTTACCTAATTGTCCTCTTCAGGACTTCCAGCATAACGGTGAACAAAATTGGGTATCGTTGTCTTGTTCTAGATCTTAGAGGAAAAGTTTCCAATTTCCCTCCATTTAATACAATGTTAGCTATAGGTTTGTTGTGTATGGCCTTTATTGTTTTGAAGTATGTTCCTTCCATACCCAGTTTGGTTGAGAGATTTTATCATAAAGAATGTTGAATTATTATCAAATGATTTTTCAGCACCTATTGAAATGATCATGTGATTTTTGTTTATTCTGTTAATGTGATGTATCATGTTTATTGATTTGCATATTTCAATCCATCCTTGCATTTCTGGGATGAATCCTGCTTGATCATGGTGAATAATCTTTTTAATGTTTTGTTCAATTTGATTTGCTAGTATTTTGTTGAAGATTTTTGCATATATGTTAATCAGTGATATTGGCTGGTAGTTTTTGTTTGTTTGTATTTTTTTTTTCCACTGAGTCCTTATCTGGTTTTGGTATCAAGGTAATGCTGGCCTTGTAGAATTAGTTTGGAAGTATTCCTTCCCTGTCATTTGTTTTTTGAACAGTGTGAGTAGAATTGATGTTAGTTCTTCTTTAAATATTTGGTAGAATTCACAGTGAAGCCATCAGGTCCTGGGATTTTCTTTGACTGAAGACATTATTACAGCCTCATTTTGTTACATGTTATTGGTTTGTTGAGGTTATTTCTTCATGGTTCAGTCATGGTAGGTTGTGAATGTCCCAGAATTTATGAATTTCTTCCAGGTTTTCCAATTTGCTGAAATACAGTTGTTCATAATAGCCTCTAATGATTCTTTATATTTCTGTCTTCTCAATTATGTCTCAGTTTTTTTGTTTACAATTTTACTTATTTGGCCCCTTCCTGTCTTTTTTTTTTATTAGTGCAGTTAAGAGTTTTTCATTTTGCTTATCTTTCCAAAAAGCAACTTTTCATCTTGTTGATTTTCTGTATTTTTCAGATCTTAATACCATTTATTTCTGCTCTGATCTTTATTATTTCTTTCTTTCTACTAATTTTGCATTTGGTTTTTTCTCGATTTTCTAGTTTCTTGTGATGCATTGTTGGGTTTATTTGAAAATCTTTATGCTTTTTGATGTCAGTGTTTACTAATTTTGCATTTAGTTTTTTCTTGATTTTCTAGTTTCTTGTGTTCCTCTTCTTATTAATGTCTAGTTTTCTTCCATTGTTGTCAGAAAAGATACATGATGTGATTGCTACCTTTTTGAATTTGTTGAGACTTGTTTGGTGGCCTAAGATATGGTCTATTTTGGAGAATGTTACATGTGTTGATGAAAAGAATGTGTATTCTGCAGTACTTGGGTGAAATGTTCTGTAAATGTCAATTAGGCCTCTTTGGTCTAATGTGTAGCTTAACACCAATGTTTCTTTGTTGATTTTTGTCCTGGACTGTCTATTCATTACTAAGAGTGGGCTCTTGAGATCTTCTACTATTATTACATTGCAGTCTGTCTCTCCCTTTAGATATACTTATGTTTGCTTTATATACTTTGGGGCTCTATTGTTGTGTGCATACATGCTTATAATTGTTATATCATCTTACTGAATTGTCCCCTTCATTATTATATAGTGACCATTATTGTCTCTTTTTATAGTCTTTGATTTGTAGGCTATTTTTATCTGATGTAAACATAGATATTCCTGAGTTTTTTTTCTTTTTTTTTTTTCTGGTTTCCAGTTGCTTGGAATATCTTTATCCATTCCTTCACTTTCACTCTGTCTTTAGGGATGAAGTAGGTTTCCTGTAGACAGCATATAGTTGGGTCTCATTCCTTCCTCCATTCAGTCACTCTATGCTTTTTAATTGAAGAATTGAGTCCATTTACATTTATTGTTACTACTGATAAGGACTTATTACTGCCATTTTGTTGCTTGGTTTTTGGTTGTCTTGTAACTTCTTTTTTCCTCTCTTCCTTTCTTACTGTCTTCCTTTGTGGTTAAGTGATATTCTCTTGCAGTACATTTTAAATAATTGTCTTTTATTTTTAATGAAGCTATTGTAGAGTTTTGCATTGTGGTTACCATGAGGCTTACAAAATTATCTTATAGATATAAAAAGTTATTTTAAAGAGATGACACCTTATCTTAGATCACAATGAAGAAATAGAAGCAAACAGAAAAAGGGGAAAAAAAACCCTTTTCACTTTAACTTCGTCACCTTACAACATTGGACATTATGTTGTCTCAATTTACATGCTTTTAGTCTATCTCTTAACAAGCTGCTGTAGCTGTTATTGTTTTTGATAATTTTTTAGGGGCTTTATATTAAAGTTGTAAATGGATTGTAAACCACACCTACAGTATTAGAGTATTGTATATTTCTCCATGTACTTACTGTTACCAGTGGGTTTTGTATCTTCACATGTTTTTTTTGCATGTTAGTGTTTTTTTCCTTCAGATTGAAGAACTTAGCATTTCTTACAAGATGGATTTGGTGGTGGTGGTGAATTCTCTCAGCTTTTGTTTATCTGGGAATGACTACCTCTCCTTCATATTTGAATGATAGCTGTGCAGAGTAGACTATTCTTAGATGCCAGTTTTCTTTCTTTCAACACTTTGAAAATGTTGTCCCACTTTTTCCTGGCTTGTATGGTTTCCATCAAGAAGTCTGTTGCCAGACAAATTGGAGCTCCTTTATATGTTATTTGCTTCTTTTCTCTTGGTGTTTTAAGGATCCTCTGGTTTTCATTGACCTTTGAGAATTTGATTTTATGCCTTCAGATAGGCTTATTTGGGTCAAATTTATTTGGTGTCCTCTGATCATCCTATACCTGGATATTTATATCTTCTCCAGGTTTTGGAAATGTTTCTGTTATTATTACTTTGAATAAGCTTTTTACCCCTTGCTCTTGCTCAACTCCCTCTTGAACACGGGTAATTCTTATATTTGGTATTTTGAGGTAATTTTCTATCTATTTTGTGTAGGCTTTCTCTTCTTTTTTTTTTTTTTTTTTTTTTTTGAGACAGGGTCTCATTCTGTCGCCCAGGCTTGAGTGCAGTGGCATGATCTTGGCTCACTACCACCTCTGCCTCCTGGGGTCAACAATTCTCTTGCCTCAGCATCCTGAGTAGCTGGGACTACAGGCGTATACCATCATATCTGGCTAATTTTTGTATTTTTTGTAGAGACAGGGTTTCACCCTGTTGCCCAGGCAGTTCTCAAACTCCTGGGCTCAAGTGTTCCACCCGCCTCGGCCTCCTAAAGTGCTGGGATTACAGGCATGAGCTACCTCACCTAGCCTTTTCTCTTCCTTTTTATTGTTTATTCTTTTTTCTCCTCTTACCATGTATTTTCAGATAGCCTGTTTTTTAAATTTTAAATTTTTGTGGGTACATACTAGGTGTATATATTTATGGGTTACATGAGATATATTGTTACAGGCATGCAATGCACAGTAATTACATCAGCACATATGGGTTATCCATCACCTCAAGCATTTATCCTTTGTGATACAAACAATCCAATTATATTCTTTTAGTTGTTTTAAAGTTTACAATTAAATTATTATTGACTATAGTCACCCTGTTGTCCTAGCAAATACTAGGTCTTATTCTTTCAATTTTTTGTACCCCTTAGCCATCCACGCTTATCCCTCCTATCCCCAACTACCCTTCCAAGCCTCTGATAGCCATCCTTCTACTCTCCATCTTCATGAGTTCAGTAGTTTTAATTTTTGCCTCCTTTAGCCATCCTTCTGCTCTCTGTCTCTATGAGTTCAATAGTTTCAATTTTTAGTTCCCACAAATAAGTGAGAACATGTGATGTTTGTCTTTCTGTGCCTGGCTTATTTCACTTAACATAATGACCTCCTGGTTCATCTCTGTTGTTACAAATAACAGGATTTCTTTTTTTTATGGCTGAATAATACCCCATTATGTATATGTACCAAATTTTCTCTCTCCATTCATCTGTTGATGGACACGTAGGTAGCTTCCAAATCTTGGCTATTGTGAATAGTGCTGCACTAAACATGGGAGAGCAGAAATCTCTTCAATATACTGATTTCCTTTTTTTTCAGTATATACCTAAGAGTGAGATTCAGGGATCATATGGTAGTTCTATTTTTGTTTTGTTTTATTTATTTATTTATTTATTTTGAGGAACCTCCAAATTGCTCTGCATACTAGTTTTACTAATTTACCTTCCCACCAACTGTGTACAAGGGTTCCCATTTCTCCACATTCTCACCAGTATTTGTTATTGCCTGACTTGGATAAAAGCCATTTTAACTGGAGTGAGATGATATCTCATTGTAGTTTTGATTTACATTTCTCTGATGATCAGTGATGTTGAGCACCTTTTTATATACCTCTTTGCCATTTGTGTCCTCTTTTGAGAAATGCTTATTTAGATCTTTTACCCATTTTTCAATTAGATTATTATATATTTTTTCCTATAAAGTTTTATCTCATTATATATTCTGTTTATTAATCCTTTATCAGATGAATAGTTTGCAAATATTTTTTTCTAATTCTGTAGGTCATCTCTTCATTTTGTTGATTGTTTCCTTTGCTGTGGAGAAACTTTTTAGCTTGATGTGATCCCATTTGTCTATTTGTGTTTTGGTTGCCTGTGCTTACGGGATGTTACTCAAGAAATCTTTGCCCAGCACAATGTCCTGGAGAGTTTCTCCAGTGTTTTCTTTTAGAGGTTTTAAACTTTGAGGTCCTAGATTTAAGTCATTAATCCACTTTGACTTGATCTTTGTATATAGTGAGAGGGGTGTAGTTTCATTCCACTGCATGTGGATATCCAGTTTTCCAAACACCATTTATTGAAGAGACTTTCCTTTCCCCAACGTACATTCTTGGCACCTTGTTCCACTGATCTATGTGTCGGTTTTTATACAATACCATTTCGTTTTGGTTACCATACCTTTGTAGTATAATTTAAAGTCAGGTAATGTGATTCTTCCAGTTTTATTCTTTTTGCTTAGGATACCTTTGACTATTTAGGGTCTGTTGTGGTTCTATATAAATGTTAGGATAGTTTTTTGTATTTCTGGGAAGAATGTCATTGGTAATTTGATAGGGATTGCATTAAATCTGTAGATTATTTTGGGTAGTATGGACATTTTAACAATATTGATTCTTCCAATCTATGAACATGTAATATTTTTCCTTTTTTTGTCTTCTTCAATTTCTTGCATGTTTTATAATTTTCATTGTAGAGATCTTTCAATTCTTTGGTTAATTCCTAGATATTTTACTTATAACTATTATAAATGGAATTACTTTCCTGATTTCTTTTTCAGATTGTTTGCTGTACACATATAGATGTGCTACCGATTCTTGTCTGTTAATTTTGTATCCTGCAACTTTATTGAATTTGTTTATCAGTTCTAATAGTTTTTTTGGTAGAGCCTAGGTTTTCCTAAATATAAGATCATATCAACTGCAAAGAGGAATAACTTGACTTCTTTCTTTCCATTTGGATACCCTTGCTTTCTTTTAATTTAATTTAATTTTTTAACTTTTAAGTTCAGGGGTACATGTGCAGATTTGTTACATAGGTAAATTTCTGTCATAGGGGTTTGTTGTATAGATTATTTTGTCACCAAGGTATTAAGCCTAGTACCCATTAGTTATTTTTCATGATTCTCTCTCTCCTCCCACCCTCTACCCTCCAATAGGCCCCAGTGTGTGTTGTTCCCCTTTATGTGTCCATGTGTTCTCATCATTTAACTCCCATTTATAAGTGAAAACATGTGGCATTTGGTTTTCTGTTGCTGCATTAGTTTGCTAAGGATAATGGCCTCCAGATCCATCCATGTTGCTGCAAAGCACATGATCTCATTCTTTGTTATGGCTGCATAGTATTCCATGGTGTGTATGTACCACATTTTCTTTATCCAGTCTGTTATCAATGAGCATTTAGGTTGATTCCATGTCTTTGCTATTGTGAATAGTGCTAGAATGAATATACATGTGCATGTGTGTTCATAATAGAACAATTTTATTCCTTTGGGTATATACCCAATAATGGGATTTTTGGGTCAAATGATACTTCTGTCTTCAGGTCTTTGAAGATTTGCCACACTGTCTTCCACAATGGTTGAACTAATTCATATGCCCACCAATGGTGTAAAAGTGTTCCTTTTTCTCTACAACCTCACCAGCATCTGTTATTTTTGGACTTTTCAATAACAGCTATTCTGACTGGTGTGAGATGATATCTCATCGTGGTTCTGATTTGCATTTCTCTAATGATCAGACATGTTGGGTTTTTTTTTCATCTAATTGTTGGCCGCATGTATGTCTTCTCTTGAAAAGTGTCTGTTCATGTCCTTTACCCACTTTTTAATAGGGTTGTTTGTTTTCCTCTTGCAAATTTGTTGATGTACCATATAGATTCTGCGTATTAGATCTTTGTCAGATGCATAATTTGTAAAAATTTTCTCCCATTCTGTAGGTTGTTTGTTTACTATATTGATAGTAACAACATAGTTGTTTCTATGAAAGAACATAGCGCTTTATTTTGGTGTGCAGTGCTCTTTAGTTTAATTAAATCCCATTTGTTAATTTTTGCTTTTGTTGCAATTGCTTTTGGCATCATCATCATGAAATCTTTGCCCATGCCTATGTCTTGAATGGTATTGTCTATGTTGTCTTCCAGAGTTTTTATAGTTTTGGGTTTTACATTTAAGTCCTTAATTCATCTTGAATTAATATTTGTCTATGGTGTAAGGAAGGGGTCCAGGTTCAATCTTCTGCATATGGCTAGCCAGTTCTCCCAGCTCCTTTGCTGAATAGGGAATCCTTTCCTCATTGCTTGTTTTTGTCAGGTTTCTGGAAGATCAGCTAGTAGCAGGTGTGCGGTCTTATTTCTGGGTTCTCTATTCTGTTCCATTGGCCTATGTGTCTGTTTTTTTTTATATCAGTACCATGTTGTTTTGGTTACTGTAGCCCTATAGTGTAATTTGAAGTTGGGTAGCATGATGCCTCCAGCTTTGTTCTTTTGGCTTAAGATTGCCTTGGATATTCAGGCTCATTTTTGGTTTCATATGAATTTTAAAATAATTTTTTCCAGTTCTGTGAATTATCTAAATGATAGTTTGATAGGAATAGCATTGAATCTGTAAATTGCTTTGGGCAGTATGGCCATTTTAACAATATTGATTCTTCCTATGCATGAGCATGGAATGCTTTCCATTTGTTTGTATCATCTCTGATTTCCTTTAGCAGTGGTTTATAGTTTTTCTTGTAGAGGTCTTTCACCTCTCTGGTTAGCTGTATTTCTAGGTATTTTATCCTTTTTGTGGCAGTTGTGAACATGAGTTCATTTTTAATTTGGCTCTCAGATTGACTGTTGCTGGTGTATAGACATGCCAGTGATGTTTGCACATTAGTTTTGCATCCTCAGACTTTGGTGAGTTTATCAACTTAAGATTTTGGGCTGAGATGATGGGGTTTTCTAGATATAGGATCATGTCTTCTGCAAACAGGGATATTTTGACTTACTCTCTTTCTATTTGAACACCTTTATTTCTTTCTGTTGCCTAATTGCCTTGGCCAGGACTTCCAATACTATGTTGAATAGGAGTGGTGAGAGAGGACGTCCTTGTTCTATGCCAGTTTTTAAGGGGAATACTTCCAACTTCTGCCCATTCAGTATGATGTGGGCTGTGGGTTTATCTTAGATGGCTCTTATTACTTGGAGACATGTTTTTCCAGTAAGTAGTTTATTGGGAATTTTTTAACATGAAGAGATGTTGGATTTTATCAAAAGCCTTTTCTGAATCTATTGAGGTAATCATGTGGTTTTTGTTTTTAGTACTGTTTATGTGATGAATCACATTTATTGACTTGTGTATGTTGAACCAGTCTTGCATCCCAGTGATAAAACCTACTTGGTCATGGTAGATAAGCTTTTTGATGTGCTGCTGGATTAGATTTGCCAGTATTTTGTTGAGGATTTATGTGTCATTGCTCATCAGGGATATTGGCCTGAAATTTTCTTTATTGTTGTTTATCTGCCAGGTTTTGGTATCAGGATCATGCTGGTCTTGTAGAATGAGTTAGGGAGGAGTCCCTCCTCCTCATTTTTTGGAACAGTTTCAGTAGGAATGGTACAGCTCTTTGTACATCTGGTAGAATTCATCTGTGAATCCATCTGGTCCTGGGCTTTTTTGTTGTTGTTGTTTGGTAGGTTGTTTATTTTTGCCTCAATTTCAGAGCTTATTATTGGTCTGTTTAGGGATTCAATTTCTTTCTGATTCAGTTTTGCCAATGCCCTTTATTTGTTTCTCTTGTCTGATTGCCATAGCCAGGATTTCCAGTACTGTGTTGAATAACAATGGTGAAAGTGGGCATCCTCAGTAGGCTTTCAGTTTCTCCTCTTTCTGCATGATACTAGCTATGAGTCTGATATATATAGCTTTTATTATGTTGAGGTATGTTAATTCTATATTCAGTTTTTTAAGGGTTTTTAATCATCAAGGGAGGTTGAATTCTATCAAATGCTTTTTCAGCATCAGTTGAAATAATCATATGATTTTTGTCCTTCATTCTGTTGACATGATGTATCAAATTGATGGATTTGCATATGTTGAATCATTCTTGAATCCCTGAGATAAATTCTGCTTGCTCTTTCAATGTGTTGCTGAATTTGGTTTTCTAGTATTTTGTTGAAGATTTTTTCATCAATATTCATCAGAGATACTGGCCTATAGTTTCCTTTTTTTAATGTATATTTTTATGGTTTGGTATGAGGGTAATACTGGCCTCACAGAATGGGTTTGGAAGTATTTCTTCCTCCTATATTTTTTCAGAATACTTTGAGTAGGACTGGTATTAGTTCTTGTTTATATGTTTGTGTTAGCATTGAAGGCACCGGGGCCCAGGCTTTTTTTAAATGGGAGAGTTTTTTTACGGCTTTGATCTTGTTACTTGTTATTTACCTGTTCCGGTTTTGGATTTCTTCATGGTTCAATCTTGGTAGGCTGTGTGTTTCTGGGAATTTATTCATTTCTTCTAGATTTTCCAATTTCAAAAAACTGAAATAATATGAAGTATCTTTTCTGACCACAATGGAGTTAGAAATCAATAATAAGAGGAATTTTAGAAACTACAAAAACACATGGAAATTAAACAACATGCTCCTAAATGACCAGTAGGTCAATGAAGAAATTAACAAGGAAATTGAAAAATTTTGTTGGCATATCATTGCTTATAGTAGTCACTAATGATCCTTTAAATGTCTGCAGTATCAGTTGTAATGTCTCCTTTTTCATCTCTGATTTGTTTGAGTCTTCTCTCTTTTTTTCTTAGTAAGCCTGACTAAAGGTTTGTCAATTTTATTTTTTAAACATATTTTTGTCTCATTAATCTTTTGTATTTTGTTTCTTGAAACAAATGATAATGGAAATATAACACACCAAAACCCATGCAATGCGGTGAAAGTAGTACTTAAGAGGAAAGTTTATAGCTATAAATGCCCACATGAAGAAAAGAAGAAAAACTTCAAATAAGGAAGTTATTTGAACAAATAAATTAAAGAGAATATTACACCACAGTTACCGTGTTGTCATATTCTGTGTTTTCTGTGTATTTACCATGACCAGTGAGTTTTGTACCTTTGGATGATTTCTTCTTATTAGCATCCTTTTCTTACTTATTGAAATACTTCCTTTAGCATTTCTTATAGGACAGGTCCGGTGTTGATGAAATCCCTCAGCTTTTGTTTGTCTGGGAAAGTCCTTTATTTCTCCTTCATGTTTGAAGGATATTTTCACTGGATATACTATTCTAGGGTAAAAGTTTTTTTCCTTCAGCACTTTAAATATGTCATGCCACTTTCTCCTGGCCTATAAATTTTCCTCTGAAAAGTCTGCTGCCAGACATATTGGACTCCATTGCATGTTATTTGTTTCTTTTCTCTTGCTACCTTTCAGATCATTTCTTTAAAATTGACCACTGGGAATTTTATTATTAGATGTCTTGAGGTAGTCTTTGGGTTAAATCTGTTTGGTGTTCTGTAACCTTCATGTACTTCAATATCGATATCTTTCTCTAGATTTGGGAATTTCCCTGTTATTATCCCTTTGAATAAACTTTCTATCCCTATCTCTTTCTCTCCCTTCTCTTTAAGGCCAATAACTCTTCGATTCCCCTTTTTGAGGCTATTGTCTAGATCCTGCAGGTGTACTTCATTATTTTTTGTTCTTTTCTGTTTTGTCTTCTCTGTGTATTTTCAAATAGTCTGTCTTCAAGCTCACCAATTCTTTTTTCTTCTTGATCAGTTCTACTATTAAAAGACTCTGACACATTCTTCAGTATGTCAGTTGCATTTTTCAACTCCAAAATTTCTGCTTGATTCTTTTAAATTATACCAGTCTCTTTGTTAAATTTATCTGATAGGATTCTGAATTCCTTCTGGTTTTTTTGTTTGTTTGTTTCCTCAAAACAGCTATTTAAAATGGTCTGTCGGCAAAGTCACAAGTCTTTGTTTCTCCAGGATTGGTGCCTGGTGCCTTATTTAGTTTGTTTGGTGAGGTCATGTTTTCCTGGATGATCTTGATGCATTTTGGTGTTTGTCTGTGTCTGGGTATTGAAGAGTTAGTATTTACTGTAGTCTTACTCTGGGCTTGTTTGTACCCATCCTAACTTTCTAGATATTTGAATGGACTTGGGTGTTGCGATCTCAGTCATATCTACATTAGGGGACACCCCAAGCTCAGTAACACCATTTCTTGCAGACTTGTAGAGATACTGCCTTGGTGGTCTTGGATAAGATCCAGTACAATTCTCTGGATTACCAGGAAGAGACACTTGTTTACTTCCCTTACTTTCTCTCAGACAAATGAGTCTTTCACTCTGTTCTGAGCTGCCTGAAGCTGGGGTTATGGTGACACAAGCACCTCTGTGACCACCACCACTGGGACTGTGCTGGGTCAGACCTGAAGCCAGCACAGCACTGGATCTCACCCAAGGCCCACTGTAACCACTGCCTGGATATTGGCTATATTTGCTCAGGGCTCTGGGACTCTACAAACAGAAGTTGGCAAAGCCAGCCATGCTTGTGTCCTTCCCTTCAGGGCAGTGAGTTCCCTTAGGCCCTGGGTGATTCCAGAGGTGCCATCTGGGATCCAGGGACTAGAGTAAAAAAACCTTAGGAATCTGTCCAGTGTTCTCTTGTACTGTGGCTGAGCTGGCACTAAAACTATGAACTGCAATTCTTCCCACTCTTCCGTCCCCTTTCCACAGGTAGAGGAACCTCACCCTGTGGCCACCACCACCACAGGCCCATGAGAAGTACTGCCAGGCTACTGTCAATGTTCACTTAAGGCCCAAGGGCTCTTCAGTCAGCTCATGGTGAATGTTCCTAAGCCTAGGGCTCACCCTTGAGGGCAGTGGGTTCCCCTGTGTCTCAAGGCAGGTCCAGAATTGCCATCGAAGAGCCAAGGCCTGGAATTGTGACTGCTAGAGCCCAATTGTTGCTCTACCCCCCTGTGGCTGAGCTAAGGTGCAAGACAGAATTCCTTTTAGTTTACCTCTGCTTTTCTTTTTTTTCAATGAATTTGGAAAGTTTATTTTGCCAAGGTTATGGATGTGACACAGCCTATGGAGGTCCTGAGGACATGTTCCCAAGATAGTTGGGGTACAGCTTGCTTTTATACATTGTTGGGAGTTGTGAGACCTCAGACAATATGTTTAAGATGTACATTGGTTTTGTCCAGAAAGCTGGGACAACTCAAAGCATGGGAGGGGGCTTCCAGGTCATAAGTAGATAAGACAAATGGTTGCATTATTTTGAGTCTCTGATTAGCCTTTTTCTGAATACACAATTTACATGTGAGAGGAGGGTAAAAGAATCTTCACTTATGTCTTAGTCTGGCTTAGTGAAATGATAGGGCAGAAGAAGCAATGAGATGTGCATTTGTCTCAGGTGAGCGGAGAGATGGCATTGTGTTCTGTTCATCCTTTGCCCACAAGGAAATTCCCTAAGGGCAAATGGTGAGGGAGGTATGTAGCTTCCTTATCTTTGTAGCCATCTTATTTAGTAATAAATTGGGAGCAAGTTTGCTTGATGCAGTTCCCAGCTGTCTTCCCTTTGGATTAGTGAAAATTTATTTTATTTCATACCATAAACTTGCTCTGTAATTTAGTTGGTGTTAGTGTGATATTTGAGAATATAGTATTTGGGATTTGAAGATAATTAGCTAAGCTAGAGAGAAATTCCTAAAATAATTCTAAAAAGAAAATAAATAAATCCCTTTTCTTTATTATTGCTTCCTGGTCCTCTGCTTTTCTCAGGCAGGAGGAATTTAGTCCTGTAGTCACCGCAGCTGGGAATGTGCTGAGTCTCACCAGAAGCCAGCAAGTCTCAGAGTCTCACCCAAGGCCTACAGTGTATTATGTGGATATTACTGCTGGTTATTCAGGGACCAAGGGCTCTTTAGTCGGCAGGTGATTGTTCCTTTCTTTCAAGGCAATGGGTCCCCTTCTGGCTCATAATGTGTCTAGAAATGTCTGTGAGCTAGGGCCTGGAAAGAGGGCCTCACAACTCTGACTGGTGCCCTATCCTACTGTGGTGAGCTGATATCCAATATGCAAGACAAAGTCTTCTTAGTCTTCCTTCTCCTCTCCTCAAGTGGAAGAAAAGGGTCTTTTTTGGGGGCCGTGGGCTGTATGGCCTGGGGTTGGGAGAGAGGTGGCACAAGCACTCCCTTAACCACCTCAGCTGATATCTTAGTAGGTTGTGTATCCCCCCCATGTCCACTGGCTCTGAGTCCAGTTCAAGAGGAGGACTCATGTAGAAGTTACAGTCTTTGTTGCATAAGCTACCTTTTAAGTTTATTTAGAGCCCTAGAGCACTTTAGCCTGTGGTGGTGAGGCTTGCCAGAACTCACATTCTGACCACTGGGATGGGTGATTCCCTTCTGGCTAGGGCTGGCTTTAATACGCCCTCTGTGGGTGGGTATCATCTGAGTTCAGTCCGGTGTTGCTTTCTGCTCTGATAGGGCAGCACTGAGTTCAACACAGTGTCTCACAATTGCTGCACTCTCCCTCTCCGAAGTGCACAGATTCTCTCTCCATGCCAAATGGCTGCTGCCAGGAAATGGGGGCGGGGTGGCATCAGCAATTCAAGACTGTTTTTCTACCCTCTTAAGTGCCTCTTTCAGCTATATGTTAAAACCAGGTGCTGCGAGTGCTCACTTCATTTTTGGTACTTATGAAGGTACTTTTTTTTGTGCTTGTAGATATTTGATAAATTTTGTGTTTCTGATGAGTGGAGCCTTCTATTAGGCTATCTTGCTCTGTCCCCCTCAACAGCTTGTTTTGAAGTTCACTGATTCTTTCCTCTGCTTGATTCATTCTGCTGTTGAGTGCCCCTAATGAATTTTTCAGTTAAACAAATGGATTTCTCAGTTCCAAGATTTCTGTTTGATTTTTTTACATTATTATTATTATTATTTTTTGAGATGGAGTCTTGCTCTGTCACTCAGGCTGGAGTGCAGTGGCACAATCTCGGCTCACTGCATCTCTGCCTCGCAGGTTCAAGCGATTCTCCTGCCTCAGCCTCCCCAGTAACTGGGATTACAGGTGCCTGCCATCACACCTGGCTAATTTTTGTGTTTTTAGTAGAGATGGGGTTTCACCATGTTGGCCAGGCTGGTCTTAAACTCCTGACCTCAGGTGATCCGCCCACCTCGGCCTCCCAAAGTGCTGGGATTACAGGCTTGAGCCACTGCACGCAGCCCATTATTTTAATCTCTGTTAAATTTCTCTTACCAATTTCGGAATTGCTTTTCTGTATTATGTTAGAGATCACTAAGTTTCCTTAAAACTTTTTTTTTTTTTGAATAGTTGGTCAGAGTTCACATGTCACTATCTTCTTAGGATCAGTTACTGGTTTCTTGCTTTGTCTGTTTTGGGAGGTCTTGGTTTTGTTTGCCGTTGTTTCTTGTGGATGTACATTTGTGTATTCATTGAAAGATTAGTGATTCCAGTTTTCTCTGTTTGGCTTGGTTTGTTTTTTATTGACTATGTTTGCCTTGAGATTTTTTTTGTAATTTATCTGTTGATTGTTTTTACTTTCTGCTCGGTCACTTCCTCCTTCTTAGCACAGATGGCACCTTATGCCCAGGTTTGTCTTGGTTCTAGTATAGTTAATAATCAGAGTACTTCCTGTCCCAAATGGAGGAGGTTCTAATTGTGATATCCCAGTAGTGTGGGAAGGCTGGTTAGAAGTTTGTGTCCAGGGACTTGTGTAACAAGCCTCCTATAGTGTGGTATCACTGAACAGTCACTCTGATCTGGCATCTCCTTTGATTGAGTTACAGGGCAGAGTTTCTAGGGCTAGAGGATGGTGGTTCTGTCTCCCTACTTTGATTATTCTCAGGGATATTTCTCCTTTCAGGCACTCCTGATGATTCCCACGAGTTAAAGTGACGACAGATCTCTTGCTAGGCAACCCAAGATGGTGGGTAAGCTGGTTGTCTAACTCAGTATCATTTTTCCAGTGTAGAAATAGAATTGGGGGGGACATTTTTTGCACACTTGGTGTCAGCAGATTGGGGGTAGGAGCACTGTGGATGTGGGAGTCTGATTCTCTTACTGTCTGCTCAGAATTTTTTCACTTTTTTATAACAGTGGGACTTGTCTTATCCTTATATTTGAGTTCTGTGATATTGCTAGTTATAATCTTGTGCCATACATTTGTTTTTGGTTTTCTGGGAGGGGGTGGGGTAGACTGAAGCCAGTTTGCTTCTGTATTGGCATTGGAATTGGATGTTATTAAATGCCTGGAATTAACAGCTTGACAATATTGTCTTCCTATCCATAGACATGGAATATCTCTCCAGTTATTTAGTTCTTTTTTCCTCTCATCAGAGTTTTGTAGTTTTCCTCATATAGATCTTATACATCTTATACACATTTTGTTAGTTTTATACTTATTTTAGTACATGGCATTGAGTTTCTAATTTCAAATTCCAGTTCTTCATTGCTAGCACTGTAGCCTCCTCTTACCTACAGTTTCACTTTCTGTGGCTACAGTTACCTGTAGCCAACTATGGACTATAAATAATAAATGGAAAATTCCAGAAATAAATAATTCATAAGTTTTAAATTGTGAAGTGTTCTAAGTAGCATAATGAAATTTTGCACCATCCCACTCCATCCCTTCTGGGATGTGAATCATCCGTTTGTCCAGCGTATTCACGCTATATATGCTCCCTGCCCTTTCATCATGGACATAGTCTGCTTCTGACTTCCAAGCATCAACACTGTCATGGCTTGATGATCTAGGATCCTCCTTCTGATGTCTTGTCAGAAGGTCAGTAGTAGCTTAATGCTATATCACAATACCTATATCATTCACATCACTTCATCTCATCCTGTAGACATTTTATTATCTTGTATCATCACAGGAAGAAGAAGGGCGAGTACAGACAATGAGATATTTTGAGATAGAGATACCACATGTACCCCATACAACTTTTATTTCAGCATAGTGTTATAATTGTTCTATTTTATTATTAGTTATTGTTGTTAATTTTTTACTACACATTATTTATAAATTAAACTCTCTCATAGATATGTATATATAGGAAAAAAACAGTACATATAGGTTTTAGTACTCTTAGAATGTATTCCCCACAGATAAAGGGGGACTACTGTGTATAGACAAGTGACTGACTTTCGTATATTAACCTTACAAACTTGCTATAATTATTTCCACTCTTGCTCATTATTTACACTCATATCTTCATAAGATTTGTGAACATCAAAAGTGTTATTATAGGTAATTGTCAGTAGTTCTTCAACTCCTACTTCATAATCTCTAATGGTCCCACTGAAGTGTTTTCCCAGGAAGTGCTGTGGGGAAAATATATGCCAGAGGTATCAGTGATAAAAGATTGGAACTAACTTAATGATTACAGAATTCCCTAAGGGTGTAAAAAGGCAAATATAATTCATAAAGGTCTCTGCTTTTTAAAAGAAAGTGAACATACATTCATATCATTTGTTTTAATGTTTTATTTTTATTTTTCTCGGAATAGTTGGTTTTCTATATCATGCTGATTAATTTAAAAATGCATATACTTTTTTTACTCTATTGCTCAAGCATCCTACTTCATGTAAATCTGATGCTTTAAAATATTAAATGATAAAAACAATCAATGGAAAATAATGAATATTATTGGTCTTTAAAAAAATTTACAAAGGACCCTACCACAGGATTAGTTTTTAGTAATAATTCATATTAGTGATTTCAAAACATCACTGATTTTGATTTTCAAAATCAGTACTTATTTACCCTTATAAGGAATAAAGCTATTTCAGAAAATGCAGGAGAAAAACATCAGGATTTCTTTTTAGTCATTTGCAGTGACTATGAATGAATTAAAAAATTATTTCAGTTAGGAATAACAATATGTATTTTTATAAAGTAGGCCAGTGTGCCTACACCAGCTAAAAATAATATTTAAGTTAGCATGTTATTTACCTAAGATTCATCATATCATTGCATTTCCCTCATATTGTAAGGCATTTTTTCCATCCTACTTTAGAATTTTTTGTAGAATGTAGTGCTACCTGGATTACAGAGAAATTTTGTATAATAAAAGCTTCTAAAATTTTTTATCATTTGTAAGTAAATACTGGCATAAGTAAATGCAGTGTATGATAAAATGCATTTTCTTAACATGTAGTCTTGCAAGTATAGGAAACTTTACTACTTGGAGAACAATATTTAAATATGAAAATGGGATAACATTCTTATGAATTAATTTTAAAACTTTTTGTGTTTATTTTTAGGAAACCGTGAGTTTGATTTGGTGTGGATATTTTGGAAGAGTATATGAAACAAATGCATTTTACATGGTTTCTCAGTAACGTCTATAACAGATTTACTTCTGAACCTCTTGGACATGGTGCAGTAAAAAAAAAAAAAACCAGTTAATTGGAACAATATAAAAGTTGTCTTAATGGGATTAATTGAAGAAGATTGGCCAGATACATTGGCTACAGTTAATAAGTCAAAAGTAAACTATAAAGATTATGTTAAGTTGCTAATAAAAGGAAGGGAAGTAGAACTTTAAGAAGAGTGAGCAGATCTGGTTATTGCAATAACTCATATGAAATGGGGAAATGATACAAGGCTTGCCCAAAGAGCAGAAGGGGTCAGTTTGATTCCTGGAGGCCAAGACCATGATTATGGAATCAGTAAGGTGAATGAAACTTGGATTGCCAAAAGTGGATCCGATTTTAAAAACTTAACAAAAATAAATATAAGACTCTTTGGTGCATATTTCCAATATGTATTTGAGAAAGTGGACATTTTGAATTATTTGGAAGAAGATTCATATATTCAAGTAATAGTAAAAGATTTTACTCAAAATGTACAGGTGCATGAATATTGCTTATATTATTTAGCAAAGTACAGATTGATCATGTTCACATTTATTGGACAATACATTAATATCGTGGCATATGACTAATGACCAACCAACACTGTAGAAGGCATATTTAACCACAATAAATTATTGCTAGTTTTAGCTTTATTGGATTTTAATTTTCATATTCAATTTATACTTCCTTTTGGCTTTATAAGTGACAGGAATTTAGATCTACTTTAATGTTTGAACTTACATTAACTATCATTATGAAAATATTTTTAAATACTCAAACTCTGCAATTATTTATTTCTTGAATAAAGGGATTAGTACTCAAATTTAAGAAGTACTGGGTTAACAATGGAAAAGGTGAATTTTACATCAGCTTGTAATGAGAAAATGCACTTTTTCTTGCCTTCTCTCCTTAACTACCTGAAATGTTGAGTGGTTTGTAATCATGCTACTTAAACTTTTATACGCATTTGAAGCCTTGAGGTTTGTCTTTTTTCCAGGCCTCCCTACACATTGGAAAATCAATGTGTGTGTATGTGTGTGTGTGTGCGTGCGTGTGCATGTGTATGTGTGTGAGTGACATTTTTAAGAACTGATGGGCAATATGAGCCAGATTCTATTTATATTTATTCATGCATTATCTCATATAAATTCTGGTGTCTCAGTTAGCTCTGTGGGAATTGCGCACTCTGTTTTGATTAGGGTCTAAGTATTAATGGATGGCTTCATGTTTGGATCAGATTGGTATCATGAATATTAGATATTTTATAACAGTTTTCTGGTTCCTGAAAATATAGATAGGGGCTCCTAAAATTTATGATAACCTGGCTCATTAAATGGCTCTGAAAAGTAAATGATTGTTGAAATATGCAGTATTTTGGTATCCCTTTCGTACTTTCGTATTTGGAGAGTAAGAATTGTAATAAATTTATCTGATTTTGAGGTGGAGGTGAATAAATGATCAAGAGGAGAAAAAATAATTAAAAAATGAGAAATGTTGGTTTTTAGATAACTTTTTTCTTTTTTAATTTATTTTTTATTTTTATTTTTATTTTATTTTATTTTTATTATACTTTAAGTTCTGGGGTACATGTGTAGAACATGCAGTTTTGTTACACAGGTATATACGTGCCATGGTGGTTTGCTGCACCCATCAACCCCTCACCTACATTAGATATTTCTCTTAATGTTATCCCTCCCTTAGCCCCCCACCCCTCGACAGGCCCCAGTGTGTGATGTTCCTCTCCCTGTGTCCATGCGTTCTCATTGTTCAACTCCCACCTATGAGTGAGAACATGTGGTGTTTGGTTTTTTGTCCTTGCTATAGTTTGCTGAGAATGTTGGTTTCCGGCTTCATCCATGTCCCTGCAAAGGACATGAACTCATCCTTTTTTATGGCTGCATAGTATTCCATGGTGTATATGTGCCACATTTTCTTAATCAAGTCTATCATTCATGGACATTTGGGTTGGTTCCAAGTCTTTGATAGCAAAGTGTGAATAGTGCCACAATAAACATAATGTGTGCATGTGTCTTTATCATAGAATGATTTATAATCCTTTGGGTATATGCCCAGTAATGGGATTGCTGGGTCAATTGGTATTTCTAGTTCTAGATCCTTGAGGAAGATGCCACAGTGTCTTCCACAATGGTTGAACTAATTTACACTCCCACCAACAGTGTAAAAGCATTCCTATTTCTCCACATCCTCTCCAGCATCTGTTGTTTCCTGACTGTTTAATGATAACCATTCTAACTGGCATGAGATGGTATCTCATTGTGGTTTTGATTTGCATGTCTGTAATGAGCAGTGATGATGAGCATTTTTTCATATGGTTGTTGGCTGCATAAATGTCTTCTTTTGAGAAGCATCTGTTCATATGCTTTGCCCACTTTTTAATGGGGTTATTTGCTTTTTTCTTGTAAATTTGTTTAAGTTCTTTGTAAATTCTGGATACTAACCCTTTGTCAGATGGATAGATTGCAAACATTTTCTCCCATTCTGTATGTTGCCTGTACACTCTGCTGATAGTTTCTTTTGCTCTGCAGAGGCTCTTTAGTTTAATTAGATCCCATTTGTCAATTTTGACTTTTGTTGCCATTGCTTTTGGCGTTTTAGACATGAAGTCTTTGCCCATGCCTATGTCCTGAATGATATTGCCAAGGTTTTCTTCTAGGATTTTTATGGTCCTAGGTCTTACATTTAAGTCTTTGATCCATCTTGAGATGATTTTTGTATAAGGTGTAAGGAAGGGGTCCAGTTACAGTTTTCTACATATGCTAGCCAGTTTTCCCAACACCATTTATTAAATAGGAATCTTTTCCCCAGTGCTTGTGTGTGTCAGGTTTGTCAGAGATCAGATGGTTGTAGATGTGTGATGTTATTTCAGAGGCCTCCTGGTTGTAGATGTGTGATGTTATTTCAGAGGCCTCCATTTGTTCCATTGGTCTGTATATCTGTTTTTGTACCAGTACCATGCTGTTTTTGTTACTGTAGCCTTGTAGTATAGTTTAAAGTCAGGTAGCTTGATGCCTCCAGCTTTGTTCTTCTTGCTCATGATCGTATTGGCTATCCGGGCTCTTTATTGGTTCCATATGAAGTTTAAAGTAGTTTTTTCCAATTCTGTGAAGAAAGTCATTGGTAGCTTGATGGGGATAGCATGGAATCTATAAATTACTTTGGACAGTATGGCCATTTCATGGTATTGATTCTTCCTATCCATGAGCATGGGATGTTTTTCTATTTGTTTGTGTCCTCTCTTGTGTGCTTGAGCAGTGGTTTGTAGTTCTCCTTGAAGAGGTCCTTCACATCCCTTGTAAGTTGTATTCTTAGGTATTTTATTCTCTTTGAAGCAATTGTGAATGGGAGTTCACTCACATGTGGGAGTTTATTTGCATAGAAGTGTTTCTAGTATTCGCTAATGGTAGTTTGTATTTCTGTGGGATCAGTGGTGATATCCCCTTTATCGTTTTTTTTGCATCTATTTGATTCTTCTATTTTTTCTTCTTTATTAGTCTAGCTAGCAGTCTATCTATTTTGTTGATGTTTTCAAAAAATCAGCTCCTGGATTCATTGATTTTTTGAAGGGTTTTTTTGTGTCTCTATCCCCTTCAGTTCTGCTCTGATCTTAGTTATTTCATGTCTTCTTCTAGCTTTTGAATTTGTTTGCTGTTGCTTCTCTATTTCTTTTAATTTTGTTGTTAAATTGTCAATTTTAGATATTTCCTGCTTTCTCTTGTAGGCATTTAGTGCTATAAATTTCCCTCTACACACTGCTTTAAATGTGTCCCAGAGATTCTGGTACCTTGTGTCTTCGTTCTCATTGATTTCAAAGAGCATTTTTATTTCTGCCTTCATTTCATTATTTACCCAGTAGTCATTCAGGAGCAGGTTGTTCAGTTTCCATGTAGTTGTGTGGTTTTGAGTGAGTTTCTTAATCCTGAGTTCTAATTTGATTGCACTGTGGTCTGAGAGACTGTTATGATTTCTCTTCTTTTGCATTTGCTGAGATGTGTTTTACTTCCAATTATGTGGTCAATTTTAGAATAAGTGCGATGAGGTGCTGAGAAGAATGTACATTCTATTGATTTGGGGTGGAGAGTTCTGTAGATGTCTATTAGGTCCACTTGGTCCAGAGCTCAGTTCAAGTCCTGAATATCCTTGTTAATTTTCTGTCTTGTTGATCTGTCTGATATTGACAGTGGGGTATTAAAATCTCCCACTATTATTGTGTGGTAGTCTAAGTCTCTTTGTATGTCTCTAGGAACTTGCTTTATGAATCTGGGTGCTCTGGTATTGGGTACATATATAATTAGGATAGTTAGCTCTTCTTGCTGCATTGTTCCCTTTACCATTATGCAATGCCCTTCTTTGTCTCTTTTGATCTTTGTTGGTTTAAAGTCTGTTTTATCAGTGATTAGGATTGCAACTCCTGCTTCTTTTTGCTTTCCATTTGCTTGGTAAATATTCCTTCATCCCTTTATTTTGAGCCCATGTGTGTCTCTGCACGTGAGATGGGTCTCCTGAATACAGCACACCAATGGGTCTTGACTCTTTATCCAATTTGCCGGTCTGTGTCTTTTAATTGGGGGCATTTAGCCCATTTACATTTAAGGTTAATATTGTAGTGTGTGAATTTGATCCTGTCATTATGATGCTAGCTGGTTATTTTGTCATTATTTGATGCAGTTTTTTCATAGTGTCAATGGTCTTTACAATTTGGTATGTTTTAGCAGTGGCTGGTACCAGTTGTTCCTTTCCATGTTTAGTTCTTCCTTCAGGAGCTCTTGTAAGGCAGGTCTGGTGGTGACAAAAATCCCTTAGCGTTTGCTTGTCTGTAAAGGATTTTATTTCTTCTTCGCTTATGAAGCTTACTTAGTTTGGCTGGATATGAAATTATGGGTTGAAAATCCTTTTCTTTCAGAACGTTGAATATTGGCCCCCACTCTCTTCTGGCTTGTAGGATTTCTGCAGAGAGATCTGCTATTACTCTGATGGGCTTCCCTCTGTGGGTAACCCGACATTTCTCTCTGGCTGCCCTTAATCTTTTTTCCTTCATTTCAACCTTGGTCAATCTGATGATTTTGTGTCTTAGGGTTGCTCTTCTTGAGGAGTATCTTTGTGGTGTTCTCTGTATTTCTTGAATTTGAATGTTGGCCTGTCTTGCTAGGTTGGGGAAGTTCTCCTGGATAATACCCTGAAGAGTGTTTTCCAACTTGGTTCCATTCTCCCCATCACTTTCAGGTATGCCAATCAAACATAGATTTGGTCTTTTCACATAGTCCCATATTTCTTGGAGGCTTTGTTCATTCCTTTTTATTTTTTTTCTCTAATCTTGTCTTCTCTCTTTATTTCATTATGTTGATCTTCAATCACTGATATCCTTTCTTCCACTTGATCGATTCGGCTACTGATACTTGCGTATTCTTCATGAAGTTCTTGTGCTGTGGTCAGGTCATTTATGTTTTTCTCTACATTGGTTATTCTAGTTAGGAATTCAACTAACCTTTTTTCAAGGTTCTTAGATTTCTTGCATTGGGTTGGAACATGCTCCTTTAGCTCAGAGGAGTTTGTTATTACCCACCTTCTGAAGCCTACTTCTGTCAGTTTGTCAAACTCATTCTCTGTCCAGTTTTGTTCCCTTGCTGGTGAGGTGTTGTGATCCTTTGGAGGAGGAGAGGCATTCTGGTTTTTGGAATTTTCAGCCTTTTTGCACTAGTTTCTTCCCATCTTTGTGGATTTATCTACCTTTGGTCTTTGATGTTAGTGACCTTCAGCTGGGGTCTTTGAATGGACGTGCTAATCCTTTCTGTTTGTTTCTTTTCCTTCTAAAAGTCAGGCCCCTTTGCTGCCTGTCTGTTTGAGTTTGCTGGAGGTCCACTGCCAACCCTGTTTGCCTGGGTATCACCAGCGGAGGCTGCAGAGCAGCAAAGATTGCTGCTGTTCTTTCCTCTGGAAACTTTGACCCAGAGGGGCACCTGCAAGATGCCAGCCAGAGCTCTCCTGCATGAGGTGTCTGTCGGCCTCTACTGGGAGGCTTCTCCCAGTCAGTATACACGGGGGTCAGGGACCCACTTGAGGAGGCAGTCTGACCCTTAGCAGAGCTGGAATGCTGTGCTCAGAGGTCCGCTGCTCTCTTCAGAGCCATCAGGCAGGGACATTTAAGTCTGCTATAAGCCCCTGACTGGGGCTGCTGCCTTTTTTACAGAGATGTCCTGTCCAGAGGGAAGAAATCTAGCAGTCTGGCCACAGCAGTCTTGCTGAGCTGCAGTGGGCTCTGCCCAGTTTGAACTTCCTAGTGGCTTTGTTTACACTGTGAAGGTAAATACACCTACTCAAGCCTCAGCAATGGTGGACACCCCTCCCCCCACCAAGCTGGAATGTCCCAGGTGGAGCTCAGATTGCTGCTCTGCTGTCAGTGAGAATTTCAAGACAGTGGATCTTAGTTTCCTGGGCTCCATGGGGGTGGGACCCGCCAAGCCAGACCACTTGGCTCCCTGGCTTCAGCACCCCTTTCCAGGGGAGTGAATGTTTCTGTCCTGCTGGCATTCCAGGCACTACTGGGGTATGGAAAAAAAAAAAAAAAAAAAGAGCTCCTCCAGCTAGTTCGGTGTCTGCCCAGTTGGTGGCCCAGTTTTGTGCTTGAAACCCAGGGCCCTGGTGGACTAGGCACCAGAGGGAATCTCCTGGTTTGTGGTTGCGAAGACCATGGGACAAGCACAGTTATCTCTTCCAGAGTTCCTCAGGCTCAGACCCTCAAGGCTTCCCTTGGGTAGGGGAGAAAATTCCCTGACCCTTTCTGCTTCCCAGGTCAGGTGACACCCCACCCTGCTTCGGCTTGCCCTCCGTGGACTACACCCACTGTCCAGCCAGTCCCAGTGAGATGAACTGGGTACCTTATTTGGAAATGCAGAAATCACCCACCTTCTGCGTTGATCTCACCGGGAGCTGCAGACTGGTGCTCTTCCTATTTGGCCACCTTGAATCTCCCCCGACCCCCTTTTTTTTCTTTTGGTATATGTTAGAAGAAGTTCTGTGCCCAACTGATATGCAATTAGATGGCTGTGAAATTACAGTAAGAAAATCTGAGCGCAATCTTGGAAATTTGGTAACTAAGGCAATGTTAGAAGCTACTCTTGCAGATGTAGCACTACTTAATTTAGGTGATTTCGTTATGCAGTTTGTTAAAAATAAACAGTTATACTTTTTAAAGGACTAAAACTAGTTTTTAAAACTTATAGTTGCAGTAGACTGTTTTTATTACATGCAAAGTCCTGTTTAGAAATCCATTCCATCAACTTCATGAGATTAGTTCTTCATTTTCTGTTTTTCTCTGGTACAGTATACACAATTAGTTGTTTATTTGAAAATTAAAGCATCAGGTTTTAAAAATTCTGACTTTTGTATTCAGTGAGATTTTGAATGAAGATGTACCCGTGTTATTCATTTTAAACTTGGTGTGCAGTGAATTGTTGATTATATGGGAAGGAATGGACTGAAATTTTTACTGCAGCTTGGACCTTGAGTTCTTGGCCCTCATGTAAATAGAAATTAATGCCAGGCCAAATATAAACTTTCTTCAGGCAATGTTTAATAGGCTTGCAGCTTTAACAATCACAAGGGAGCAGCATATAGGAAGGGGATCCTGGTGCTAGCTCCCCAAGGGGCTAGGCTGTTTTCATTTTAAGGAAGTTGAGATGGGAAAAGCAATGATATACAAGCATGTTTAGGCAGGGTTTTTCCATGCTTGTGTAGTGGGACATCATGCTTTAACATGCATCACATGACCAGAAAGTGTTGGATATGCCCCATCTTGAGCAGAGATTTTAGTATTACAATGAGATTATAATGAGGAAAAAGTCAGTAAAATATCAGTGCTGGAGTCCATCTTGTCTTCAGCCACTGGATCTGGTCAGGTTCTCATCAGGAATGCTACAGTCTTATTTCAGTGACCTTGGAGGGCATGACTCAAAGAGATAAATGGTTAGGTTCTTCCTTTTATAATTAGGAATTCAGCCTGGTCAGCTAAGTTAGACAAGGTCCCCTTTCCTGCTATGTGACATGAATAAGCTTGTTAAGGGAGGAAAAAAGGTAGGAGAGGGAATATGCTTGGACACGTAAGGCCCATCAGGCCCTTGGTTACCATGTCACTTCTCTTTCAGGACTGAGTCTCTTCCCTATATTGCCTGAAAATCTTTTATTTAGGTTCTTGCTCTTTTACCAGTTTTCTTTTCTTACCTGTGCAATAAGAGGAACTGATAAGAGAAATCTTGTAGGGTGAATGGGGAGACTCCTCCTTAATCTTAGTATTTTTGTGTACTACTGTAATCATCTGAAGTTGTCCTAGCTAGGGTTATAAAGTATTAAGAATCTCTGTAGAGAATAGAAAATTAAAACCAAGTCTTTTGTTGAAAGCAACCTTGATTCATGTGCCATAATCCAGAGCTTTAGATGCTGTGACAAGGTTACTGATTATTTAAAAAATGTGGAATGTTGCATCATGTAACATCCTAACAACAAACTTCTTATAATGCCATTTTCACTGAAAATACAAGTGATCTTAATCTTCCACATGGATAATTAAGTTAGTTTATGGAAAAATTTCCTAAGAGTGAAATTTGTAAAGCTTTCGTATTGTTTACTTAGGAAGTTTCTGGAATTCCTTTCTTTGGAGATCTTTAAAAATAGAACATCTTGGCTTTGGCATGAGCCTGTCTGAAAGCCAGAGTAGAAATAGTAGTTTTTCAGTTGGAATATTCTGTAAAGAGAAAATGGTAGCTAACATAAAATCACATCTTCTAAAAAGGAATAGGTTAGATATAATCACATGATTAAGATGGAAGTAAATGTGGAGAAAGGATTGGAGAAATAATTAGGAAATTTTGGCAATGTAGTGTATAACTGTAGTTTTGAACATAGTATTGAGTCATAAAGGTGATATTTTATGGAAAATATTAAAATACGTATTTTTTTCTCTTAAATTGCTGTAGGCCGTCTCAGATCAGATCGAATACGTCCAGCGGGGAATTTCACTTTGCATGATCTTTTGGCTATTCTTCCCATAGTGGATACAGGTTTAGTTGTCAGAGTGACAAGGTGCTTAGCTGCTTGAAACACTTGAAAATGGAGTTTATAAGTACCCTCTCCAGATGGGAAGTATGTATATATACTAATTGATGTACTCATCAACTATTTTTTTTTTTTTGTATCATGGAACTGAAAGAAAACTCTGTATTTAAATGTGAGTTAAGATTTAAAAATTTTAAATATATAAAGCTTTAAAATTTTAGTACATAAAGGTGATTTTTAAAATTCTCTTTTAAATTTTTAAATTCTTTTTAAATCCTTTTTTAAATAGTGTGAGATTGGCAAAGTGTTGGTCTATAAAAATTATACTTTGTATTAAAAATTAGGATTATTTTTAGATGTATATGGTTATTTTGGGTGAGTCCTTAATTTCAATATTTAAGTACATAATTTTTTTTCTTTTTTTTCCTTGTTTAAGAAATAAGGTACTACCTTGTTGGCTGGATTTATATCCAAATCCCGCTGTAGAATTCTTAGGTAAATGGTGCAAAACTAGTAGATTTAAAGGGTTAAGGTACTTCTCTCCCTTCGTCTAACTCTTAAACAAAAATATATGATGAACCAGTAATTCAACATTGTAATCTATGGTATCATTATACTGTATATATTATAGAGTATTAAAGTGGCAATAGTTAAGGTGCTGAAAAAAGAATGAGACCAACCATCTGGCAAGAAAGCTTAAAGAAAAATCTTTTGCTTTTATAAAATATTACACCAAGTTTTGTTTAAAACGTTTTATTGAGATATTTACATACCATACAATTCAGTCATTTATAGTATACAATTCAGTGGTTTTTAATATGTTCACAGACTTGTGCAGTTAGTACCACAATCAGTTTTAGAATATTTTCCTCACTCGGAAAGGAACCCTGTATCCATTAACAATCAGTCACCATTTCCTCCCAAAGCCCCCAGCCCTAGGCAACCACTAATCTATGTTCTGTCTCTGGGTTTGCCTATTCTGTACGTTTCACACAAATAGAATCATACAGTATGTGGCCTTTTAACTGGCTTCTTTCACTTAGCATGTTTTCGAGGTTCATCCATGTTGTAGCATGTATCACATTTTTTATTGTTGAATAACATTCATTATATAAAACATTTTTCATTCATCAGTTGGTGGACATTTGGATTATTCCCACTTTTTGGCTATTATGAATAATGCAGCTATGAAAATTCATATAAAAATGTTTATGTGGACATATATTTTATGTCTTGGGTTATATCTTATGAATAGATTTGCTGGGTCATATGGTAACTCTTAAGTTTAATCTTTTGAGAAACTGACAGACTGTTTTCCAAAGTGGCTGCACGATTTTAAATTCCTCCCAGCAGTGTATGCAGGTTTCAGTTTCTCTACTTCCTTGCCAACATTTTCTGTTTATTTGTCGTTTTGCTAATAGCATTCTAATAGATGAAAAGTAGTATTTCATTTTGGTTTTGATTTGCATTTCTCTGATGTTTGTTGATATTGAGCATCTTTTCTTGTGCTTATTGGCCATATGTATATCCCCTTTGGAGGAATGTCTATTCATATATTTTGCTCTTTTAAAAACTGTTTTTTTTAAATTATAGAGTTATAGGAACTCTTGGTATTTTTAGATAGAAGTCTCTTATCAGTGATATATGATTTGCAAACATTTTATCCCTTTCTGTAGTTTGCTATTTTACTCTGTTGATGGTGGGCTTTGAAGGACAAAAGTTTTTAATTTTTAGTATCAAATTGATTTATGTTTTTCTTTTGTTGAATGTGCTTTTGTTGTAATAGTAAGAAACCATCGCTTAATGCAATATCATAGAGATTTATGTCTATGTTTCTTCCAAGAGTTTTATAATTTTAGCTCTTACTTTTGGGCCTCTGATCCATTTTGAGATAAATTTTGCATAAGGTGTAACAAGATAGTTCAACTGCATTCTTTTGCTATGGATATCCGGTTATTTCAGATCATTTGTTGAAAAGGCTACTGACCCCACCCCCACCACCCACAGAATTATCCTGGTACTCTTGTCAAAAATCAATTTACCATAAGTGTAAGGGTTTATTTCTAGCCTCTCAAGTGTGCTCCATTGACCTATGTATGTCTTTTATTAATGGCAGTACCACATTATCTTGATTATTCAACCTTTGTAGTAAGTTTTGAAATCTGGAAATGTGAGTCCTCCAACTTTGATTTTTTTCTTTCAAGATTGTTTTAGCTATACAGGGTCCCTTGTATTTCCACGTGAATTTTAGAATCAGCTTGTCAATTTTTGCAAAAAAAGGCAGCTGGGATTTGATATGAATTGCATTGAATATGTAAATTTGGGAGTATTGCCATCTTAACAATATTAAGTCTTTTACTGTAATGGTACAGAATGTCTTACCATTTATTTAGTTCTTTAATTTCTTTAAACAGTGTTTTATAGTTTTAAGAAGTTTTACACTTCTTTTATTACATTTATTCCTAAATACTTTTTTATTTTGGATGGTATTATAAATGGAATTGTTTTCTTAATTTTTTTAACTGTTCATTGTTAGTATATAGAAATACAATTGAGTTTTATATATTGAGTCAATTATGTCTTAACATCAAACCAACTTAGCACTAACGTAGAGAAGAAACTCAAGGAGAAATTTACAATAGTGTAACTGGCTTTCTGTATATATAGTTTAAAGTGAAGTGCTTAGGAAGATCTATAAGGACCTTCTTTTTCAAAAGTAGAAATGTTAATTTCACATAATAAGTGCAGTTAAGAAAAGTAAGCTATAGCCAGTAGTGTTTTTTTTCACAAGTAGTCAATTTCTTGATATTCATTATTGGTGTGTATTGCAAAGGGATTTCCAACATGATTTTAATTTAGCCTAGATTTTAGACCAGTTTTATTTAGATTTTTGGTTTTTCTTCAACCTTTAGTTATATTACTTGACTTTATAGCTCTTTATCCTATGTCCTCCTTTCCAGTATTGGTCATTTCCTTCAGGACAATTACAAACACAGGTAGAAATGGATTTTATGAGGACTGCATATATTCTGATCCTGGAAGCAGTTTTTTTTTTCTCTTGCAGTCTTTCTGGTGTAAAATTATTCTATGTCATTTTCGTTTTTGAATATTTACAGTATCGAAATAGTATCTTGCATACAGTAAGGCATTTCATAAATTCTTAGCTGATTTTACATGATAATATGGAATTACAGGCAATAATTAATAATATTTTCACCTATTTTGCTGGAATAAAGTCTGAGGGGTAGGCATAGCAGGAGCAGGATAGATTTTTGGGAGTCAAAAGTAAAACATTTTAAAAGATTATGTTATACTATTTCAGACTTTGTCTTGGTTGACTGAGTTTCAGCCAAATTGTAAAATGTTAGTTTAGTAGGGTTAAGATAGTGTTAGGAAGGATGAAGCAGTTACAAAGAGATAATGTCAGATATGTAGAAGTGCTTTCTAGTTCTTTCTTATCAGTGTGGCTAATGGGTGTTCTAGGATGAAAACTAACCTGAACTAGTTGACAGGTGTTGCTGTTTGCCTGGAAGTGGGCTCACTGAAACAGGCATCGTTCTGGCTGTCAGAATTAACTGGGCTGGGAAGGGGAAACTGATAAAATGCCAAAATCAACCAGCTTCAGACCTGTAGAAGTACTTTGTCAGCTTTTCTTAGTGAACAGCTATCGGCCAAGCATTCGCATGTGCCCTGTCTCAGGTAATCATGAAACTGCTGTGTATATAAATTATTGTATTATTTAGTGTTAACTACTAATATATTTGCAGGAAAATCATCAGTGATTTAGACTCCAAGTCTGCCTTTAGGAAAAGCCTGAGTTTTCCAGTTAGGGTTAACTCTTTCATACCAGAACTTAAATTTTATCCTTTTGGGTGAAAACTTAGTATAATATACTATCTTGTCTTCTGCCTTCAAATATATCACTAAAGTTTATCCTGTTTAATGACACAAAGTTGTCATCATTAACTGTGGGTACTATAATGTGCTGAAGATATAATTATATGCAAACAGTGATGTAAGTCCTCACAGAAATAATTTACTTGGATTTTGCTCTCTTGAAAAAGTTCCAAATATCACTTAAAAAACTTAATAGCTCTATTGACATATAATTCACATAGTTCACCCATTTAAAGTATACAATTAAATGATTTATCGTATATTCACAGTTCTGAACTATCACCATAGTTCATTTTAGAATATTTTCATCATCTCAAGAAGAAACTTTGTACTTATCAACAATTGCCTCACATTTTCACAAAACACCTTCAGTCCTAGGCAACCGCCAGTCTACTCTTTCTGTATAGATTTATTTACTCTGCACATTTCATGTAAATGGAATAACATTATAAGTAATGTTTGTGATTGTCTTCTTTCACTCACCAAATATTTTCAGGTTTATCCATGTCGAAGCATGTATCAGTAATTCATTATTTTTTATTGATGAATTATAGTCCATTATATGTATAAACCACATTTTATTTATTCATCAGTTGATGGACATTTGATTATTTTTGCTTTTATTCTATTATAGATAATGGTGTAATAAAATTAATGTACAAGTTTTTGTGTGGGTCTGTGTTTTCATTTCTTTTGGGTATTTACCTAGGAGTGTAGGAGTGGCTCTTATTTTTTGATTATTTGCTTTTTGTTTCTCATAAAGGTGGAGTTATGCATGCACATTGGCAAGACATCTTATCTTGGGCAGTGTAAAATGTAGAATGGCTGCCTTTCTGTAAAATTAATTAGCAGATCAAAGACTGAAGTTTTTCATAAGTGGCTTTCCCTCTAGAATGTTACCATCTTTGTTTTTTTTTTACTGTTGTGTATTTTTCACTTGTTAGCACCATTTTAAAAAATCATCTAAATATTATAAGAAATATTGTAAGATTGAAAGTCCTGGATAGTATGTGCATGATGAACCCATTATCTCATGTAGTGTCTTCATAGTTTGAATAGTATCATTTTGCATAGGTTGAATTACTGTGGTAACACTGAGGGGCAGGACAATGGAAAAAATATTCCTAGTCACTAACAATGCTTTGGGAGTAAATTCTAGAATTATGTTATGAAACAATAGCTTTGATATTCTTTGATAAGCTTATGAATCTGAAAAGATTATTATTTCAGAAAAGCCAATTAAAATCACTGATAAAATATTATCTTAATTTATTATTTATTATTTTATTCATCAAAAATTTATTGAATCCCTGCTGTGTACTAGGCACTATAATTGGTTCTGAAGATTAAAAAAAATAAATAGGGCATGGTTTATGCCCATGAGGAGCTTGTCATATAGTAGATTTTATATCTATCTGTATCTATGTACATATACATATGCATACATATCTCTCCCAAGAATAACAGTACAGCAGATCCCTGAATAACATTTCATTCATCATCATTTTGTTATATATATATATTTTTTCAACTTTTAAGTTCCGGGGTACATGTGCAAGATGTGCAGGTTTGTTACATAGATAAATGTGTGGCATGGTGATTTGCTGCACAGATCAACCCATCACCTAGGTATTAAGCTCAGCATCCATTAGCTATTTTTCCTCATACTCTCCCTCCTGCTACCCTCCTCAACACGCCCCAGTGTGTGTTGTTCCCCACCATGTGTCCACGTGTTCTCATCGTTCAACTCCCACTTACAAGAGAGAACACGTGGTGTTTGGTTTTCTTTTCCTGTGTTAGTTTGCTGAGGATAATGGCTTGCAGCTCCATCCATGTCCCTGCATTCTTTTTTATGGACATGATCGCATTCTTTTTTATGGGTGCATAGTATTCCATGGTGTATATGTACCACATTTTCTTTATCCAGTCTATCATTGATGGGCATTTGGGTTGATTCCATGTCTTTGCTATTGTGAATAGAGCTGCAGTGAACATTAGCGTTCATGGATCTTTATAACAGAATGATTTACATTCCTTTGGGTATACACCCAGTGTTTTGGTCTGCTCTCATGCTGCTAATAAAGACATACCCAAGTCTGGGTAATTTATAAAGGAAAAAGGCTTAATTGACTCACAGTTCAGCATCGGTGGGGAGGCCTCAGGAAATTTACAATCATGGTGGGAGGTGAAGCAAACTTGTCCTTCTTCACATGGTGGTGCAAGAAGTGTAGAGCAGGGGCAAAGGCCCCTTATAAAATCAGCAGATTTCATGAGAACTCACTTATATGAGATTAGCATGGAGGTAACCATCCCCATGATTGAGTTACCTCCTACCAGGTCCCTCCCACGACATGTGGGGATTATGGGAACTACAATTCAAGATGAGCTCCAGATGGAGACACAGCTAAACCATATCATCCAGTAATGGGATTGCTGGTTCAAATGGGGTTTCTGCTTCTAGATCTTTGAGGAATCACCATGCTGTCTTCCACAATGGTTGAACTAATTTACACTTCCACCAACAGTGTAAAAGCAACCTCATCATCTGTTGTTTCTGGACAATTTAATAATCGTCATTCTGACTGACATGAGATGGTATCTCATTTGTGGTTTTGATTTGTATTTTTCTAATGATCAGTGATGTTGAGCTTTTTAAAATATGTTTATTGGCTGCACAAATGTCTTCTTTTGAGAAGTGTTTGTTCAATCATCACAAAGACCTCCCTCATATTACCTACTCTGTATGGTCACACCCATCACTTTCCCTCTCACCATTTCTAATACGTGGTAACCACTACCCTGTTCTCCATCTCTGTCATTTTTTTTCATTTTGAGAATATGAGATAAATGGAATTATAAGTAATGTGATGTTTTGTGATTGGCTTTTTTTCACTCAGTATAATGCCCTTGAGATGTATCCAAGTTATTGCATGTGTCAGCAGTTCATTTCTTTTCCTTACTAAGTAATATTGCATGGTATGGATGTATAGTAATCCCCCTCTTATCCAACTGGGATACATTCCAAGATCCCCAGTGGATGACTGAGAAGCCACAGATAGTACAAAACCCTATATATACTATGTTTTTTCCTATACATACAGATTGATGATAAATTACAAATTAGGTGTAGCACTCTTGTGTTTTTGGGCTACTAAGTAAAAAAAGGGTTACTCATTTACTGTAGGGCTACTAATAGCAAATAGAAGTAAAGGTTAAAATAAGGGTGCCTGTGTTACAAGCACTGTGATACCGCAACAATCAATCTGATAACTAAGTGACTGACAGGCAAGATTTCACCATGCTACTGAGAACAGTGTGTAATTTAAAACCTGTGAATTTTTTCTTTCTGGAATTTTCCATTTAATGTTTTCAAACCACAATTGACTGCAGGTAACTGAAACTGTGGAAAGTAAAACCGTGGATGAGGGGGGAATACTGTACACCAGTTTAACCATTTACTTATTGAAGAACATTTTGATTGTTTCTTATTTCTAGTTTTTAGCTATTATAAATATATCTGCTATGAGAATTTTGTGTATGTGTTTGTGTGAATGTAAAATTTCACTTCTCTATAATAAATGCCCAGGAGTGCAATTTCTGGAGCATATGGTAAATACATATTTTATTCCTTAAGAAACTGCCGGCTGGGCACAGTGGCTTATGCGTGTAATCCCAGCACTTTCGGAGGCCGAGGCAGGTGGATCACCTGAGGTCAGGAGTTCGAGACCAGCCTGACCAACATGGTGAAATGCCATCTGTACTAAATACAAAAAATTAGCCGGGCATGGTGGTGCATGCCTGTAGTCCCAGCTACTAGGGAAGCTGAGGCAGGAGAATCATTTGAACCCGGGAGGCGGAGGTTGCAGTGAGCTGAGATTACACCATTGCACTCCAGTCTGGGCAACAAGAGTGAAACTGTAAAAAAAAAAAAAAAAAAAAAAGAAAGAAGAAAGAAAGAGAAAGAAGGAAAGAAAGAAAAGAAAGAAAGAGAAAGAAGGGAAGAAAAAAGAAAGAAAGAAGAAAGAGAGAGAAAGAAAGAAAGAGAAAGAACGAACGAACGAACAAACGAAAGAAAGAAAGAAACTGCCAAACTCTTTTCTAATGTGGCTGTACTATTCCCACAAATAGGGCAGTGATGTTGAAAATCTTTTACAGTGCTAATTTACCATCTGTATCTCCTCTTTGGTGAAATGTCTGTTCATGTTTTTCTTGGTCATTTTTAAAGTGTATTGTTTTTTCACTGTTGAGTTTCAAGACTTCTTCATACATTCTAGATATCAGTCCTCTGTCAGATATGTGGTTTGCAAATGTTTTCTTCCAGTTTTTAACTTGCTTTTTCATCTTCTTAATAGGGTCTTTCACAGAGAACAAGTGTTTACCTTTAATTAAGCCCTACTTATTGATTTTTTTTCTTTCATGTATTATGCTTTTGGTGTCATGTTTAGGAACTCTTCACCAACCTGAAGATTTTCTCCTATGTTTTCTTCCAAAAGTTTTATAGTTTTATGTGTTATATTTAAATCTGCAATTCATTTTGAGTTAAATCCTGTATAAGGCATGAAGGTTAGGTTGAAGATCTTTTTTTTTTTTTTTTTTTGCCAATGAATATCTGATTCCTCCAACTTATTTTGCTATCCTTCCTTCATTGAATTACTTGTGTACCCTTGTAAAAAAATCAGTTAGCCATAATAATGTGGGTCTATTTTTGGGTTTGCTATTCTGTTTCATTGGTTTATGTTCTTTTCCAACAATACTACATAGTCTTGATTATTATATTTTACATGTCTTGAGACCACTTTTTCCTTCTTTTTCAAAATTGTTTTAGTTATTTTAGTTCCTTTGCCTTTCCATATTAATTTTAGAATAAGCAAGTAGAAAATTTTGCTGAATTTTAATACGGATTATGTTAAACCTGTGTATCAATTTGGGAAGGACTGACTCTTCACTATGTCGAATCTCCCAATCTATGAATGTGGTAAGCCACTCCACTTTATTTATATATTTCTCTGATTTCTTTAATCAGTATTTTGTAGTTTTCAGCATATAAGTCCTGTAAATTTTTTTTAAGGTTTATACTTAAGTACTTCATTGTTATGTGCAAATGTGAATGGTCTTGTATTTTTAATTTTGTTTCTGTGTGCTCTTTGTTATACAGATGCTCCTCAGTTTATGATGTGGTTTTGTTTTGATAAACCCATCATAAGTTGAAAATGCTGTAAGTTGAAACTGCGTTTTCTACTTAAGGTATTTTTAACTTATGATGAAAATGGGTTTATCCAGATGTAACCCCATTGTAGGTCAATGAGCATAGGGAATGCATATCATTTCCACAATTGGAAGTCAAAACATCATAGGTTGTGACGTTTGTATAGAAATATCACTGATTTTGTCTATGGCCATTCCACCCTGAATGCACCTGATCCTGTCTGATCTCAGAAGCTAAGCAGGGTTGGGCCTGATTAGTACTTGGATGGGAGAAATATCATTGATTTTTGAATGTTGATCTTGTATCCTGTAATCTTACTAGTTAATTCCAGGAGTTTATTTGTGTATTTCTTCAGATTTAAACCATGTGCCATCTGTAAATATGGAAAATTTTTTTCCTTTACAATCTGTATGCCTCTTATTTCCTTTTCTTGCCTTATTGCACTGGCTGGCACTTCCAACACTGTAGAATAAGGTTGGTGAGAGCAGACATACTTCCCTTCTCCTAATTTAAGGGGGAAAATCACTCATGCTTTCACCATTGTGATGTTAGCTGTAGATTTCTTGTAGATGCTCTTTATTAAGTTAAGGAGATTCTGCTCTATTCTAAATTTTTGGAGAGTGTTTAATCAGGATTGAATTTTGAATTTTTTCAAATGCATTTTTTGCATCAATTCATAAGATCATGTAATTTTGCTTCTTTAGGTTGTTAATGGGAACCATCCTACATCCCTGAAATAAACTTAACTTGATGAAGGTATACTTTTTTTATATATTACTGAGTTCTATTTTTAATATTTTGTTAAAGATCTGTGTGTCCATATTTAATATTCAGAAGGGATAATAGTCTGTAGGTATTGTTTTTATCATCTTTTTCTGGTTTTGATATTAGGGAAATATTGGCTGCATAACATGAATTGGTAAGCATTCTTCCTCATCTGTTTTTTGGTAAGATTGTGTAGAAATAGTGTTAATTCTTTTTTAAGCATTTCATAAAAGTCTTCATTAAAACCCTTGGGGCCAGATGTCCTTTTTTGGAAACTTACTTCATTATAGGTATACACTAAAATTCATTTATCCATTCACCTAATTGTGGACATGTGAGTTGTTTCCAATTTTCTCCTTTTATAAACAGCATTGATGGGTATATCCTCTCACACACAATATTGTCTGTAGAAGCACCAACTTTCTGTAGGATGTACACATAGAAATGGAATTGCTGGGCACGTACACATTCACTTTTACAAAATTTCATGACCCTGTAGTGGTCATAAAAATTAACACTCCCACCTGCAGTGTATAAGGTTCAAATTTTCTCATTTGGTATTGTCAGATGCTTTAATTTTTTCCAATTTCATCATTAAGAATTATTCCAGTATGGGCTGCTGTATAAAAAAGATGGACTGAGAATTTAGGTATAGTTCCTAGAGCACTTGCTTTAACTCTTTTTGTTCTCTACTGAGCTATAGCTTTAAATACCAACACTAGCTGAGAGCCAATACTCTATCATGTTATGTGTGATCTTTGTCATCACATGCAATGACTGCCTTCTCTTTCCTCCCATGTTTTATTTACTTATTTATTCAAAAAATCATCAATAAAATTGATTTTTTTGTTATACATGTCAGTGAAGCTTAACAATACATGCATAGGTTTATGTAACCATTGCCTCAATCAGAAAAGTTCCATCATCTCCCAAAAAACTCATTCATGCTATTCTTTATAATGCAGTCCTATATTCCTCCCTTCTTAAGCTCTACAACCACTGATCAAGTCTCAATCACTATAGTAGTGTTTTTCTTTTTGATAATGTTATGGAAATGTAATTATACAGCACATAACTTTTTGAAAGTAGCCTTCTTTCACTCAGCATAATACTTTTGACATTCATTCAAGATGTTGAATGTTAAAAGTTTGTTACCTTTTATCGTTGAGTAGCATTCCATTGTATGGATGTATCCCAGTTTGTTTATCCGTTTGCCCACTGAAAGACCTTTACGTTATTTCCAGGTTTTGACAATTATGAATACAACTGCTATAAACATTTTGTACAGATGTCTATGTGAATATAAATTTTCATTTTTTTTCTGGAATAGGTGGCCAGGAGTGGGATTGCCTTGTAACCTAGTGTATATTTGTTTTTACAACAAACTGCTGACTTTTTCCAGAGGAGCTGTAGTATTTTTACATTTTCACCAGCATTATATGAGAGTTTTGACTGTTTGCTGTTCTTACCAGTATTTTTATTTTATGTATTCTAATTGGTCAGTAGTAGTATCTCATTGTTGTTTTAATTTGCATTTCTCTTATGACTAATGATGTTGAGCATCTTTTTATGTATTTATTTTCTATCCATATATCCTCTTTGGTGAAGCATTTAAATCTTTTGCCCATTTATATATATATATTTTTTATTTTCTTACTGTTGAGTATTGATACTTTTTGGAATGTTCTGAACACAGGAAATTCATTCCAAGTTATTTATATATATGTCTATCAGTCTGCAGCTTTTCATTCTTTTCATTGAATATCTTTTGTAAACAAATTATTTTAATTTTAATAAAATTTATTTTTTTCCTTTATGGATCTCGCTTTTGGTATCATGTATAAGAATTATTTGTCTGACTTCAGTTAACAAAAATATCTTCTATTTTTTTCTAAAAGTTTTACATCATTTAGATCTGAGATTTATTTTGAGATTTTTTTGTATAAGTTGTGAGATTCATACTGAGATATTTTTGTATATGTTGAAATTCATTTTATTTTCCATATGGATGTCCCATTGTTCCAATACTATTTGTTGTATAGACTAACCTTTCCCTATTGAATTCTTTTTGCATCTCTGTTAAAAACCAGTGGCCAAGACAGACAAAGATAAAAGAAGGAGAAGACACAAAATACCAGTATCAGGAATGAAACAAGATATTACTATAAATTCTGTAGTCATTAACGGAATAGTAAGGGAATACAGCAAATATCTCTACATAGATAAATTTGATTTGACAACTTAGAATAAATGAATCAATTCCTAGAAAACTACAAAATACAAAATTCATCCAAGATGAAATACAATATTAATCCAATAACCTTTAAATAAATGGAATTCATGATTTAAGAGCTCCCCCAAAAGAAATCTTTAGGCCAACATAATTTCTCTGGGGAATTCTATTGAACATTGAATTTAAAATTAACACCAATTTTGTACAATCTCTTCCACAAAATAGAAGAGGAGGAAACATTTCCAAATCATTGTATGAGGGTATTATTACATCAATACAAAAACCAGACAAGATAGTGCAAAACAATACAGTTACAGAACAATATCTTATGAACTTGGGCACAGATATCCTCAACAAAATGTTAGCAGATTTAATCTCATAATGTATAAAAATAATTATAAAACGTGATCAATCATGGTTATTCCAGGTGTGCAAGGCTGTTTCAATATTTGAAAATCAGTCAATAAAATTCACTATATCAACAGGCTAAAGAAGAAAAATTACATTAATTGATGCAGAAAAGACATTTTACAAATTGCTTATTTTTGGTAAAAATTCTCAGCAAATTTGAAGAAGAGGAAAACTTCCACAACTTAATAAAGAACATCTATAGAAACCTAAAGCTAACATCATACTTCTGAATCTTCTTCCCCAATATTGGAAATAAACCAAAGATAATCTGCTATCACCTCTCTTATTCAATACAACACCAGAGGTCCTAGCCAGTGCAACATGCAAGAAAAAAAAAGGCATACAGATTAGGTAGGAAGAAATAAAATTATACTTATTTGTGGATGACATGAAGGTCTACATAAAAAATTCCCAAGAAATCTACAAAAAATATCTCTAGAACTAATAAATGAGCTCAGCAAGGTTGCAGGCTACAAAAATCAATCACAGTTCCATATATTGACAATGCACATGTGGAAACCAAAATTAAAAACACAATGCTACTTACAAATTATTCAAAGAATGAAATGCCTTAGTACAAATCTAGCAAAGTATATATAGAATATGTATGCTGAAAATTACAAAGTATTGATGAAAGAAATCAAAGGAAACTTAACTAAGTAGCAAGATGTACCATGTTCATGGATTGGGAGACTCAACATAGTAAAGATGTCATTTCTCTCCAAATTGAACTGTAGGTTTAATTTAGTATCTTTCAGAATCCTAGAAAGGTTTTTGTAGACGTAAAAAAGTATACTCTAAAATTTATATGGAAATGCAAAAAATCTAGACTCACATAATTTTGGTAAAGAAGTGTAAAATGTGGTGAATAACTGATGCTCAGACTTTACATAACTACAGTAATAAAGACTGTGGTATTTAATGGAGGAATAAATACATAGATAATGGAACAGAATAGAGAACCCCAAAATAAACCACACACATATGCTGAATAGATTTTGACTTAAGCTTCATGCCTTATGTAAAAATTAACTAAAAATAGATTAAATACTTAAATTTAAAACATAAAACTATAAAACTTTTAGAAACATACATAGGAGAAAATCTTTGGGATCAAGGACTAGGCAGAGTCCTTAGACTTGGAAAAAGCATAATCCAAAAAAGGAAAAAATTATAAATTGGACTTTATCAAATTTGAGAACTTTCATGATCTGAAAAACATTGTAAAGAGGATGAAAACAAGCTACATACTGGGGGGGGGAATATTCACAGAACACATATTTAACAAATAACTTGTATCTAGAATATATAAATACCTCTTAAAACTCAGCAGTGATGAAAAAAATTGCCCAATTAAAATGTAGGCAAAAGATATGTACAGATGGTTTATCAAAGAGAATAGTCAGATGAAAGATAATCACATGAAAATATATTCAATATCATTAGCCATTAGAGAATGACAACACTACAATATATATCACTAGATACCTATTAGAATAGCTAAAAGTTAAAAAAAAATAGTGATAACACCAAATGCTGATGATGATGGAAGACACCATGTTGCTGGTAGGAACATAGAGCCTCTCTGGAATAGAATAGGGCAAATTTTTTTTTCCCCAGAAAATTACTCCTTATCATATGACCCAGCTGTTGAATGTTTAAGCTTTTATCTCAGAGAAATGAAAACTTATGTTCACACAAAAGCTTATGCCAAAATGTTCATAGCAGCTTTTTTCATAATAAGCAAAAACTGGAAACAACCTAATTGTCCTTCGATAGGTGAATGGTTAAAGAAACTGTGGTACCTCCTATCACCCCTCAAAGAACTCTGTCATGCTATTCTACGTAGTCATATCTTCCTCCCTTTTGCAACCACTGATCTATTCTCAATCACTATATATGTATTTTTTCTTTTTGATAATACCACATAAATGTCATAATACAGTATATAACCTCTTGAAAGTAGACTTTCACTCAGTATAATATCTTTAAAAGTCATTCAGGTTGTTGATATACTACTCTAATATAAAAAAAGAACAAATAACTTATTCACACAATAATTTGAATGGATCTCAAGGGCAGTATGCTGAGTGGAAACAGCCAATCTCAAAAAGTTATATACTATATAATTCAATGTATATAACATTTCTGAAATGCCAAAATTGTAGTGATGGGGAACAGATTAGTGGTTGCTAACAGGTGGGGAAGACTGTCCCTATGAAAGGCTAGCACTAAAGGTCCTTGTAATGGAACTGTTCTATATTTTTACTGCTGTGGTGGTAATATGAATTTGCACATGTAATAAAATTGCATAGAATACACAGACACATAAATTAGTTGATGTAACTGGTGAGATCTGAATTCACTTTACCATTTAAAAATAATTAGTATTTCAGTATTTTCTGGAGATGTTTGGTACTTCTTAAAAAAGTTTGCTTTCCAACTGTAGATTCATAGTATATTGAAATATGGTCAATTTTTCATGTTGGTTGTATTGTGTCCTCATGCTATATTCAGATATTGTAGCAGTTTGGTGTAGATTTCTTGGGATTTTCCTCATGGACAATCATGCCATCTGCAAACAGAGACAATTTAGTTCGTTCCTATCTCTTTCTCTTGCTTTATTAAATTAGCTAGGACTTCCAGTATGATGATGAATAATTTGGTGAATGTGTTTGTCCTTGCTTTGTTTTCCCATTACAGGAGGAAAACATTCAGTCTTTCACTGTTATGATTTTATTTATGGGATTTTTAAAAATGATGAACTTTATCATCTACCAAATTATAGGGAGCTGAGGAAGTCCCTTTCTATTCCTAGTCACTGAGAGTGTTTTTAAAAAATCATGAATGAATTTTGAATCTTGTCAAAAGCTTTTTTTGTATTAATTGAACAATCATGTATTTTTTTCTTCTTTAGACTGTTGATATGGTGGGCATTGATTGGTTTCTTAATGTTGAACCAGGCTTACATTTTTAGAATAAACCCTAGTCACGGTGTATTCATTTTTTGGTGTATTGTTGGATTTGAATGGATATTGTTAAGGCTTTTTTTTTCCACTTCTATATGAAGAATATTGTTGTGTAGTTTTCTTTTTCTATACTGTCTTTGTCTGGTTGAATATGAAGGTAATGCTGGTCCCATAAAATAGGTAGTGTTTCTTTCTCTTCTATTTTATGGAATACAGTAGTGATATTATTTCTTTTTAAAATGTTTGGAGGCCAGGCGTGGTGGCTCACACCTGTAATCCCAGCACTTTGGAAAGCCTGAGGTGGGCGGATCACTTGAAGTCAGGAGTTCAAGATCAGCCTGGCCAACATAGTGAAACCCTGTCTCTGCAAAAATACAAAAATTAGCCAGGCATGATGGCAGGTGCCTATAATACCGGCTACTTAGGAGGCTGGTGCAGGAGAATCGCTTGAAACTGGGAGGTGGAGATTGCAGTGAGCCGAGATGATGCCACTGCACTCCAGCCTGGGTGACAGAGTGAGACTCTGTTTCAAAAAATAAAATAAAATAAAATAAAATAAAATGTTTGGTATAATTCACCAGTGAAACCATTTGAGTCTAGAGATTTCTTCTTTGGAAGGATTTTGACGACAGATAAAATTTCTTTCTTTTTTTTCTTTTTTCTTTTTTTTTTTTTTGAGATGGAGTCTCACTCTTTCGCCCAGGCCGGAGTGCAGTGGCGCTATCTCAGCTCACTGCAAGCTTCGCCTCCCGGGTTCACACCATTCTCCTGCCTCAGCCTCCCGAGTAGCTGGGACTACAGGCTACAGGCGCCCGCCACCGTGCCCGGCTAATTTTTTGTATTTTTAGTAGAGACGGGGTTTCACCGTGTTAGCCAGGATGGTCTCGATCTCCTGACCTCGTGATCCGCCCGCCTCGGCCTCCCAAAGTGCTGGGATTACAGGCGTGAGCCATCGCACCCGGCCAAAATTTCTTAATATAGTACTGTTTGGTTCATTTTGGGTGAGTCTGGGCAGGTTGTGGTTTTTGAGGAATTGGTTCATTTTATTTAAGTTGTTGAATTTCCTTATGTAGAGTTTTTCATAGTATTCCTTTATTATATTTTATAATGTCTGTAGGGTATGTAGTAAAAGCCCTTTTTTACATCTGATATTGGTAACTTGTATCTTCTTTCTTTTAGTCTTGGTCAGTCTTTCTTGATAATTAACAATAATTTATTGATCTTTTTAGATAATCAGTTTTTTATTTCATTGATTTCCTTTATTGATTTCTGTTTTCAGTTTCACTGATTTCTGCTCTTATTTATGTCACTATCTTCTTTACATTGCTTTGGGTTTATTTTTCTCTTTTTCTTGTTTCTTGTGGTGGAAGCTTAACTTGTAGATTTGAGATCATTGTTCTATTTTAATATGAGCATTTCATGCTGTAAGTTTCACTCTAAGGACTACTTTAGCTGTATCACACAGATTTTGATATGCTATATTCTTATTTTTGTTTAGAATATTTTTAAATTTTCCTTGAGACTTCCTTTGAACTATGGATTATTTAGAAGTATGTAATTTAATTTCTAAGATTTTCTTGTTACCTTTACTACTGATTTCTAGTTTAATTTTATTATAGTTAGAAAATATATGTTGTAGGATTTCAGTTCTTTGATATTGAAAGAATTTTATGACCCTGGATATGGTCTGCCTTGATTAACGTTCCATGTATACTTGAACAGAATATATTATATATCCCACTGTTGTAGGAGAAATATTCTGTAAATGTCAATTAAATCAATTGGGTTCAGTTCTTCTCTATCCTAAAAAATTTTCTGTTAACTACTTCTGTCTGTCTGAGTGAAGAATATTCAACTCTCCAACTGTAATTGTGGTTTTGTTTCTTCTTTTAGTTCTGTCAGGTTTTGCTTCATGTATTTGTAGCTCTGTTGATACATATGCAACGTTATATCTTGTTGACCAGTGGACCATTTTACTTTTATATAAAGTATTGGGCTCCGTAAACTCTGACTCAAACTATGGCAGGCCAAAATCCAGCCTGCCATCTGTTATTGTAAATAAAATTTTATTAGACTACATTCAAGCCTATTCATTTATGTATTTTTTATGGTTTGTTTTGTACCACAGTGTCAGAATTATACTTTTGCAATAGAGACTATACGGCTTGCCGAGACTAAAATATTTATCTGGGCTTTTATAGAAAAAGTTTATTGTTCTCTGATATAATATCTCTATCACTGGTAATTCACTTTGCTCTGTAGTATACTTTGGCTGGTATAAGTATATCCAGTCTAGCTTTCTTTTGACTAGTGTTTCTATGGTATATATTTTTTATCCTTTAACTTTTAACTGAACCATGTCATTATATATTTGAAGTTAGTTACTTATAGACTGTGTATAGTTGGTTCATGTGTTTAAAAAAGATCCATTCCACAATTTCTGTCTTGCCTTTTGTAGGTTGAATTTGCCTCTAATTATTTCAATGTTTGGAGTATTTCTAAAATTTTAGTATTTTTTTGTTTATTCTCTTTGTTTTCCATTCCTTTGTTTTACTTTTCCTGCCTTCTTTGGGGTTATTTCAATATTTTTAGTGTCCAGCTTTAATGTATAGTGTTTTTATATTTTTTTAAGTAGTTGCTCCAGGGCTTCCTATATGTGTATTTAACTTTTCACAGACTATTTAGAATCAATATTCTTGTTACTTAAAGTGGAATACAGAAACTTTCCCAATATGTAGTACTATGTATTCTCTCCTCTTTATGTTGTAGTGTTCTTATACATTACATGTAGTTACATCGTAAATCTCATCACAAGGTATTATAATTTTTCTTTCAACTGTTTAAACATATTTTAGACAACTTAAAAGAAATATAGTTTCCTATTTACCCAGATATTTTCCATTTCTATTGCTTTTTCTTCATTTATGATTTTCCAAATTTATTTTCTGGTCTCATTTCCCTTTTGTCTGAAGAAGTTGCTTCAGAATTTCTTTGAAAGCATGACTGCTGACAATTAATTATCTTAGTTTTTCCTTATCTGAGAATGCCTCCATTCCTGAAGAATATTTTTGCTGGACATGGAGTTCTTGGTGGACAGTTCTTTTCTTTCAGCTCTTTAAATCTCTTGTTCCGCTCCTTTTTAAACTCCAGGATTTCTGATGAAAATTTTTAGTCTTTAAAATTATTTTTCCTTTATGTATACAGCATTGTTTTTCTCTGGTTGTCTTTTATTTTCAGCAGTTTGATTTTGATGTGCCTAGGACTAATTTCTTTGGATTTCTCCTTTTTGGGTTTGCTGTGCTTTTAAATCTATATGTTTGTCTGTCATCAAATTTGCAAAGTTTTCTGTCATTATTTCCTTAAGTTTTTTTTTTTTTAGCATCACCCTGTTTCTTCTGTATTTCTGAGACTGTTATAACACAAAATTAGACTTTTTGTTATAGTCTTATAGGTCCATGAGGCTCTGTTCAGTTATTTAAAAAAAATCATTTTTTCCTCTTTGTTCAGACTGATTCAGAACAAACATATTTGCTAGTTCACTGATTTTTTTTTCTGTTATTGACATTCTGCTATTGAATGTCTCCCTCTCTCCCACCCTCCTTCCCTCCTTGCCTCCCTTCCTTGCTATCCAATGAATTTTAAATTTTGATTATTTTATTTTCAGGTCAAACTTTTCTTTTGATTTTTTTTCATATTATCAATTTCAGTGCAAATATTTACTATTTTCTCATTGGTTTCAAGAATTCTTTTGATTGCTTGCTGGAGCATTTTTATAATGGCTGCTTTAAAATATTTGAAAAGTTCAACATCTGTGTTATTTTAACACTGGCATTCTTTGATTATCTTTTACCTGGTGCTTTGGCATTTTCCTAGTTATTTGCCAGGTAATTTCAGGTTACCCAGCAAAGAACGAGGTAATTCTAGTTACCTAGTAATTTATTACCCCAAATTACTAGGCTATGCTAGACATTTTGAATCTGATCTTATTTCATTTCTATGGAGACTGTTAAATAGTTTTGTTTTAAGCAGGCAGTCAACCTGCTTAGATTCAGGCCACTGGTTCCAACCCTCCTCTGTAGGCTGTGGTTTCAATGTCAGTTCCATTTTCAAAGTCTTTATAGTATGATTTATCTTTCCTGGATGTGTGCCACCCAGTGGTCAGTCTTGGACCTTGGCTATGGTCTGTCTGTTCAGTTTTCAGTCACCATTATGCTGAATAGGATAAGGTCCACACTTATGCAGCTCTTGGGTGAGCTTAGGAGTTCATAAATGACTTTGTGGGTTTGCTTTCCTGAGCTTTCACCTCTCCACCATCTCCCTCAAACTTTCTGGTTCCTCAAGACTCCTCTTTTTAGTTGTTCAGCCAGAAAGCCAACACTTTAGTTACCACACATTGCCATATACTTCTTCAAGTACCCCACATCAAGGATCAAGTGGTAGTGGGGAAGGGGAACTAAGGGAGAAAAAGGCAATGAGGAGTTTTCATACACTCTTTGAACGACAGCTCCTCTCTTTTAGAGTTTTGGCTCTTGCAGTCTCCTGTTGCCTCTGCCTGTTGACACCACCATTGTATTGCTTGGGGGCTTGATGTGGTGGAAAGAAGCAGTCTTTCTGAGCTTTTGTAGTTCTTTTTCTCTGCTTGCAGCCAGAGCTAGTGGGCTTCTCTTGGAGCTCTCTCTGCCTACATGTTTCTGCCCACTTCTGGTATGTTAAAGTTAGGCTGAGAGTTACTGGAGGAAAAAAAATTAGTAAACTCACTGTCAGTTCAGCGACATTACAAATTCTGTTCTTTTTCCAGAATCCAACTGCAGCAGTTTACTACTCAAAATCTCCCATATATCTGTTCCATCTGTTCTGTTCAGGTTTTATTGATGTATTCATTAGGATATACAGGGTGGGGTGTGCTTATCTCTAACCCAGAATTGGAACCTCCTCCCTTAGATTGCAGATTGTGATTGTGTGACCATCTTTGGTCAACCTAAAGCATTAGGCCATCCAAGTCTCTTTCTCTCTTGCTTGCTTTCATTCCTCCCTCTCTTTCTCCTTCTTTCTCTCCCTCCCTCTCTCCCTCCCTCCCTCTCTTCCTGTCTCCTTCCCTCCCTCCATTTTTCCTTTCCTCCTTGCCTCCCTTCCTTCTAGAATCTGGTTGCTTTCGGTCTTTTACATAAACTGGTAGAGGGAAAATAGAAAAGTACATATGGCTTTGTTTCTTTCTTCTCTCCTATTGCAAAACCATTTTATTTCTTTTCATTGTTGGCATCTTTCCATTGGCCAAGTCTTCTCCTTGCCATCTCTGTCATCATTACTGATTGCCCTGATTGCCATGTCATCACTGCTAGCAGATCTGCTCATGGTCAGTCATATGTGCTTCTCATTCACTCCCCACCCCCTGCCCCAGTCTTTTTTGTATTTTCTGATTATTCCTTTTCTCATACTTCTCTGCTTTTATGCAAAATCCCACATCCGTCCAGTTTTTCTATTCTACCAATGTACCAATTATAGTGAAAATCAGATGTATATTTTTTTCTTGGTCTCTGTGTTGTTTCTCTTTAATCAGAACCCATTGTAGTGTTTGTATATATATTTGTGGATACTATATTAGTTATTTGGAGACACATTGGAAGCCTGAGGCTTTGAGTAATTTGATTTTTGGTATTTCTTTAAGATTAAAACAAGTAGTGTGTTATACAGGGAACAATTTATGTACACTAATGAACATGTTTGTGATTGACATATATATGCTGCATACTGTTTCCAGATTAAATGACTTCCATGCTAACCTTTTCAAAGTACTTATTTATACATTATCCATTTTTGCTTTTCATCTTTTTTTTCTGTCTGAATGAAATACATGTCCTTTTCCTTCCATTGGTTTAAAGCCACTTAATTTCACTCTCTATTGTCACTCATACTTGATTCAGAATAGGGGAAAATAAGATAAATGTGTATATAACACTGATCATTACTACTCTTTGTTCCAGTAAAGATGATGATGAAGTTGTAAGGTATACAAAGGGATATTAAATACTTTCTTTTTAGAAGTCCTGAGTTTTTCATCTTAATGAAACAGACAATGTGAACTTATGTACTTTGCTTACCTGTTATTTCAATTACAGCAGTCTTTAGTCTTAGTAGAAAAAAATGAGAGGGTATATTGTAGCATTTATCAATAAACTATGATAAAAATTCTCTTCACAATAATTTAAAACCAGATGGTACCAAATTTATAATGAATTTATAATTGGTTAATTGCTTGATAAAATAATGGTCTTTCCTAATTATATCTCATCTCTGACAGTTTTAAGTTTATAATTTTTGGAAGTAAAACACATCATCCTTTAAGTCTTCCTGTCTTTTCTCAAAGATCTACATATCATAATTAGGGCAAAGGTACATTTCTATGGAGGCCATGTGTGCCTTTTCCTGTCATAGAAAGAAAAGGACACACCCAATTAGGGTCTAGATTGGAAGTAATAATTAACAGAACCATAAGTGCAGGTTTATGTGGTAGAAAGAATTGTGGTGGTGCTAGTTTCATTTACTTTCTCCTCTGCTTTTAGCCTTCTATTAGCCATAAGTAGAAATGGATGTGCTCACATACATATATACCAATTATCTCTGAAATCCATGACAATAGAAAGCAGATCAGTAGAAAACTTTGTTTCCAGCAGCAGTGTTAGCTTTTATTTGAATAATCAGATATCAGGTAGATTTCTGAACACTATTTTTAAATTAGAAGGAGTATATAAACTCCTAGGTCAAAAGAACTTCATTCTGAAATCTAACTTCATTCTGAAATCTTACTTCATTCTGAAATCTTACTTCATAAGAACTTCATTCTGAAATCCTCAGGATATGCGGCTGGCATTTAAGTGGGCTTTAGATCATGAAGAAAACTTCAATTGAGGATGATTTATAAGTGTGCATTCATTTATTCAATGAATATTTATTGAATATGTACTATTTTTGTTTGCTGAATGCAAAAATGAATTGGGGGCCTTGTAATTATGTGTTATTGCTGAGTTTTACTGGGTTCAGAAGTACTGTTTTATATGAAAGCTTTAGAGTAGATAGAAATATGATTAAGGAAATTAAAACCATAAAGGGAGCTAATTCCTTTATTTCATAAAGGAAAACTAAAGAGCATCAGCAAAGATAAAGAGAAGATAGCATGTATAAAAATAGGCTATTAGTTGGTTACACTATAATTTACAATCAGCTTTAATAATTTATTGATATTTGGAGGCTGAGGTGGAAGGATCCCTTGAGCCCAGGAGTTCAAGGGTGCAGGGAGCTATGATTGTGCCACTCTACTCCAGCCTGGGTGATGGAGTGAGACCTCATCTCTTAAAAAAATTTGATTTTTTGATATTAATTCTGAACAAGTAACTGAGACTGCCATGTGAGAGGGATCATGTATTAGGAGCTTTCTTTGACCCTCTCAGCTGGGCCTAGTTTTTCAGCCATCCCTACTAAGGTACCAGTTACATGAGTGAAGTTGTCTTGGACCCTCCAGATTAGTGTGTCTGTTAGCTGAATACCACCAGTTAACTTCCGTTGATTCCACCAGCTAACTTCTGTTGAAAGAGAAGAATCATCCAACTGAGCCCTGATTCTTTGACCCATAAAATTGTTAGATATAATAAAATGTTTTTTAAGCCATTAAATTTGGGGTGGTTTGTTACTCAGCAATAGATAATCAAACCACCTACACAGGACATCTAAACACTTTTATGGTACTGGAGAATAATCATTACAAGTTATGCTATAATTTTTAAATTATAGGTTGGTAATTTTGTATCAATAGGCCAAGGATAAAATTTAGTGAAAGGGCAGTTAGTTGAGCATAGCATATGTGATGGCTATGTGGTATGTTGTCTTGGCTAGGCTAAAAAAACAACATTCCTTTGAATTTCTTTTTCAGTAAGTTTCTGGATAAGTGATCTATAAGATACATTCCCTCAAGATCTGGAAGATAGAAGAGAGCACCAGCAGTTTTGTGATCTCCACACACCTTCTCCTAATTACTGAATCAAACACTAATTTAGCTGCTGCTGTGAAGAGATTTTGCGAGTATAATTAAGGTTCCTAATCAGTCAAGAAGATTATCCTGAGTGGGCCTCATTTAATCAGTTGAAAGTACTTAAAATATAATGTTGACCTCTCCTGGAAAAAGAGTTAAACCTGTGGACAATAGCTTCAGCCAGTGTCTGTGAGGCTTCAGCCTTCTTGTGATCTTCTCTGCCCTGTGGACTCCGGATTTGCCTATCCAGCCTCCGAAACTGTGTAAGCCAATTCCTTGTTATACGTATGTGTATATTCACACATATATGCATAGATAGATAGATATCTCCTACTGGTTCTGCTTGTCTGTTTGGACTCTGACACAGATTTTTGTATCAAAAGTGGATGCAGAGGCCTGTGCCTTAAGGATGAGGTGCCTTAAAGATCTTAAGGATGAGTTCTCTGAATTGGTTCTGATTTTCTGGAATTGTTTTTCTAATCTGATAAAACTTAAGGCACTAATAAGCCTGTTTCTAGTTGTTTAAAAGACATTGGTAGTCCATGGCATGATGTGGTGAAAGAGTTGCTCAAATTATCACCTTTGGATACTATAATTAAATACCTATAGAAGGTGAGATTCAAGATGTCTAAGCATGAATCACTTGAGAACATTTTAGTCAAAACAAGGAGTGGAATGGAGTTGTTTGGTTATTCCTAACTGCTCTAGAGAAAGTGACCATAGAAAAATGAACTTAGGGCTCTAAATTTCTAGCTAAATGTTCTGAAAACTTCTGCATTTTCCCTCAGAGAAACTCTATCCTGTAGCTGTAAGGCTGGGGTTTCTGAAAATGAAAGCCACAGTTTCCTCCTGTGAATGGCAAACTGAATTCCCAACCACTTCTGTTAAAGTTTAGCCAGTGATTGGGAAGGAATGGGCTTCTACAAATGGGAGTGGGGAAATATGGGTAGATTCTGATAAAGCTGGGGATCTTGGCTTCCCATATGAAATTGAATCTTTGCCCATAGAACCAGTCTTTTCAGTTCTGCCTGAGGAAGTGTAATGTGTCAACTTGACTAGGCCACATGGTGCCCAGATATTTGGTTTAATATTTTTCTGTTATATGAGGGCATTTTTGGATAATTAACATTTAAATCAGTAGACTGAGGAAAGCAGATTGCCTTCCATAATGTGGGTGGGCTACAATCCTCGGTTGAAGGCCTAAACAGAACAAAAGGCTGATGCTCCCATGAGAAGGATAATTTTCCTGCTTGACAGCCTTTGAACTGGGAAATCAACTGTTCCTGGTTCTACAACAGCCTGCCAGCCTCAGACTTTAACTGGGACATTGGCTCTTTTTTCTGGTTCTACAGCAGCTTCTGACCTTTGCACTAGAAATGGGACATCAGCTCTGCAGATTTTGGACTTGCCAGCTTCCAGAATTATGTTACCCATTTCCTTATAAATTATATATTTATAATATATATCATAAATATATACATTTAAACAATATAAATATTTATAAATCATAAATATATGTATATATTTTGTTTTTCTGGAGAACTCTGATTAATATGGGAGGATAGTCCTCCTTTACCTGAATAACCTGGAATGGCCTCCCCTGAGGATTGTTGATAAAAAGTGTCAAACTCTGTAAAATATTTTTAGAGATTTATTTTGAGCCAAATATGAGTGATCATGGTCTGTGGAGGTCCTGAGAACATGTGCTCAAGGTGGTCGGGGGTACAGCTTGGTTTTATGTATTTTAGGGAGGCATGATACATTTATCAAACACATTTAAGAAATACACTGGTTTGGTTCAGAAAGGGGGGACAATTCAAAGCAGGGGGCTTCCAGGCTATAGGTAAATTCAGACATTTTCTGGTTGACAATTGGTTGAGTTGATCTGAAGACCTGGGATCAGTAGAAAGGAAGTGTTCAGGTTAAGATAAAGGATTGTGGATATCAAATTTTATTGTGTGGAGGAAGCTCTCAGATAGCAGACTTCAGAGAGAACAGGTTGTAAAATGTTTCTTATCGGACCTAAAATGGTGCCTGGCTCTTAGTTGATTATCTCCTGGATCTGGAAAGGAAGGAAGGAAAACAAGGGGAAAGGGGATTCTTGATAGAATGTGGGTTTTTCCCACAAGGGATGGCTTCGCAGGACCATTTCAAGATATGGCAGAGAAACACGTTTTGGGGTAAAATATTTTGATTTTCTTCCTTGTTATGCCAGAGTCAGATTGGAAAGCAAGTCACAGTATACAGGGTTAAATAAAACCCATCTGATGAGAATTTATGGTTTGTAGGGCATGACTCCCCACACCCCTTAGATAGGAATTTGGGCAAGATAAAAAAAATGAGAGCTTAGTCCTCAGGAAGTTGCTTACAAGGTACTCCTGATGATCCACAGGACCTACTCCCCAACACCCCTTTTTGTTTCTATAACTAGAATCAACTTGAAGCAGCCCTCAAAAAATGAGGTACAATGTATGACTCATGAAAAGGTGTGATATACACCAAAAGAACTGCATGGCTTTTTTTTCAATTTATATAAATAGAAATCTAGGAGTTACGTGTGAGAATGGATATTGGTGTGTAATCAAGGTGTAAGGAATATAAAGTCATCAGGCTTAATTTGTAGGCTCACTATTCAGAGACTCAATGTTTTAGCTCAAGGAGTTAGGAAGGGCTTAATTAGATGGTTGGTTGGCTGGTTGCCAGGAACAAAATGGTGGCCTACACTAAATGAGGTAGAAATGCCTTGTGATATTATAGAGGAAGGTAGCTAAAGGCTTGAGATTGCAATGTTTGAGTGTATTTATCATGCAAGATTGCTCTCCAGTCCTGGAAAAACATGCCTTTCACCACAACTGTGAAAAATAAATTTGTGAGGGAGCATCAGCATCCTTGAAAAGCTCTGTAGTCTCTCTTCTCTGTAGGTCAGAAATTATAAAGTAAACTGCTACCATTGAATGAGGATACCTAAATGCAATAGAGATAATAGATCCTGGGATGTTAAGGGTCAAGTGGTGACACTTAATTGCCAAAGATAAGATAGGCAGGGTTACCATAATGGATAGCAGAGTTAAAATAGTAACCAGAGGCCGGGCTCAGTGGCTCATGCCTGTAATCCCAGCATTTTGAGAGGCTGAGGCAGGAGAATCACTTGAACTCAGGGGGCGGACTTTGCAGTGAGCTGAGATCATGCCACTGCACTCCAGCCTGAGCGACAGAGTGAGGCTTTGTCTCCGGAAAAAAAAAAAAAAAAAAAAAAGTAACCAGAATAGTTTGACTCAAAGAGATTAAGCTGTTGGTTCTCATGATGATCAAAATTCTCATGATGTCCCAAGAGTGGAAATAGACGGTTAACCTATTAAATTCCTTTTTGATCTGTAAAAGCAGAGGAGTTCTGGGTCTAGTAAACAGAAGTCTGGCTTGAATTTCCAAAACATAGAGTTAATTCCTTCATTTCCAAATTTGAGTCAGTTAACAGACTCAGAACCCCTTGAGAAAGAAACCCACTCCACTGTCAAAAATTTATACTGTTGACTTTTCTTTCAGTATTTCCCCAAAGGGACTTACGGCTCTTTACCAGGTTGACTGTGCACTGGGGAAAGGAAATTCTGGGGAAGGGAGTTTAGCCTAGCCAGGCTGACACATCACAAAGCCATCACAGACCACCCCTTGTCAACTTGGTACCCATACATATTTCCTTTAAACATACTGCCTATATGATACAACTATCCCATATACAACTGCAAACATGCCAACCTTTTCCTCAAAAGAGGATACAAAATCCTCAGGTAATGTTCCTCTTCTCTTTTGAAATTTAAATACTAAGATTAACTACCATAAAAACATTTTGTGATGTAAAGTTAGCTATTATTAACACATCTTGTGTTAGATAAGAGGATAAGGGAGAGAAGAAAACAAAAATACTTAATATTATACAAACGTTCACATCAAGAGAAAACTTGTAACTAATGCAGTCTTCAACTGGTCATGTAGTTGTAGCTGGCATTTTTAACAGCCACCTTCTATCCATTCCATATTCTTTGCCCTCAGCAATCACCTTAGCTGGGATCAAACCCTTATTCTTGAAGGGTCTGGGCCATTATCAGTCCTGCCTGAATTGTTTTTTTGTAATTTTCTATTGATATGAATCACAGGATGTGAATATTAGGAAGCATGTTAGAAGATCTGTATTCCAGGCATACTTTTCCTTACCTCCATTGTGTAGTAGCAACCCAATCCCCTCTTGATGGGAGCAGTTACCTCAGCTATTACAGTAACCCCCTTATTTGTCTGTTCATTCAGAGGCATAAAAAATCCAGAGTGACCAGGTGGTAGTCTCAACTTTCAGTTTAGTGAAATCATTGTTCCTACAGTAGAAGCATTCCTCCCTCTGGAACTAGGACTTCTAAACCAGCACATTTTAAAGTTATGAGGACAGGAAGAATACATTTTGGTGGTGGATCCCTAGGAGTAGTAAAGAGGCCTCTCCTGTTTCCATGTCTTGATTCTTGGATGTGTGAATCCTGGTAATGGGAAAAATAGCACTGTATACTAGATGCTAATTTAGGCCACATACCACATTCTGGAGGACATTGCCCCAGCCCTGCAAAGTAACACCACCTGTTACCTTAGTTGGGTCTTCAAAGGCCTTTGTACAATTGTCAAACCAGCTGCTCTGGGATTATGGGGAAAATGAGGAGACCAGTAACTTCCATCAGTTGTGAAATGAGTTCTTGATTAAAATTGATATTGAGTGGGATACATGACAGTGGACAAAGCATTCTGTAGGTCTGTACTTGGTCATTTTAGCAGAAGAATCATAGGCACAGAAGAAAAAATCATATTCAGTGTAAAAGTTTATTCCTCTAAGAACAAAATGCTTTCCCTTCCATGAGAAAGCAGTCCAGTGCATAGTAAACCTGCCACCAGCCTGTTACCCCAGGAAATGATACCATATCAGGGACTTGTTGTTGATCCCTGCTGCTGACAGTTTAGGTCCTCAACAGTGTCTGTTATGGTGAGTAGAGATTCATGTTGCTGAGCCCATGCATAGCCTCCGTCCCTGCCACCACGGCCACTTTGTTCATGAGCCCATTGAACAAAGTGTTTTGGTAATAACTAGAGTAGCTGGGGAAAGAGGCTGACTGGTGTCTACAGAACAGGTCACTCTTTCCATTTTATTGTTAAAATTCTCCTCCACTGATATAACTCTCTAGTGAGAATTCATATTGACACAAATATTTCTGGGTGTCATTCTAGAAGAGGTCCATCCAAATTCCTCTTTCCCAAACCTCCTTGCCAACAAGTTTTCAAGTATGTTCCTTCTAAATCCCTGACCCTTCAGCCAAACCATCTGTCAGAGTCAATTCATTACAGACTGGTATCTCTGGCTATTTTATTCTCTTGGGAAAAATAACCAAGCAAGGGCACTGCTTGAAGTTCGCCCACTGGGAGGATTCTCCTTTACTATAGTCTTTCAGGGATGCCCGGAGTAAGGCTGCAGAGTTTCAGTTGTCCACTTTTGAGTGGTACTTGCATACAATGCAGAACCATTTGTTAACCAGACCTGAGGTTTTTTTTTCTTTTTTTTTTTTTCCCTTCCTCAGTCAACTTGTCTTAGGCAGGAAGACTTAGGTATGGATTGAAAGAGAGAAGGTAATGTAGGGGAAATAGGGACCATGGACATACTGGCAAATCCCTCATGTAACTTCCTTGTGCCTTAAGGGCCTCCTCAAGTCTGATCTCATATATACTGCCTCCCTTTGATAACAGAGTACAGCTGTTCACACTCAACATTATGTCTTGTCAGACAACACCCAGTTCATGATGGGAAGTTCAGGTAGCAGGGTAACTCAGTGGCCCATGATCAAGTGTTTGTCTTTACTAAGGCCCAGTAATAGGCCAAAAGCTGTTTCTCAAAAGGAGAGTAGTTATCCACAGAGGATGGTGTAGCTTTGCACCAAAATCCTAAAGGTCTGTGCTGTGATTTACCTAATGAAGCTTGCCAAAGGCGCCAAATATCAACCTCATCTATCACTGATACTTTAAGCACCATTGGATCTGCTAGATTATGTGACCCAATTGACAGAGCAGTTTGTATGGCAACATGAACGTATTGAAGAGCCTTCTTTTGTCTGGGCCATATTCTACACTGCCAGCTCTTTGCATCATCTGGCAAACGGGTCAGAATAGCCACCCCAATAAGGTGTATTTTACATCTAAAATCTAAAGAGGATCCCCTGGGCATTGTGCCTCTATTTTAGTGGTAGGAGGGTTAGATGCAGCACTTTATCTTTTACCCTGGAAGGGGTATCTTGACATTTTATAGATAGATCACTGGACCCCTAGAAGTTTCACTAAGGTAGAATTTTTGTTTTACTTTTTACTGTTAAAGAAAAACTAATTCAGGAATTGAACTTTGTAGGTGTATGCAGTGACAAGAATATAGCCTCAAGAACTAGTCAGACCTGGGTTTGGACTCCTAGCTGTACCACTGGTAGCTACAGGACTTTAAGAAAGCTAGTTAACCTCTTTGAGCTCCAATCTTCTTGTCTATAAAATGGACGTGGTAACAAAAGTATTTTAGGGTTGTTATATGAAATGAGATACTGTGTGCAAAACACTGTATAGTACCTGGCATATATTTAGCATTGAACAACTGTAGCTCCTCCTCCTTATATTATGAAGAATCACCATGAAAATATATGGATAATAGGTGTTTCAATTCACAATCTTCTTGTAAATTGAATTTTATTGCAGCAGAATTATGGGAAGGTTTGTGTTATGCACAAGGTGAGGAAATGAGGAAAGAAAGATGAAGTGAATTTTAGTCATATAACCCAGGATGACGATAAGGTCTCTTGATTTTGCAGTTATAATGTGTACTAAAATTTAGAAGTGAGCAGAAGTGCCAGAGTATATTTTGTTTTCTATTTCCAGATGTGGTATTATAAGTGACTATATATTATCTCACATTTGTTCTATATGAATAGAGTCTAGATAGAGATAGCCAAAGAAAGAATGGGTAATGAGAGAGAATAGGGAAAAAGTAGGAAAATCATTTTTTTTTGTTTAAAGAAAAGAAAAAGTTTGAATTACAGATTGTAAATAAAATACTTACATATTGATACCTAGACTTTAATATGTGCCAGATAATGTCAAAAACTTATTCAACAGATTTATATAAAATTACTTATAGCATAATTCATTATTCTTCCTTTATATTGGATAACCAGTATTGTGTAATTCTCAAATGCAAAAACAATGTGAAATTTGTCTTTTGGGGACAGTTAATGATAAGAAAGCAAGATTCATGGCCACCTTTTCAGATGTGCTTCCTTTAGTTTCTTGCTATCCCAGGTGTGGTCCATGGGGCAGCAGATCAGTATCACTGACTGCTTATTAGCAATGCAGAATCTCAGGTCTACCCTACACCTTCTGAATAAAAATATACATTTTACCAAGATTTAATGTAGGCATATGAAGGTTTAAAAGGCATTGCTGTTGACTTCTGATCTAGGTTGACTTCTGTACTATATTCCTGTCTGCCCGATTTACTTGCAATATTGGAATCAGAATAGCCAGTAGTGTCCATTTAGTTCTGTAGAATTTGCAAATCAGAACTCTACTTCATTTTTTGAACAACAGTTCACTTTTTTCTGAAATGAGAAAATTAAACTACACTGTAGCTATATCATTATGATTTAAAAATTGATGTAATTCACAATTAGGTCCTATTAAGCTTCTGTTTTAAGGCAAAATGACAAGTGTAAGACTGGAAAGTAGTTTATTATTAATTATATCATAGCTAAATTGGACTATATCATAGTATTATTAATTATAGTCAGGAAACTACATTTTGTTCCCCTCAACAAATGGCGATACCAGTTTCTAAAACATGAATGATTTTCTGCGCTCTTATCCAAGGATGGCAAATATCTGAGATGGCTAATTTTCCCTTAAGACCCTCCTTCCCCTCTATATAAGGGTCAATGCCAGTGGATCCAGAAAACTTTTTCCCCCTGGATCCTGGATGTAACCTCAGAATCCTTCTCAATAAAGCATTCTAGGCAGCCACCACAAATCAAAGTTGCCACGCAGAATAAAAGTTATGAAATGTAGCATTTCATATTAGTCTCCTGCAAATATTAAAGTTTTTCATTGTTATAAGCAATGAAAATTATCAAAAACAAAGTACAAGTATCATATTCCTGCATTCTTGATCCAGACCATCTTTTATTCCTCATGCTTCTACATTGGTAGAACTTTAATGTTCTTCGAAAATTTACTGACAATCAAACACTTCAAGAAGTAAGAGTTGAGCATGTTAAAGCATTCAAACCTTTAGGAACACTTTCCTAAATGACAGTGTTTTCTGGCTTCAACTACAGAATTCTGTGAAGAATCAAAGACTCCAACTGTAATTGCATTTAATCAGAGAATGCTCTTCTGTAAGGCATTCTTTGAGAAATCCATATAAAAATTAGATGTTTAAGAATCTGTATATTCATTTAGCCATACAAAAGACATTTAAATGAAAATTTTATTAACTGGAATTTTGTTATGCCACAGAGCTAACTTAGGAGCAAGATTCCAAGGCAGAAGTGAAACTGATGGCAGCACTGCTTTCATATTTAGCATATAATACTATAGTGGCATTAATAATTCAGCAGATACAGAAATTTTTTTTTCCATTCCTGATTTTGTTGATTCAGAGTGGTAGAAGCTTTGTAAAATATAAATTCTGATTCTTTTTCAACTTTGTCTAATTTAAATTTCCCTGTCTTCTGCTGAGTATAAAATAAATGGGTCTAGGTTTGTGAATTTGCTTTTTTAAAATTAAAAAATAACCTGCTGAAACTATTCAGAAATATACCTCAATTAGGGCATTTTTTTAAAAAAGAATGTGTGAACATGTTTAAAATTAACCTTTACCATAATTAAGCTTGGTAGAAATAGAAATTATTGATAATGATAACTCATAAAATTAAGCTTATTAAATAATATTACTTGGGACAAGTACTATGCTTCATTAACTTTAACATTTTTCTTCTTTTCCTTTCTTTGGCTCTTTATTGGACAGTGAGTTTTTACTGTGAGAGATGCTTAGGAAGAGCATTATAATTTTTTGTTTTACTCTAAAGCTCATCCATGTATTTTATTTTGAATGGCTACTGTGTGCTACATACCAGAAGAAACTGGTTTCTTTCCATCTGAGATTTTATCTGGCTTCTTATAAGCTGGTAGATCTAGGAAATGCTATACTTCTTAATATTTAGCAGTTTTTATCTCCACTTTTACAAAATTTAAGAATATTTTAAAGATTAGTAATTTATAATTTTATGAATTTACTTCTTTTAATATTCTATAATTTTCAGATCAAGTTATTAGTCAAGATAAATATACTCAATCCATTTTGAATGCTTTTCCAGATTATGCTTTCTTCATTTAAAGGTTCATGTTTATTTAAGGGTATCATAAATATTTAGTAGACTGAGATCTATAAACTGATATGTATCACTGACCTAACAAATATATATTGGGAATCAACTTTGTTCCTATGAGAGATCTGTATCTATAATAATACTTATTTAGTTTATACATAATTAAAACCTTTATTGTGATTTAGGAATGAATCAAGATATATTTTCTAGAGTGTATAAACCAGAAGTTGCCTAGGAAATGGCTGCAATTTAAAGTTCTTAAAATAATGCAACTCCTCATATGTGTGTTTTCAATCTTGCTATATATTTTAAGAGAGCTGATATTTTCCCTTATGTTTACTTTGAGCAATTAGTAATTATAAATATCCATTTATAAGTATAAATTTATCTGTGTTTCTAAATTGTACTTAGTGTTCTGATTTCTGGATTTGATGTCTAGTGTATACTATTTTCTGTAATAGATATAATTTAAAACACAATAATAAGAACAGCATTAGAATAGAAATCAGTACCATTCTTCTAGTTTTCTTAGAACATCACATACCAACAGTCAAGTGCTTTTATTGAAATACAGTTAGTAGCAATTAGCTTAAATTTTGGCTTTTCATAGATTGAAACTGTTAAAGCCCAGTTGATCCCAATGTTTTTGGATAGTGGTAGTATTTTTAGTGCCACGAGAGAGTCACCTATTTTATGTAAAAGTTTGCTTATTGAATTACCAGATATATGACATCATAGTGTAGTAATACTGGATTAGTAATTCATAATAAAAACTTTGTCCCAGGTTTCACAAAGACCACCAGAATAACTGAATAAATAAGCTTAAGTCTCTGCTCCAGTTTTTCCTTTTTTGAATTGGGTTACCTGCCCCAATTCCATGTTCTAATGATTCAGTTCTCTTATTTTTAAATTTTAATAATGAAAAAAATTAATGATTACTGTAATTAAAAATGTCAGGTTTTCTTTCTAAAATCGATAAGCCTATTTATAACAATACTTTATTCAGACATTAAAAAAATTAAAAGCCACTCTTTATTGCACATTTACAATATATTTGACCATCTCCTACTTAAATGAATCACTAAATTACATTTTGGACCATGCATTGCTCTTTTAGACTACTAAAAGTCGGTAAATTTTTCATGTCTTCTGGTGATTAATCCTTCAATCTGGAAAGTGTTTATAGCTAGCTAAAGTGTTTATTGGTAGGGATTAGTCTCATGATTTGTATTTAGTATTCTGTTTATAATAATTTAAAATGTTGTACTAATTAGATCTGTACAAAAAGAATAGTCAGTTTTCTTGGTACTAGAAAGGGATATAAGTAGTGACAATTAGAAACCAAAACTGAATATACCCTGCTAGATTAGTTCCCAGAGAATATGGTTTATCTTTAATACATATAATTTGCCTGAGAATAAGTGGTGATTGACTAAATATTTTATCAGTAAAGATAATATCTACCTAGATTATCATTTCTTTTTGTATTTTTACTATTTTTAAGTGGAGAGAAAACTTCAGTTTTTTACAATCAAAATAAGTATTAAAGTGATATTATAAAATCAGAGCCCCAAATCCTAACCCAAGAACAACTATGAAATTAATAGTGCATTGTTGCTAAGTGCTGGGTAGGTTAGCTCTTGAATAAAGTTTAGTTTGTTACATGAAAAACATTAATAAATAAATTCATTATTCTCAGGCTTTCTATAAACATCAACAATTTGTATAATGCAACATTAAAAAAACTTCAAAGCACATTTAAAAATGTTTAAGCAATTGTTATTTACATCATTTATGATTGGTCAATTGTAGTAAGGTATGAAATTCCTAAAACGGAAAGAAAAAATAGCAAAGAAAGCAGAAAACAATGAATCCAATGACCCAGTTCACTGAATAAATATATATGATCACCATATCCATGTCAAACCACCATCCACGGCTATCATCCTCAAAGTGCAGGTAATCCATCCTGTGTGCACCGTGTGGGAACTGCCTTCTTGTAACTGGAGCTGCATGTCTGCGGAAACCTAGAAGATGTATGAACATATTAAAGCCCATTAAATTCAAGCTAGTGCTCAGAAAAGAAGCTGTACACAAGTACAGTTAAACAAAGCATATCCTGATTTCACTGAGCGGAGTTATGTTGTATTCCTGACAGTTTTTTCTTTTTTTTTTATTATTATTATACTTTAAGTTTTAGGGTACATGTGCACAATGTGCAGGTTAGTTACATATGTATACATGTGCCATGCTAGTGTGCTGCACCTATTAACTCATCATTTAGCATTAGGTATGTCTCCCAATGCTATCCCTTCCCACTCGCCCCACCCCACAACAGTCCCCAGAGTGTGATGTTCCCCTTCCTGTGTCCATGTGTTCTCACTGTTCGATTCCCATCTATAAGTGAGAACATGCGGTGTTTGGTTTTTTGTCCTTGCGAGAGTTTACTGAGAATGATGATTTCCTATTTCATCCATGTCCCCACAAAGGACATGAACTCATCATTTTTTATGGCTGCATAGTATTCCATGGTGTATATGTGCCACATTTTCTTAATCCAATCTATCATTGTTGGACATTTGGGTTGGTTCCAAGTCTTTGCTATTGTGAATAGTGCCGCAATAAACATACGTGTGCACGTGTCTTTATAGCAGCATGATTTATAGTTCTTTGGGTATATACCCAGTAATGGGATGGCTGGGTCAAATGGTATTTCTAGTTCCAGATCCCTGAGGACTCGCCACACTGACTTCCACAATGGTTGAACTAGTTTACAGTCCCACCAACAGTGTAAAAGTGTTCCTATTTCTCCACATCCTCTCCAGCACCTGTTGTTTCCTGACTTTTTAATGACTGCCATTCTAACTGGTGTGAGATGGTATCTCATTGTGGTTTTGATTTGCATTTCTCTGATGGCCAGTGATGATGAGCATTTTTTCATGTGTCTTTTGGCTGCATAAATGTCTTCTTTTGAGAATTGTCTGTTCATATCCTTTGCCCATTTTTGATGGGGTTGTTTGTTTTTTTCTTGTAAATTTGTTTGAGTCCATTGTAGATTCTGGATATTAGCCCTTTGTCAGATGAGTAGCCTCTTCTAGTTCAGTGCATTAAAGGCAGGGTAGCAAAGAACACAGGATATGAAGTCAGGAGATTTGCCTAGGTCTGCCACTTGGCTGGGGCAAGTCATTTAACTCTTTTGGTCATGAATTTCTCATCTATACTATCTGATTTCTTCAAAAATTTGTGGGGATCAAATGTAATTATTTTCAAGAGAATATTTTCTAAATTTATCATGTTTTATTTTTACAACTGCTTTTATAACTTCTGATCACCAACTTAACCTTGTATCTTATACTTTGAGAATTTCATTCAGTTTAGTTCTTTGAGCAAAGTTCTAAGAAGAATATCTTATTTTAGCATCGAATAAACTAGACAGACATAATGATACTCCTTTAAAGAAATTTAGCTTTAATTTCCATAGAGTTCAAAGCATGGGGATTTGTTGGTACAGAAAAAGCAAATCTTGAAAGTCAACTATAGTCTACTTATTACTAAATGAATATGACATTTCTGAGAAATATTACATCATGAAATACAATTTTCTTTTGTGTATTTACATGCTAATTAGAGCTTGAGAAAAAACCTGCTCAATAGCAACTTGTTTTTTTTGGTTGACCAATATATAAACTCAGTCATTTAAAAAACAAAATTCAATTCTCTGAAGACTGATAACCTATTAATCTTTTGCTTTTTACTTATCTGCTTTCTACTTTAAGTATTTCTGTGTTTATTCATGTTAGGGAACAGGGACAGCATAATAAACTAGGCAGAAAAATGTAATTCTGGTACTCACTAGCAACTATGGTGATAAAAGTTCTGTGAAGCTCTAGCCTGAAGCAAACTCTGGTTCACTCATTATAACAATTGAGTAATGTTAAATATTCTCTAGGTCAGGCTGCTTATTCTGATGGCAAGGTTGCATTTACCTGGGTATTAGTATGCTCATTTAAAGTCAAATCTCTTTAATCAAGAACTATCCTATTTTTTATGTATTAAGTTTATTTGGAAATTATATTTACTTACGTAGGTTCAAAACATGAAATTTAAAAAGATAAACATGAAATAAGTGATATTTAAACAGAATTTGTAGAGCTACATTTCAAATAGGTTTTTAAATAATTTCTAATTGATCTTGGCTGACTTTCTATCATATCTGATTTGATTTAAAAACTTTTTTTACTGCTACACAATATTTGTACATTTTAATGGAGTATATGTAATATTTTATTGTTTATCTTTGTAGTCTGGTGGTTTTCTATAGTGGTATCCTGTGTATTTTTTCTCTTGTATGTTTGTTCTACCATTTGGGTTTTACTTTCATGTGTTTTCATGATATCATTCTTTTGCTTCCAGGTATAGGACTCCCCTAAGCATTTCCTACAGAGCCAGTCTGGTGGTGATGAATTCCATCAGCATTTCCTTGTCTGGAAAAGGCATTATTTATCCTTCAATTCTGAAGGAAAACTTTGTCAGGTATAATATCCTTGGCTGCCATTTTTTTCTTCAGCACTTTGAATATGTCATTCTATTCTCTGGCCTGTAAGGTTTCTACTAAGAAATCCAATGTTTTCTGATTGGGGTTCCCTTGTAAGTGACTAGATACTTTTCCTGTTCTAAAAATTCTATCTTTGACTCTTGATAGTTTGGCCATATGTACCATGGAGGAAACCTTTTTGCAGTATGTCTATTTGGGGATTTCTGAGCTTCCTGTATCTTGATATGTAAATAAATTTCTAGCCTTGCAAAGTTCTCATCTATTATTTCATTAAATATGTTTCCTATCCCTTTCGTTTTCACTTCATCTCTGGGACACCAAAAATTTGAATATTTGATCACTTTATGGTGTCCCATATGTCACACAGGCTTTGTTCATCCTTTTAAAATTCTTTTTTTCTTTATTTTTGTCTGACTGGGTTATTTCAAGAGACCTGTCTTAAAGTTCTGACATTTTTTCTTCTGCTTTATCTAAACTGTTACTGAAGTGCTTAAATATATTTTGTATTTCATTTACTGAAAGAGATGGGGAGAGAAGCAACTTGGAAAACATATTACAGGAGATCATCCACGAGAACTCCTCCAACCTAGCTATAGAGGCCAACATTCAAATCCAGCGAATACAAAATATTTAGTAAGAAGGTTATCCCCAAGGCACATAATCATAACATTCTCCAGGGTGGAAATGAAATAAAAAGTGTTAAAGGCAGCTAGAGAGAAAGACCACCTACAAAGTGTAGTCCATCAGACTAACAGTGGACCTCTCAGCAGAAACCTTACAAGCCAGAAGAGATTGGGGGTCTATATTCAACATTCTTAAAAGAAATTCAACCACGAATTTCATATATGGCCAAACTAAACTTCATAAGCAAAGGAGAAATAATATCCTTTTCAGACAAACAAATACTGAGGGAATTTGTCACCACTATACCAGCCTTATAAGATCTCCTGAAAGATGCATTAAATATGGAAAGGAAAGACTGTTATCACCCACTGCAAAAACTCTAAGTTCACAGACCAGTGACACTATAAAGCAACCATAAAAACAGGTTGGCATAATAAACAACTAACAACATAACAGGATCAAATCCACATATATCAATATTAACCTTGAATGTAAATATGCTAAATACCAGTTAAAAAAAGGCACAGCTTGGCAAGCTGTATAAAGAACCAAGATCCAATGGTATGCTGTCTTCAAGAGACTCATCTTACATGCAATGACACCTATAAGCTCAAAATAAAGGGATGGAGAAAAATCTATCAAGCAAATGGAAAGCATAAAAAAGCAGGGGTTGCAATCATAGTTTCACAAAGACTTTAAACCAACAAAGATAAAAAAAGACAAAGAGGGGCATTACATAACGGTAAAGAGTTCAATTCCATAAGAATACTTAACCTAAATATATATGCACCCAACACAAGAGCACCCAGATTCATAAAGCAAGCTCTTAGAGACCTTCAAAGAGACACAGACTCCCTCACACTAATAGTGGGAGCCATCAACACCCCACTGAAAGTACTAGATCACTGAGGAGGGAAATTAACAAAGATATTCGGGACCTGAACTTGACACTTGACCAAATGGACAGAACTCTCAACCCCCAAACAACAGAATATACATTCTTGTCATTGCCACATGGCATATACTCTAAAATTGACCACACAATTGAACATAAAACAGTTCCCAGAAAATTAAAACTGAAATCAAAACATCCACACCCCTGGACCACAGTGCAATAAAAACAGAATCCAATAAGAAGAGGTCCCAAAACTATATATTTACATGGAAATTAAACAACCTGCTTCTGAATGACTTTTGGGCAAATAATGAAATTAAGGCAAAAATCAAGAAGCTCTTTGAAACTAATGAGAAGAGTTAAAAGGGAAACTTACAGCACTAAACACCCACATCAAAAAGTTAGAAAGATCTGAAATTAACAGCCTAACATTACAACTAGAGAAGCAAGAGCAAACCAACCCCAAAGCTAGAAGACAAGAAATAATCAATATCAAAGCTGAACTGAAGGAGACAGACACAAAAAGCATTCAAAAGATCAACAAAACCAAAAGCTGTTTTTTTTTTTGAAAAAATTAAGACAGGCCACTAGCTAGACTAGTAAATAATAAAAGAGAAGATCCAAGTAAACAATCAGAAACAACAAAGGGGATATTACACCACTGACTCCACAGAAATACAAGTAACCATTAGAGAATATTACGGACACTTGTATGCATACAAACTAGAAAATCTACAACAAATGGACAAACTCCTGGACACATATACCCTCCCAAGACTGAACCAGAAAGAAATTGAATCCCTAAAGAAAACAATAATGACCTCTGAAATTGAATCAGTAATAGCCTATCAACCAAAAAAATTCCAGGACCAGACTGATTCACAGCCAAATTCTGTAAGATATACAAAGAATGCTGGTACCATTCCCACTGAAACTATTCCAAAATAATTGAGGAGAGACTCCTTCCCAACGCATTCTATGAGGCCAACATCATCCTGATAGCAAAGCCTTGCAGAGACACAAGAACAAAAAAATAAAACTTCAGGCCAATGTCCTTGACAAACATCGATGCAAAAATCCACAACATAATACTGGCAAATTGAATTTATCAGCACATCAAAAAGCGAGTCCACCACAAACAAGTAGGCTTTATCCCTGGGATTCAAGTGTAGTTCAATGTATGTGGATCAATAAATGTGATTTGTCACATAAACAGAACTAAAGACAATAACCATCATCTCAATAGATGCAGAAAAGGCTTTCAATAAAATTCAACATTGTTTCATGTTAACTCTCAACCAACTAGGCATTGAAGGAATACACCTCAATAATAAGGGCCATCTATGACAACACCACAGCCAACATCATACTGAATCGGCAAAAGCTGGAAGCATTCCCCTTGAAAAACATAAGACAAGGATGCCCTCTGTAACCACTCTTATTTGACAAGCATTGGAAGTCCTGGACAGAGCAATCAGGCAAGAGAAAGAAAGAAAGAGCATCCAAATAGGAAGAGAGGAAGTCAAACTATCCCTGTTTGCAGACAACATGATTCTATATCTAGATAGCCCCATAGTCTCAGTCTAAAAGTTCTTAAGCTGATAAGCAAATTCAGCAGATTCTCAAGATAGAAACTCAATATGCAAAACTCACTAGCATCCCTATACACCAACAACAGGTGAGCAGAAAGCCAAATTAAGAACAAACTCCCATTCACAATTGCCACAAAAAGAATAAAATACCCAGGAATACAGCTAACCAGGAAGGTGAAAGATATCTACAAGAAAAACTACAAACCACTGCTCAAAGAAATCAGGGATGATACAGACAAATGGAAAAACATTCCATGTGATGGCTAGGAATAATCAATATCATTAAAATTGCCATACTGTCCAAAGCAATGTACAGATTCAATGCTGTTCCTAGCAAATTACCAATGACATTCTTCACAGAACTAGAGAAAACTACTTTAAAGTTCATATGGAACCAAAAAAGAGCCTGAATAGCCAAGGAAATCCTAAGCAATAAGAACACAGCTGGAGGCATCACGCTAGCTGCCTTCAAACTATACTACAGGGCGATAGCAACCAAAACAGCATGGTACTAGTACAAAAATAGCGATCAATGGAACAGAATAGAGAGCCCCAAAATAAGGCCACACATCTACAACCATCTTATTTTCAACAAAGCTGACATGAACAAACAATGGGGAAAGTATTCTCTCTTCAATAAATGGTGCTCGGATAACTGGCTTGCTACACGTAGAAGACTGAAGTGGACCCCTTACTTACACCATATATAAAAATCAATTCAAATGGGTTAAAGACTTAAATGTAAAACCCAAAACCATAAAAACCCTGGAAGACAATATATGCAATACAATTCTGGACACAGGAATGGGCAAAGATTTCATGATGAAGATGCCAAAAGCAATTCTGCAACAAAAGCAAAAACTGATAACTGGGATCTAATTAAACTAAAGAGCTTCTGCACAACAAAAGAAACTATTAACAGAATAAAAAGACAACCTACAGAATGACAACCTACAGAATGAGAGAAAATTTTTGCAAACTGCATCTGACAAAGGTCTAATATCCAGCCTCTATAAGGCACTTAAATTTACAAGAAAAGAATAACCCCTTTAAAAAGTGGGCAAAGGACATGAACAGACATTCTTGAAAAGAAGACATACATATGGCCAAGAAACAGCAAAAAAGCTCAATATCACTGATCATTAGAGAAATGCAAATCAAAACCACAATGAGATACCATCTCACACCAGTCAGAATGGCTATTATTGAAAAGTACAAAAATAAAAGATGCTGGTGAGATTGCAGAGAAAAAGAAATGCTTATACACTGTTGATGGGAGTGTAAATTAGTTCAGCCATTGTGGAAAGCTGTGTGGTGATTCCTCAAAGTCCTAAAAACAGAACTACCATTCGACCCCAGCAATCCCGTTACTGGGTATATACCCAAAGGAATATAAATCATTCTATCATAAAGACACATGCACGTGTATGTTCTTTGCAGCACTATTCACAATAGCAAAGACGTGGAATAAACCTAAATGCCCAAGAATGGTAGACTGGATAAAGAAAATATGGTATCTATACACTACGGATTACTATGCAGCCATAAAAAAGAATGAGATCATGGCCTTTGCAGGAACATGGATGGGGCTGGAGGCCATTATCCTTAGCAAGCTAATGTAGAAACAGAAAACCAAATACCACATGTTCTCACTTATAAGTGAGAGCTAAATGATGAGAACACATGGACACAAAGAGGGGAACAGTAGACACCGGGGCCTATCAGAAGGCAAAGGGTGGGAGGAGGGAGAGGAGCAGAAAAATAACTGTTGGGTCCTAGGCTTACTACCTCAGTGATGAAATAATCTGTATATCAAATCCTTGTGACATGAGTGTACCTATATAACAAACTTGCACATGTACCCATGAACCTAAAAGTTAAAAAATTATTTTAATCAATAAATTAAATTTAAGTTTAATTAAAAATAAATTTATTAAATTAATTTTAAATTTCTAATTTCTTTCTAATAGGATAAATAAGCAGAAGATTTTGTCTGGTAGGGTTGAGCTTATGAGGATCACAAACCACTCTAATATCCAAGATTTTTTTTGTCCACCAAATACCAATTTTTGTCCCCATTTAAAATGCATGGTACAGGAGACAATACACTTAGAACTATTATGATAACATAATAGTCAATGTATATATTTTAATAGACACAACCACTTCATTCTAAAAAAGGATTTGGATTGGAGTTAATAGTAAGAGAAGCTTCTGCATCAGGAATTCACTTTTACAGGCATAATCATAACTTATTCTTTGTGATAAGCTGTTAATTATTTTGGTATTAAGACATGGTTCAAAGAGTACCCAGTATTCTTAGTTCATTTTAACTATGCTATAGTTCATTTTAACTATGCTATTTTAAAGTAAGAGACATAATAAGGACACATACTTCAAACACTTTTTTGCCATATAATCCAGTGAAAAAAAGGCACACTGCAGTGAAAATTGTACTCTTCAAGGAATCTGAAGAATTGAATTCTTGTGCCAATATTCCACATACTCATTATTCACAAGTCAAAATAATTTCTCTGTATCTCTGAAGATGTTCATATGGTTTTCTCCTTTAATCTGTTAATGTGATAAATTCAACTTGTGAATTTTTCTACTGTTGAATAATATTAATTTTATTAAATTGATTTTCTTTCCTCATATATACCATTCCTTCATATGGATAAATTCCATATGTCTTTAATACTGGTTTTTTGATACTAAGGAACTCAACTTGTTACTATTTTATATGGCATTTTAATCCATATGCTAAAAAGGAGATTGGTCTATAGTATTCTGTTTTATGACACTTTTACCTGGTTTGTGTATCATGATTTTATTGGCTTCATAAAACATGTTGGCTGTTAGGTGACAATTTTCCATGGATCAATGTGTGCCTGCACATCTTGCAAGCAGAAGTACTAACTGCCTTTGTTCTGGACTATTTTTGAAAGATATTTGCACAGCAAACTGTCTCGGAAGACAGAGTGTCTCCATTTGGAGCAGAGTATAGGTTTGTTTGTATTAGAATATAGCATATTTAATGCCTATTATAAAAGATTTGAGTTTTGTAAGCTTAGAGATCTCCCATGTAACACACTCCATTGCATATATGAATATCAAGATACCCTATGGGAAATGAGGCTCAGGTATCCATCACAAATGCTGCTACTCTGGCTACCGCTGTGAGTAACAAACCATCCTTTGTCTCTAACACATAAGTCTTGTGTCTTCTGCCACCATCTATGACAGTGGCCAAATAACTTGTTAGCTTACGAATAGGGTAAAATGTCAGGCCATTAACAGTTCTAGACATTGGTAATTTGGTAATCTCTTTTAGTATCTTAAACAGTTTGCATAAAAATAGAATTCTTCCTCTTTTCCTAATTGAATACCCTTTATTTCCTTCTCCTGCTTAATTGCCCTGGCCAGAACTTCCAACACTATGTTGAATAGGAGTGGTGAGAGAGGGCATCCCTGTCTTGTGCCAGTTTTCAAAGGGAATGCTTCCAGTTTTTGCCCATTCAGTATGATATTGGCTGTGGGTTTGTCATAGATAGCTCTTAGTATTGTGTTACATCAATACCTAATTTATTGAGAGTTTTTAGCATGAAGGGTTGTTGAATTTTGTCAAAGGCTTTTTCTGCATCTATTGAGATAATCATGTGGTTTTTGTCTTTGGCTCTGTTTATATGCTGGATTACATTTATTGATTTGCGTATATTGAAGAATCAATATTGTGAAAATGGCCATACTGCCCAAGGTAATTTACAGATTCAATGCCATCCCCATCAAGCTACCAATGCCTTTCTTCAGAGAATTGGAAAAAACTACTTTAAAGTTCATATGGAACCAAAAAAGAGCCCGCATAACCAAGTCAATCCTAAGCCAATAGAACAAAGCTGGAGGCATCACACTACCTGACTTCAAACTTTACTACAAGGCTAAGTAACCAAAACAGCACGGTACTGGTACCAAAACAGAGATATAGATCAATGGAACAGAACAGAGCCCTCAGAAATAAGGCCACATATCTACAACTATCTGATCTTTGACAAACCTGAGAAAAACAAGAAATGGGGAAAGGATTCCCTATTTAATAAATGGTGCTGGGAAAACTGGATAGCCATATGTAGAAAGCTGAAACTGGATCCCTTCCTTACACCTTATACAAAAATCAATTCAAGATGGATTAAAGACTTAAACGTTGGACCTAAAACCATAAAAACCCTAGAAGAAAACCTAGGCATTACCATTCAGGACATAGGCATGGGCAAGGACTTCATGTCTAAAACACCAAAAGCAATGGCAACAAAAGACAAAATTGACAAATGGGATCTAATTAAACTAAAGAGCTTCTGCACAGCAAAAGAAACTACCATCAGAGTGAACAGGCAACCTACAGAATGGGAGAACATTTTCACAACCTACTCATCTGACAAAGGGCTAATATCCAGAATCTACAATGAACTCAAACAAATTTACAAGAAAAAAACAAACAACCCCATCAAAAAGTGGGCGAAGGACATGAACAGACACTTCTCAAAGGAAGGCATTTATGCAGCCAAAAAACACATGAAAAAATGCTCATCATCACTGGCCATCAGAGAAATGCAAATCAAAACCACAATGAGATACCATCTCACACCAGTTAGAATGGCAATCATTAAAAAGTCAGGAAACAACAGGTGCTGGAGAGGATGTGGAGAAATAGGAACACTTTTACACTGTTGGTGGGACTGTAAACTAGTTCAACCATTGTGGAAGTCAGTGTGGCGATTCCTCAGGGATCCAGAACTGGAAATACCATTTGACCCAGCCATCCCATTACTGGGTATATACCCAAAGGACTATAAATCATGCTGCTATAAAGACACATGCACACGTATGTTTATTGTGGCATTATTCACGATAGCAAAGACTTGGAACCAACCCAAATGTCCAACAATGATAGACTGGATTAAGAAAATGTGGCACATATACACCATGGAATACTATGCAGCCATAAAAAATGATGAGTTCATGTCCTTTGTAGGGACATGGGTGAAATTGGAAATCATCATTCTCAGTAAACTATCACAAGAACAAAAAACCAGACACCGCATATTCTCACTCATAGGTGGGAACTGAACAATGAGATCACATGGACACAGGAAGGGGAATATCACACTCTGGGTACTGTTGTGGGGTGGGGGGAGGGATAGCATTGGGAGATATACCTAATGCTAGATGACGAGTTAGTGGATGCAGCGCACCAGCATGGCACATGTATACATATGTAACTAACCTGCACAATGTGCACATGTACCCTAAAACTTAAAGTATAATAAAAAAAAATAGAATTCTTAAAGGTTTGATAAATCTAGCCTATAAAACCACTTGGGCCTGTACTTTTTTCAGGTCTATGGGCAGATTTAAAAATACCTATCAATTTCTTTAATATTTGCTGGTCTCTTCATGTCTTCTAGTTCTTCTTGAGCCATTTCTAATAACTTTTATAAAAGATTATCCATTACATCCAAGTTTTCAAATAAATTGGAGTAAAACTTTCATAACTGTTCCCTTAAAGCTCTTCAGAAATATTCTAGTCTCTGATTACATGGTTGGTTTGTGCTTCCCTGTCCCCTGGAAGTTACGAAGGCCATGGGACTTGACCAATGAAAATGATTGTCCAATGAAAGTTACGTGTGTTGTTTCTGGATAGAGGCATTTATCAGTTTAAGTTGCTTTGCAGCAGTCTCTTTTCCTCTGCCACAATAACCAGCAATATACCAGACAGGGGCTGCTCTGTCATCGTGTTTTAGGTTGGGTTCCAAGGTTTAGGATGATGTTGGGTGGAGCACCCAGCAGTTCAGTGAAAATTGTAATCTCACTATGAATTCTTACTGAAAACAATGAAGTAACTAATAAAACTGCTGAAGAAACAGGTGATAAAAATGGAAGTTGAATCTGACCTGTTTTCCCACATGGAAAAACAAGCTCTTGGAGAAATTCACTGTGGTGAAATCAAAGAGCAAGAAGGACCCGTGAAGAAAATCTACAAGTTGATATCAGGTTTAGGTTATAAAAATTACAAAGTTACTCTTGTCTTTTCTTCAATTTTATTTTGTAGAAATAATTTTACATCAGAGTGATTTCTGTCTCATATCCTAGAAAACAAGGCTATGACTTTTTTTCGCTACGGAATATGATTCGAATTTATATTCGCCATCAAAGACCATAAAGTGAACTCTATTATTTTGAAGCTTGTTTCAGAGATAGAAAAACTATCTCTGAACAGTTATCTCACTAATTTTTGTAATTTTGGTAGGTTGTGTTGTGCTAATGGTAGACATTCAATATATGTTTTTGGATGGATGAGTACCTGCATAAAAGGACAGACTTTAGAGAATAAAATGAATAATTAGCATATTTTTGAGACTGTCCTAAATCAAGCCTTTCAAATATATTTTCAGCAGGAATTGAAAATTAATATGAACATATTTGAAAGACATTTTGCAGGTTCTTTAGAGGCTAATTCAGAGAGCCTTGAAATTAGTATTAAAAAGGAGACATGTCCTATCTTTCAAATATGATGGGACGGATAAAAGGTTAAAGCACAATATTTTACTGCTTCATATTACATAAGAATTTTGTTATGTCAAAAGTTGATTGATATAAGTAGGTCTTAGCAGAGGTGGAGAGATATATTTATAGTCACAACTAGGTATAGAGTTACTGTTAATATACTTAAAAAGTTAATGCAAAATAGATTTTAAATTTCATCTTTTCTCCTATACCCTTAGGCTCCTAGAGTAAAAAGTATTAATTCTGAAAGTTAATCTTTTATATTGAATAAGTTAAAATTTATTGTACATTACTTATAACATCTGCTTAAATTTCAATATAGTTTATAAAGTTAGGCTACATTACACATTTTTTTGTTTCGGTTCAATAACCAGGTAAGAATTGAATACTGCTTTTTTAAAAAAATAGTTTTTATTGGGTAAGATATATATAACATAACATTTGTCATTTTAACCAATTTTAAGTGTACAACTCAGTGGCAATAACTACATTCACAATGTTGTACAACCATCACCACTATTTATTTTCAAGTTTTTTCATTATCCCAAACAGAAACTGTAGCCATTAAGCAATAACTCATGAGTCCCTTTCCCCAGCCACTGGTAATCTCTATTCTGCTTTCTTTCTATATGAATTTGTGGAATCACTCAATCTTGGCCTTTTGTGTTTGGTTTATTTTACTGAGTATAATGTCTTCAAGGTTCATCCATATTGCAGTATGTATCAGAATATCATTCCTTTTTATGGCTTTTACTCCTTTTTACCTATTGTATGTATATACCACATTTTTATCCATTCAATTGCTAATGGAAATTTAGGTTGTTTCTACCTTTGGCTATTGTGAATAATGCTGCAATGAACATTGGCATACAACTATCTTTTTGAGTCCCTGTTTTCAATTCTTTTGGGTATACACAGAACTGTAGAGTCATACGGTAATTCTATGATTAGCTTTTCGAGGAATTTACATTTCTCCCAGCAATGTATCAGAGTTCCAATTTCTCCTTATTAACATTTTATATATATAGTATATAGTCTGGATATTAAGTCATTATCAGAAATGATTTGCAACCATTTTCTTCCATTCTGTAGGTAGCCATGTTGTCTTTTTACTTTCTTGATACTGTCCCTTACACCACATTTATTTTTTTTTTTGAGATGGTCTCACTCTGTCAGCCAGGCTGTAGTGCAGTGGCACAGCAATAGCTCACTTCAGCCTCAACCTCCTGGGCTCAAAAAATGCTCCCAGATGTCAGCCTCCCAAGTAGTTAGGACTACAGGCATGCACCACCATGCTCAGCTAATTACAATTTGTTTTTTTTTTAGAGACAGGGTCTTGTTATGTTGCCCAGGTTGGTCTTGAACTCCCGGCCTCAAGTGATTCCTTTCAAAATTTTTAATTTTGATCAAGTTCAATTTACTTTTGTTGCTTGTGATTTTGATGTCATATCTAAGACTCCACTGTTCATAAATATTTACCCCTCTTTATTTTACAAGATTTATGTTTTTTAAATTTTATATTTAGGTCATTGATCAACTTGGAGTTAAGGGGTCCAACTTCATTCTTTTGCATATGTAAATCAGCTATCCTAGCACTATTTATCAAAGAGACTATTCTTTCCCAGATGAATGGACTTCATTAGTAGACTTGTCAAAAATCCACTGGTCATAGATATATGAATTTATTTCTGTACTTTCTATTCCCTTGATCTATATGTCTATTCTTATGGCAGTACTACACTGTTTTGATTACTGTAGCTTTGTAGTAAGTTTTGATATTATGAACACTGTACTTCTTTTCAGGATTTTTTTTGGTTATGCAAGACCCCTTAAAATTCTGGATGAATTTGAAGATCATCCTTTTCATTTCTATAAAAGCGCTGTTGAAATTTTGATAGAAATTGTGTTAAATCTGTAGATGGCCTTGGGCAGTACTGATATCTTAACAGTATTAAATCTTCTAATGCATCAACACAGGATGTCTATTTATTTGGATCTTCTTTAATTTCCTTCAGCAACGTCTTAGTTTTCAGTGTGCAAGTTTTTAACATCCATGCTTAAAATTATTCCTAGGTATTTTATTCTTTTAGATGCTATTGTAAATCGAATTGCTTTTAGTGTCCTTTCTGGATTGTTCATTCCTAGTGTACAGAAACAACTGATTTTTATGTGCTGATCGTATAACCTGCCATGTTGCTAAATTAATTAGCTCTAGTAGCTTTCTTCTGAATTCTTTGGGATTTTCTGTATACAGGATTAGGACATCAGAATACAGATAGTTTTACTACTTCTTTTCCAATTTGGATGCCTTTTATTTATTTATTTATTTTTAAATCAAATTGTTCCAGCTAGAGTTTCCAGCACAATGTTGAATAGCAGTGGTTAAAGTGGACATCCTCATTTTGTTCCTAATTTTAGGGGGAAAGCTTTCAGTTTTTCACAAATGTGTGGTGTTAGCTAGGAGGTTTTCATAAGTGCCCAGTGTCATGTTGAAGCAGTCTTCTTCTACTCCTAGTCTTCTGAGTGTGTTTATCATGACAGGGTGCTAGATTTTGTCGAATGCTTTTCTGTATCAAGTAAAACAATCCCTTCCCCCCTTTATTAATGTGGTAAATTACATAGATTTTTTTTATGTTGAACTATTCCTGCATTCCTAGATAAATCCCATTTGGTAATAATGTAAAATCCTTTTAATATGCTATTAGAATCTGTTAGTATTTTGCAGAGAATTTTTGCATTTATATTCCAAAGGGATAGTGGTCTATAATTCTTTTCTTGTGATAACTTTGGCTTTCATACTGAGGTAGTGTTGTCCTCATAGAATGAATCATGAAGTATTTCTTCTTCAATTTTTTTTTTGAACAGTTTGAGAAGGATTGGTGTTGCTTCTTTAAATACTTGGCAGAATTCATCAGTGAAGCTATTTGGTCCTGGACTTTTCTTTCTTGGGAAGTTTGTGATTACTGATTCAATCTTTTTACTTGTTATAGTTCTGTTGAGATTTTCTATTTCTTCTAGATTCAGTTCAGATAATTTGTATGTTTTTATAAATTTGTGCATTTACTTAAGTCCTCTAAGTTTTGGTATATAATTGCTTATAGTATTCTCTTATAATCCTTATTTCTGTAAAAGTGGTAGTAATGTCTCCACTGTTTTTTATTTATTAAGCATCCTCTCTCTTTTATCTTTGTCAGTGTAGGTAAAAGCTTGCCCAGTTCTTTGATATTTTCCTGACCAAATTTTGGTTTTGTTGATTCTATTTTTCTATTCTGTATTTCATTAATCCCTATTCTAATCATGTATTATTTCCTTCCTTCTGCTAGCTTGGGGTTTAGAGTGCTGATTCTTCTAGTTCAAAGTATAAAATTATGTTGACTTGAGAGCTTTCTTCTTTTTTTAATGGAGGCATTTACTGCTATAAAATTCCCTTTTAGCACTACTGTTGCTGGATCCTGTAAATTTTCGGTATGCCATATTTTTGTTTTCATTCATATCAGTGTATTTTCTAATTTCCCTCGTGCTTTGCTTTCTTCTTTGACCCAACTGGTTGTTTGAGTGTGTTTTTTAATTTCCACGTATTAGTGAATTTTTCAGTTTTCTTTCTATATGGATTTCTAGCTTCATTCTATGCGGTCAGCGAAGATACTTTGTATTGCTTCAATCTTTTAAAATGTATCAAGACTTACTTTGTGGTACTACGATGTCTTTTTAACTTGCATGACTTTAAATATCAAAAGTAAACACAGATTTACATATTTCAATTTTTTCCTTAGTTAATAGGGCTATAATACTTGACATTAGGTTATATAACATACATTTATATTTATACTCATGAATTCTGGGTTTATGTTATACTATTTCAAATTGGACACAATTAGGCTAAATACGACTTATTTCTTATTTTGTTTCCAGAATACATATATTAACATAATAAATACCAGAAGGCAATTTTTCTATTAAAAAGATAAGCAAACAGCACTTATGCAATCAATTAGTGATATTAGTTTTGATTGAACGGTTGCCTTCCAAGATTGAGGTAAATACAATCTCTAATTTTTGTTTATTTGTTTTACTTTAATAGCATTCAGTTTATGTTCTATTACATTTTCTAATAGTCATTTTATATTCAAAATTGAGGATTTTTTCCACATGAATGAAGCAAAACTTAGTTTTTCTGTAATAAACAGAAAAGGTTTTTTCTTCTGTTAATATGGAATACAGAATAAACTAGATATTACCAATTAGTCTATTTATAATTATGTATCTATGTATTAAAAACTTAAATTCATTGGTAAAGTTTTAACAGCAAATATAGCCTAGAGATTTTAACTTTTAAATTTAACCTAATGTGTAATATATTACAAATTTATATTTTGTCAGGAAATACATCAAAGAGTCTTATTTAGGTTGTGGAACAGACTATATTAGATCATAACTAACAGTCATTTAGGATAGATATGTTCCCCCATTTTACAGATTAAAAATAAAAAAAGAAGGCCGTAGCTTTGAGTTTAATTCATTTGCCATGGGTTACATATGTGATGGAGCTGAGTCTTCAGCCAGTTTCTGTTTATGTATCTATGACAGTACTGTGAATTTCAGGTATTTCAAACTTTAAGAAAATTCAAAAATCTTCCTTCAGTAGCCTGATATTTTATATCAAAAAATTCCAAACAAATTGTTTTTTGAGAAGACAGCTATTTTAAAAAATCATTTTATCTATTCTTTCTAAATACACAAATATATCTTACTTTAAAATCCTTTCTTTGAAGGCAGAAATAAAGATGTTCTTTGAAACCAATAAGAACAAAGACACAACATACCAGAATCTCTGGGACACATTTAAAGCAGTGTGTAGAGGGAAATTTATAGCACTAAATGCCCACAAGAGAAAGCAGGAAAGATCTAAAATTGACACCCTAACATCACAATTAAAAGAAATAGAGAAGCAAGGGCAAACATATCAAAAGCTAGCAGAAAGCAAGAAATAACTAAGATGAGAGCAGAATTGAAGGAGATAGAGACAGAAAAAACCCTTCAAAAAATCAATGAATCCAGGAGCTGGTTTTTTGAAAAGATCAACAAAATTGATAGACTGCTAGCAAGACTAATAAAGAAGAAAAGAGAGAAGAATCAAATAGATGCAATAAAAAATGATAAAGGGGATATCACCACTGATCCCACAGAAATACAAACTACCATCAGAGAATACTATAAACACCTCTATGCAAATAAACTAGAAAATCTAGAAGAAATGGGTAAATTCCTCAACACATACACCCTCCAAAGACTAAACCAGGAAGAACTTGAATCCCTGAATAGACCAATAACAGGCTCTGAAATTGAGGCAATAATTAATAGCCTACCAACAAAAAAAAAGTCCAGGATGAGATGGATTCACAGCCGAATTCTACCAGAGGTACAAGGAGGAGCTGGTACCATTCCTTCTGAAACTATTCCAATCAATAGAAAAAGAGGGAATCCTCCTAACTCATTTTATGAGGCCAGAATCATCCTGATACCAAAGCCTGACAGAGACACACAAAAAAGAGAATTTTAGACCAATATCCCTGATGAACATTGATGCAAAAATCCTCAATAAAATACTGGCAAACTGAATCCAGCAGCACATCAAAAAGCTTATCCACCATGATCAAGTGGGCTTCATCCCTGGGATGCAAGGCTGGTTCAACATACGAAAATCAATAAATGTAATCCAGCATATAAACAGAACCAAAGACAAAAACCATATGATAATCTCAATAGATGCAGAAAAGGCCTTTGACAAAATTCAACAACCATTCATGCTAAAAACTCTCAATAAATTAGGTATTGATGGGATGTATCTCAAAATAATAAGAGCTATTTATGACAAACCCACAGCCAATATCATACTGAATGGGCAAAAACTGGAAGCATTCCCTTTGAAAACTGGCACAAGACAGGGATGCCCTCTCTCACCACTCCTATTCAACATAGGGTTGGAAGTTCTGGCCAGGGCAATCAGGCAGGAGAAATAAATAAAGGGTATTCAATTAGGAAAAGAGGAAGTCAAATTGTCCCTGTTTGCAGATGACATGATTGTATATTTAGAAAACCCCATCATCTCAGCCCAAAATCTCCTTAAGCTGATAAGCAACTTCAGCAGTCTCAGGATACATAATCAACGTACAAAAATCACAAGGATTCTTATACACCAATAACAGACAAACAGCCAAATCATGAGTGAACTCCCATTCACAATTGCTTCAAAGAGAATAAAATACCTAGGAATCCAACTTACAAGGGATGTGAAGGACCTCTTCAAGGAGAACTACAAACCACTGCTCAATGAAATAAAAGAGGACACAAACAAATGGAAGAACATTCCATGCTCATGGATAGGAAGAATCAATATCGTGAAAATGGCCATACTGCCCAAGGTAATTTATAGATTCAATGCCATCCCCATCAAGCTACCAATGACTTTCTTCACAGAATTGGAAAAAACTACTTTAAAGTTCATATAGAACCAAAAAAGAGCCCGCATTGCCAAGTCAATCCTAAGCCAAAAGAACAAAGCTGGAGGCATCATGCTACCTGACTTCAAACTATACTACAAGGCTACAGTAATCAAAACCGCATGGTACTGGTACCAAAACAGAGATATAGACCAATGGAACAGAACAGAGCCCTCAGAAATAATACCACACATCTACAACCATCTGATCTTTGACAAACCTGACAAAAACAAGACATGGGGAAAGGATTCCCTATTTAATAAATGGTGCTGGGAAAACTGGCTAGCCATATGTAGAAAGCTGAAACTGGATCCCTTCCTTATACCTTATACAAAAATTCATTCAAAATGGATTAAAGAGTTAAATGTTAGACCTAAAGCCATAAAAACCCTAGAAGAAAATCTAGGCAATACAATTCAGGACATAGGCATGGGCGAGGACTTCATGTCTAAAACACCAAAAGCAATGGCAACAAAAGCGAAAATTGACAAATGGGATCTAATTAAACTAAAGAGCTTCTGCAAAGGAAACTACCATCAGAGTGAACAGGCAACCTACAGAACGGGAGAAAATTTTTGCAATCTACTCATCTGACAAAGGGCTAATATCCAGAATCTACAAAGAACTCAAACAAATTTACAAGAAAAAAAACAACCCCATCACAAAGTGGGCAAAGGATGTGAACAGACACTTCTCAAAAGAAGACATTTATGCACCCAAAAGACACATGAAAAAATGCTCATCATCACTGGCCATCAGAGAAATGCAAATCAAAACCACAGTGAGATACCATCTCACACCTGTTAGAATGGTGATCATTAAAAAGTCAGGAAACAACAGGTTCTGGGGAGGATGTGGAGAAATAGGAACACTTTTACACTGTTGGTGGGACTGTAAACTAGTTCAACCATTGTGGAAGACAATGTGGTGATTCCTCAAGGATCTAGAATTAGAAATACACTGGGTATATACCCAAAGGATTATAAATCATGCTGCTATAAAGACACATACACACATATGTTTATTGCAACACTATTCACAATAGCAAAGACTTGGAACCAACCCTAATGTCTAGCAATGATAGACTGGATTAAGAAAATGTGGCACATATACACCATGGAATACTATGCAGCCATAAAAAAGGATGAGTTCACGTCCTTTGTAGGGACATGGATGAAGCTGGAAACCATCATTCCCAGCAAACTATCACAAGGACAAAAAACCAAACACCGCATGTTCTCACTCATAGGTGGCAACTGAACAATGAGAACACTTGGACACAGGAAGGGGAACATCACACACTGGGGCCTGTCATGGTGTGGTGGGGGGCAAGGGGGGAGAGATAGCATATTAGGAGATATACCTAATGTAAATGATGAGTTAATGGGTGCAGCACACCAACATGGCACATGTATACATATGTAACAAACCTGCACGTTGTGCACATGTACCCTAGAACTTAAAGTATAATAAAAAAAAGTAATAGAAACTCAAAAAAAAAAAAGAAAGAAGACTAGCCTGTCATAACTTATTATTATTACAATGGCAATTAAAAACTTTATTAAAACAAAAGTATCAATAAAATACAAAAAAAATGAAGTTAACAACAACAACAACAAAATCCTTTCTTTGGCATTAAAAGAATAAGCAACCCTCATTAATGTTTATGTCTATTTGTAACCTCAGTTTTTCTCAAGGAATGGTGGTGACAGACATTTGGAAATATAAGGGGACTTTTTTGATGTAAGAAATGGGAGGATTTACTTCTGGTTATGTATGCTAAATGTTCAGCAGTGTTGATTTGGTTTTATAGCAAGCAGTGTTGGGTTAGAATTGACCAACAGGTGTCCTTTTAGGAAACACTTTAGAGGTTACTTATTTAGCAATCTTTTTTAAACAAAACAAGGAATTAAGGAGAAAATGACTCACAGGTAGTTAAAATCTTAAGCTTATTGGATGAACCTCGCTTGTTAGATCATGTCTCAGACAAGGTATCATTTAAGTAGCAATATTAATATCAAAATAATGCTATACTTTCTAAATCTACAAGTAAAAATTCCTTGACATGCTGAATAATAAGTTATATCATTTGGTAATCAGTTTTATAAATAGTCATTTAGAGAACTAAAAAATCTGTTTTATAATTTTAGACTTACATATAGATTTTGTTACTAGTACTTAATATTTTAAATATCATCCCAACAGGAAATATTGTTCAGAAACATCAGACTCCATTAATTTAATGACAATTCAATTTAGAAAAAAATTTTATCAGGTTGAGAGATTTTCTCTTGAGGATTAAAAAAAATCGCTATTGCTTCAACTATGTCTTATCTTTTCAAAGCTCTGCTGCTTGTGTTTCCAACAAAATCAGTGCTCATTTGAAAGGAAGTTGTATTATCAGATTCAGCTTGAAAAATCTCCTATATGGCCACCAGTTGTTTGTATAATCTCTTTTAAAAGTGAATATTAACCTATCCTTTATGTGTGAATTCTTAGGACTCTAAGGAATGCAGAATAAAATAACTTGAAAGAATAAGTTTCACAGTGAACTCAAGGCTTTTTCAAGTCATTGAAATTCTAAGTTCTCTTTGAAATGTTTTTAGAAATTATCCTATAGCTTTTCATTTTCTCAGGCCAGAAAAAAGTAACGAAAGAACACACAGTACCTGTGGCATGTATTATTGTTTTCTCTCTTTGCTATTAGAAAAAAAGGATATTTATATGTAGTATTGAAGAAAAACCTAATAGAACAAAATGAAATATTTTTAGATTTATGTTATAAAATCTATTATTTATATATAACCTTGCATTATATCCAGCTACCTATACAATATTTCAGTGCACCAGAAATGCATAAGATACATATTTTAAGTGATACTATAATGGAGTAGCACCTTTATTATTAACAAAATAATGATCTTGTTCACAAAATAGTGGTATCTATTATTTCTCAACAAAATCTTGAATTATTACAATGTAATCTTAGCAAAGCTAAAACATTTATGTAGAGTAAGATTTTGCCAACAAAAACCACTTCATTGCCAGCATAGTTATGAAGTTTTTCTGCAACACTTTATTTTTGAGTGAATAACATTTGAAGCTGCTTTTGTTAATAACACAGTCCTGACACTCGTAAAGGCAAAGATTTCAACTTCTAAACTGCTCAGTTGTTTGCAAGGTTTTAACTGCAAATTATAAATCTGTAAATATTAAAACATTTCATATTATCCTATTTTAATGAATGCTCTAATAGCTGCTGAAATTTATGAGTATATATCTCATTTAATATTAATCTGTTTTAAGTCATAATAAATATGTCCTACTTCATGTGCACTGCAACAATGAAAAATGCAGCTACAGTTATGGGATGGTAAATCATGGTAGTAGCTCCACCAGCTGGCAAAAAAGGTCTGACACTTTTAAGCTTGTCTTCTGATCATTAACATACTCCTCAAGTCCCTAAAAGAAAGAAGTTGGAACTGCCCCTTCCCTCTTCTCCAGATAGTTGTAACCTTACTTTTTGGAATTTCTTTTCTTCTTCTGGGACTACCTTGATATCCATTTTAAACCACTCCTCTTGTTTTACAGATTTTTTTGAATGTAATTTTTTATAGACTGGAAAAAAGGCAAATAAATTTAATGCCTTGAATACAGTATTGAAGTACTATAAACATTTTGTGGTCTCACAAATCCCATGGTGATTTCCCCAGGGTGCTGTTGTTCTCAGCATATTGGCTAAACTCCAGTTTGTACAATTACTTAGATTTCTTAAATTTGCACTGTAGTTTCCAACCAAACTTGCATATGCTATACAAAACAAATGGACAATAGCCATGCACTATTAAAGTATCATTATATGCCAGAGTTAACTTTATTTCGGTATAAGGCAAACACTGTTCGTCTCTTTTATTTATAACATTGCATTTCTTCTGATTAATTCATTCTTCATCATAGTTCAGATATGCAGAAAATAAACAAGTCAGAGAATAAACAAAATAATCTTTCAAGGTACCTTTCCATTCTGAGTCCACAATTCTATTCTTACGTTCCCAAGTCCTATCATCTTTTAGAGCAGTGTAATCATAAACTTGACTTTTTGGATGCACATAGTTATCATCTGGGGAGCTTTAAATAATACTGATGTTTGAGACCCATCTCCAGAGATACTGAATTAATTGGTCTGGGATATGGCCTGGGCATTGGGACTTAGTCAAGGTCGTAAATATGAAAGAACAGAAACTAGGCCAGGGACAGTGGCTCATGCTTGTAATCCCAGCACTTTGGGAGGCCGAGGCGGGTGGATCACTTGAGGTCAGGACGTTGAGACCAGCCTGGCCAACATGATGAAACCCCGTCTCTACTAGAAATACAAAGATTAGCTGGGCATGGTGGCAGGCACCTGTAATCCCAGCTACTTGGGAGCCTGAGGCAGGAGAATTACTTGAACCTGGGAGGTGGAGGTTGCAGTGAGCCGAGATTGTGCTACTGCACTACAGCCTGGGTGACAAGAGCAAAACTCTCTCAGAAAAAAAAAAAAAAAAAAAAAAAAAAAGAAGAAAAGAAAAAAAGAAGAATAGAAACTAGTAGCCGGAATTGTTTTTGTTTCAAAAAAAAACAAACCAAACCTTAGCTCTTATCTTCCCTCATGTCATGAATATTTTTTTTCCATCTGCCAATGTGAGTTGAGGACCTTGGAATTTTCCAAGATAAGATGAAAAGTTCTGTTTCATAATAATGGTCTTATTTTGTAGTTGCTCTATTTTGGGAAGCCCAATTCCTGAAATTTTAGATTAAGATTATGAATGCTGATGGTTATCTCTCCTGGAGTTCTTTACCTCTTTATTAGTATCATCAAACTAAATGCTCATTTGATTGATTTGAAATTAATCTGAGAAATTCAAATTTTACTTTCCCTAAAAAAAAATCAATGATTGCAAACTGTAATTTCCTAGAAGCTGGTTATTTTATGTCATTTTGAAAAATATTTTAACTGCCAATATAATTGTACTTCACACACATAAAAAATCAGAACAAAAATTCCTTCCAAATTTAAGGATTTTTTTGGATCTAAAATAAATTTGTAAGATTTACATGTATTCAGAATAATGGCTCAGACATAATAGTAGGTTTTGGTCAGTAATGTGAGTTATATTAGATAATTATCCAATCCTTAACTTACATGAAGAACAGCAAATTGTTTATAATGTGTTCCTTTTTACATCTGTCATGACAGGTGCTGTGAGTGTGGTTGATTGGAAGTGGCCCAGCCTTTAAAGATAAATCCTAGCTTTCAAATCATTTAGATCTGAACATTGTGGAAAATTTCACTAAGAAATTGCTTAGACTATAGACTGCATCTCTTCAATCCATCTTTAATTAATACATTTTAAACATATTTTATTTACTGGGTATCTCTCCATTATTTTTCTCTTATATCAGTGTTGGGGTTATTATGGTATTTCCTGATAAAGTTATGCCAGAGACCAAGAAATACCCCTATGGATAGTTATCTTTCCCAGTGGAGAGGCATTCCTCAGGATCAAGAAGCCAAAACTAAGTAGAAACCATTTATTAGGAAAGAGGATAAGACATAGAGTGCCATATACGGACACTTCTGCTGTGCACTGCGGAGCTCCAGAGGGCACCCTTCATATATAAGTAAGCCAAAGGTGCTTCCTGGAGTTGGGCAGTATGGGATCCCCGATTTCAAAGCTCTCCTTGCTTTCCTAAATTAGAAGAGTGTTGGAGGTGCATAAACTCAGGTGGATAATTCTCTATGATGAGGTGGGCTAGAAGCCCTTTAGGGGCTATACATTTTTAAGTTATACCTTGCAAATTGCATTATTTAGATTCTGATGAATGGATCACTAGCCAAATGAGAAACAAAACACTGATTTTATTAATATAGGCAATCACTAGTAATCCCCCAAACACAAGGCTTACGGGTAAACTGGCTTGAAGAAGGAGGGGCTTCTTGTTCCCTTCTCTACTCTTCATCTTGGGATCCATATAAATAAAGACACAGAACTAAGCCTACAGACTGGAAGTCTCAGTCCATTTATTCAATCAACTCAGCTGCACAGATGAAGCAGAATTCAGAAATGTATGACAGGTTACTATTATTTAACCTGTAACAAGCAGAAGAGAATGAGAACAGTGAATTGGCTAAAAGAGGCCTTTCCTGGGTTCAGAAAGTGAAAGGCAACCACTGTGCTACAGTACAGGAAGTAGAAGTGAAGGGGAAAAGAATAGGCAATTCCACTCCAAAGCACTGACTTTGAACACAGAGACCGCTGCTAATAACACAAGCCCCAAACTTTCAGATTAGCCACTATTTTTCACAGGTGAAGGATCCTGTACACCATCATTGTGTGTGTTTTTTTTTCTAGCAGTTCCTGAGATAGATGTGTTGAAATCTCCAAGTGTGATAGTAGATTTATTTCTATTTCTTGTTTTAATTCTATCAACCTTTGTTTCATATATTTTGAAACTTTAAGTTGCATACAAATTTATGGTTTTATGTTTTCCTATGGAATTGCCTCTTTTATTGCCATGAAATGTTCCTTTTTTCTCCAATAATTCCTGTTCACTTAAAGTCTAATTTTTTACATTAACATAGCCACAGCTGCTTTCTTTTGATTACTGTTTACATATATATAATTTTCTATACTTCCAACCTTTCTGTGCCTTTATATTTAAATGCCATCTCTTATAAACAACATATAATTGGTTCTTGTTTTTCTTAACCCATCTGCCAATCTATTTTAGTATGAATTTTTAATGTTTACATTTTTTATTTTCTAGATGTTTTTAAGATTTTTTTCTTTATATTTGGGTTTCAGCAGTTTGGCTGCTCTAGATGATGTCTCTAGATATGGTTTTCTTTCTATTTATCCTAATTAGGCTATGCTGAGATTTATCAATAGGTACTGATGTCTGTCTTCAGTTTTGGAAAATATCCTTAAAAAATGAAGGTGAAATAAAGACATTTCAGGTATCCAGTAGACCTTCCTTGCTAAAGTTCTGTGCTTCCAGCTAGGATCCTTTTGCCCTAAAGAGCTACCTTTAGTTTTTCTTGTAGTGTAGGTCTACTGGATACCTGAAATGTCTTTATTTCACCTTCATTTTTTAAGGATATTTTTGCTGGATAAAGAATTCTTGGTTAGCAGTAAGCCATTAAACAGCATGTTTAATGTTCCATGAGCACATTAAAGATGTTATTCCACCATTTGGTCCTGTGGTGTTCCTGTTCAAGTCAGTCATCCTTGCTTCTTGGAAGGTAACTTTTTTTTCTAGATGTTTTTAAGATTTTTTTCTTTATATTTGGGTTTCAGCAGTTTGGCTGCTCTAGATGATGTCTCTAGATATGGTTTTCTTTCTATTTATCCTAATTAGGCTATGCTGAGATTTATCAATAGGTACTGATGTCTGTCTTCAGTTTTGGAAAATTCTTGACAATTAGCTCTTCAGCTATATTTTTCTATTCCCTTCTTGTTCCTTCAGGGTCTCCAATTACACATATTCAACAGATTATATCCCACATAGTCTGCTGTTAAAGCCATATCATATGTTCTTAATTCAGCTATTGCACTTTGTAGTCCCAGACTGTTTTATTCTTTTTTTATAGCTTCTATTTTCTATTGGCAGTTTTTTACCTTTTTATCTATTCTTTTTCTCTATTTTCATTAACACTTTTTTCCTAATGGATATTTTAAAGTCTGCTAACCCCAACATCTAGATCAAAGAGGAGATGTGTTTCTATTTTGTACTTTCTTTTTTGATGAGTGGTCACATTTTCCTAACCTTTTGCATATATCATAATTTTTTATTGTATGAAAGATCCATGGAGACTGAAGTTGATATTTCCCTCCAGAGAGGACTGGACCTTTCTTTTGTCAGGCAGACAGAGTGAGAGACTCATCCCCTCAATCTAACAATTAATAAGCAGGGTTGGGTTTGAAGTTAGGTTGTACTTTCATTATACTCAATCTAATTTCAAACGTCTTAAGGACACATGACCTACGCTGTGTTTATTGCTGCCTCATTTCTTTAATGGGACTTTATCTCCAAAGCACTACGGAGTTCACAATGGGACTGCAGAAAATTTTTAGTGTTTAGTGTGTTGTTTTTCAGGTCTGGACTCCCTACTACAGCATGGTTCTCTGCATTTTTTGCTTAACAGTTTATAAGGTCCCTAGCTCTTCTAATCTGAAAGCTGTGCTTTTCAGAGGTTGTGGATGTTTCTCTTTAGCCATCCATCCTATATAGGTTTAAAATATGAGATATATCTTAAGGAGGATTCTTATTATGTATCTGTTATAGGTCCCTCCCTGTAGGATAACTTGATTCCTAAACTCTGAGACTACAAGAGATTTCATTCTGTCTTTTTTAGCCAACTTTTTAAGCCTTTTTTACTCCCAAAGCTCTCAGCAAATGTCTCATGTAGAAAATCGGCTATATGTTTGGACTCCTCTTCCAATCCGACATGTCAGTCTCTATGGTTATCAAAACTTCTGCTGATTTCTATTCCCCTTCATAGAGTCCTCTGCCCATGGCTAGACTAATCCTCAGACTCAGAAAATACTTCCAGTAAAGCAAAGAGCTGGCAATATTAGCTTTCTTAGGGGGCTCTGATCATACTGGAGTTTTAATTCACCTAGTCTTCAATTCCATATATCTCAAATTTGTTTGTAAATGTGATTTTTGTAACTTATAATTTCCCCCCAGTTATTGCCACTGAGAGTGATCGCTTGCCACCACTTACTATATCCTACTCAGAAGCAGAAATTCCCACTCCTGTTGTTGCCAGAAGTAATATACTTGACTTATATCTGTCCCTGCTCTTTCTCAGGGTTCTGTGGTTGTTTTCTCGTTGTACTCAGAATCAGGTCACATTCATCCCTCTAATCTGGCCTCCTGATCTGCCATTTCCATCTTTGCTGCTGCTGATCAAATGAGATTTCTACTCTTCTAGTGTTGAAGCAGAAGAGGACAGCCCTGAGCTACCTTTTGCTACTGTGTCTCAAATGTTGTATAGATCAGATCTGCTATAACTTTTCATAACATTTTTGATCATTTGGTATAAAAGGTATGACACAACATCAAGAATAACCTGCAGCCATTGCACTGACATGGATTCATCCTCAGGATACCTTTGTACTCCTTGCTCACCTCTGTGTCCCAGGAGTGAGTATCCACCATCACCCCCAAGAGTACTCTACTCTTCATGATTGTAGAATAGGATAAATCTAAACCTACCATGAGGTCTCGCAGAAATGGAGTAGGTTTTCCATCATCTCACTTAAGGCCTACATACTCAATCTTCATATTCTATACCAGACTGACCACAGTTTCCCAGAATGATTCACAATGAGTACATACATTGCCCATGGCCCCAACAAGGTAGTCACACAGTGATCAAACTTTAGAACACTTGAACATTTCTGAAATCTTTTCTTTTAATTAAATGACACCATTTATTGATATCAACAGTCCAGTTTGAGTTAAGAGCTATGCTGAGCTCCTTCACTTCCTTTCTGCCCTTTCTTCTCAAAGGATAAAAAAATCCAGTATCAGTCATCTTATTATATCTTTGAACACTTTTACTTGGTGTCATTTATTCCTTAGGGTAGTTAGGTAAAGCATTATTTTGGGACACATTATTAAAATTGTGAGCTCTGGGCCAAGGTCAGGACTATGTGGCCACCACGCTTTCACACCAGGAGAATTTATTTCTTGAGCTAATTTCAGAAGTCTTGTGGTTACTGGTTGAATTTTTAATGCACAAGCATACATGTGCACTTTTATAAATGCAAGTGTTTTAAAATGAAGGCATCATATCCCACCAACATCCAATTTCATATGGAATTAACAAGCAAGTTCTATATATGTGAAATAATGAAAAGACTAAAAATTGTGAGTGTGTGTGCAAAAGGAAGAGTCAGAGGGAAAGAGTAGGTAAAGGGAGAGGGAAGGAGGTAAAGGAAGAGGGAGGGAGGAAAGGAGAGAATGAAACACTGCTCATAATTTTTAAAATAAGTTATGAAGTGGTGATAGTTGAACAAAATGTACAATTTGCATTATAAGTCATTTGGGTCATGAACTTAATATAGAAGCAAAAGGCTTCTGAAATTCTAAACTCATAAGTAAACTGTGTAACAAAAATAGAACCTGATTCTGCTAAAAAGAACAAGTTCAGAATTTGCAGGCCTTTTCAAAAAATTATCTTGTGAACAAAATTGTTCCAGTTTCAGAGGAAATGTAAGGGTTAATGTACCTTTCAGCTCCAAGGCAGTCCCATGTCTACAGCATATTTTAAATTTTCTCTGACTTACCTCCAACTTTCTGAGAAGGTGGATTTCTGCGTTATATTCACACTCATGCTGTGTGAGCATGTACTGTTTTGTTTTCTATTAGAGATAATCATTCTTTTCCATGTGGAGTTCTTTGATTTATACTGAGCATGTTTAAACTTGCAGCACCAATCTAACACCTTCAGGCAAACTAATGACCAAATAAAATAATTCTCCAGGCTTTCATGAAAAATGGATGGATTGTCATAAATATATATCAGACACCTACATTTCAGCTGCATGTTTTTGTTACAGTGAGTAAAATTAAAACATGGAATTTTTAATTCTTGTTAAAAATTCCTTTGACTTGAGTATGTTTAGAAAAGAAATTCAACAATGTAGAACTTTTTGCAAAAATGTTTTAGTGAAACCTCTTTGCTACATTGCTTTGTGTGTGTATGTGTGTATACATATGCATGTAATTATATATATGAATGGTTTTTCAGGGAATAAATTAACATAGCATAGATGGAAACCATATCAGTTGGATACTGTTCAAATAAACTGAGGATTAAATGCCTGAAAATGGTAGGTATTTCAGGGAAAGGAATTACAATTGACAGAGTCATCCATGCAACTAGTATCTGATAAGAGATTAAAGAGTGATAGCTCACATTTATCTAGATTATTTCCATTCCTTTTCTTATTACCCATTTTATGTGTTAATACATGAAATATGTATTTGTAAGAAGAAAAAAATTTAAAACGTCTGCTTACTTATTGATTATGTAAGACACTTCATAGGGTGAAAAGGACAAGTATTAGCTAGTTTTATGCCTGAGTTCAAGCTTTTATACAAGCTTCTTTGGCTGGAAAATCTGTAACTGTTTGTCTTCGCAATTTTGTGTGTGTGTGAAAAAAAAAAACCCACTAATTTTGTGAAGCCAAAGGCGTATATGGGAATGTCTATTTTTTTCCCATAAGATCCCCCTTTCCACCTTACTTCCATCTACCAACCATGAAAACCAAGCTGAGAAGTAAATTTCTTAGGGAACCTATTAATGTTGCATAGATGGCATCTTATATGAAATAGTGTGGTATAACTTGAAATCACAGGTGCTAATTTTCCAATACAAACCTGATTTTGTACAATTGTTATTTTTAATCAAGATGATCCAACCAGTATGTGATTGTGTGGTTTATTATAAAAAATAATTAGAAATGAAGAATAAAAAATACTACAAGTGATGAAGGGAAATTTATAGCCTTAAGTAATAATTCAAAGAAAGTAAAAAGGATGCAAACTGACTTAGAAAGTCACCTTAATATGGTATAAAAATAACAAAATAAATCCAAAGACAGTAACAGAAAGGATTTAATAAAGAACAGAAATGAATGTATAAAAACAAAGATACAATAGACAATTCTCAAATTTGGTAATTTAAATGGAATAATAAAATTGACAAATACTCAGCAACATCACAGAAAAATGAGTAGATAATCAGAATTCAAAGAGCATAACTAGATATACAAGACAGATTAAAATATTATAAACAAAGGCTAACAAATTTGACACAAAAAAAATTCTCAGCAAAAAGATATATAAACTTAGGAAGAAATTGACAAAACACAGTATAAAAAATAAATACAATTTTACTCATAAATAAGTAAAATTCTGAGACAAAATATTAGCAAACCAAATCTAGCAGTGTTCTAATGTCCTAACATTAGAACATCAATTACAATCTATTAATATGATTCAGTGCATTAACAAATTGAGGAAGTAAAGCCGTATGATAATTTCAAGAAATGCTGAAAAAACATCCACAAAATTAAACTCCATTTAAGAAAAACTACAGGCATTAGAAATTAGGAACAGATGAGAGAACATTCTTAAAACCTGATGAAGGGTACTTACCAAGAATACAGAGCAACAATTATACCTATTTGTAAATATTAAAAGCATTACTTTTTTTTTTTTTTTTGAGATGGAGTCTCGCCTTGTTGCTCAGGCTGGAGTGCAGTGGCGCGATCTCCACTCACTGCAAGCTCTGCCTCCCGGATTCACGCCATTCTCCTGCCTCAGACTCCTGAGTAGCTGGGACTACAGGCACCCGCCACCACGCCAGGCTAATTTTTTTGTATTTTTAGTAGAGACGGGGTTTCACCGTGTTAGCCAGGATGGTCTCGATCTCCTGACCTCGTGATCCGCCTGCCTCGGCCTCCCAAAGTGTTGGGATTACAGGCATGAGCCACTGCGCCCAGCCAAAAGCATTCCTTTTAAAATCAGGATGCTATGATTACTTTTTCCGTTCAAAATCAAATAGAAGTCCTAGCTCAGAAAGTCTGGTAAGTGCAAAGAGAAAAAAGCATATGCATTAAATTGAAAGATATAAAATTGTCCTTATTTAATATTGTCTTCACTGAAAGCCACAAAAACCTTATAAATAATTAGACTTAATAAGACAATTTCGTAAGGTTGTTAAATATGATAACAACATACCAATATCAATATATTTCAACCATTGTGGAAGTCAGTGTGGCGATTCCTCAGGGATCTAGAACTAGAAATACCATTTGACCCAGCCATCCCATTACTGGGTATATACCCAAAGGACTATAAATCATGCTGCTATAAAGACACATGCATACGTATGTTTATTGCAGCACTATTCACAATAGCAAAGACTTGGAACCAACCCAAATGTCCAACAATGATAGATTGGATTAAGAAAATGTGGCACATATACACCATGGAATACTATGCAGCCATAAAAGAGATGAGTTCATGTCCTTTGTAGGGACATGGATGAAACTGGAAATCATCATTCTCAGTAAACTATCGCAAGGACAAAAAACCAAACACCGCATGTTCTCACTCATAGGTGGGAATTGAACAATGAGAACACATGGACACAGAAAGGGGAACATCACACTCTGGGGACTGTTGTGGGGTGGGGGGAGGGTGGAGGGATAGCATTAAGAGATATATCTAATGCTAAATGATGAGTTAATGGGTGCAGCACACCAGCACGGCACATGTATACTTATGTAACTAACCTGCACATTGTGCACATGTACCCTAAAACTTAAAGTATAATAAAAAATAAAAAAGATTGCAAAAAAATATATTTCTAGACAACAATAGGAAACCATATAAAAATCTCAGCAAGATTGTATAATATTCAGAAAAGTAGGCTATTATATGAAAAAAGACAGATGTTGAACCTTTAACAAAATATAAGGGGAAGATTCTAGATAAAGACCGAAAAAGTAAAACTACAAAATAAATATTTAAAACATCTAAGCGAGGCTTGGCAGGGTGGCTCATGCCTGTAATCCTAGCACTTTGGGAGGCCGAGGAAGGAGGATTGCTTGAGCTAGGAGTTCAAGACCAGCCTAGGCAACATAGTGAGAGCCTGTGTCTACAAAAACAAAATCAGCCAGGCATGGTGGTGTGCTCCTGTAGTCCCAGCTACTCAGGAGTCTGAGGTGGGAGAATTGCCTGAATTGGAAGGTTGAGGCTGCCGATCATACCACTGCACTCCAGCCTGGGTAACAGAGTGAGACGTTGTCTCAAAAAAAACAAAAACAAAAACAAAAACAAAAAAAAAACAACAACAAAAAAAGAAAATCAAAGTGAAAACCTCTGTGGTCTGGGAATAGGGAAGAACCTAAATAAAAATTTAAGACACAAAGCGAAAAACATTTAATTATATCAAAGTTAAGAATTCCTTACAATGAAAGATACCATGGACAAACAATATGTAGATGATAAAAATGGCAGAAGAAATTTGTAATGTCTAAAGTAAATAAAAAATTAATATCTAGAATATAAAAGAAATTTTATAAAACCAATAAGGGCAGAAACCCCCATAGTAAAATAAGCAAAGTAACTACAAAAGAGGCATCTGAAAGGCTAATATTTAAAATGACCTTAAACTATTATCAGATGAATGTAAATTAAAATGAGGGTTTCTAATTCTCATTCCCTGTCAACATTTTCCATAGTGCTAATTTTTCCCAACCTTACACACTGATAATAGGTGTCTAGGCTAGTCATTTGGGAGAACTGTTGGCAATATTTAGTCAAGCATACTCATATCCTATGACCCAGACATTCTGCTTTGGAGCCTATATACCAAATAGATATTCACAGCCCACAGTAGGATATTCATTAGAGTGTTTTTATTGTGGCAGAGAGTTGGAAGTATTCTAGAAAGTGAATAGATAGACAAAATATGGTAAATGCACACCTTAGTAGAGCATTAATTAGAAGTCACAGATTAGAGGTACGCATAACCACTTGGATGGATCTAAAGGGCAGTGCTAGGTGAAAGAGAAACAATGCAATATATAAGACCATTTTCACAAATTAAAAATATATGTGCAGAAACAATATACATTCTATAAGAACACAAAATGACACACATTAAGTAAACCCAATATAATGGTTGGCTATGGGATGAGAGTGAAGTAGAAAGAAGGATATGGGGATAAAAAGAAAACAAATGAGTATGTGGAACAGTGATGATGGTATGCCATAAATTAAGTGTGACTAGGACAATTTTTCTGCACTGAAGTTTCAAAAAAGGAGAGAAGAGGACAACATAGCAAGTACATGGGAATAAATCTAGCCAAAAGATGTGCGAGATATTTATAAAAACATTATAAAACTTTATTATAGGACATCAAAGGAGATCTAAACAAATGAAGAGATAAACAACACTGATAGAAGTACTTTTACTCTAAGGTATCAATACTCCCCAAATTGATTTATACATTTAATAGGACCCCATTTCCCAAGTAGAACATAGTTTTTCATGCAGCTTGACCAGGTGATTTAAAAATTTATATGGAAGAGCAAAGGGCCAAAAAATGGCCAAGACACTCTTGCAGCAAAACAAATTGGAAGGGGGGATATCAAAACTTACTAAGTTTTTAGTGACTGAAACAGTATGGTATTGCTATAGGAATAAAAAATTATACCAATGGACTCAAAGACCTCAAAACAGACCCAAGTGTGGAAATTAAAATATGACAGATTAGTACTGTAGATCAGTGAGGAAATGATACATTATTTTCAACAAATGGTGGTAGGAAAAAAATCCAAAGAAACTGGGTCTCTACCTACAACAAAGAAAGTAAATCAATAAAAAAAAAATTAACACAAATCAGTTTCAAAGATCTTTCAAATTATTTGAAAAATACATAAGAAAATATCTTTATGACCTTGGGGAAAGAGAAGAATTTCTTAAGCAAGTACACACCAGAAAGATGAAGAAATTGAAGAACTACAATTCATTAAAATATATCAAAGTAAAAAGAACCCACAGACTGGGAGACAATAACTGCCATTCATATAACCAACAGAAAAAAAGTCACTAGAAAATATTTTAACATTCTTAAACAACAAAAAAATACAACCAACAGAAAATCGTAAAAAAGCATTTCACAGATGAAGAAATTTAATGATCAATACACATATAAAGATATGTTCAACCCCCATCAGTAATCACAGTAATGGAAATTAAAACCCCAATGAGATATCATTTTCTACCTATCAAATCAGTAAAATCTAAAAGACTGAAAATACCAAATGTGGTAGACAAAGCTGGTGATAAATCATCACAGCCATTTAGGAAAACGGTTTTGGGTAGGTTATGAAGTTAAAGATGTGCTTTTCCTATGACCCAGCCAGTTTCTACCTGGCATTTATTCTAGAGTAACTCTTATGTTCCAGGAGACATCACAAGAGTGTTTATAGAAACACTGTTTATAATAAAAATTGGACCACTCAATTGTTCATCAACAAGAGAATGGATAAGTTGGGTTGGGGCATTTTCACATAATTGACTACAGTGTAGTAGTAAAAAGAATGTGGCCACACTTACTGAAATGGATTTGAGAAAAATATTGAATGACAAAGCAAAGCAGAATATATACATTGCTACCATTATAAAAGTTAAAAGACAAGCAAAATTAAGTAACATGATTAAGTATACATATGTATACTTATACAAAGAAATGATAAATACAAAATTCAGGGGAATCAGGGTAAACAAAGAAGAACTACAGAAGGTGCTTCAATAATATTGGTAATTGAGGAGTACAGTTCCTGATTAAAATCCTATGTGCGATTTTTTTTCAGGCCTCAACAGACCATTACAAAGGCTTTATCTGGCAGGATTCATGGGAAAAAGCCAGATTTGTTGTACAACCAGTGCATTACAATCTCTGAAGGGAGCTGCAGTCAAGTTCTCAGGCTCCCCTGGCTGCATATACACTTTTACGTATTTATATTCATATTCCCAGCACCTTTGTTACTACTTATATCTATCTGACGGCTTGGGCAGAGGTCCTTCTGTGTCTCTACAAAGGCTTTCTTATGGAGGTTGGAGGGGGAAACACTTTTCTCCACTCTGACTCAGTGCCCATTGCTTTCCTACTCCTAGCCTTTCCTCTTTGCCAATCCTCCTGACCTCAGGGTCTGAAAAACTGCTGGAGCCTTTTGTTTGGGACATTCTCAACAGTGAGTGAATCCTTACTTCTGCCCTGCTCTATGTGGCCCTGGACCAGTGTGCACTGTTGCATGAGATAATTGAACAGGAGGAGACAGCATTTCCTCTGGTTTTAGACTCTTGGTTATACTATTGCAGTAAATGATTAAAGGCTTAACTCCTTCATTTTTGGCTTGATACTTTAATCGGCTACTCCAGACACCTGATAACTCAGCTCTTTCCCAGCTCAGCTGAGCTCCTGATAGAATATATATATTTCTTATGTTGGGTGGTGTAATAATGCTACTTTGAACCTCCTTCATAAACACACACTTAAAAAATTAAGTTATTTGGAACTCCTATGGGGAAGACAAGAAGAAATCACAAGGAAGCAACTGCTTTAAATTATAGCTTCTGTACTACCTCAGAATACAAAAAGACAAGGGAAAGTGTAGAGTTATCCAGAAGGTACTCCATTCTTTTAGAACTTTGGGTATAGCATAGAAGGTAGAATACAAGGGACTGTTTTGAAGAACACTCTTAAAATAATAAACTTACTTTTCTTTGGTATGAAATCCTTTAAGACTCGATTTCTTACATTTGATTTCATATTTTGGGGGCTAAATGTGACCTATTAAAACCTATCTATGGCCAGGAACAGTGGCTCATGCCTATAATCCCAGCACTTTTGGGAGGCCAAGGCGGGTGGATCACCTGAGGTCATTCATTATTCAAGACCAGCCTGGCCAACATGACGAAACTCCTTCTCTACTAAAAAGCTTGGCATGGTAGCACGCACCTGTAATCCCAGCTACTTGGGAGGCTGAGGCAGAAGAACTGCTTGAACCCAGGAGGCAGAGGTTGTAGTGAGCTGAGATTGCGCCACTACACTCTAGCCTGGGCGATAGAGCCAGACTTTGTCTCAAAAAAATAAAATAAATGAGTAAAAAATAAAAATAAAACCTATCTATACCAAATCTCTAGATATTAAATTTTTACAGTTACTGACCACTTTATAAAGTAGTATGTGCTTATATAATGTCCTTAAACTATTTTCTTCATTCAAATCACTGTGTAAAGTTATATTCTTATGTTACTTTCTTTGAGAGTACCAATTTCATGCACCAATTTTTCTTTTGCCACAATCATAGGGGCTCTGCTTCTATCTCCTTTTGGTGTAGGTAGTACTGTACTGATCTTGTTGGTCTTACGCAGAAGACCAACCTCCTTTTGGTGTAGGTAGTAGCTGTACTGATTTTGTTGGTCTTATGCAGAAGTTCCTCCTGTTCCCTGAAGATCACAGTTCCTCATATCTGGACTTTTCTACCAGGTCCCATAATGTCATAATTGTTAAATAACGAAAACTGCACAGTAGTTCATGCTTTGATAAACTACGGTTTCATAAAAGATGAAATTATATTTTATGTCCATATTGTATGTTCATATAGTAACAAATTCCCAAAGCAGAAAAAGGTATTAGATATTGCATTACCTTCATTCCTTATATTTTTATATTCCAATTAGTTATAATTTACAATGTACTTTCACATTAGCCCATTTAATCTTTACTACTATATTAGTTAGGTGAGGAAGACATAATTATTCCTATTTTACAGATCAAAACAGAGATCCTATGATATCGCTGAAGTCATGTTGATAACTTAGACCTAAAGCCAGAAATTGGTATTCCTTGACCACTGCACATCTCTAAGACACCCTGACACCAAGGCTCTGTTACTTTCTATTTGTTTTAAACTTGTGGGACAACTATAAAATATTAAAACTAAATAAATAGAGCTTCTGCTAATGAACGCATTATTAGGAATCTTTATACAGAGTACTGGTGCCTTTGTTAACTATTGTCACAGGATCCCTAGGGTGTCACTTCACCAGCCAGAAACCTCTGTAGCTGACGGCATCTTCTGCCTGAGTACTGCTTGTGCCTGCTGGGCCAGTTCAACCCACTTGGCCTGGCAGGCTGTGCTTGGCTCTTACTACTGGCTCAGATCCCACATCTGCCAAGTGCAAGCCAGGTGCAGAATGGCAAGGGGTGTGTGGTTGAGCAAGCGTGAGGTCCAGCCACTGTGCACAGCCAGGCATGCTGGCTGCTGTGGCGGGGCAGGGAGCTCCAGGTGTTGGCTCTGTGTGTGGCTGTGGCTGGATGAGATATACTTCATGCGGCTTCTGCTGTGGGCACCCGAGTCAGGACGAGGTAAATGCAGTGGTGCCTGGAAGCTTGGAGACTCCAGGAACTGCAGAACCCCAAGGAGGGTGTCACAGCCCTGGCTCAGGGATCTCTACATCTGGGCTCCTCAAAGGGCTGCAGCTCTTCTTGTCTTGTCACCGTCAATGTGGCGAGCATGGGGCGGGGGTGTGTTTCAGCCCTTATTGTGTTACAGTTCTTTTAGTCCTGCCACTCAGCAGGTCCTGAGTTCTTGTCCCACATTCAGGAGGAATGAGGTATGCAGACAACTGGAGGGTAAGCAAGGTGGAGAGGAGCTTCACTGAGTGGTAGAACAGTTCTCAGGAGACCCACAGTGGGTATCTCCTATTCACAGGCAGGTTGTCCCGCTGTCTCTACAGCCCTCAGTGGAGAGGAGACTCACAGGTCATATTGTCAGGTAGGTTGTCCCACTGTCTGCCTGAGTCTGGCTGAGTCCAGGGTTTTTATGGGCTAAAGAGGGGAGGAAGTGCATGCTGACTGGTTCATGGGTGGCCATAGGCAGGCCTGGAAAAAGCACTGTAAGTTCTCACTCTGGTCCACAGAACTGACAGCCCAGCCCCCAGTCTTCAGGTTTGAAGAAGGTGGGGCTTTACCAGGGACCTGTCCCCTTTCTGCCCAGGAGCCTGTCTGCCTCCTGCCACCATCAACCTGCCATCCACGGTGCCCACAGTGCCCAAGCTATTCTTGCCAAGCGGTGTATGCAGGTTGCGCTGAGCTGCCCTCAGCTCCCCTCAGCCTTCCTCCCATGCTTGTCAGCACCCAGAGTTTGGAGTGGGCCTAGGCAGCAGGGGGCTGGCATGTCAGGACTGCCCTGAGAGTGTACACACTTGGCTGGGTTGCGACAGTGCCTGGGCTTGGCTTCAACTTTGCTGTGAAATTGGAGTGGGTGCCAGGAGCATGGAGAGGCCAGGCAGCAGGAGTAGGCATTTCTGAGCCTGCAGGGGCAAGGGGGCTTCCCCAGTCCCCAAGAGTACAAGGATGTCTCGGTCCGAAGCCATGGCTGGGTGGCTGCAACTTTGCCTGGGTAGGCAGGGCTCCCACCCTGCTAACTTGGAAAGGGGCAGGGCTCCCACCTGTTCCTGGCTCCTGCCAGCTCTGTGGAATGTGCAGCCCTGGCTTGTGCCTCCCCGACTGCAGCTGGCTTCATAGTAGCAGCTGTTCCAGATGGGCTGCCGCTGCCATAAATATGACTTTGTCAAATCTGATACTTTTGAGACGTATTTTCATTATCTATGTACTAAACAGTGATAGCATGGCAAAGTCAATTTAGTCATGAGTCTTCGGATTTGCTCTTATTGTATAGTCTTCATTTTCTTCATTTGTACATCTGTAGTTTTCAGCAAGGAGATACTTAGCAAAATCCTTATTTAAAATTGATTAATACAGAAATATGTTTCCCCTAATATTTCTGAGACAGCAGGAAGTTACTTTTAAGAACAGACCTTAGACAAAATTACCAGACTTTTTTTTTGGCGTTAGATTTCCTTACCTCCAAAAAGATGAAATGCTTTTCTGCAGCTTGGTAGGGGCCATTTTGCAGAGTTGGATTTCTGAAAGCTTTGTTTTATTTTCAAATATTCTTTAGTAAAGAAAGTTTTTGTGGCATTGTTCAATTCTAGAATAAAGCAAAAGAAAATAGGATTTTGAAATTAATTTGAGTAAAATGGCAAGAAAATGACAAGTGAATACTGTAGTATTTTGATACTATTTGATACAATTCACACCTCTTTAAGTCAGTGAAGACAAAAATAGATTCAACATTTTTTTCTTTACTCAAGCAAATACAACTTCCTCAAGTTCACATTTGGTGCAACTTTGACATGCCTACACATAGAACATAAATCTACTGAGTAGCTCCTATGTCAAGCAGTATAGAGTATATAATGATAAATAGGACATCGTCCCTCACCTTAAAACAACTGTAGTCTAAAACAGTGGTCCCCAACCCCTGGGTCACAAATGGGTAGCAGTCCATGGCCTGTTAGGAACTGGGCCACACAGCAGGAGGTGAGCCACAGGCAAATAAGCATTGCTGCCTGAGCTCTGCCGCCTGTCAGATCAGTGGCAGCATTAGATTCTCATAGGAAGTGAACCCTATTGTGAACTGCGCATGCAAGGAATACAGGTTGCACACTCCTTGTAAGAATCTAATTAATGCGCCTGTAATCCCAGCACTTTGGGATGTTGAGGCAGGTGGATCACTTGAGGTCAGGAGTTCAAGACCAGCCTGGCCAACATGGTGGAACCCCATCTCTACTAAAAATACAAAAATTAGCTGGGCATGGTGGCAGGCACCTGCAGTCCCAGCTACTTGGGAGGCTGAGGCAGGAGAACTGCTTGAACCTGGGAAGTGGAGGTTGCAGTGAGCTGAGATGGCACCATTGCACTCCAGCCTGGGCGAAGAAGTGAGACTCCATCTTGGGAAAAAAAAAAAAAAAGAAAAAAAAAGAAAAAAAATCTAACTAATGCACAATAATCTGAGGTGGAAAAGTTTCATCCTGAAACCATCCTCCGCTTAATTCCTTGGGAAAACTGTCCTCCATAAAACCGGTCCTTGATGCTAAAAAGGTTGAGGACTGGTGGTCTAAAAGAAATAAACAGGTGGACAAAAAAGGAGAATAATGTGTTATGAGTGTAACAACAGAATAGCTAGAGTGTAATCTGAGCTCAGGAGTGATAGTGAAAAGGAAAAACACTTGTAGAACTTTAAACTTCATAATCTATTTCATTCTATATGTGATGGGTTGACCACCTGAGTCTATTGCTATATACTTGAGGTAATTTTAAAAATATGAAAATAACCATTCAGAAGCTTACTAATGAGTTAAAAAGGATATAGTCGTTTGAAGTACACACAGACCAACTGGAGAACATATATGATGGTATTCATTTTAAACGGTAGAAACTCTTTATATCTGAACCATAGAAAGCAAACCATGATCTGAGAACAACCTCTTAGGCTGGTGCAGAGCTAGTTACTAACCTGAGAAGTAAACTAGGCTTTCCATCAACCATCCCCTCTTACTTTCATCCCGCAATGATCACCTGTAGCATTTCCTCAGTTTCCATCCTACTTCAACTGCCTTAAGCTTTGGCTCAAGTGATTTGAATTAAATTTTCTCAATTTTTCTTAATCACTGCCTTGGGTTGATTTTTACCTAAGAAATTTAAAGGGAAAACTGATTCACAAAGTTTACAATTAACAACAAAAGGACAAATGTAAAAAATACACTACTCTAGGCAACTGAAGTTATCTATTAAACCTGCAACTCTAACTCCCTTCCCAATTGCACACCCACGAACCAGCATACAAGTTAGAGAAAAGGTATTTTCATGCTCATCATGTATGCTAGAGAGTTGATATGACTACAGTGCATTTAAAAATCCTTCATATGTTTAAAAGTTAATCATTTCAAGTTAGATATTCTCTCAAGGGTTTCTGCAGCAATGCATAGCTGTTTTATTAAAGTCCACTTTTCCCACTGCCCAGTTATAGCCCTTTAGTGTAAGATGGTTATGACACTATCACTTGGTTGAAGGGGCTTGTCAGTGTCATTCATATTGATGAAGAAAGTGAAAGAAGTTATCAAATAACATATTCATTTACAGTAATACTGGTCTTTTTCTTAGGACTTAAGAACTGATAACTATGATTCAGGGTATTTTCTGAGAAGTTAAAAATCCCCCCCAAAAAAGTGGTATTGTATTAACTCTTGGGAAAATTGACTCACAACTTTCTAAATGTCCTTGGAAATGAGATCCATGTGGTGTGTCATGGCAGATAATACAAACGAAGGTGAACAGTTTGCAACTTAAGGATTCTTATTATTCCTTCCCTTCCCTTCCTTTTCCTCTCCCTCTTCCTCCTCCTTCTGGAAAATTACAATAAAGGAATCAGTTCAGCAAGAGAATATAATAATTATAAATATTATAAAAATGTATCCAAACACTGGAACACCCAGATAAAAGCAAGTATTATTAGATCTAAAGAGAGAGAGATAGATCTCAATACAATAACAGTTGGAGACTTTAATAACTCATTCCCAGCATTGCACAGATCTAGACAGAAAATTAACAAACATTGGATTTAAGCTGCACCACAGACCCAATGGACTTAGCAGACATTTACAGAACATGTCACCCAACAGCAGTAGATTACACACTCCTTTCATCAGCACATGGACCATTCTCTAGGGTTGGCCATGTGTTAGAACAAAAGAAGTATAACAAAATTTTAAAACTTGAAGTTATGTCAAATAGCTTATTTGGTCACAATGGAATAAAACTGGACATCAAAAAGAGGAACATTAGAAACTATACAAATATGTGGACATTGAACAATATGCTCCTGAATGACAAATGTATGAAGAAAGAAATTTAAATTTAAAAAGTATGTGAAACAAGTGAAAATAGAAATATAATACGCCAAAAGCTACAGGACACAGCAAAAGCAGTATTAAGAGGCAAGTTCATAGCAATAAATACATCAAAGCACTAGAAGGATTTCAAATAAATGACCTAATGATGTATGTACCTCAAGAAACCAGAAAAGCAAGAACAAACCAAACCCCAAATTAGAAGGAAAGAAATAATAAAGACCAGAGTAGAAATAAATGAAATTGAGACTAAGAAAACAACAACAAAATTAACAAAACAAAAAGCTGGTTTTTTGGAAAGATAAACCAAATTGACAAACTATTAGCTAGACTAAGAAAAAAAGACCCAAATAAAATCAGAAACAAAAAAGATGTCACAACACATACCAAATACAAAGGACCATTAAAGACTACTATGAACAACAAAATATATACCAGTAAATTTCAAAACCTAGAGGAAATGTATAAATTCCTAGACACATACAACCTACCAAGATTGAACAAAGAGGAAGTAGAAAACCAAATACCAATCACAGGTAATGAGATTGAATTAGTAACAAAAAATATTCCAACATAGAAAAGTCCAGCTGTGGAGGCCTTCACTGCCGAAATCTACTGAATCTTTGAAGAATTATTACCAATTCTTCTCAAACCATTCCAAAAAATTGAAGCAGAGGGAAGTCTTCCTAACTCATTCTACAAGGCCAACATAACTCTGATACCAAAACAGACAATAACAAAAAAAAGTTTTCAGTCCAATAGCCCTGATGAAAATAGATGCAAAAATCCTCAATAAAATACTAGCAAACGGAATCCAACAACACATCAAGATGATACACTATGACCAAGCGGGATTTATCCAACAAATGCAAGGATGGTTCGATAAATTCACGGAAATATGGATGAAACAAAGTAAATTTGAATCTTATTTTCATCTTTTCCTAGTGAACTGTTAAAAGGTTACAAACTAGTCTGAGAAGTCCCAATCTCCAGCTGAATATGCAGCCTGATGGCAGAGGCATATAAAATAGACAAAAATAAACAAAAAACAAAATTTCTTTACCTGATACTTTGTCAAAATGGAGTTATAGATTTTACAATATGTGAGTCACTATAGTAAGCAATGTATGCTTAGCAAATATTAATATTTAGGAGTTTCTATTAAATAAGATTTAGTTAAAATTTGTCCATATTAATAATTCCATTTAGTTTCTGGTAGTACAATATTTGGTACTCATAATTGAGTATAATTTTTTTTTTACCAGAATAAAAAGCTGTTGCAATCATTTTAAACCCTTTCCCCTAAGAGAAATATGTAGCAGGTGGGTCCTTGTATTTCCTTGAGGGAAGAAAGACGCACCATATATTTATTCTCTTCAGTTTTACTATTAATGTAGTACATACTCAGATCCTCATTTGGCTCCTTTATGGCTGAGAGGAGAATGTGAAGATAGAAAATTTCCCACCTAATATTTAGCACCTAGTAGTGAATTCTATCATTCTACCCTTAGTCATTCTCTATGTTCCACATTCATTATTATCTCTTCATTAATATTTTAAATATTGTGTTATATTACATCTTTATATGAAAATTAGGTCAACAAATCCTTGCTCCAATTTGACTTTTTTCCTGTTCAAGGAGAAAGACCTTAACCTTAAGAACATTAAGAAGGTTGAGAAAATTTTGAGTTTGGGGGAAAGATGTAGTAATTGTACTTAGATATTTACGGATTTATTCTCTGTGACTCCAAAGGAAATAACAAGAACCAAAGAATAAGGGGTAGTGGAAGGCAGATATGAGGAATAAATAATCAACAGCACTGCTTCAAATGGAACTTCCTTAACACTAGAAATGTCCAAGACTGAACAACTACTAGTTACAGTGTTTTAGAAAGGATCTGAGTGTACAGTAGGGAATTCGAGATGAGGATCTATTCTCATCTATGATTCTAACAGTTTTATGAGTTGGGTAAGTACTGTTTTATAAACTGGAGAATAACAAATTATGGTATATGTGATTTTCAGTAACTTTTTAATTTATAAAGTACCTTTAGAACTATAAGAGGTAGAATAATCAGACAATCATGTTAATGAAAGAGAATTGTTACCTGTTTGGAAAAAGACTCTAGAAATAATTGTCCGACACAATGGGCATGGAGTGCTTGAAGGATTGTCTTTGGCCAGAGTCCGTAAGCAGGGCTCACAGAAGATGTGATGGCAAGGGTAACACATATAAGGGTTGAAATAAACGTCCAGACACACTGCACAGATGTAGCTATCCTTTTCTTCTGCATATTCATTGTCTTCATCTGTACTCATCTCATTATTCAAAGTCTGCAAAACATAAGAAAACTTTTTTCTTAATTTAGTATGAGATTGGTTTCCTTAAGATAGCCTTTATATTTTGTTAAAATGAACAAAAATATTTGAGAAGCATATAAACTGTGGCATATTCAAAGTGCCAGAAATGCTACCTTTCAAAGTCAAGAAACTAAAAATATACATGAAAACCCAGAAGCCTATTTTTCTTTTTAGTATTGTGACATAGTGCTAAGTGCTAAAATATACCTAAACCTATTAAGTATACCTGTATTTTGGCTTAATCAACACTAGATAGGTGTTAGGTGTACCAGTCCCAGAATTATGTAGATTCTCTATCTACCCCATTCCTACCACAGCAAATAAACTGGTTGTCACAAGGTTATAGAGTTTTAATATGAGCATCCATGCATGATGAAAAGTGAAGGCAGAAGACGTCATACTTCATTCTCATACTGCGTGTGGAACATTCTCTATTCTATATTTTGTGTCTTCCTGGACCTCAAAGAAAGAGCCAAAGCCTAAGGGGTGTCAGGAGGAAAGCAAAGCAAAGAAACTGAGAGTAATTATGGGATTAGCCTTGCTATGGGGAAACATGATGAGCCTCTCTCCCCTCCCAAATGGAATTGTTAGGAAAAAGATACAGCAGGTTCTTGAATAATGTCATTTCATTCAACATTGTCTTGTTATAACGATGATGAGAAAAAAAACCGATTTCCAGCTGGGGCTGCTGTCTGTGTGGAGTTTCTGTCTGTGCAGAGTTTGCATGTTGTCCCCACGTTTGTGGGGGTTTTCTCTGGGTAATCCAGTTTCCTCTCATATCCCAAAGATGTGCATGTTAGGTGCACTGGTGTGTCTAAATGGTCCCAGTTGGGGTGAGTGTTGGTGTGTGTGAGTGTGCCCTGTGGTGGGATGGTGTCCCATCCAGGCCTGGTTCCTGCCTTGTACCCTGAGCTGCCAGGAGAAGCTCCAGTAATTATCTTGTTTTATTCATCTTTTGTAAATGTATGTATGTATAGCTCACATTTATTTCAGTGTTTAATATTAGAAGTGTTTTGGTCTTTAGAAGTTTGGTGATGCTTTTGTGATCAGAAATAGGCTGTAAAAATTGAACTCTTTATTTATATCAATTAGCCTATGGTAAAATTGGTGGTGTTATTTCGCCTGAAGTCACTGATAGTAGATTGGTGCAAAAGTAATTGCGGTCTTTGCTACTAAACTGCAATTACCTTTGCATCCACCTAAAACATCACCAGTAGGTTCTTGGAAATGGTGACTTTAAGCAAAATAAATGAGGATTTACTGTAGTTAGGAAAGAGGCAGCTCAGAGGTTAGTATTAATAGTAGAAGGTTTGTTAGCAGAATTCCTGTAACTCACAACTTCCTCATTTGTGAAATTGCTGTGAGGATTAAATGGGGTAATCCACTTAATACATTTAGTATGGCACCTGGCACATAGTAATTAATTATCAAAAAATGTTAGCCACGGCCATACTTCTCTACCCTCCCCCATCCCTTCTGCTCTTTCTCTACAGGTTCTGTAGTTTTTGCTAAAGCCTTGAGAATGTTTTTCTCAAACCAAGCATTTAAAACAGTGCTTATAATATAAAACATACTATAAGTGTTTACTGTTATTATATTCTATTATTATTATTATTATTTTGACACCGAGTCTTACTCTGTCGTCCAGGCTGGAGTACAGTGGTGTGATCTCTGCACAGAGCCTCTGCTTCCTGGGTTCAAGTGATTGTCCTGCCTCAGCCTCCCAAGTAGTTGGGATTACAGGCATGCGGCATGGTGCCCGACTATTCTTTGTATTTTTAGTAGAGACAGGGTTTCATCATGTTGGCCAGGCTGGTCTTGAACTCCTGGGCTCAAGTGATCCACATGCCTTGGCCCCCAAAGTGCTGGGATTACAGGCTGTGAGACACCACACCCAGCCTATATCCTATTTGTATTCTTAAGATTAATCTTAAGTGTTAACAAAAATAGTTGAAGTTCAGTATCTGTAATCTCCCCCTTCTGAACAAGACATTATATTCTCAACTCCAAACACAAAGACTGCCTTCTGCCCCTACTTGTCAGGAGCATGTTCCTTAAAACTGTTAATCTATGCATTTTAACTATATTTTATTCTTCTGCTTATTTTCATTCTTTGGCTTATTTAACAATGCTTTTTCATATTCCTTATTGTCCTCTTTGTTTTTATTTTGTTCTTTATTTTCATAGGTTTTGGGGGAACAGGTGGTTTTGGTTACATGAATAAGTTGTTTAGTAGTGATGTGTGAGATTTTGGTGCACCCATCACCTGAGCAGTATACACTGAACCCAGTTTTATCCCTCACTCCCTTCCCCCTTTCCCCCTGGGTCCCCAAAGTCCATTGTGTCATTCTTATGCTTTGCATCCTCATAGCTTAAGCTCCCACTTATGAGTGAGAACATACAATGTTTGGTTTTCCATTCCTGAGTTACTTCACTTAGAATAATGGTCTCTAGTTCCATCCAGGTTGCTGAGAATGCCATTATTTCATTCCTTTTATTGGCTGAATGGTATTCCGTTATACACACACACACACACACACACACACACACACACACGTATATATATATTCCGTTATATATATATATACGTGTATACATATATACACACATATACACCAACAGTGTAAAAGCATTCCTATTTCTCCACAGCCCCACCAGCATCTATTGTTTCTTGACTTTTTAATAATCGCCATTCTGACTGGCATGAGATGGTATCTCATTGTAGTTTTGATTTGCATTTCTCTAATGATCAGTGATGTTGAGCTTTTTTTCATATGTTTGTTGGCTGCATAAAATTGTGAGAAGTATCTGTTCATACCCTTTCCCCACTTTTTGATGGGGTTGTTTTTTTCTTTAAATTTAAGTTTCTTATAGATTCTGGATACTAGACCATAGTCAGATGGGTAGATTGAAAAAATTTTCTCCCATTTTGTAGCTTGCCTGTTTACTCTGATTATAGTTTCTTTTGCTATGCAGAAGCTTGTTAGCTTAATTAGATCCTATTTATCAATTTTAGCCTTTGTCGCAATTGCTTTTGGCGTTTTCATAATTAAATCTTTGCCCATGCCTATGTCCTGAATGGTATTGCCTAGGTTTTCTTCTAGGGTTTTTGTGGTTTTGGGTTTTACATTTAAGTCTTTAATCCACCTTGAGTTAATTTTTATATAAGGTGTAAGGAAGGAGTCCAGTTTGTTTTCTGCATATGGCTAGCCAGTTTTCTAAGCACCATTTATTAAACAGGGAATCCTTTCCCCATTGCTTGTTTTTATCAGGTTTGTCGAAGATCAGATGGTTGTAGATGTGTGGTGTTATTTCTGAGGTCTCTGTTCCATTGGTCTATATGTCTGTTTGGGTACTAGTATCATGCTGTTTTGGTTACTGTAGCCTTGTAGTATAGTTTGAAGTCAAGAAGCATGATGCCTCCAGCCTTCTTCTTTTTGCTTAGGATTGTCTTGGCTATACGGGCCCTTTTTTGGTTCCTTATGAAATTTAAAGTAGTTTTTTCTAATTCTGTGAAAAATGTCCATAGTAGTTTGAGAATAGCATTGAATCTATAAATTACTTTGGGCAGTATGGCCATTTTCATGATACTGATTCTTCCTATCCACGAGGATGAAACGTTTTTCTACTTATTTGTGTCCTCTTATTTCCTTGAGCAGTGGTTTGTAGTTCTCCTTGAAGAGGTCCTTTACATCCCTTGTTAGCTGTATTCCTAGGTATTTTATTCTCTTTATACCAACTGTGAATGGGGGTTCATTCATGATTTGGCTGTTTGTCTATTGCTGGTGTATAGGAATGCTTGTGATTTTTGCACATTGATTTTGTATACTGAGAGTCTGCTGAAGTTGCTTATCAGCTTAAGGAGGTTTTGGGCTGAGACTATGGGGATTTCTAAATATAGAATCATGTCATCTGCAACAGCGACAATTTGATTTCCTCTCTTCCTATCTGCATACCCCCCACCCTTTTTTTTTCCTCTTGCCTGATTGCCCTGGCCAGAACTTCCAATACTATGTTGAATAGGAGTGGTGAGAGGAGGGCATCCTTGTCTTGTGCTGGTTTTCAAATGGAATGCTTCCAGCTTTTGCCCATTCATAATTTTTCTTTCCCTTTTTTTTTTTGAGACGGAGTCTCGCTCTGTTCCCCAGGTTAGAGTGCAGTGGCGCGATCTCGGCTCACTGCAAGCTCCGCCTCCCGGGTTCATGCCATTCTCCTGCCTCAGCCTCCCGAGTGGCTGGGACTACAGGTGCCCGCCACCTCGCCCGGCTAATTTTTTGTATTTTTAGTAGAGACAGGGTTTCACCGTATTAGCCAGGATGGTCTCGAACTCCTGATCTCATGATCTGCCTGCCTCAGCCTCCCAAAGTTCTGGGATTACAGGCGTGAGCCATCGCGCCCAGCCTTAATTAGACCATTTATAATATCCCTTTTGTTTTCTGGATCTGTTTTTCCTTGTGTCAGGTTGTTTCTTCTTTTACATTATTGATATTCCTCAAAAGTCTGACAATATTTGCTTTATTTTTATATACAAGGGATTAGGTTTATTAGTATAGTTAGCTGACACAGATTCCCTCACTTGTGTAGGTCTTTTTCTGCAAGAGATCACTACTCTGAATAGAGAAATTGACTGCAAATCCTAAATGAACGAAGTATGTCAATAAACATGTACCTTTTGTGTATATAGTGGGAAGCAAGCATACAGGCTGAGGATTCTCACAATTGCTAAAATATAGAATGTTTTCCTAGGGAGTGAAGGACTTACTTCACTCATGAGAACTGCCTTTCCATGCCCACCATCAATCTATTTCCAGACTCTGCTTCTCCCTCCAGCTCCAAGAACCAGGCATGTCCTTGAATTTAGGAAGGAGTTCCCATGGTGTTGTCAGAGTGTAAATGTCAAAGCTAGCTTTTCTTTACATGGGAAGTGGAAGGGCAGGATCAAGACTAGGCCAACAATTTAGCAGGTTATCTAGTAACAATTATAATGTTCACACCTGTGGCTCTAAACCTTTACTGCCTATCAAAATCAGCTGGAGAGCTTGTTAAATTAATGCTGGGCCCATCCCTAGAGTTTCTGCTTCAGTAGATCTGGGATGGGGCCTGAGAATTTGCATTTTTAATAGGTTCCCAGGTAATGCTGATGCTGTTGGTTCACACTTTGAAAACTGATTCATATCATGACCTATAATTCCTGCTACCTGGCTGACTTTTTTAAACAATGTTCAGATCATTTTAATGAATACAAAGTTCCCCCAAAGTCCCACTGTTCTAGATCTTATGGCACCTGCCAAATCTTGTAAAAATAAAGATTCAACTGTACAAAATATTTGTTTTGTTTTGACTGCTGCTAGTTTGTTTTCATAATAAAAGGCCGCAGGCATCCCTATAACTTGTATGCCACTCCTCACTCACCTATTAAAAGGGAACACTTCTTCCTCAGCCAGATAATACTCTCAGGAGCTTAAATCATATATTCTGCATTGCTCACAGGGTACATGATGTACTTATGACCTCAGCCAGCCCACCCAATGGGAGTAGGAAAGCTCTAGACTTTGAAAAACATTTGTATTTTAAATTTTTTAAAAAGTGCATTTCTAAATAATTTCAAGTTTATAGAAAAGGCACAAAGAATAGTATAAATAACTCTACCTTAGACTTAGGTTCATCAATTGTTAACATTTGCCTTTATCATATTCTCTTTCTCATTCATATTATTTCATATAATCACACTGCATATCACAATAATCAAAATCAGCAAATTAAACATTAACACAATAGTATAATGTATAGTACATCAAATTTTACCAATTTTCCCAGTGGTGTCTTCTATAGAAATTATTTTTTTAAATGAAATAAAGAATAATCTTTATTGTCAAAAATGTGGTTAGGATCCTTTATTGTGGTATATGCTTCACAAGCATGTGGCCGAGGACTCAACCTCAAGGTAACCTTTTTATAGATACAAAGTTTTTTTTTTTTTTTTTAAACAACAGTTTTAGGTTCACAGAAAAATTGTGCAGAAAGTACAGAGAATTTCCATATACTTTCTCTACACACGCACATGCACACACACAGAGTTTTGCCTATTATTAACATCTTGCATTAGTGTGGTACATTTGTTACAAATGATGAACGAACTTTAATACATTATTGACAACTGAAGTCCACAGTTTACATTAGGGCTTACTCTTTTTTTGCACAATTCTATGAGTTTTGTCAAATGCGTAATGTCATGCATCCTAATTGATTTTTGATCTTGAAATTATTCCAGGTCTCTGATGAGAACTCTCAATTCCATATCAGTTTGTTTTTTCTTGGGCATTTAAAAAATCAATTTGCTTCATTTTCTAAATAAATGCAAATCCAATTGTTTTTTACTGCCTAGAAATTCCTGAGTCTGTTCAACTGATGGTATATTGCTGTGTTCCAGCAGTATGATACATTTATTATTTTAAAAATATACCCTTTTCTATAATCCCACTTTTAACTATCAGCTGAAAAGAAACAGAATAAGTATCACTTTGCTTTCACTAAAAATTGTCTAAAAAAGTATGTATAAAGTAAATGAAAATTTTCACCTAGTCTTATTTTATATATGTATGTATGTGTGTATATAATAGTTCCCCCTTATTTGTGGTTTCACTTTCTGTAGTTTCATTTACCATTTACCTGAAAATATTAAATGGAAAACTCCAGAAATAAGCAATTCATAAGTTTTAAATTGTGTGCCATTCTAGGTAGCATGATGAAATATTTTGCCATCCTACACAGGATGTGAATCATTTCTTTGTTCAGTATATCCACTTTGTATATACTACCACCTGTTAGTTATTTCATACATGTCTCAGTTATCAGATTGGCGAGTATGGTATAATAAAATATTTTGAGAGAGAAGAGGGAGAACACATTCACATAACTTTTATTACAGAATATAGTTAATTGTTCTATTTTTTATTGTTAATCTCTTACTGTGACTAATTTTTAAGTTAAACTTTATCACAGGTTGTATATATAGAAAAAAACATATAGTACACATACAGTACACATAACACAGATGGTGCCCATTTTAAAATGGTTCAACTTAGGATGGTGTGAAAATTATATGCATTCAGTAGAAACCATACTTTGAGCACCCATTGATCCATTCTGTTTTTTACTTTCAGTGCAGTGTTTAATAAATTACATGAGATAGTCAATACTTTATTATAAAACAGGCTTTGTGTTAGAAGATTTTGCCCAACTGTGGGCAAATGTACTAATGGAAACGTTCTGAGCACATTTAAGGTAGGCTAGGCTAAGCAACACTTTTTTGGTAAGTTAGGTGTATTAAATGCATTTTTAACTTACATTTTTCAATTTAAAATGGGTTTATCAGGACAAAAACCCATAGAAAATTGAGGAGCATATGTGTGTAAACATATATATATATAGGGTTTGGTACTACCTGCTGCTTCAGGCATCCACTGGGGGGTCTTGGACCATATCCTCTGTGGATAAGGCAGGACTACTGTGTGTGTGTGTGTGTGTGTGTGTGTATATATGTGTGTGTGTGTGTGTGTGTATAAATATGTATATATATGTGTATATATATGTATGTGTATATATGTATATATAAATATACATATATATACACCTCACTTGATCATGCTTGGCTTTATTGCATTTTGCAGATATTGCTTTAAAAATAACAAATTATAGGTTTGTAGCAACCCTGTGACAAACAAGTCTGTTGGCATCACTTCTCCTAATAGCATGTGCTCATTTAATATCTATCAGTATTTTTTTAGCAATAAAGTACTTTTAAACTAAGACATACATTTTTTACACATAATACTATTGCACACTTAATAGACTACAGAACAGTATAAACATAACTTTTTATATGCACTGGGAAACAAAAAAACTCATGCAACTCATTTTATTGTGATATTTGCTTTACTGTGATGGTCTGGAACCAAACCAATAGCTCTGAGGTATGCCTGTATATGTGTGTGTACACACACACACACGCACACACATATATATAGTTGACATGGGTTTGAACTGGGTGGGTCCACTTATATGTGGATTTTTTTCAATAAATATAGTTGGCCCTCCATGTCTGCAGGTTCTGCATCTGCCATCAAACATGAATCTAAAATGCAGTATTTGTGAGAAGTAAAACCTGTGGATATGAAGGGCTGACTTTTCATATATCTGGGTCCCAACAGGGCCTACTGTAGGAATTGAGTATGTGTGGATTTTAGTATTTGCCAGGGGGTGTGAAGGGTCGCTGGACGCATCCCCCTTGGACATTGAGGGACATATCTGTATTTCAGTGCAAAATTAATAAACAACAATATTCTCTTGGATTACAGAAATATACCACAGAAGTAAAGGATAAGCATTCAAATTGCCTTCTCCATCAACACAATTATATTTCATATATTCAAGACTCTTAAAGATTATATTAGGTTAAGTACTAAATGTGTTTGATTTATATATTTTTATTTCTAGTTTAATGGTTAAAAATAAGTGACCTAAGCTATAGCATATCCAAAGTCTTGTATCTGTTGCAATCTGAAGAATGCAGGGACAATTTCACAAAAATGTCACTACCTTAAACCCTAAATATCAGAGTGCATTACAACACCATAGTACGTTCTCAACAAATTATGCATGGATGAATAAATATTCACTCAGACCACACATTGTCCTCTGCAATTAAGCCTCTTCTGCAGTACAAACATTTCCAGAAAGGGACATCTCACTTTCTGCAGTATCTTGGTGTGAGTTTATTAAATCATATTCCTCTTTAGCAAAATAAAATGATAGGGTATTTGTAGGAGATAAATATTTAATGGGTCCTTTAGGATAACAATTCTTAAGTGTGATTCACAGACTCCTGAGAGCAAAAAGACCCTTTCAGAGGATTAATGAGGGCAAAAGTATTCTCATAATAATACTAAAAGCTGGGGACAGTGACATGTGCCTGTGATCTCAGCTATTCTGGAGGCTGAGGCTATAAGTTCAGAAATTTGATTCCAGCCTAGGCAACATAGCAAGACCCTGTTTCTAACAAAAAACAAAATAAAAACAACAAAATAATATACTGAGATGTTATTTGCCCTTTTCACTGTGTTGGCAATTGTACTGATGGTGTGGAAGTAATAGTGGGTTAAATTGCTAGTGCCTTAGTGTGAATCAAGGCAGCGGGCCAGACTTTACTGAGTCATTATACTCACTTATGGGAAAAAAAGAAAAGCTCATTGCTATTAAGAATATCCTTAATCAATCTGGAAAAATATTAATTTTTATTTTTATTGTTTTTGCCCTTTTAATAATGCATGTGACAGAAATGGGAAGTACCCATAAAGCATTTCAGCTGTATACCAAAGCATAATGGTTATTTTGAGTAAAAAATCTTTTTTTTTTTTTTTTTTTTGAGACAGTTACGCTCTTGTTGCCCAGACTGGAGTGCAATGGCACGATCTTGGCTCACTGCAACCTCTGCCCCCCAGGTTCAAGCAACCTCAGCCTCCTAAATAGCTGGGATTACAGGCATGCACCACTATGCCTGGCTAATTTTGTATTTTTAGTAGAGAAGGGGTTTCACCATGTTGGTCATGCTGGTCTCAAACTCCTGACCTCAGGTGATCCACCCACCCCAGACTCTCAAAGTGCTGAGATTACAGGCGTGAGCCACCATGCTGGCCGAGTAAAAGCATCTTGGTTATTATTTGAATTGTGAGCTGCATTAGCTTCTTTTTTCATAGAACATCATTTTTACTTAAGTGTCAGACAAGCTGATTATTCAGATTTGGTTATTTGGTAGACATTTTCACAAAAAAGAACAAAGTAAATCTGTCACTCCAAGGGAAACAACTGACGGTATTTGCTGCCAATCAAAATGATAAAATTTGAACTTTCAAGCAAAAGTCAGAAGTTTGTAAAATTTGTTTTTGCTTACAGATTCCCAATACTTAATGACTTTTGTTAAGTGACTGGTGATGATATTAACAAATACTTTTTGACACTGCATAATAAAATATGTCAACATTTAGAAGAGTTAGATAATTCAGTAAACGAATATCTTCCAAATGTCTAATGCATGATGTTACAAAAATCATGCATGGGTAAATGAACCACTCAAAGTGCAAAGACAGACCCACGGATTTTAATGTAATAGAGTATTTAAAGTTAGTATCAGGTGTCAAGACTACATTGCAACTAGCCTTTAAAATCTAGTGCTTGTCAAGTTTTGCTGTAATTATCAAAGACAAATATCCACAATTATTCTGAAAAGCTATTATACTACTATCCCCTTTTTCTGACTGCATGTCTAGCTAGATTTTCTTCACATAATTCAACTAAAACAAGTGGCAATAGACTGCATGCAGAAGCAGATATGAGAATACATGTGTCTTCTATTGAGCCAAATTCTAAAGAGATTTGTAAAAATGTAAAACAATGGCATTCTTCTCGAGTAGTTATACAACATGCAATAGTTTATTATCTTTATATGAATGCATAAATATCTTAAATTTTTTAGTTTTAATTTTTAATATGGTAAATATTTATAATCCATGTAGACAAAAGTTCGCTGGGCTCTCAAAAAATTTTAAGATTGTAAAGGAATCTTAAGACCAAAAGGTGTAATAAGAACTGACACATTAGGAAACAGAAAGCAAAGATTTGAGCACTAGACATCTATTAGGTACCATATTAGAGTTTATGAGTACTTAATTGGCAATATTGTCAATATCAATGATAATAGTAAATACGATTATTTAGGGTAAAAATTCAACTTAGGATCTAAATAATGACAAATTCTATCTATCTGAGACCCAAATAAATAAAAGCTCAAAGAGGAAGAAGTAGTAAAAAAAAATGTTGGCATGCTGTAGATTTTAGGACAGAGGAGAAAAAATATTTAGTACAGGTTGAGCATCCCTAATCCAAAAATCCAAAATCTGAAACTTTTTGAGTGCTAAGACACCACAAGTGGAAAATTTCACACCTGACACCTTTGCTTACTAATGGTTCAATGTACAAAAACTTTGTTAAACAGAGTAAACAGACAACCTATAGAATGGGGCAAAGTATTTTCAAACTATGCATCCAGCAAAGGTTTAATATGCAGACTCTATAAGGAACTTAAGTCAACAAGCAAAAAACAACCCCATTAAAAAGTTAGCAAAGGACATGAACAAACACTTTTCCAAAGAAGACATACACATGGCCAAAAAGCATTTGAAAAAATGCTCAACATCACTAATCATTAGATAAATGCAAATCAAAGCCACAACAAGATACCATTTCACAACAGTCAGAATGGCTATTATTAAAAAGTTAAAAAATCATAGATGCTAGTGAGGTAGCACAGAAAAGGGAACACTTACACACTGTTGGTGGGAATGTAAACAAGTTCAGCTACTGTGGAAAGCAGTTTGGTGACTTCTCAAAGAACTCAAAGCTGAATTACCATTCAACCCAGTAATCCCATTATTGAGTATATACCCAAAGGAATATAAATTGTTCTACCATGAAGACACATGCACATGTTATGTTCATCGCAGCACTATTTACAATAGCAAAGACATGGAATGAACCCAAATGCCCATCAATAGTAGACTGGATAAAGGAAATGTACACATACACCATGGAATACTATGCAGCTATCAAAAGAATGAGATCATGTCCTTTTCAGCAACGTGGATGGAGCTGGAAGCCATTATTCTAAGCAAACTAACACAGAACAGAAAATGAGATACCACATGTTCTCATTTAAAAATGGGAGCTAAGCATTGAGTACATATGGATACAAAGAAGGGAACAACAGACACAGGAGCCTATTTATGGGTAAAGGGAGAGAGGAAGGTGAGGATCAAAAAACTACCTATTGGGTGCCATGCTCATTATCTGGGTGATTAATTAATCTATACAACAAAACCTCATGACACACAGTTTACCTATTTAACAAACCTGCACATGTATCCCTGAACCTAAAAGTTAAAAAAATGTTAAAAATAAAATTACCTTCAGGCTATATGTATAATATGTATATGAATCATAAATTTGATGTTTAGACTTGGGTCCTATCTCCAAGATATCTTACTATGTACATACAAATATTCAAAATTCTGAAAATACCCAAAGTCTGAAAAACTTCTGATCTCAAGCATTTTAGATAAGGGATACTCAACCTGAATTTACTTCAAAAGGCCACACCCAGATATAGTACCATTTTATAGATCAATCAGCTTTTATTTACAGCGCATTAGATGATAAATAACTTCATTTAAAATGAGAAGAGCTACTAGAAGACCCCAGATGTAAGGTTTCACTGAACACGGCACCAGCTTTTGAGGTTCCTGTGTTTTCTTTGTAATCTGAGCCAGACCTACACACATGCAACCACGTCTAAGGGACCTGCAGTTGGTATTGTGATTTTGGTACCACCTACTCCTGTTCCTGTGTGGGTGTTTTCCAGCACAGAAAAGTAGAGATAATTACCAACAATCAGTGAAACGGAACCACTCCAAGCTATGTTGCCTTACTGATGCTGAACGATTAACAACACTGCAAAGTAACAAGTTACAATGAACCCCACCAACACAGTTTTTGATGCTAAATGTCTGATTGAACAGAGATGCTCCCCTCCACTTCCCTGTGGTTTGATGCTTTCTCTTATTTTCATTGCTACTTCCTAATTCAGGTTCTTATCTTTATATATGCTTAACAAATATTTGAATGTGTACTACGTACCAGGTACTGTCCCAGGCTCTGACAATACAGCATAGAACTTTTAGGCTAATGGAGGAGAATAAGAGGGTGCTAAGAAACCATGAAACGGAGGAACTCTAATTAGTCTCCAGTCCAGAAAGGCATCTGTGAGGATGTGCTATTTAAGTTGAGATCTTGTTAGAAATCTTTTTGTTACAAGTGGCCAAAAATGGAACTCAATGTGGCTCAACAATTAAAATGGAATTTGTTGGTATAAGACACTGAAAAAATCCAGAAGTATATCTAGTTTCAGGTAAGAACTTACTCAGTAGCCTAAAGGACATCTCTAAGAACCTGAATTTTCTTGTTCTGCTATCTGTGATGACAATTTTCTCCTAATGCCTAGCAGCTTCATTCTCTCTCCCTTGCACCCTCAAATGGCTCTGGCAGCTGCAACTCTCGCATACGTGTACCATCATACTATCCAAAGAAATAAAGAGGGTCTTTTCCAGTGGCTCTTGCATAATATCGGATATCCATTCTCTTTCATTGGCCTGAAGAGGGTTTGTTTACCTATCCTTAGGAAAAACCCTATCCTCAGGGAGACAACTGACACTAAATCATTTAATCTAATCAGAGCACATGGTTATGGCTATAAATGGGGGAACGGTGAATTTTCTAATGGAGAATCAGGAGATTATTGGTAGAAGATGGTAGGAATCGATACTGAAGACGTTTCCCAAAAATGTCCACTAAACCAGACCATGTCAGATCTGAATGGTATGTACAAATTAACCAGGAAAAGAAGAGAAAGAACATTTTGGGCAAAAGGAACAGTTTATGAAAAAATCTTCAAAAACAGTAAGGACTTTGGAGCCACTGAGAAACAGGAAGGTAGTTTGGTTACAAAAAGATAAAACAGGAAAGAGGAGAGAACTTGCAGACTCCTTTCAGAATTTTGGACCCACACTCTAGTTCATGTACATGTACATCTCCATCTATTTTTTTTCCTACCTGGAGGCAGGAAACCATAGGACTTTGTGTCTCAAGGATTGGGTACTATACTTTAGTACATGCCATACTGGACACAAAGCAAGTACTTAGTGACGTAAATTCCAATGTGTGATGCAGATCTATGCTTTTACAGTTTGGTTAGTATTTAGTTTGAACTATATCAACCATAACTTACTTCCTCTATCCCAAAGAGCCAGGCTAACAGCTAGCATATTTCAGATCAAAGTAACTGTAATTTATTTTCTTTTGTTTGGTAGAGATGGGGTGTCACTTTATTGCCCAGCCTGGTATTGAATTCCTGGCATTAAGTGGTCCTCCCTCCTAGGCCTCCTAAAGAGTTTGGATTATAGTAAGCCACTGTGCCCCACCCAAATAATCTGTAATTTCTACCATGAAATTCTTCTTGGTATTTTTAAGTCTGAAAGTGATAAAAAGTGTATTACTATCCATTTACTTATAGTTGTTCACTAAGCCCATTATTCTTCCCAGGTCCTTAGCTAGATTATATATCCAGAGTTCCTGTGAATTAGGTGTGGCAGAAGAAATGAATTACTGATGTGACTGAGTTTTAACCAAAGGAATGTAAGCAGAAGTGAGATGCGCCACTTCCAGGGTTAGCCCATATACAATAAATCCTTTCATTAGTGGTCCTCCACACTCTTTCCCCTTCCAGATTGAGGCAGATGAGTGGCAGTAGAAGTCACATACTGAAATATGATAGAGCTAGAAGATGGAGGGAACCTGGATCTCTGGATTGCCATTTACAAAAGAACTATGTGCTAATTAGGACTTCACTTGAGTGAGAAATAAAAATTTGTCACAAAAAACAACTGAGATCTGGTATTTATCAGTTATAGCAGCTAATGTTATCAAGTACTACAAAAACTGTTATATCAGTAACAGGGTTTCTTTTTTTTTTTTTTGCAAAAGTATTTTGCAGTCATAACAAAAACCTAAAATATGAGGCACTGGTTTAGCAGTGAGGAGACTGATACTCAGAGGCTAAAAGATTGAGACATATATTAAGCAATGACAAAACATTTGGTAAAATGTCATCTACAATAACATGGTAGGCAGACTATGTGTGCCCCTGTAGCCTAGATCTCTAGGGGAAGTGGCTGAAATGAAAGTAATTGTGAACATTTACTTTTAATAGTTTAAGCCATATGACAAATTATATTAATTTCTGAATGTGGATCCAGACTTGCATCCCTGGACTAAATCCTATGTGGTTGTGGCATATAAATAATTCTTTTTATACTTGTTGAATTTGGTTTGCTAATACTTTGTTGAGGATTTTTACATCTATCTTCATGAATGATACCGACTAGTGGTTTTCTTGTAAGTTTTTTGATATGAGGGTAATGCTGGTCTCATATAATGAGTTTGAAAATATTCCCATCATAGATACCCATCTGAGAAAGGGCACTACAACAAATCTGGCAGGATCTTATTAAGTGTAAATTATAAGAAACTCTCATGTAGTCAAAGTTTTATGAATTCTCTAGGCCTTTGTTCCTTTGACTGTTAAACGACATTTTCGCCAAAAGATGAATGGAAAAATTAATATAAATATAAAAGCCAGTCAACCTGACACTGCTAAGAGTTGGTAAAGAATAAACTGAATGATTTTTTAAAATATAAAGGTTTGAGTGGTTGCTGAATTTATTTATATATATTACTAAAATAGAAGCAACTAAATCCCTATTTTGTTTATAAAGAACCTATAAACAGGTATAAATCAGATAGATTATAACATTAAACAAATCACTTCAATATATTAAAGAAAATATTAAACAGTTCAAGAGATCTCCAAGTATTAATTATTAATAATTAAAACAAACACACCACAATATTAGAACCACATTTGGTGAAAAGGTCCGATATTAGTATTTTCTACCAAAATATTAAAAAAACAAAAAAATTTACATTATGGAGGCTAAAACAGTCTGACAAACTATTTTCCATATAGGAAGAAACGGGAAAGAAAATATTGTTTTGGCTCCTTCATATATATAAAACAAATCTAAATCAATTCTATGGTTGATGGGATCACGGCTTTCATTATGTACTCTGAGTGAATATGTTTTCTGCTGAATTCAAGAAATACTTTCTTACCAATTACATACAATCATATAAATTATGCTAATATAGTAGGTGGAAAATTATTTTCCTATTTTGAAAACTGCTGGCTGAGCCAGAGTCCCTAACATTGAAGGTATATAACTGCTCTTTTAACTTTCAGGTAGTCAAAGTTTCATGAATTCTTTAGGCCTTTTACATTCCTTGCCTTTGTTCCTATGACTGTTAAATGACATTTTCACCAAAATATGGAAATACATCTATTAATGTTGGAGGAAATACATTAATAGACTTTTTGATTACGTGGAGATTGGCATCTGGATTAGGCTGGAAGGAGGGTTAAGGACAGCAAGGATGAGAAAAGAAGAGGGCAAATTATTCTGCTTTATAAAACAATGGATAAGAGAGAGTTACAGAAGGAGGAGGAGAGCAGAAACACAAGCTAGAACAGGACTAGGAGAAGAATGCATTTGCCTATGGGGGAGTCAGCTGAAGAACTTTTAGAAAAAGTGAAGTTTAATATTCAATTCTAAGATGTTTCTAGTTCTGCAGATTAAGTACTCATCTTAGTCGTTATCTCTAAGACTTTAGTAAAAGGTTGTTGCATATTCCAATTTTAAGTTACTGGTAACTGAAGAATACAGAAAAATCCCCCTTTATATTTTTACTCTGAGCAAGGTGGGAGTAAAATAGGAAACCAGTCTTGGGTGGCAAAGTGCCATATTCTGGAATAAGAGATGACAGGAAACACTACCAACTCCCACCAAAACTTACTCCTCAGAAACACTGAACCATTGTTCCTTGGAAAAACATAGAATTAGGTTCCTCCAAGCCCCTGGCTACACTTTTGTGAAATAATCAATATATAACTTTGTTTAATGTTTGTTGCTGTTTAAAGACACCTCATTTAAATGCAAAAACTGTGACCTGACACTAAACAGACTACAAAATGACACTTGTCTATAGTAATAGAACTGAAACAAGAAGCCAGACTGTTGCCTTGTTTGACCTCAGCTGGGAATATGCACATAAGATTACAGTTTTTTGCTGTTCTGTGCATGTCAACGAATGATTACAAAAGCACTGTGAGTACTGATTTTGGAGTTACAAATAAATTTTAGTGAGTATGCAAATTCACAAATGTGGAACTAACAAATAATGAGGATTGACTGAATCAGTTATTCAAAGCTCTCCATAAACTAGACTCTCTTCACCTTTCATTCTTCCTATGCATAACTGCACTGCAATCAGAATAGCCTTGGCTTTCTTCTTAGAATAGCTGAAATTTGTATCTTGATTCATACTATTAAGCTCTTCTAAAATTCATACTATTAAGCTTTCTAATCATTTCCCACAAATTTAAAAATTTCTTCCGAAGTCCAATTAAAGATTCATTTCTGAGAAGACTACCTGCTTCAGCCATACTGCTTCCTGCAATTTAGCAGATTACAGATGGTCCCCAACTTATAATGGTTTGACTTGAAATTTTTTGACTTCTCACTGGTGCAAAAGTGATACATGTTCTGCAGAAACCATACTTCAAGTCCCCATGCAACCATTCCGTTTTTCACATTCTGTGCAGTATTCAATACATTACGTGAAAATTGTCAACACTTTATTATAAAATAGGCTTTATGTTAGATGATTTTGCTAATGAACGCATTCTGAGCACGTTTAAGGTAGACTAGGCTAAGCTATGTTGTTTGATAGGTAAGGTGTATTAAATACATTTTTGACTTATGATATTTTTAAGTTATGAGTTTATCAGGATGTAACCCCACTGTAAGTTGAGGAACATCTATATTTTGAGGGCTATATGTATATCACTCAGATTTATACTAAACAACACACTTACTCATACTTAGCTTTTTAAGTCTTCTCTGGATGCCTTAAAATATTTTGTTTTCTCAGTTAGAGAATAAGGATTTCAACCATGTCTTTTAATTAATCTTCATTTTGTCTTTCTCTATTATACATTTGGAATCAAAGAATAGATGTCTAAATATTAACACTAATTTTTAAATGCAGTTTAACCAAGTCTTAAGTGTCAGAAATAGCAAATAGGTTTCATGTCCTAAGCCAACCTAATTAAATCAATACTGATATTATTAAATGAATAATGACTACCCAATATATTTAGAGTATTGTGTTGAGATTTCCTGGGGGCTTGTCTTATACTAGATGGGAAAGAGCCATAATTGGTTATTAATGCCTGCAAAGGGTACAGAAAGTGAAATGACAGAAAGCATGAAGAGATTTGCTATCCTTTGGCTCACAGTTAAGCTTTTTACAATAATTTGGGGGGATATTTTGGATTACATTAACCATTTTATGGTCACATCTTTTTTTTTATTTTTATTTTTTTATTTTTTATTTTATTATTATTATACTTTAAGTTTTAGGGTACATGTGCACAACATGCAGGTTTGTTACCTATGTATACATGTGCCATGCTGGTGCGCTGCCCCCATTAACTTGTCATTTAGCATTAGGTATATCTCCTAATGCTATCCCTCCCTCCTCCCCCCACCCCACAACAGTCCTCAGTGTGTGATGTTCCCCTTCCTGTGTCCATGTGTTCTCATTGTTCAATTCCCACCTATGAGTGAGAATATGTGGTGTTTGGTTTTTTGTCCTTGTGATAGTTTGCTGGGAATGATGGTTTCCAGCTTCATCCATGTCGCTACAAAGGACATGAACTCATCACTTTTTATGGCTGCATAGCATTCCATGGTGTGTATGTGCCATGTTTTCTTACTCCAGTCTATCATTGTTGGACATTTGGGTTGGTTCCAAGTCTTTGCTATTGTATGGTCACATCTTTTTAGAGGAAACTAAAAAGTACATATTTCCTTTTTATATATAGGTCATATAATCTTTCTGGTTTTAGTTTAAATTTACCTCCCTTTTCAAAATGTCCTACCTGCTATGCTGGCTAGCCTATGTATTTTATCCTTTCATTCAAAAACAGACACCTAAATTAATGTTGTTTTTGTTAAAGCTTCCACAGTTTTTTACATATATTATTTATGATTGGAACCTGCCTTCCCACTGTGATATCATCAACAGTATAATACATACTCTTTCAAACAGTTGTTTTTGATTCTCAGATTGAATTATAAACATATTATTATTTTGTGAATAAACAATCTCACAGAAAACAATTCTTATGCAATTGGGTTTCAAGAAATCTACCTTTTTATTTAGCTTAGCTCTTTTCAAATGCAATAACTGCAAGTTACATTTTTAAAAGTATAAAAATACAATACAGCTGTGAGAGATTAGATTTTTCTATAGCTAATTAGCTACTTTTAATCCCTGTAAGGATTAGGATAAAATATGTCCACTCCATTGATATCAAGCTAGGCTATCTGACTTATTTTGTCGAAAGGAACGTGAGTGGAAGCAATTGAAACCATGTATAAACAGATTTCCTTAAAGAGTCATTGCATGGTTCTACCATGACACTTTTACCTTGGTCTTAATAATGACATGTCTGTTATAGTGGATGCTCCATCATTCTAGATCTCTTAACTAGATCCTTAGTTAAGAAGTCACTAAATCAGAGCAGCAGCCAACATGAAACATGAGAAATAAATAAATCTCTGTTGCTTATAAGCCACTGAGATTTAGGGGCAGAATGTTACTACATTAACATGTAGTAATTAATGTAGTGACTAATACAAAAACTGGTATCAGGAATAGAGGTACTTATGTAACATAGTCTGAAATATGTGGCAGTGACTTAGGAAACTGTTATTAGAGGTTGAAAGATATAAATAAAAAATAGAACTCATACACTGGTGACGCATATGGTAAAACTGTCACCTGTAGTAAACTGGCAGACGATATAGAGCAAAATGAGCTTAAAAAAAAAAATTCAGTAACATGCCTTGGTTGCTACTGGCTGCATTTAATATGGTACAACAAGAAAAAGATAAGCTCAGAAGGAAATGATCTGGTTTCAAACATCAACAAAGGAAGAAAGAGAAGAATCTAGAAATTATAGGACCCCCAGAGTTAAAGATAACAGTTTTTTCTCATGCTCAACCAGTGAAAGATAAAAGTTAAATAAGCTCTGAGAAACAAAGGCTGACCCAGAGTCAAAGACCAAATCTAGTATACCTACACCTTGGAGACACTGCGGGTTTAGTAATAAACCATTTCATTAAAGTGAATATTGCAATAAAGCAAGACACACACATTGTTTGGTTTCCCAGTGCATACAAAAGTTATGTTTACACTATAATGTAGTCTATTAAGTGTGTAATAGCTTTGTGCTTACAAAACTAATGTACATGCTTAATTAAAACCCACATTACTGCTAAAAAGTACTAATGATCATCTGAGCCTTCAGTAAGTCATAATCCTTTTTGGAGGTGAAGGGTCTTGTCTTGATGCTGATGGCTACTGACTGATTAGGGTGGTGGTTGCTGGAGGAAGGAGTGCCTGTGACAACAATGAAGTTTTCTGCATTGTTAGACTCTTCTTTTCACAAAAATTTATCTGTAGCATGCAATGCTGTTTTATAGCATATTATCCACAGTAAAACTTCATTCAAAATTGAAGTCAATCCTCTTAAATCCTGCTGCTGCTTTATCAATTAAGTTTATGGAACATCCTAAATTGTCATTTCAACCATGTTCACAGCATCTTCACCAGGAATAGATTCCATCTCAAGACACCACCACTTTCATTGCTTATCCATAAGAAGCAACTTCTCATTTTTCAAATTGTATCATGAGATTGTAGCAATTCAGTCATATCTTCAGGCTCCTCTTCTAATTCTAGGTCTCTTGTAATTTCCACCACATCTGCAGTTACTTTCTCCACTGAGGTTTTGAACCCCTAAAAGTCATCCATAAGGGCTGCAATTAACTTTTCTCAAACTCCTGTTAATGTTATTTGCACCCTCTCATAGGACTCATGAATGGTCTTTATGGCATCTAGATTGATGAATCCTTTCCAGAAGGTTTTCCATGTGCTTTGCCCAGATCCATCACAGGCATCACTATCTATGGCAGCTATAGCCTTAGTAAATGTATTTCTTAAAATATAAGACTTTAAAGTCAGAATTACTCCTTGATCCATGGACTGCAGAATGTATGTTTTATTAGCAGGCATACAAACAACATTAATCTCCTTGTACACCTCCAGCAGAGCTCTCTGGTGACTAGGTACACTGTCAACAAGCACTGATATTTTGAAAAGCCTTTTTTTTTCTGGGAAGGAGATCTCAATAGTGGGCTTAAAATATTCAGTATACCATGCTGTAAGCAGATGTGCTGTCATCCAGACTTTGTTCTTCCATTTATAGAACACAGGCAGAGTAGATTTAGCATAACTCTTAAGGGCCTTATGATTTATGAAACAGGTAAATTGAACACTGGCTTCTGCTTAGTCACCAGCTGCATTAGCCCCTAGCAAGAGAGTAAGCCTATCCTTTGAAGTCAGGCATTGACTTCTCTCTGGCTATGAAGTCCTAGAGGGCATCTTCTTCCAACAGAAGGCTGTTATGTCTGCATTGAAAATGTGTTGTTTAGTTAGTTGCCTTCATCAATGATCTTAGCTAGACCTTCTAGATAACTTGGTGCAGCTTCTACACCAGTACTTACTGCTTCCCCTTGCACTTTTTTGTTATAGAGACAGCTTCTTTCCTTAAACCTCATGAACCCATCTCTGCTAGCTTCACACTTTTCTTCTGAAGCTTCCTGTGCTCTCTCAGCTTTCAAAGAATTAATGATAGGAACTTGCTCTGGATTAGGCTTTGGCTTAAGGGAATATTGTGGCTGGTTTCATCTTCTACATAGACCATTCGAACTGTCTTCATATCAGCAATGGGGCTGTTTTTTCCTTATTATTTGTGTATTCACTGGAGTAGCACTTTTAATTTCTTTCAAGAACTTTTTCTTTGCTTTCACAACTTAGCTAACTATTTGGTGCAAGAGGCCTAGGATATCCTGACTTTCCACATGCCTTGCTCACTAAGCTTACTAATCTATAGCTTTTGTTGTAAAGTGAGACATATGTGACTCTTCCTTTCACATGAACACTTAGAGACCACTGTAGGGTTATTAATTAGTCTAAATTACATATTATTGTGTCTCAGGGAGGCCCAAGGAAAGGGAGAGATGGGGGAATGGCTGGTCAGTAGAGCAGTCTAAACACATACAACAGTTATGGATTAAGTTCACCATCTTATATGGGCATAGTTGGTGATGCCCCAAAACAATTACAATAGTAATATCAAAGTTCACTGGCCACAGATTACCATAACAGATATTATAACAAAAGTGTTTAAAATATTGCAACAATTGCCAAAATGTGACAAAGAGACACAAAAAGAGAACATTCTATTGGAAAAATGATGCCGATGGACTTGCTCAATGCAGGGTTGTCACAAACCTTCTGTTTGTTAAAAACACAGTATCTACAAAGTGAAATAAAGCAAAGTGCAAAAATACAAGGTTTGACTGCATATAACTGTGATGTCCTTTGTTATATTCTCTTCATAAATTAAAAGTGGCACTCAACAAGTTCTTTCTAGATTAAGTGTAGCCCCTACAAATCCTTGGACAAAAGTAGATCAGGGGAAAGAGGCTATGTATGTTTTCTCATGGAAATCTTATAAGTTTAACAGGCCAGCAATTAAGTCTAAAGAAAGATGGACATGTCATCAAAATAACTATCTTCAAAATAGCTTCTGACACATGTAAACACCTTGAATAAAATACATAAAAAGCTAAGGTTTAGACAGTTCTGCCATGACAGCTTCTTGCATGGACTAAGAGACTTGGACTATTTGAGATTTATAATGACCCTTTGGCCCCAATCCTCTATGGCAATGAAGTAGCCTGAAAAAGTTTCTCAGCCCTAAAAAGACATATATACTTCAATATCTTCTGATGTGGCCAAGGAAGATACTGGAAAAGAATGAGCCACATAAAATTCAGAGTTTAAAAACCATAGAGACAATGGACTAGGGATATAATGGTAGAGAACAGAATCCGAACTAAAAAAATAAATAAATAAATATCCCTACCACAATGTAGGATTCCTTCACAACATATATCAGTGGGATTTCAAAATTGCTATTGACCAGCGACTTTTGTGTGCTTCCAATTTTCCCTTTCTAAATTGGAGTTATTGTGATTATCCTGTTCCTGCTCCAGCAGTGTATATTGGGTATATGTGGGGCAGAAAATTTGTCTTTTTAGTTCTTAGCTCACTGGATCAAGAAGGGCCATATGGAGACTTGATACAACAGCTGTCATTAAATTCTGCACTTTGAGTCTGGGATGGGACTTATGACTATATACCTTGTGGAGTGGGTATTTTACATGTGTAAAAAAGAGAAATATTTTTGACCAAGAGGGTCAAAAACATATTAAGAGTGTATATGTGTTAAGTTGTATTATTGCTTCCAATTATTTGTTCTCATTCCCTGGTAAAAGAATCACACTTTGCTGCCCTATTAACCTTCAAGCTGGGCCATCTGACTTACTTTGGGCAATGGAATGTACATAGAAGTGATATGTGCCATTCCTAAACAGAAGGTTTAAGAGTCATCATTTGGTGCTCCCATGACTTTTACCCTTGCCAAGAGACTTATAACAACCAGACTGAAAACTATACACACACACACACACACACACATTCTGATGTGGCATACAACAAATATATGACTAAGACATTTTTAAAAGCAGCTTTAATTTCCAACTGATTTGGTTATTTAAAAAGCCATCATACTCACTGCTGAATAATAAATGTCTGAACATAAAACTAAAAGAAGGAATGTTTAACAGCATTTTCCAGATCTAACCATTCTCTTTTTAACAAATATGCAACAAAAAATAAAACACAGTTAACCAGAAACCATCTGTCATTTCATAAAATAAAATTTAAAATCATCTTTTTAGTTATTTGGTTAATTTAATTTTCAGAACTAAGTATAAAAACATTGAAAGTAAGATCATTGGAAGACTCATAAATAAACCCAAACCTGAAATTTTGACGTTTGCAGATCAAATCCTTTGAGATAAGGTTCATAATGACTATGAGGATTAAAATACTAATACAGATTTGCATTTATATTTGTAAATACAACATATTGAATAAATTTAATTGTCATACTTGGGTTTGTTCATTTACCATTTGTTCTTATTGCTGTTGTTCAGTAGGAAGGGCTAAGAGAAATAGTACACTCTGGAATTCTATTATTTATTCCTACTCAGCAATGAATCTTTACTGTTTTACAGTGTATATTACAGTACTGTGACAGAAAAATTGTTTTGTAAGAAAGAGACAAAAGACCTTTAACAATCTGGAATTTAGCTTTCTGGAAATATCTGGGTTTGTGATGTCTTTGAGAGTGAGGCAGGAGCTCCTGGGCATACAGTAGCAATTTTTCCAAATATACCAATGAGGAATGAAAGCAATGAAAAAACAGTTGTATGGGTATAAAACTTGGTAACTATTTACTGCTTACAAGGGTAATGAATAGGAGATATAGTAAGGAAAAGAGTTAGTAATACATGGAGAGACACTTTACTAGAGAATAAAATGATCCTCAACATAGTGCCTCTGAAGCCTTAAAGCATCTCTCCCTTAGCTGTGCAATGGCAGGGGAGAGTAGGAAGAAGTGGGAGAATCTAATGTTTGTGCCATACTCACTAGTACTTAAATGCTCAAGATCTGGCCCTTAATGGCTTAATTCTCAGATATTTGAACAATGTATAGTAGTCCCCCGCTTATCTGAGGGGAATACATTCAAGATCCCCAGTAGATGCCTGAAACCACAGCTAGTACCAAATTCCATACAGATGCTCCATGATTTATGAAGAAGTAACATCCCAAAAAAGCCACTGTAAGTCGGAAATAAATATGCCAGTTAACCCATTGTAAATTAAAAAATTGTAATTCGAACCATCATAAATCCAGATGATCCTCGACTTACAGCAGAGTTATGTCCAGATAAACCCACAATAAAACTGAAATGTCTAACCATCGTTAAGTCAGGAACTGTCTGTGGAAGTACTTAAGCATTGTGGGTTTAACTTTCGCAATTTGAGGTGTGACAGCAAAACTAGCACAAATTTTTTTCCTTCACAATGTCACACACAAAATACTCATTCTTACCTTAGGTCTTAGCAATACAATTTTTTTTTCTTTTCCTATTAGGTCGAGAATTTTCACCTTTTCACTTAAAAGAAGCACTTTATGGCTTCTCTTTGGTGTATTCAAATTGCCAGTAGTACTACTTCTGTGCTTTGGGATCATCAGTAAGTAAAATAAGGGTTACCTGAACACAAGCACCATGACACAGTGGCAGTCAATCTGATAACTGAGCCAACTACTAAGTGACTAATGGGCAGGGAGTGTACATACCACCGATACACTGGACAAAAGGATTATTCACATCCTGGGCAGGATCTAGGGGGACTGCACAAGGTTTTACCATGCTACATGGAACAGCATGCAACTTAAAAACTTATGAACCATTTATTTATGAAATTTCCTATTTAATAGTTTTGGAGTACAGTTGACTACAGGTAGCTGAAACCATGGAAAGTGAAACCACAGATACAGGAGGACTACTGTATTTCCCTAAATCAGCAGTTACCAAAGTTGACTGTTCATAAAAATTCACTTTGACACTTCAGAGAAATCACAGCCAACTTCCAAAACAAGCCTACTGAGTCAAAATCTTCTAGGGTAAGGCTTGGACAAATATACTTTTTAAAAGATGATACTAACACATACCTCTTGTTAAGAATCAGTCTCAGAGGCTAGGCCTAGATATTTAAATCAATTTTTAAAATACTATAACAATATAACAGAATGTCAAATAACAGACAAGCACATTTGTTATTTTAAAATCAAAGAGCTGTTTGGAGGCATTTTCTGTAATTAAATAATTAAAGACAGAAAAGAAGATGAATGTTTAACTGGTGTCTATTTGTATATGTAACAATAACCCAGTAACTACTGAGATCATTGCTGTACAGGCATAGGATAATGACTATTTTGATAAATCATGACCCTGAGTTGCCAAGAAAAATTAATCTACTCAGACTATTATAAAGAAATACCATAAATTGAATGGCTTATAAACAACAGAAATTTATATCTCAAAGTTCTGGATCCTGGGAAGTCCAAGATCAAGGAATTTGCAGATTCAGTGTCTGGTAAGGGCCTGATTCCTTGGTTATAGACAGAAAACTATCTTTTTGCTGTGTCCTCGCATGGCGCAAAGGACAAGGGAGCTCTCTTGGTCCTCATTAAAAGACACTAATTCTGTTTATAGTTGCTCTGCCCTGTTACCTAATTATTAATACCTACCAAAGGCCATACTAACAACACCATCACCTTGGGGCTTAGGATTTTGTCAAATAAAATTTGTGGGAGGCCACTGATTTGGACTAGGCTCCTGCACTAAGCCTAGCAGACCAAATCAATAGGGAGTTTAGCTATAGCAGCTGAGCTTTAGTTAATTGCAAGAGGCTCTGGAACTAATTAAACAGTAACCAATAAAGTTGTCTCTGCACTGCACTTCCACTTTCTATAAATGCTGTCAGATCACATTATTGGCTGGAGTTCTTTGAACCTGCTCTGGTTCAGCGGACTGGCTAATTCTTGAACCATTTTTGTTTTGTTTTGCTTTGGTTTGTTTTTCTTTGCTGAATAAACTCAATTAAAATTTAAATTTGTCTAAGAGTTTCCATTTAACAATTTCAACACATGAAGTGAAGGAGGAGGAACACAAACATTCAGTCCATTGTAGTATGCTTAATGCAGAATAAGGCATTATATTCTATTTCTGGAATAATACCCCTCAGTAAGAAAGTTTCACTGCATAAAGGAGTAAGACATAGCTATAAGAAAATATCCTTTTATGGCTAGCCATATGCAGAAAATTGAAACTGGACCCCTTACCATATATAAAAATTAACTCAAGATGGATTGAAGACTTAAATATAAAACACAAAAACTATAAAAACCCTGGAAGACAACCTAGGCAATGCCAACCTGGACATAGGCATGGGCATGTTTACTGCAGCACTATTCATAATAGCAGACATGGACTTGATCTAAATGATAGACTGGATAAAGAAAATGTACATTTACACCATGGAATACTATGCAGCCATAAAAAGGAATGAGATCATGTCCTTTGCAGGGACATCGATGGAGCTGGAGGCCATTATCCTTAGCAAACTAATGCAGGAGTAGAAAACCAAATACTACATGTTCTCAATTATAAGTGGGAGCTACATCATGAGAACACATGGATACATGGTGGGTGGGAGGAGGGAGAAGATCAGGAAAAATAACTAATGGGTACTAGACTTTACACCTGGGTGATGAAATAATCTGTATAACAAACCCCCGTGACACACATTTCTAACAAACCTGCACATCCTGCACATGTACCCCCGAACTTAAAAGTTAAAAAGAGAAAATATCCTTTTATATAATAATGTTTTGAAATGGACTAAATACAATTTCATTACCATAAAACAAATGTACTATTTAAATATCTTTTTAATTTTCCTGTCATTTCAAGTAACCAAGTTTGGAAGCTTTCTCCTGAAGTCCCTTAAGAAACTAGACAGTGAACTCAACTTCGAAGTCAGGTCTATTTCTTCTGCTGCAGTTAAAAACTGGAAACTTTTTTTATTGCTCTCAAATGCTTTTAAGAAGCCCTAAATATTATGAGATAATTAAACATGTTGTGAACTAACCTTGGTGAAAGAACACACTTGAGACTATAGTTGGTATCATGGTAATTGTAGTCTGAGTCTATGTATGCAACAAAACTGCAATTGTAACCCATGAATTTATATAAAGGAAAAAATTTAAAAATTTAAAATAAAAATCAACAAAATACCAAAAAAAGAAGCCCTTCTTCTAATAAATTGAAACTCGAGCCAAATTTTGAGGGATTTATAAAAATTAGAAATAAAATTCAACTACTATAAAATAATCGGTTTATAGAGAGAATAGACTGGACATATAGGCCTTGGCACTTTCTATAAAGCACTGAAAAATGTAAGAAACCAGGCCTTTTGTGAGAAATTTACCAGAATATCTGTCCACAAATTTAAAAACAAAAAGTAACCATGAAGAGAAACCAAGCTATCTCAACCAGTGTACAAAACATTAAAAGAATAGCATATATGACCATTTAATGAGACTAATAATCAGAGTAATTTAAATTTATTACTTTATTTTCAGTGGTTCCTGTCCTGAACTGTTATTTATATCTAGTAGTTATCGACTGGAATTCTATAATATTTATTTTATATACACATTACTATCTTCATAACATCTGGCTACATTTTGTCATATAATTTAATGTCTGGCTATAGTTTCCTTTGTGTAAGTTTATAAGAAACAGAAAAGTCACTCTTTTCCTACCAAAAAACCAGATGAATGAAGTGTGAGAGTTCCACAAAGAGTGGAAAGGCCTTTCCCATACAAAATCAAACCTCCATTTCAAGAGAAGTAGAGAAAATGGTACCTCCTGACATCCAGGCAGACAGTACAAGTCTTGGAAAAGAGGTAGCAGAAGCTCCAACTATGCATTTCCCTCCAAAGCCTGGGACAGGAGAGCACAGGTTGCAAAACAAAATTCTAATTACCTGTGCAGCAGCACATCTGACTCATTAACTCTTAATCATTTTCCTTTTTTTTTTTTGACCCTAGGAAATGGAGCAAATCCAACCTTTTGCTTGCTTCCCCCTCACCCCAAAAGAATCCTACTGAGATTCTTCTGAAAGCTATAGATCCTCTCCCTAGAAAAATGCACATAGTTTCTATATATGCTGTATTGCACAAAACTTCAGAGAGTCCACATGCTTCTTAAAGCTTGATCATGGAGCAGATTAAAACTTCTTGTTTAACATTTGGATGGAATTTTTGTCTTGAGTCAATAAAATTTGCAACATTTAACTACCTAAAGACACCAATGTCAAATTGAGCATATTTAAGAATATTCCCATGACTTAACCATGTTCACCCACACTTTATTTTGAACTAAACTGTTCAAAACCTATTTCCCACTTCCTGTTGTCTATGTTTTCATTCAGCAACAAAGCAGTGGAGCAAGTAAGATAGGGTAAATATCAGGGGCTAATCATGGTATGTTAGTAGTCATACTTTAGAAATTTCCGTGGACCTAAGTGCCCTCCAGATCCTCTCTATAGGAAGTCTACTGTCCATTTTCAAGTCCCTGTCATAGTTGTCTGAAGTAGCCTGTAGTCATGTTAGGAATAAAGGTCTTTAAATCTAAACCTACTATACATACACCAATATTAATGTTTCTAGAAATACTCTTAATTTCTGCTACTGGCAGAGCAAAACAATGGAAGCAAGCGGACAGAAGTGACTAGAAATGGCTAATCAATAACCCTATAACATTCCTATATAACTTCTGCCCATCAAGCAGGAATCATGAATATTATGTTTAACCAATGTGTTCCTATAACTTAGAAGAGTGCCTGACACATAGAAGATGCTCAGTATGTAAGACAAATTTTGAGGATTGATAAAGGAGAAAATCATACTTCAACATACTTTAAAAACTAGCAAGACTCTAGAGAAACACTTCAGGTAAGTAAAAGAAAAAAGACAAAAACTAACCTAAATGTCTGCATATAGGATGCATTACCTGGGGTTCCCCAAGAAATAGAACTGAGGCAAAAGTTTACCTGATACTACTTTATTAGGAAGCACAGGGGTGGGTAAAAAAGGGAGTTAGGGAGACAGAACAAGTATCAGGACATGGATTTCTGAGTAGGCCTTTAATTAGTATCAAGTACAATCTTTTGAAAGGCCCCCATGAACGATTATGTTCCAACCTTATGCATTATGAGCTACAGACCACTGAAGGATGAAAGGAGAATAATTTATCTTCTGAGGCCCATCTCCTCATGGTCCAAGGTTTTCCCCATAGAGCATTAATACCACATCACTGACAGGTTACACACACACGAGAACCAACTAGGTCTCATTGCATCTCATGCTTCAGTGGCAACAGAGATGCCCCAGGTGGCAAGTGCTATTATTCTGCTTGCTGGAGTAGCAGATGGGCAGAGCCCAGGCTGAATTGTTTTTTGAGGTGGTTGCTAGGCCAGAACAAGTGGCCAAATGGCTAGAGATAGTTGAGACTAGGAGGATTTCTGGAAGCACAAATAAACATGCTGTAGTATATTCACATAATGAAATGCTACTCAGCAATAACCAGGAAAAAACTTATATACTCAACATCATGGATGAAACCCTAAAACATAACACTTACATTTAAAAACCTTACACAAAGATTACATAGCATATGATTCTATTTTTGTTACAGGACAAGTGAGATTAATCTGTGATTAAAAAATCAGAATAGTGGTTGCCTCTGAAAGATGGGACAAAAATTGAACGAGAGGGGAATAAAGAAACTTTCCAGAGTAATACGCTTTATGTCTTGGTGAGGATTGGGTTACACAGGTGTCTGCATTTGTTACAATTCAGTGAATGAACATCTAAGATTTATGGATTTCATTGTAGGTAAAGTTTACAGCAAAAAAAGAGACAGTCATACAATATAATTCATCAGTAATGAACTATGACAGCACAATTTAATATAGTATGATACCACTTTTGTAAAATAATGCAGGAAGAACAATGTTATATGTTTTTATGAATACATATATATTCTGTGGGAAGAGGGAGAGGATCTAAATTGGAAGCACTGGTTAAAGGGTCTTTAGCTTTTTCAAAGTTTTTGTTTTAATAATGTAATTTTTAAGGTAGAAAAATATACTAATGCAGTGTACATATTAATCATTTACAAAAAAAGTAATACATGGTTGCTATAACTTTAAAATTACATTAAAGTTTAAATAGATTAAAATGCTCTTAGCATGTGGCTATTTGCCACCCCCCAGATATTTTTCTTCTTTGAAATATAGAATTTTATTTTTAACTTTTGTGTGTATATAGCAGGTGTATATATTTATGGGGCAAATGAGATGTTTTGATACATGCATTTAATGTGAAATATGCACATCATGGAGAATGGGGTATCCATCCCCTCAAGCATTTACCCTTTTGCAAAGTTTGAGTTACAAACTTGTTAAACTTTTTTAATCCTTTGAGTTATAAACAATCCAATTATACCCTTTAAATTATTTTTAAATGTACCATTCAGTTATTATTGATTTTTAAAATGTCACTCAAAAACAACCCCCTAAACCAAAACGGTAGGCAGGTGGTTAGAAAAGAAGTCTACAATTGTTGGAGATCGTTCTACTTGATTCCTGCAGGTCATTTTGAAGTATGTAGGCCCATGCATCACGCATACATAGCTAAAAATATGCATTTTTAAAGAATATGTTTACATTATAAAGTGAATATGACTATGCATGATAATAAGAAGTCTTTTTAAAAAGGATGTACTGCATGATTGTTTAGTAGCAATATTCTACTTTAACTTTCAAAATATTTCACTTTTCAGAAAAAATACGGAATATACACTAAGATTTAACTGAAGTTCACAAGTTAGGATAAAGCTGTTTCTGGCAAAAGAAACAGTGCTTTCTTTGATATGACAGTGAGAAATAAAGTACATAACTCTGGAAGTAATACTAAGTAGATCACCAATAAATCACCTATTACCCAACTTTCCAAATAATACATTGCGAATATTTTAATATATATTTTTAATTTAAAATAATATTTGTAATTATACAGTAGTTAAAATTATTCTACATTCTCAGCTACTATGGTAGATTAAGAATTTTCCTCTCAGAATAATATATTTAATGATTACATAATAGTGCAAGTTTAGATTTAAAATAAAATTAAAATAATATTCTCATAAAAAATGAAAAGCAGGAGCTGTGTTTTAATATGTTGTAAGAAGAGTTTCAATCATAGGAGGGGACAAGGTGGCCGATTAGAAGCAGCTGCGGTCCGTGGCTCTCACAGAGAGGAATGAAAATGGCGAGTGAATTCTTCACCTTCAACTGAAATATCCAGGTTCTTGCATTTGGACTGACTAGGCAGACAACTCAACCCATGAAGAATGAAGAAAAGCAGAGTGGGACAACAGCCCCCCCAGGAGCAGGAGCAACACAGAGCCAAAAGCACACCTACCCCAAGCCAAGGGAAGCAGTGAGTGATTGTGTGAACCCACCTGGGAAACCACACTCCTCCCATGGATCTTTGCAACCCACAGATCAGGAGCTCCCCTCACAAGTTAAGACCCACTGGTTTGGAATTCCAGCCAACCCAGCGCAACAGGCTGGAAAACTGCCTGAGACAGAGTAGACAGGGTGAGGAGGGACCACCATTTCTGTGGTTAGGTGGACTCTGCTGTTCCAGCCTGCTGGCTCTGGGGAATCCAGGCAGTCTGGACAAGGAAGAGTGCCCACAATGTAGCACATCTGCTGTGCCAGATTGTGGCCAGACCGCTTCTTTGAGTGGGACCCCAATGCATCCCTCCTCACTGGGTGGGGCCTCACTGTGGGAATTTCAGCAACTCCAGCCGGGATTATATGGACAGAACTCTGATCTCCCTATGGAATGAAGCCCCATGGGGGAGGGGCTGCTGATATCTCTGTGGTTCAGTTGACTCAGCCTTTCCAGCATGCTGGCTCTGCAGAGTCTAGGTGGTCTGGACAAGGAAGGGTTTCCCAGTGCAGCACAGCTGCTGTTCTCAAAATCAGCCAGCCTATTTCTTTAAGTGGGTCCCTGATCCCATCCCTCGTGACTGGGTGAGACCTCCCAACAGAGGTATCCAGACACCTCCTACAGGAGCATCCAAGCCAGAAACAGGTTAGCATCCCCACCAGGGATGGAGCTCCCAGAGGAAGAAGCAGGCTGCCACTTTTGCTGTTTTGCAGCCTTCACTGATGATACCTCCAGGTAAGCGGAAAACCAACGCAACTAGGATTGCTGAGCAATCCCCCAGCAAGCCACAGCAGCCCTATAAAATAATGGCCTGGTTGTTAAAAGAAAATAAGGCAGCAACAACATCAAGAAAAAAGACCCCCAAAACCCCATTCAGAGGTCAGCAACCTTAAAAATCAAAGGCAGACAAGCCCACAAAAATAAGACAGAATCAATGCAAAAATGCTGAAAACTCAAAAGGCCAGAGTGCCTTTTCTACTCCAAATGACCGCAGCACCTTACCAGCAAGGGCACGAACTGGGCTGAGGCAGAGATGGCTGAATTGATGGAAGCAGGCTTCACAAGGTGATAATAATGAACTTTGCTAAGCTAAAGGAGCATGTTCTCACCCAATGCAAAGAAGCTAAGAATCATGACAAAATAATACAGGAGTTGATAACCAGAAAAACCAGCTTAGAGAGAAGCATAACTGACCTGATGGAGCTAAAAAAACATAAGAAATTCACAATATAACCACGACAGCAGAAGAGATCAAGCGAAGGACAGAATCTCAGAGCTTGAAGACTGTCTTTCTGAAATAAGACAGGCAGATAAGAATAGAGAAGAATGAAAAGGAATGAATAAAACCTTCAAGAAACATGAAACTATGTAAAAAGACCAAACCTACAACTGATTTGGGTACCTGAAAGAGACAAGGAGAATGGAACCATATTAGAAAACATACTTCAGGGCCGGGCACGGTGGCTCACGCCTGTAATCCTAGCACTTTGCGAGGCCGAGGCGGGTGGATCATGAGGTCAGGAGATCGAGACCATTCTGGCTAACACGGTGAAACCCCGTCTCTACTAAAAATACAAAAAAAAATTAGCCGGGTGCGGTGGTGGGCACTTGTTGTCCCAGCTACTCAGGAGGCTGAGACAGGAGAATGGTGTGAACCCGGCAGGCGGAGCTTGCAGTGAGCCAAGATCGCACCACTGCACTCCAGCCTGGGCAACAGATCGAGACTCCGCCTCAAAAAAAAAAAAAAAAAAAAAAAAAAGAAAACATACTTCAGAATGCCATCCAGGAGAATTTCCCTAACAAGAAGGCCAACATTCCAATTCAGGAAATCCAGAGAACCCCAGTAAAACACTCCTTGATAAGATCAACCCAAGACACATAATCATCAGATTATCTAAGGTTGAAATAAAAAATGTTAAGGGCAGCCAGAGAGGAGGCCAGGTCATCTACAAAGGGAAACCCATCAGAGTAACAGCAGACCCTTCAGTGGAAACTCTACAAGTCAGAAAATATTGGAGGCCAATATTCAACATACATAAAGAAAAGAATTTCCAACCTAGAATTCCATATCTGGCCAAACTAAGATTCATAAGTGAAGGAGAAATAAGTCCTTTTCAGACAAGCAAATGCTGAGGGAATTTGTCACCACCAGGCCTGCCTTGCAAGAGCTCCTGAAGGAAGCACTAAATGTGGAAAGAAAAACTGTTATGGGCCACTACAAAACACACTGAAGTACACAACTAGTGACACTATGAAGCAACCACATAAACAAGTCTGCAAAATAACAATATTAACTTTAGACGTAAATGAGCTAAATGCCCCAATTAAAAGACACAGAATGGCAAGCTGGATAAAGAGTGAAGACATATCAGTATGCTGTCTTCAAGAAACCCATCTCACATGCAAAGACACATGTAGGCTCAAACTAAAGGGATGGAGGAAATTTTACCAAGACAATGGAAAACTGAAAAAGGCAGGGGTTGCAGTCCTAGTTTCTGATAAAATGGACTTTAAACAAAGATTAAAAAAGACAAGGAAGGGCATTACACAATGGTAAATGGTTCAATTCAACAAAAAGAGCTAACTATCCTAAATATATATATGTACCCAATAAAGGAACACTGAGATTTATAAAGCAAGTTCTTAGAGACCTACAAAGGGACTTAGACTTCCACAAAGTAACAGTAGGTGACTTTAACACCTCACTGACAATATTACACAGATCACTGAGACAGAAAATTAACAAATATATTCAGGACCTAAACTCAGCTCTGGATCAAGCATATCTGATAGATATCTACAAAACTCTCCACCCCAAACCAACAGAATATACATTATTCTCATCGCCACATGGCACTTACTCTAAAATTGATCAAATAATCGGAAGTAAAACACTCCTCAGCAAATGCAAAATAATTGAAATCATAACAGTCTTTCAGACCACAGCAAAATCTTAGATCTCAAGACTAAGACATTCACTCAAAACCACACAATTACATGGAAACGGAACTATCTGTTCCTGAATGTCTCCTGGGTAAATAATGAAATTAAGGCAGAAATCAAAAAGTTCTTTGAAACTAATGAGAACAAAGAGACAACATACCAGAATCTCAAGGGTGCAGATAAAGCCGTGTTAAGAGGGAAAATTATACAACTAAATGCCCACATAAAAAGGTAGAAAAACCTCAAATTAACAACCTAACATCACAAGTAAAATAACTAGAGAACCAAGAGCAAACAAACCCTAAAGCTAGCAGAAGACAAGAAATAACCAAAATCAGAGCTGAAGGAGACAGACATAAAAAAAACCTTTCAAAAAAAATAAACAAATCCAAGAGATGGTTTTTTGAGAAAATTAATAAAATAGACCACTAGCTACACTAATAAAGAACAGAAGAGAGAACAATCAAAGAAACACAATCAGAAATGATAAGGGAGATATGACCACTGACCCCACAGAAATACAAACAACCAACAGAGAATACTATAAATACCTCTATGCACATAAACTAGAAAATCTAGAAGACATGAATACGTTCCTAGACACATACACCCTCCCAAGACTGAACCAGGAAGAAACTGAATCCCTGAATAGACCAATAATGAGTTCTGAAATTGAGGCAGTAATAAAGAGCCTACCAACCAATAAAAGCCCAGGACCAGGAGGATTACAGCTGAATATTACCAGAGGTACAAAGAAGAGCTAGTACTATTTATACTAAAACTATTCAAAACAATTGAAAAATGGGAACTCCTCCCTAACTCATTTTATGAGACCAGTATCATCCTGATACCAAAATCTGGCAGAGATACAACAAAAACAGGAAACTTCAGGCCAATATCTCTGATGAACATTAATGCAAAAATCCCTAACAAAATACTGGCAAACAGAATCCAGCAGCACATCAAAAAGCTAATACACTACAATCAAGTAGGTTTTATCCCTAGGATTCTTGGGTGGTTCAATGTATTCAGATCAATAAATGTGATTTCTCACATAACCAGAACTAAAGACAAAAACCACATGATTATCTCAATAGATGCAAAAAAGGCCTTCGATAAAATTCAACATCCCTTTATGTTAAAAATTCTCAACAAACTAGGTATTGAAGGAACATACCTCAAAATAATAAGAGCGATATATGACAAACCCACATCCAGTATCATACCGAATGGGCAAAAGCTGGAAGCATTCCCCTTGAAAACCGGTACAAGATAAGGATGCCCTCTCTCACCACTCCTATTCAACATAGTATTAGAAGTTCTGGTCAGGGCAATCAGGCAAGAGAAAGAAATAAAAGGTATTCAAATAGGGAGAGAAGAAGTCAAATTATCTTTGTTTGCAGATGACATGATCCTATATCTAGAAAACCCCATCATCTCAGGCCAAAATCTTAAGCTGATAAACAACTTCAGCTAAGTCTCAGGATACAAAATCACTGTGCAAAAATCACTAGCATTCCTATAAACCAACAACAGGTGGGCAGAGAGCCAAATCATGAATGAACTCCCATTCACAATTGCTACAAAGAGAATAAAATACCTAGGAATACAGCTAACAAGGGACGTGAAGGACTTCTTCAAGGAGAACTACAAACCACTGCTCAATGAAATAAGAGGACACAAACTAAAGGAAAAACATTTCATCCTCATGGATAGGAAGAATCATATCGTGAAAATGGCCATACCGCTCCAAGTAATTTATAGATTCATTGCTATTCCCACTTATCAGTGGCATTCTTCACTGAATTAGAAGAAACTATTTAAAAATTCATATGTAACTAAAAAAGAGCCCAAATAGCAAAGGCAATCCTAAGCAAAAAGAACAAAGCTGGAGGCATCACACTACCCAACTTCAAACTATACTACAAGGCCACAGTAACCAAAAAAGCATGGTACTGGTACAAAAGCACACACATAGACCAATGGAACAGAATAGTGAACTCAGAAGTAAGACCACACCTTCAACCATCTGATCTTCAACAACCCTGACAAAAACAAACAATGGGGAAAGGATTCCCTACTTAATAAATGGTGCCGGGAGAACAGGCTAGCCATATGCAGAAAACTGAAACTGGATCCCTTCCTTACACTTTATACAAAAATTAAGACAACATGGATTAAATATTTAAATGTATAACTCAAAACTATAAAAACTCTGGAAGAAAATCTAGGCAATACCATTCAGGACATAGGCACGGGTAAAGATTTCATGATGAAAATGCCAATAGCAATTGCAAAAAAAGCAAAAAATTGCCAAATGTGATTTAATTAAACTAAGGAGCTTCTGCACACAAAAAGAAGCTATCATCAGAGTGAACCGACAACCTAAAGAATGGGAGAAAACTTTTGCAATCTATCTAATATCCAGAGTCTACAAGGAACTTAAATTTACAAGAAAAAAATAGTACCATCAAAAAGTGGGCAAAGGACATAAACAGACACTTCTCAAAAGAAGACATTCACGTGGCCAACAAACATATGAAAAAAAGCTCAACGTCACTGTTAGAAAAATATAAATCAAAACCACAATGAGATACCATTGCACGCCAGTCAGAATGGCAATTATTAAAAAGTCCAGAAACAATATATGCTGGCAAGGTTGTGGAGAAAGAGGAATGCTTTTACACTGTTGATGGGAGTGTAAATTAATTGCAGATACTGAGAGGCAGGCACATTTACCAGAGGACATCTGTGTTCCCGGATAACCTGGAAACTTAAGAGAATCCTCCATAGGCAATGGTGGGTCAACTAGATATTCTGGATGTGCACTCATTCTGAGAATTAATTGGCAATGGAATTTAGTAAACCATTAATAATAACTATATTTGTGCTGGGTTTTCCTTCCTTCATTTGACTATGGTAACCTGATTTTTCAAGTAGTAGATTTAACAATGTAAAAATAAATTCGGACTAGGCACGGTGGCTCACGTCTGTAATCCCAGCACTTTGGGAGGCCGAAGTGGGTGGATCATGAGGTCAGGAGTTCGAGACCAGCCCGGCCAAGATGGTGAAACCCCAGCTCTACTAAAAATACAAAAATCAGCCAGGTGTGGTGGCAGGTGCCTGTAATTCTAGCTACTCGGGAGGCTGAGGCAGGAGAACTGCTTGAGGCTGGGAGGTGGAGGTTGCAGTGAGCTGAGATCACACCACTGCACTCTAGCCTGGGTAACAGAGCAAGACTTCATTTCATAAATAAATAAATAAATCTGGACTTTTTTAAGATTAGCATTTGACGTCTTCTATTATCTTCTTGCCCTAATTTCCCCTTCCAGTTTGCCCTTTATATTCTGCCACAGGTGATTTCCTCTGTGATGAACAGGTCTTGTTTTCAAGCCTCTGTAACTTTCCTTGCCACCACTCTTCCTCTTCCAGAACTCCTGTGGTTCTCTGCTGTATTTCTTGTGAAATTCATATTCATATTCTCATATATATAGTTAATACCTTAACTGGATTGTAAACTGAAGAAGCCACACTTTTGGTACTTCTGTATTCATTTTAAGCCTCTAGAATAGAGTGCTTCGCACAATGGAAAAGATTAATATTCTTAGAACTGATTGAAGGATTTAGTTTGCTTGAAAAAAGTGATAAAGAGTCAACTCAGCAATTCAGGGGTGATTCAATTTTTCAGGTCCAATACTGCTTCTTCTGCCTTCTCATCTTTATAATACTTCATAATTGTTCCCCCTTATCTATTATTTGATGATTATACCCCTTTTCTGTATTGTTAGGGTATTGGAGTTAAGGGTTTGGGCTTTTATAGCCTGCTAGTGCATTGATCACAGAAATTTAATCTTCAAGTCTTCTGGTAACTATGTGCTTTTTTCTTGAAACTTATGTCTTTATATAGCTCATGTCACAGAGCAGTGGTTCTATGGTTTCAGCCTGGCACCTTCAAGGTTCTCCATAGTTCTGGTTACAAAAACTTCAAATAAATGATGTTTCCTTAAATACATACTTGTTAATCTAAATGACACCATATTATTAAAAACTATTTCTGAGGTTGCAAGTCATCATACAAAACCTTCCAGATTAGAAAATTCCTAAGGCATTGAGGGTAAGTGTATGGAGGGAGGAGGCAGATGCTGGGATGAAGTGGGAGGGAGATTGGAACCCATACTGGGACTTGTTCCTGATTTCAAGCAGTTCCTGGGGAAGGGGGGGTTGAGCAGGTGGGAGTGGCCCACGCTTGCTATGCACATCTGGATTCCTGGCTGCAGGAGACCCTACGACCCCTACAGACACTTCAGCTGGCAGGGAGAGCTGCTTAGAGAGATGGCAGGGGCAGGACTCCAGCCTGTGAGGAGCACAGCGGGTCTGGCACAGGAAAAGCTACAGTGGAGCAGGGCCAGGGATGTCCCTTCCCCAAGGCTCACCATGCTCTTCAAGGTGGCTTTAGCATTTGGGTGACTGTCGGACCTAGACAGAGCAGGGTAGGTCTTGACTGTAGGACAGAGATAGTCCAATCTGAGCACCCTCTATCTCCTGGCCTGTGTGGGGGCCCCAGCCTAGCTGCGTCTGCCTGCAACACAGTCTCTGATGCCCAACCATGGTGCTCCCGGGAGTCCCTCATCATAGCTCTTTCACTGGCAGAGTGCACCTAACCATCAGAGAGCTCCAGCTGACTTGACCCACATGATGCACACCTGTCCACCTGTGGTCTACCCCCACTGCAACCTACTCCCACCACTTTGCTGGCATGCACTTGCCTGCAGCCAAACTCACTGCTTTGCTGGCACATGAGCATGGGTAGACCTTGCCTCCTCTCCCCCGCTGGCATCTGTGCAAGGATGCTGCCAACCTGATCCCAGTGCTGCTACCCACCCCAGCTGATATGTATACAACCTGCTGCTGCTGCTAGTGACAACGGCATGCAAGTGAGTGAGCACAGGTTCTGCTGTCACTGATCAGATGAAGCACTGTGGCCAGCACCCCCAAACAAAGTATAATGACCAGTGGACTGGGAACATCTTGGTCTCTCCAGTGCAGTGGGTTCTTAAACACTAGGGACCAGAAAACAAAGCAGCAGCCTGGTACCAGCCCCACCCCAGAGCTGGAGCTTGTAGCCCAGGAGTGCTGAGCTGAGCCTTGGTTCTGTGAAATCTTCCAGAAAGGAAGCCACTGAGGTGAACCCACCATATGCCATGATCAGACCCTCAAAGGCACCAACGAAAATAAAACCAAAATCCCCATACAAAGGACAACAGCTTCAAAGATTAAACATCAGCTCACACAGATGAGAAAGAAACAGTGCAAGAACTCTCACAACTCAAGAAGCCAAACTGTCTTCTTACCTCCAAATGACTGCACTAGTTTCCCAGCAATGATTCTTAAGCAGGCTGAATTGGCTGAAATGACAGACACAGAATTCAGAATATAGACAGGAATGATGATCATAAAGATTCAGGAGAGAGTGGAAGTCCAATCCAAGGAATCTAAGAAATACAATAAAATAGTAAAGATGAAATGGCCCTTTTAAGAGAGAACCAAACTGATCTGATAGGGATTAAAAACTCACTACAAGAATTTCATAATAGAATTCCAAGTTTTAACAGCAGAATAGATAAGGTTCAGGAAAGAATCTCAGACTGGTTCTCTGAATTAATTCAATCAGACAAAATAAAGAAAAAATAATGAACAAAACCTCTGAGATATGTGGGATTATGAAAAGAGACTAAATCTACAACTCGTTGGCATTGGTGAAATGGAGACATCAAGCAACTTGGAAACCAAATTTGAGCATATCATCCAAGAAAATTCCCTAACCTCATGAGAGGTCAACATTCATATTCACAAAAATGCAGGGAATCTCTGCAAGACAGTGTACAAGATAACCATCCTGAAGATACACAGTCATCAGATTCTTCAAGGTCAACATGAAAGAAAAAATATTACAGGCAGCTAGAGAGAAGATGGAGGTCACCTACAAGGGAATCCCATCAGGCCAACAGTGGACCTTTCAGTAGAAACCCTACAAGCTAGAAGAGATTGGGGGCTTATATTCAACATGCCTAAAGAAAAGAAATTCCGATCTAGAATTTCAAATCCAGCCAAATAAAGCTTCAAAAGTGAAGGAGAAATAAGATCCTTTTCAAGCAAGCAAATGTCAAGAGATTTTGTTACCACCAGATCTACCTTACAAGATGTCCTGAAGGGAGTGCTAAACATGAAAATGAAAGATAACTACCGGCCACCACAAAATACTTAAGTACATAAACCATTGATATTATGAAGGAACTACAGAATCAAGCTTGCATAATAACCAGCTAACAACACACAATGATAGGATCAAATGTGCACCTACCAATTTTAAAACTGAACACAAACATATTAGTCTGTTCTCATATTGCTAATAAAGAAATATCTAAGACTGTGTAATTTATAAAGGAAAGAGGTTTAATTAACTTACAGTTCCGCATGGTTGGGGAGGCCTCAGAAAATTTACAATCATGGCAGAAGGCAAAGGGGAAGCAAGGCACCTTCATCACAAGGTGGTAGGAAGGAGAAGTGCAAGCATGGGAAATGCCAGACACTTATAAAACCATCAGATCTCATGAGAACTCCTTCATATCATGAGAACATCATGAGGGAAACTGCCCCCATGATTCAATTACCTCCACCTGGTCCTGCCCTTGACATGTGCAGATTATGAGGATTATAATTCAAGGTGAAATTTGAGTGGGGACACAGAGCCAAACCATATCAGTAAACAAGCTAAATGCCCTAATTAGAAGGCACAGAGTGACAAACTAGATAAAGAAGCAAGACCCAACTGTATGCTGTCTTCAAGAGACCCATCTTATATCCAGTAACACCCACAAGCTTAAAGGAAAGGGATGAAGAAAAATCTACCAAGTAAACAGAAAACACAAAAAAAGCAGATAAAACAAACTTTAAACCAACAACAATCAAAAAAGATAAGGCATTACAAGACAGTAAAGAGTTCAATTCAACAACAAGATGTATCTATCCTAAATACACATGCACCCAATACTGGAGCACCCAGATTCATAAAACAAGTTCTTAGAGACCTATAAAGAACCTTAGATAACCACACAATAATACAAGGTGGCTTCAACATTGTGCTAGTAATATTAGACAAATGACTGAGGTGGAAAACTCAAAGATATCTAAACTTGAACTTAACATATGACCAAATGAACCTAACAGGCATCTACAGAACTCTCCACCCCAAAACAACAGAACATGAAGTTTTCACATCTGCATATGGCACATACTCTAAAATAACCACATGATCAACCACAAAACAATTCTCAAATTGAAGAAACTGAAATCATAACAACCACACTCTTGAACCACAGCACAATAAAGATAGAAATCAATACTAAAGTCAATGAAAAGCATATAGTCACATGCAAATTAAACAACCTGCTTCTGAATAAGGCAGAAATCAAGAAATTATTTAAAACAAATGAGGATAAAGATATAACATACCAGAATCTCAGGAAAACAACTAAAACAGTGTTAAGAGGAAAGTTCATAATGCTAAACACCCACATAAAAAAATTAGATCTCAAATTAACAACCTAACATCATACCTAGAGGAACTAGAGAAATAACAGCAAAACAACTCCAAAGCTAGAAGACAATAAATAACCAAAATCAGAGCTGAACTGAATGAAACTGAGATGTGAAAACCATACAAAAGATCAACAAAACAAGAAGTTTGATCTTTGAAAGAATATGGAAGATTAACAGACCACTAGCTACATTAGTATAAAAGGAGAAGATCCAATAAACACAATTAGAATCAACAAAGGGGACATTACTACAGACCCCACACAAATACAAATAACCCTCAGAGACTATTACAAACACCTCTATGCACACAAACTAGAAAATCTAAAAATAGATAAATTGCTGGAAACATACAACCTCCCAAGAATGAACTAGGAAGAAATTAAAACTCTGAACAGACCAATAATGAGTTCTGAAATTGAATCAGTAATAAAAAGCCTACCAACCAGAAAAAGTACCAGACCAGAGAAGTTCACAGCTGAATTCTACCAGACATATGAAGAGGAGCTGGTACCATTACTAATGAAACTATTCCAAAAAATTGAGGAGGAGATACAACAACAACAAAAAAGAGAAGTTCAGGGCAATATCCTTGATGAACACGGATGCAAAAATCCTCAACAAAATACTTGCAAACCAAATTCAGTAGTACATCAAAAAGCTAATCCACCATGATCAAGTAGGCTTTATCCCTGGGATGCAAGGTAGGTCCAACATATGCAAATCAATAAATGCGATTCATCACATAAACAGAACTAAAAGGAAAAACCACATGATCATCTGAATAGATGCAGAAAAGGCTTTTGATAAAATTTAACATCCCTTCATGTTAAAAATCCTCAGCGAGGCACGGTGGCTTAGACCTGTAATCCCAGCACTTTGCGATGCCAAGGCGGGTGGATCACAAGGTCAGGAGTTCGAGACCAGCCTGGCCAACATGGTGAAACCTTGTCTCTACTGAAAATACAAAATTAGCCAGGCATGGTGGCGCATACCTGTAATCCCAGCTACTCAGGAGGCTGAGGCAGGAGAATTGCTTGAACCTGGGAGGCAGAGGTTGCAGTGAGCTGACATCATGCCACTTCACTCCAGCCTGGGCAACAGAACAAGACTCCATCTCAAAAAAAAAAGTCCTCAACAAACTAGGCAACTAGGCACTGAAGGAACATACCTCAAAATAACAGGAGTCATCTATGACAAACCCACAGCCAACATTATCCTGAATAGGCAAAAGCTGGAAGCATTCTGCTTAAGAACTGGAATAAGACAAGGATTCCCATTCTCATCATGCCTAGTCAACATAGTACTGGAAGTCCTAGCCAGAGCAATCAGGCAAGAGAAAGAAACAAAAGACATCCAAATAATAACAGAGGAAGTCAAACTATCTTCATGGATGATATGATTTTATATACAGAAAACCCCACAGTCTCTGCCCAAAAGCTCCTAGATCTGATAAATAACTTCAGCAAAGTTTCAGGATATAAAATCAATGTACAAAAATCAGCAGCATTTCTATATTCCAACACTGTCTGAGTCTAGTGTGAAATCAAGGATGCAATCCCATTCACAATAACCACACACACAAAAATACCTAGGAATACAGCTAACCAGGGAGGTGAAAGATCTCTGCAATGAAAATTTCAAAACACTGCTGAAAGAAATCAGACATGACAAATACAAATGGAAAAACATCCCATGCTCATGGACAGGGGATACAAAGAATCAATGTTATTAAAATGGCCATACAGCCCAAAGCAATTTACAGATTTAATGCTATTTCTATCAAACTACCAATGACATTTTCCACAGAATTAGGAAAAACTATTCTAAAATGCATATGGAACCAAAAAGAGTTAGAATACCCAAAGCAATCCTAAGCAAAGGGTACAAAGCTGGAGGTATCACACTACTTTAAACTATACTACAAGGCTACAGTAACCAAAACAGCATGGTACTGATACAAAAACAGACACGCAGACCAATGTAACAGTACAGAGAGACCAGAAAAAAGCTGCACACCTAAAACCATCTGATCTTCAACAAAGTCGACAAAAAAAAAACAATGAGGAAAAGACTCCCTATTCAATAAATCATACTGGGACAACTGGATAGCCATAGCAGAAGATTAACACTGGACACCTTATTTACAATATAAAAATCAACTCAAGATGGATTCAAGACTTAAATATAAACCATAAAACTATAAAACCCTAGAAGAAAACTTAGGAAATACCATTCTGGTCATAGGCCCTGGCAAAGATTTCATTACAAAGACAAAGCAACAGCAGCAAAAACAAAAATTGACAAATATGATGTAATTAAACTAAAGAACTTCTGCACAGCCAAAAAAACAATCAATAGACTAATCAGACAATCTATAGAATGGAAGAAAATATTTGCAAACTATGCATCCAACAAAGGTCTAATATCCAGAATCTGAAAGAAACTTAACAAGGAAAAAACAACTCCATTAAAAAATGGGCAAAGGACATGAACAGACACTTGTCAAAAGAAGACATACACATGGCCAACTAGCATATGAAAAAAAATGTTCAACATTACTAATCATTAAGTACAAATCAAAAACCACACTGACATACCATCTCATATATACATAGGTGATTCAAGTGATTCTCCTGCCTCAGCCTCCTACGTATCTGGGACTACAGGCGTGCACCACCACGCCCGGCTAATTTTTGTATTTTTAGCAGAGATGGGGTTTCACCATGTTGGCCAGGCTGGTCTTGAACTCCTGACCTCAAGTGATCCACATGCCTTGGCTTTCCAAAGTGCTGGGATTAAAGATGTGAGCCACCACGTCTGGCCAAAAATGGACTATATTTTTGAGGACATATTGGTAATAAAAGCACCCAGTCAACCTTTCATTAACTCATCATAGGATGTAGTAGGATTAAAGATAACTCTAAATAGTCTAAAATGTGTTTAGATTCTCAATAAATATTCATTGTGAAAAATTAACTGATATAAAAAAGTAGAAAAAATAAAAGACACCCATTAGCCAGAATTACTAATATTTAAGTATGTATCTTCCTAGAGATTTTTCCTATGTATAAGCATACTTTTAAATACTTTTTTAAAATAAGATCATCATTTCTCTCTTGACATGGCCTTCCCTAAAGGAGACACACATGTACAAATCCCTCCTATTCAAAAAACAAAAAACAAACAAAAAACAACAACAGAAAAACCCCTCTCTGGATGCTACATTTTCATCTAGCCATAGTCACTTCTTTCCTTCCCTTCAGAGTAGAGTTCCTGATCACTTCTGTCTATTCTTTCCCAGTACCCACTATTAAAATAAAATTGCTATAGCCAAAAATCTGTGACCCAATTGCCATATCTAAAACTCTATTTTTAGTTCTCATTGTACTCAATAATTCTGCAGCATTTAATATTGTTGGCCAATCTCTTAAAGTTATCCAGTTCAGGGATGCCACTTGAATAGAGTCTCCTTTTAGCTTCTAACTCTTTGTTTTTCTGGCTTTTCCCTTGGCAAACCATTAAATGTTGGTATGTTATAGGGCCCAGCCTTGGTTCTTTTCATTTCTAACAGTATACATTCTCCTTGAGTAGTCATATCTTTAATTACTATGGTTTCAACCACTACTTGTTAATCTAATGATTCAATCTCTAGCTTTGGCTGGGACCACTCTCCTAAACCCCCAAACCATTAATCTATCTATTAGATATCCATCATACCAGGCACAGCAGCTCACACCTGCAATCCCAGCACTTTGGGAGGTCAAGGCAGGAAGACAGTTTGAGGCCAGGAGTTTGAGACCAGCCTAGGCAACAACACAATGAGACCCCCATCTCTACAAAAATTTAAATAAATAGATATCCATCTCTCTGTGGATTTGCCACACAGGCAAAGGCAGGCATAACATGTTCAAAGGTAAGTTAACTTTTCCTTTAAACCTATACCTCACCCAAAATCTTAATTACTGTTACCACGATCCAATTATTATTCATCTAAGAAGGAAATTTAGTAATCATTTTAGATTCTTCCATTATTATCTCTTTCTACATTTCACTAGCCATCAGTTCACGTACATTTTACTTGCTTAACTTTTCTTATACTTTACTCCCTTTATCTTTTGCCACTGTTACCACCTCAGTTCAGTTCTCATAATCTCTTGTCTGGACTTAGCATTTCCTCCTGTCTCACAATTTGTACAACTTAGGCTCTCTACTACTGCAAGACAGATCTTTTAAAATAGAATCTGGAAGAGCTTGCTGTCTGTGTCTCTTGAGACTATTAAAAATCTCCACTCTTTCTCAGTCCAGAGAAACTGCCATCTAGTCTCTGGGAAAGGATTTACACATCAGGTAAATCAGTTTACAGGTAACTGGCCAAATCATGATTACTAACCGGTGGATGAGATCATTACGTTAAAAGTGCAGGCCCTGCCATTGTCTTCCACCATCTTCTTCCTTCCTCTTTTTCACATGCCATTTCGACACTCAGCAATCTCACATTTTTAGGCTGAGAGATCAACTAGTTGAGTGATGGCAAGTTCTAAATTAGACATTTATTTTCTAACTGTAAAATGAACACATTATAGCAAACAATGAAACAATGAAATATAATACTGATTAAGGCAAAACAAACTGTCACAGATACTCTTGGTTGGATAAACCAATACTTTCCCCAGCCCTCTTCTTCTTTATAAAAATATTCTCCATTATAGAATGCAGAAAGCCTAAATAGTTGTTTACCTAGGCATTCTTCAGCTAGAGTTGGCCCAGCTTTGGCCAATGAGACCAAAGGAAAAGTATGCTCAAAGGTTCTGTGTAAGCTTTTGATTTCCTGATGAAAGGAGAAGAAGGAGCTGACACTATTCCTTTTCCCTTCCTCGAACATGATTTGTCCCTGGTATTTCCATTTGTGTCAGTCATCTTGCAAAATGAGGCAACATGCATGAGAACAGAAGGAATGAAGACACAAAATTAGTCTGTATCCCTGACTGCAGAAACTACTACACTTATGAGAAAAATAAACATCAACTTGCCAAGCCCCTGTCAATCCTGTTTTTGTTATTTACAGCTAAAATCACTATAACCACCTCCATCCCACCTGCCCAGCCCCTACCTTCCAGAAACAACCATCCTTGAGGCAACATTGGTAACTCCTCTCATACCTTTCCTTGGCTCACACAAAATACAAAAGCATGTGTGCCCATAAGTACACTGCTTATTTATTTTTCCCTTACCAACATACCATGAATATAAGTCAGCATATATTGATCAATCTTTTCCACTTGTTTTTAACTTAGATACATATTTTACATAAACAGGATGATCTCATTCCTGCTTTTTATATTCAGCTTTTACTTCTTTCCATTTTGCTTGCCTTTCCCCTTCCCTACTGTCTTAGACTTGTTCCTCCTTCCACTCTCTGCGGTCTCTTTTTTTTTTTTTCCCCTTTTTTTTTTTTAAGACCACCCATCCTATTGTATTAGGATCCTAACTTCATTTAACCTTAAAAGCTCGGTCTCCAAATATCACATTGGGGATTAGGGTTTAAACATATGAATTTTGGGAAGATGTAATTCCATCCATAGCAAGAATACCCAAGGCACTAGGGATGCTACAGCGAACATGCTGAGCAAGTAGGACCTATGAATTAATTCTTTAAAAAGGGAGAAAAACATGAAGAGAAGATATCTTCAAGATTGTGAGTGTTAAATGGCAGAAGGAGGGTTATTAAGGCATGGATATCAAGGGCCTGAACCAGGTGCTTGCGTTGGTAATATAAGACATTTCGAAAGCAAAATAATCAGAAGGTAATTTTCATTTGAGTGGAATAAAATACGCTGGTTTTATAAAGAATAATTCTGATTTTTTTCCTTATAAGACTTAAAATAATCATATCCCCTGAGTTTACATTATTTTGATTTGTATTCCCTCATTTATTTTTAAATTTTTTTAATAAATCAAAGTTCTTAGTTTCTGATTTCTAGGTAGGTGAGAAATCCCATTGAGCTATCACTGAGAGAGAACATGGCTCCATAACAAAATTCATTTTTCAGCCTCCCCAGCAACAATCGTTATACTTGTCCACTGGTTCTAGATCTGTTAAATCTTCAGTCACAGGCATGTCATACATTACTTTAAAGAATAAAGAGGTCATTTAGTCTTTTCTCTCCTTTACTAAATCTCTTGGGCCTCTTTTCCTGCTTTATTCCTTTCTCCTTTGTTTCTTTGTGGAGAAAATAAATAAACACACACACACACACACCAATGTGGTTTTTGTACACACACACACACACACACACACACACACACACACACACCAATGTATTTTTTGTTCCCAGTTCTGGTTATCCATGACCCTTCCTCTCCATTCAGGCAGAAGCAGAAAATGCTCAAGGAATGGATGACACAACAGTATGTGGATAACAAAGAAATTAAATTATTAAATTTTTGGCCTTTGATTTTCAGAAGCCCATGATTCTGAGCATAAATAATAGATTTGGAAGGTCTTTTTCCTGCTCCTCTTTTCCCCATCCCCTTATGCTCAACACATAGTAGACAAAGATTCTATGGGGTTGGGGCAAGATGCTGATGGATCTCTGGGAAGGTACTCTGCAACATATTTGCCTCAGCTTATAATTGGTGGGAGAATGACAGGATAGAACATTCCATAAGGTTTGGAGTTTTGTCAGCAGGGAAGCTCACTTCATCCCACTTCCAGAATACACTCTAAAGAGAAAGCAAGGTCTCAGAATTTTCTCATGCTTAGGGTGGTAGGGGAGTAGCAGAAGATGTCACTGATTTAGTACTGAGTAAATAGTAAACATCTTTTAGTTAGCAGAATAAAGAAAGTACAGTGACCTGGAGGGCTATAGCTCAGAAAGCATCAGACAAGCCAAATATTCATCCTTGCCAACATACTGGCACTCAAAGGCACTAGAATCTTAGGACCCAGACCCAGGGAGAAAAGAGAGAAGAAGGCCCTGTATTTATTAAGACTTAGTTTCTACCTCCTCATAGAAACTGGGCTTAATATAGAAATTAATTAATTCAGCAAGTACCCATTATATTCACTGTATTATGTATAAATAACTTAATTAAAAGTAATAAAAAGTATATTTTCTAAATATGTGACTTTGTGGACTGTCATTCATTCTTAAATTATTTCCTTTCCTCTCTTTTCATTATATCATTTAACCTCTTCACACACAAACTTGAAGGATGCCTACTTCTCTCTACATCTTATTCTACTATGGACTAATGTGGACTTTGTGTCAGGCATATGAAAAATAAGAATAAGATTTAGAGAATAAGATTTAGAGAATTCTATATCTTATTCTCTAAATCTTATTCTTATTTTTCATATGCCTGACACAAAGTCCACATTATGTCATGGGAAAAGTTTAGATATTAAGGTTATCAGAAAACACCAGTGATTAAGAGCATATGGAAGTTACTTTAAATATACAGACATGTATGTTACAGAATTCTTTTAATTTCTAATTCTTAAAGAAACATAAATTTTTATAAATGTCATTGTTGTGTCAAAAGAATTTGTAATTCTAGTCTCAGAATATGGCTTCAAATGTGCATTTATACACATTCCAAATTTGACAGTTTTGGATTTCTAACATATGCTAACTTCCATATCAGTCATCAAACCATATATTTTAAGAAACAACTAGAAAAGTTTTTATATAGCCCACAAATTCTTTAGTCAATATGGAGGACCATGCTGATGCAGGAAGTATTTCTCCAGTGCTAATTAGATTAAAATGCTAGATAAAAGGTTTAAAACCCTGATGTTTATGGTAGAGAGATATAGGAGTCAAAATTCTACACTCTATGTATAGCAGCAAGCTAGGAAGGCTGTTTGGTCTGAGGAATACAGTACAGTAGAAGCCAGTCACTCTGGACAAAGGATAGAAAGAGAGTCACCAGGAGAACTAGCACTCCAAATCTGCACGATTTGTGGCTGTGAGGCTGAATTAGCACTTCTCAAGGAGCTTGGAAACCCTGAACAGAGAAAATAACATTAAAACAAGTCTTTTACTGGTAAAAGCCATAAGATCACAGAAAATCAAACACAAAACTGGCCCCACAGAATTGCTTCCATAATTCAGAACAGCCAAGACATACAGAAACAATGCCCACTAAAGATAAACTCACAATTATAAATTACGAAACATGCCAGAAAATCAACTGCCAACGAACAAGTATAAGCAGACATATAACCAGAAGAATTCACTTTTGAAGACTATATAACCGAGAAATATATAAGGAACTTTTAAAAATGAGCGTGTTAAGAGATTTAAAAAAAGAAATATAGTCGATAAGGCAAGAACAGGACATAATAAAAAAGAATAAGTGAATTTGAAAAAAGTACCCAAATGGAGATTTTACATATGAAAAGCTGGGTTAAAGAAGACAAAATTAGTAAACTGGAAAACTAAAAAAAATGTATGGAATGATTAACCGTTAAGATTCTCAGTTAATTTTAGAGAGACAAGGTAGAGACTCCTTGAAACATCCTAAGAATGGTATAGGGCTATAAATAATTTTTAAAAAATCATCCAATTCAGCACTAAAATCAGGGCTTCTCTGAAAATCTCTTTCACATAATGCTCTGTGCAATTTCCTAATAACTAAACTAAATTGAACTCTTTTAGATTGGCAGTTCTCAACTCTAGTGTCAAATCTGTGGGAACAATTCCAATATGTTTTTTTCTGGCCACCTTATTAAAGTCACTTAGCTGCTCTCTGATATGACTCTTTTGAAACCTTCACCATTCCTTTCAAATTCTTCCTGGATCTACAATTTGTCTCTAGTGGCTTCTCACATTTAAAAAATAAAATAAAATTTTCTTAGTCTTGTGCCTTTTCTTTCAGTGACCTCCCTCTTTCTTCTTCCTGTCACAGCCAAACTTATCAAATGAATTGCCTGTACTTTTTTTCTTAGTTTTCTTACTTCTTCAAACGTTCTTCAACCCACTTTCTGCTGTTACTAGAGCCAACAGATATTTTTCAGTTTTTATCTTTCTTGACCTCTTTTTTCAAATATCTTGAAATAGGTGTTACTTTTTTTTCATCTTTATGATACAACATTCTTTTCTCCTAACTCCTTGCTCATTCTTCAAGTATGTCTTTGTTTATCCTTCCATAAAGTTGGAGTTCCTTAATGCTTGGTCTTAAGCTGCCTTCTCTTTTTTTTCTCTTCTGTTTTAAGTGAAAGCAAGTTTATTAAGGAAGTAAAGGAATAAAAGAATGGCTATTTCACAGGCAGAGCAGTCCTGAGGGCTGCTGGTTGGCTATTTTTATGGTTATTTCTTGATTACATGCTAAACAAGGGGTGGATTATTCATGAGTTTTCCAGGAAAAGGGTGGGCAATTCCCCCCAGAACTGAGGGTTCCTTCCCTTTTTAGACCGTATAGAGTAACTTCCTGACATTCCCTTGGCATCTGTAAAGTGTCATGGTGCTGGTGAGAGTGTTTTTTAGCATGCTAATATATTATAATTAGTGCATCATGAGGAGTGAGGACAACCTGAGGTCACTTTCATTACCATCTTGGTTTTGGTGGGTTTTGGCTGGCTTCTTTACCCTAGGCAATGGACCTACAGCTTCTGTCAATATTTGTATACAGATAAACTTCAGATTTAGTACTCCAGCCTTGACCTTTTTTTTGACCTCCAAAACTAGACATTTAAGTGTCTTTTGGATATTTTCATTGTGATGTCTTAAAGGCACCTCAATTCAATACATCCATACTGAACTCACAATCTTCTCTCCATAACCAAACTACTTTTAATTTTCTTTAACTAATTCAATTCATCCAGCTCCACAAGCTAGTACCCTAGGTATTATCCTTGACATTTCTTCCCAACTTAGTAAATCCTTTTCATCCTAGTCTCTGAATTTCTCCATTCCTGTCTTTCTACGTTTATAACCACCACTCTCTCTCACTTGGACTACTTCAATAAGCTATTAATTTTCGTTACCATCCTTTCTTGCATCTAATAATTTTTGCATACTGTGTCAAAATGCTTTTTTTCAAACTGTCATTCTTATCACGCCACTCCATAGTTTAAAAACCTTCAATATCTTCCAACTGTTCTTAGGCTAAAGACCAACATCTGTATCATGGTCCCTCCTACTCCACTCTAACCTCATCTATTTCATCTCTCACCACCCATACCATTGCCCTCTGAGCCTCAGCATGTCCTTCTTTTACTTCCTTAAATGTACCATTCTTCTCTGGGATACAGACCTTGGCACACATTGGTCTGTTTGTCTGTAATGTTTGGCCCTCATACTTCTTTACCTAGTTAACTCCTACTCATTTACTAGATCTTGGCCAAAAGGACACTTTTTCAATTTGGAAAGCCTTCCCTGACTCCTCAAACTAAAATAGGTCCCCTACTTATATGTCCTCATAGAAACGTGTCCTTCTTCTTAGCATTTATCATAGTTTGAATTTTACATATTTGTGAAAGAGGGCTTGATTAATGTGTGCCACTCTCACTAGACCTTAAGCTCTATGTCTAGTACATTATCTATTATGTAGTAGCCATTCACTTAATATTTGTTGAATGAAAGAGAAGTTACAATATGTGTTTAATAGTTAGTTTTAAAATTCCTTATTTCTAGTCTATTGTATTTTATATATTCTAAATTTACTGCATTCTGATTTTCTTCTTTGACTGGGAAAGAAGAGGAAGGGTTATTGCTGGTGAGGTGGGAAACGTGCATAAACCTGGGAATGTTCCTGAGAATGTGTGTGAAATCCTCCTTCATTTGTGTCACAGTGAGAAAACAAAAAATAAAAACCAAAAAACTCATAACTGCTACTCTAGATTGCCAACTAATTGTTTCTTTAAATAAAACTAAAATTCCTAGAAAAGCACAAATAATCTTGAGATATATTATGGCTCTTTAGGCTAGTCAGCAACATGTTACTAAGATAAGTCACATTTTATTCACTCCATTGTATCCACTGTGGGGTGTATTCTCAGAACCATGGAATATGTTCTGAGAAATGTGTCGTTAGGCAATTTTGTCATTGTGTGAAAGCCATAGAGTGTTCTTACACAAACTTAGATAGTATATCCTACTACACACCTAGGATATATGATATAGCCTATTGCTCCTAGGCTACAAACATATACAGAATGTTACTGTCTTATGGGATGACTATTTTATATGTGGTCCATTATTGAATGCAGTGTTGTTATACAACATATACTATAATTACTTTTCATACTTTGGTCATGAAAATCAAATAAAATATAAAAAATGAAAGTGACAACATGTATTAATTAAATATTCAATAGCAACATATACCTGTCAAATGTTCCACATTAAAGAGGGTTCAGTTTAATTAAAATGCCAGAAAATACTAACAGTAGGTATTCATACAATGTACACTTTGTGATTTTTATTTAATGCAATAATCTGGTTCACACTTAGTTGTAGTTTTTTATTTACTTTCTACATTCACTAATTTAGCTATTTACTTTTAGTTCAGATACACAGATACAGAAAATCAATCATTACCAAGCACATGAAATATTACCAAGCAAATGAAATATGTTTCCTTCAAATCAAGTATTTTATTCTGTTTTGTTTTCTTCAACTCTAGTAGGAATCAATGACTAAGAATTACATTTAAAGAAGTCAATTTCAAGTATTTATATGATTATAAGCTGATATTTCAATGGTGCAGGATAAACAAAAAACACATCAGGTATTTTGTGATTATATCTTGGTCACTTTCTTGTTTTCATTAAAATTATTTGAATTTCCTTTCAGATACAATTTAATATGAGCAACTGATTTTGAAATTATATCCTTTCCTCAGTAACTGAAAAGCTACATGAGAGAAGCAAAATAGTCAAATAGCTAGCAATTACAGGTAATATACAGAAATAAATTTTTAAATCCTTAAAAAATACTGCTTCAGAAAGGTGTAAGTGAATTCTCAACTTTTCCACTTACTAGATTTTGTGATCTTAGACAAATTACTCAACCTCTCTGAGTCTCAATGTACTTATCAGCACAATGGGAAGAATGCCACTTCCCTCACAGAACTGTTGTAAGAATTAAATGAGACTATATACATAAACAGCATGACATGAGCACATAAAATAAATGTGCTTAAGGCCATGAGCACATTCAGCAAATATAATCCAGAATCCCTGAAATTCCTGGGGAAGGAAGGTAAGAACATTTTGCAGTGGTTTGCTTATTGTTTAGATGACTATACAGGGAAATAAATAGTGCATTTACTCAATTAATTTCCCTTTTCCTGGTCCAGCAAATTACTGTCAAATTGAAGATAAAAGGATATAGACCACACAGCTTTGGTGATGTAAAATCTGGTAACAGTGAAGCCTACCATTTAACTTCTCTTCACTTGGGTGGCGCTAGTTATCAATTACGGTAGTCTCCTCTAAAAATGTAATAAAAATAGACAAGGCAAATATTAATACAATGGTTTACCCACTTATTCCATGAAATATTCTATGAAAAGATATTAGAATCTTTTCATGTATTTCTGTGAAATACACTGATTTACGATCCACTAAAGGCTTTTGTGTGTGTGTGTGTGTGTGTGTTATTGTTACTGGGAAGGAGGAAGAGACAGAATAGGTAACTTATATCAGAATGGCATTATGGAGACCTGGGTTGACCTGGCCCATGGATTTCAGCCAGGCAATGAATGCCTGTAGCATTTCCTGTAGTGAGTGCCTGAAAATTGATGGCTACCTTTAAGTTCCGAACTAAAGTTTTAAATACGTGCCAAAATTTCAAATACATGCCAAACATATGCCAAAATACATTGTTTCAAATACATGCCAAAATGTTTGGTACTCCATTGAAAATCAGCTTTACTTCAAAAATAAACTTTGAAGTTTGAAGATAATATCAGAGCTGAATAAATGTGGTCATAATCACAATTTCCAAAGCCATGTGATTTACTCTGATGTCCCACAGCTTAGCTTAAATGTGGCTTATTATAAGAGTAATTTATCTCAGACAAACATAGCAGGGCCTTCAGTAAGGTTTTTTGAAAATCATTTCCACTTCTACATAGAAAGGAATAAATAATTTTCAGGCTTTTACTTGGGCACACAGGGATGCCAAAAAAAGAGACGGTAGTATTCTATGAGGCACATGGAAACAAAGAAGTACCTCAAATTTGCTGCAAGTGTGCTGCTGCTGGCAATGACAAAGCTATCACGGGAAATGTTAGGGAGAGCAAAACTATCACACACTTCCTCTTTTAAAATTACAACAGATTGCGTGGGCCCAGGAGTTCGAGGCTGCAGTGAGCAATGACTGTGCCACTGCACTGCACTCCAGTCCAGGTGACAGAGTGAGACCCTGTCTCAAAATAAGAGAGGTGTGATAATTTTCCATGGGAGAATACATAAATGAAGACAGTATAAAATATTAAAGGCATTTCCAAAAAAGTGACTAGAGCACGCTGGAGTTAATTTAACAATGTATCATTGGATGGACTGTTTGAAATCATTCCTCAAAGGAAGTGAGATTTAGACTATTAAAGATGGGAAGGAAAGAATATAAGAGAGGTAAGGATGGTATGAGCAAGGGTATGGACATGGGAACTAGCAATCTGGATGTAGGTATGCAACAAAAGGTAGAGACATTAGAAGTAATAAGTAAGAGGGTTGGGGGTTTCCTGATAGAGAATTTTTATGCTGTGCTATGAATCAATATAGGTTTCAGAGAAGGGCTCTTGTGATAAAAAGTCATGTTCAAGGAAGAGCTGGCAGCTCTGCATAAAACTAACAGAAGTTTAGAGGGACTGAAGTCAGGACACGTTCCCCAAGGTTGATGTAGCAGTCCAAATATGACACGGTGATGGACTAGGTTTTTGGCTGCAGCACTGTAGATGAGCAACAACAGAGATTAAATTTTGCATTTGAAGGAAATTAGAATGCCTTGGTTCCTTTGGAATTAATCAGATGGTTCTTAAAAGTTGAAAGATTCAAAATCTTACTTTGGTATGTTCTCCTCCTCCATGTATAAGGGGTATTTTGATTTTAAAAGTTAAGGAATCACTTAGCTGGTAGTATTAGAAATGTCAATGTTGAAATGTCAGCAGAGCATACATACACAAGTAGGTTCTTGCCCCTCTATGCAAATTCTCTCTACCTAAGATATAGGGAAATTTATAATAGAAAAGGAAAAAAAGTATCTCTTTTTCATTTATTTGAAATGAAATGTCATGGACACTAAAAAAAGGAGAAAAGACAAATGAAAATATTTCATTGCCTCTTAATTTATAATCTGGCTGGAAGAGAATACACTCTAAATTGTAGTAATGTAGTTACTATAATTCAGCCTATAAATTCACACTCTCTGCTGCTGTGTCTATTGTAAAGTAAAACCCAAATAAGGTAGGAACTGTCTAAAATAACGCTAGCTAAAAGTAAAGGCATAATTTGAACTTCACCATCACCACCTTGTGAACCTAAATGAATAAACATTGGAAACTAATAAAGAAGACAGATATATTTATGGTCAATAGATTTGTAATCATGTTTCAAGAAATCAAGGTTTCTTAAACTGTGACCCATGGATAAAATGCAAGGGGAGAGGTGTTCTATGAACTTGGATAGGAAAAATAATTACAAACATAATTATCTACCTAATCTCTATTTAAATTGTATCATATCCTTCAATGATAAATGTAGAAGACAAATCACAGCAGTATCAGCACTACCTGTGACACTGTCACCAGAAATTAAAGATACTTCCAGTGACTGCAGATATCCCAATATTACTTACACTAATCATTGCAAAGACTTTACAGTAACAATTACAGCCATAACTAGATACTTCTATTTAATGCCTTAATAAAGAAGCACATATATTACTATATCATGAGTTTTAATATTTTAAAAACTTTTCATGCAGCCATAAAAAATGATGAGTTCATGTCCTTTGTAGGGACATGGATGAAATTGGAAACCATCATTCTCAGTAAACTATCTCAAGAACAAAAAACCAAACACCGCATATTCTCACTCATAGGTGGGAATTGAACAATGAGATCACATGGACACAGGAAGGGGAACATCACACTCTGGGGACTGTTGTGGGGTGGGGGGAGTGGGGAGGGATAGCATTGGGAGATATACCTAATGCTAGATGACGAATTAGTGGGTGCAGCACACCAGCATGGCACATGTATACATATGTAACTAACCTGCACAATGTGCACATGTACCCTAAAACTTAAAGTATAATAACAAATAAATAAATAAATAAATAAAAGAATCAAAGTGAAAAAAAAACTTTTTCAGTGTAATTACTTTCTTAAGCCTGTAGTTTATTTTATGCATTTAAAATCTTGTTTTAAAGAAAGTATCTATAGGCTTTAACAGCCTGCCAAAGAGACTGATGGTACAAAACAGGTTAAGAAACCATGGTCTGGGCGAAAAATTTCTTAACTACAGTTTATCATCTGTTAATAGAACCCTTAGGATCAGAGATGTTTCAGAATTCAGAAATTTTAAAATTTCAGACAGGTAGAGAAGCTGAATATGATATAATGTCTCACCACAGTCTGATGCAGCATCCTAAAATTAAACATACTAATATTTCTTCAGCAAAAATATGAAAATATATGCTAAGTAGAATAAATCCAAGCAACAAATAGTTCAAGTCAGGTTTTGCTGCCACATACATTCAGAACAGTACAGGTTTTGCAAATAAGTGAATTATGAAAACTCCTGAACTTTTGGCTTTCAGTAGTTTTTGAATTTTGGAACTGTAATAAGGGACTGAGGTCTTATTGTTTTATATATAAATAAATACACATCTATCTGTCCTGTCCTTTTCTCGATTTACACCTACTCTCTACTCCCTCCCCTTAATTTTGAATTAATAGTTTTTTACCCTGCATTATTTAAATTTTGATTGTTACAAGATTTTCTTTTAAAATCTGCTTAGAGCAGTTAAACTTGTAGCATAAAGCCACCTTATGTCTTTTCCTACAATTCGAAGAAATACAGTGATGAAATTTTGATAACAGGTAATTATCTTGAGTGAGCAATATCCCTTTTAGTGCAAACACATGTTTCTGGCTACTAGTAGCCTATAATATTCTGGGGTCATTCCCTTAGCAACAATTTTTCCATTCAATTACATACAAGAGATATACATTATAATGGTAATAACTTTATAAAAGAAGAAGCCTGTATATTATAACTATTATAGTTATAACCAATAAATGAATTCGATATTTAAATGTGAACCTGGTGTCACTTTCAACTCTCAGTTTTGCTAGTAACAGAACTTCCTTGGCAACCCTCATAGAATCCCACACACATTTCTTTTCTATGTGGCATTGACACATATTAAGATTGCCCTGCCTAGGGCAATCAGGCAAAAGAAATAAATAAAGCGTATTCACATAGGAAGAGAGGAAGTCAAATTGTCTCTGTTTGCAGATAACATGATTGTATATCTGGAAAACCCCATTGTTTCAGCCCAAAAACTCTTTAAGCTGATAAACAACTTCAGCAAAGTCTCAGAATACTAAATCAATGTGCAAAAATCATAAGCATTCTTATACACCAATAATAGACAAACAGTGAGCCAAATCATGAGTGAACTCCTATTCACAATTGCTACTAAGAGGATAAAATACCTAGGAATACAACTTACAAGGGACGTGAAGGACCTCTTGAAGGAGAACTGCAAACCACTGCTCAAGGAAATAAGAGGACACAAACAAGTGGAAAAACATCTCATCCTCATGGATAGAAAGAATCAGTATCGTGAAAATGGCCATACTGCCCAAAGTAATTTAGATTCAATGCTATTCCCAAACTACCACTGACATTTTTTCACAGAATTAGAAAAAACTACTTTAAATTTCATATGGCACCAAAAAAGAGCCTGTCTAGCAAGACAATCCTAAGCAAAAAGAACAAAGCTGGAGGCATCACGCTACCTGACTTCAAACTATACTACAAGGCTACAGAAACCAAAACAGCATGGTACTGGTACCAAAATAGAAATATAGACCAATGAAACAGAACACAGGCCTCAGAAGTAATACCGCACATCTACAGCCATCTGATCTTTGACAAACCTGACAAAAATGAGCAATGGGGAAAGGATTCCCTATTTAATAAATTGTGTTGGGAAAACTGGCTAGCCACATGCAGAAAACTGAAACTGGACCCCTCCCTTACACCTTACACAAAAATTAACTTAAGATGGATTAAAGACCTAAACGTAAGACTGAAAACCATAAAAACCATAGAAGAAAACATAGACAATGCCATCCAGGACATAGGCATGGGCAAAGACTTCATGACTAAAACACCAAAAGCCATGGCAACAAAAGCTAGAATTGATAAATGGGATCTAATTAAACTAAAGAGCTTCTGCACATTAAAGGAAACTATCATCAGAGTGAACAGGCAACCTACAGAATGGAAGAAAATTTTTGCAATCTACCCATCTGACAGAGGGCTAATATCCAGAATTTACAAGGAACTTAAACAAATTTACAAGAAAAAACAAACAACCTCATCAAAAAGTATGCGAAGGACATGAACAGAAACTTTACAAAAGAAGACACTTATGCAGCCAACAAACATATGAAAAAAGCTCATCATCACTAGTCATTAGAGAAATGCAAATCAAAACCACAATGAGATACCATCTCAAGCCAGTTAGAATGGTGATCATTAAAAAGTCAGGAAATAACAGATGCTGGAGAGGATGTGAAGTAGGAATGCTTTTACATTGTTGGTGGGAGTGTAAATTAGTTCAACCATTGAGGAAGACAATGTGGCAATTCCTCAAGGATCTAGAACCAAAAATACCATTTGACCCAGCAATCCCATTATTGGGTATATACCCAAAGGATTATAAATCATTCTACTATAGAGACATATGCACATGTATGTTTACTGCAGCACTATTTACAACAGCAAAGATGTGGAACCAACCCAAATGCCCATCAATGATAGACTGGATAAAGTAAATGTGGCACATATACACCATGGAATATTATACAGCCACAAAAAAGAATCAGTTCATGTTCTTTGCAGGGACATGGATGAAGCTGGAAACCATCATTCTCAGCAAACTAACACAGGAACAGAAAACAAAACACTGCATGTTCTCACTCATAAGTGGGAACTGAACAATGAGAACACATGGACACCGGGAGGGGAATACCACACACTGGGGCCTGTCGGGGGTGGGAGGCAAGGGGAGGGATAGCATTAGAATAAATACCTAATGCATGTGGGGCTTAAAACCTAGATGATGGGTTGATGGGTGCAGAATACCACCATGGCATATGTATACCTATGTAACAAACTTGCACATTCTGCGCATGTATCCCAGAACTTAAAGAAATAAAAAAAAGATGTTTCTTATGACCTATTTTGGGGAAAACACATTCATTTGCCAAAGAACATGTATATTGGATAGAAGGCAATAAGGGAAAAGAGAGGAGAGAGATTTCATAATCCATCAAATTGTGAAAAAGGGGACCAAAACAAAGCACAACATACCTGCTTTTGAGGAAAGTTAGACTACTATATGGAGACTGAAGTAAATCAGGCCACAGCAAACACTAGGTAAAAGGCCAGTAGAATTATGCCATGGAAATGAATAAACTAAATTTGAAAACTAACAATATAGGTGAATCTTAGTAACACAAGGTTAAATCAAAACATTAGCCCAAAACACTAAGCTGTTTATGTAAAAGTCAAAAATAGACAAGACTAAACATACTGATTGCACATCTGTATGCAAGTGTGTATGTGATGTAACTAAAGTAACTAAAACGAAATAAAAAATAGATGTGACTAAGGCTGTTCTAGTTTTTGAGTTAGGCAGTGGGTTCACAAGACTTCATCAAATAATAAATTAAAAAAACCAAGTAAGTAAATTAGGTAAAATAAAATTAATATGTGGATCAATGATGTTTTGTCATGAATTATGGATTATGAAAAATTCAATTTTGTGCAGCTGAGGAAACAAGTATTTTACATTAAAAAACAGGTTTTCATGAAGCCATTCCGTCAATTGCTTTTTCACTTCAAAACAGCTAAGCAAAATCTGAAGGAAGTTAAAAAATAACACAGTTAAAAGGTTCATTACATAGTTAATTTTCTTTTAAACATATTTTATCTAGGGATGTGCTAGAGACAACTCATACTAACTCAAAAGAGCTAACTGTGCACATCTCTTCCCAACTCTTCATTCAGTGATTTCATATTAATGAATTCAGGTGTGGCGAGAATATTTACACCATGGAGACCGGCAAGTGTTACAAATTGGGGCTTCTCACTGGAGAAATATTCCCCAGCACACTGCTGTTTTAATTGAAGTGTTACTCACATAGAGAAAATTCACAAATGCACAATGAATTCTAACAAACTGTAAACACCAGACTAACCACCAACCAGGTGAATAAATAAACAGAATTTTATTAATCCCCTGAATATCCTTATCATGCTCCCTTCAAGGAAACTCATTCTCCGACAAGTGACTTATTCAGTATCACAGAGATAGAAGTTTTAGGGCCAGGACTTATTTCTAAATCTGTCTGGCTATAATGCTACACCATATTTGTGGCCATTATATTCACTTCTATTTTACATCTTGTTGGGACTCCTAGAGAACAGGATATTTGAACCAGCATCTTCTACAGAAGCACATATTTTGCAGTGGGAGTTTTTGGTTAGGCAGAGACATCACTGTCAGTATACCACAAATATTCCTTTGGAGAACGTAGGGAAGGTTAGAGGGAAAATAAAAAGTACCTGTGGCTCACAAAAATGTTGGGGAGCCCCTTTTGAGGACTTTAATGCTCAAAATAAATAAGGCCAAAATGAATTTTCTACATGAGAATTACAAAAAACCAAAAATCCTCTGCAACTCAGGGAAAAGTCTCTTGAATGAGTGCATGTTTCTCATTCATCAGTGGCACTGTGTTTCTGAAAATTAACAGTCTCAATTTTTCCCTATTTAGGCAATATGAAGAAATTAACTGAGGATTTTTTCATTATTTAACAGCCTGTTACTGGTAAATCACACATATTTCAAATTCACACTCATTGGTAGTTTGGACTCTATGCCATGGTAAAAGAGACGGGTGATCAATTTCTAAAAATTCCTTAGATTCAAAGAGTGGTGCTAAGGCTGTCCGATTTTGAAATACGAAATGAGCAATGTACAAGTTGGTATATGAAAGGCATCCAGCACAGTGCCCAGTGCATAGATGACACACAGATGCATTAATTGATGGTCTTGTCATTCTCCTGATTCCCCCAAACTGCTTTTACTTATTTATGTATATAACAAAGGGAAGAAAGTAATCTTAAAGAATGGATAATTCAAGATTTATATCTAGCTTTGAAATATATATATTATTTACCCCTTTAATCTTCCTATTTGATTAAAGCAATTTGTATCCCCTTAGTAAGTTACCACTGCAAAGGAAGATCACAGGGGGAATCCTCCCTCAGGTGTAAAAGCTGCCCAAAGTCATCTAAATGCAAAAAATTATTTGGTAAGTATAACAATAAAATGATACTTCACAAGAAGTTCTTGAGAACAGGGATAATACTGGCCATGAAGTCAGTAACAATATAGCTTTGTTCTGGTCAATAAGACTCTGAACTTGTATTAACTCCTAAAGCTTCCCCATGCCAACAGAATCCAATCGAGGTATACCTACAGCTTTCACTTTTTTCCACTATAAAACGTTCTCATTCATCTGCCTGCCTTTGAGGGTCTGCCAAACACCAAACGCAAGTGATGGTGGATGACTCCTTAGCTACAGCAAATTCTGAATAAATAGCCTTTGGTTGTTCTCACTTGAGCAGCTTTGTTTCTTTCCACCTGATATTGATTTATAAGAGACTCAAAAGAAATCCCTACTTAAAACATATGTTTGTAACATTCAACCAGATAATAGCATTTTCAGAAAGAAACACAACGAAGGTAGGGAGAGGGTCAGTGAGTTCACTGTGTGTGATAAGAGATATTTTTTTCAAAAATAAATAACATCCTATAACCTCATAGGAAATATTTAAAATATTCTGAAACCCAATGAATGAAAGGCATTGGTATTAGGAATATGTAAAAGGACACTTAAAAAATTTTTTTGAAAGAAGTAGCGATACCATTCTTTAACCCAGTCCAATTTCGCAGGTGCTTTATCAAAGCAAGGCTAAGATTGTCTCATCAGGATTACCCAGGCTTGAGGATTTTCTGTGTTGAAAGGTGGATGCTAGGAAATGAAATTAAGCCTTGTTAGGTTGACATGAATTTGCAAAAATGGTATAGCCACCATTTATAATCTCTTTTTCCTGAATGAAAATGTTGGCTTAATCTGAATCCAAAAGGATAAAACTGACAAATGAAGAGTCACTTCTCTCCAAGGCTGATGTTGTACGTAGATATGATATGCCAAATGATCAGTGAATGATTTCTGATTTACAACAGAACTAGAAAGCCAAAATTGTTAAATCTACTATTTCTGCATGTGCTTAAATAAATCTGTATGACATCAAAGAAATGTATCTTCTTTAGGTTTTTTCCTATTTGGAACATTAAAATACTTGTTTGCATTCAGTATGAGCATGACTGTTGGATTAAATCCAACCCAAAATACAGCCAAAAAAAAAAAAAAGAGGAAACTGAACTAAGCTAGATGATTTGTTCATGACGGAAAGAACATACAACAATATAAACAATAGTACTTACTATGTGGAAAGCATTGTGCTAAGAAAATTGTATATAATACCCTACCACAGTCTTTTAAGACAGGGATTAACATTCCCATTTTACATATGAGAAAACTGAGGCTCAGAGATGAGATGTTAAACAAAGCTGAAGATCTCATACAGCCAGTTAGTTGTAGAACCATGGTTCAACCCTAAATTGATTTGATTCCAAGGCCTTTGCTCTGTGCAAATATGTTTAATTACCTCTCTAGAAGTAGTCATCAACAGAGAGAAATAGGCAAGTCCACCTAAGTGTCAATGCTGAAAGGAATTGAGGGATTGGTTATTCTAAATTAATAGATAATTTCACAGATGAGAAAACTGAAGATACAGAAGTAACATGACCTACTCAGATAGCATCTGTCATGAAATCCAAGACTTTTAACCCAATATTGAAGAAATTAATTTCTTTCTTAAATATGAAATAATTTACTTCAAAAGAAAGACTATTCTTTTACAAATAACTCTAAAATCAGTTACAATAAAAAACTGGAAGCAATTTTTAAAATTCATTAATAGAAGGATAATTACAGAGACTACTGCATAACCGTAAAATAAAATATTGTGTAGCTACTGAAAATGATGATGTAAATCACAGACCTAGAAAAACTGCCACGAGGGCCCATTAATTTGAGGGGGAAAACAGTTCACAAGACTATGTCACATTACGTCTGTTGGGCGAAATATCTATATGCATAAATATGTATAAATATGTAAATTACATATGTGCCTATAGATACGTACTATTATATCTGTACATTTATTTGTGAGTATATAAAATTGTGTATGTATAAAGTCAATAAGAAATGAGGACATCCTAAAATAATAATAATTGCTTTTTTGGTGCTAGGATGATTAGGATAGTCAAAGATTTTTCTTCTTTTCATAGGGTTTGAATTTTTTTAATTTTTTTGTTGTTGTTGTTGAGACGGAGTTTTGCTCTTGTTGCCCAGGGTGGAGTTCAATGGCGTGATCTTGGCTCACCACAACCTCCGCCTCCCGGGTTCAAGTGATTCTCCTGCCTCAGCCTCCCGAGTAGCTGGGATTATAGGCATGCACCACCACGCCCGGCTAATTTTGTATTTTAGTAGAGATGGGGCTTCTCCATGTTGGTCGGGCTGGTTTCGAACTCCTGACCTCAGGTGAGCCACCCACCTCGGCCTCCCAAAGTGCTGGGATTACAGGTGTGAGCCACTGTGCCTGGCCTGAATTTTATAAGAGCATATAGTACTCTTATAATCATAAAACAAAATGCTAACTTAAATTTGAAAAAACAAGTTATGTCTGTATTAAAGTTCAGACAATAGGAGTAAGTCTCTAAGAAGTCTTGGTGAGTAGATACAGAGCTAAGCTGTGTGAGTTGAACATCACAAGGTCTATACTTGACTAGTTTTCCCAGGATCAAGTCTGATGACTAAGGAAATCTCTCTAAATCAGAACAGGCTTAGAGCAGAGTATTCTGCTTCTCTAGACACTGATCTCTTCCAAAAAATCACCCTCATACTTTGCTCTTTCCAAATCATTCTTTCACTGTTCCCCCCAAAACCCTTTCCAACATGCCCTGGGCATCCCCTTACTGTCGGGATTCTCAGCCTCTTCAGACATGCAGATATTTCCTTGCCTTGCATGAAACCTTTTCCTCCCCAGCACATCACTTATACAGCCTTCTTATGAAAGATGGCTCCTCCAACAGCATGTTCCTCAAGAGAAAGGAGGTGGTTAGTATTCCACCCACTCCCGCCCCATTTAATTCCTCTTTCAAATTAGTGCTCTTCTACCTCTGAGGACAAAAACAAACAAACAAACAAACAAACAATATACTCACATGTGGCTATATAAGCTTCTTCTCCTACCCACTGCTGTCCTCTTGTCTGCTATCACTTAAAAATATCCTACCTACTTGGCTTTCAAGTTCAAACAACCTACTCTCTGACAAGCACTGCCTAGCCTAACACCTCTTGTTTCTTTATTCCATCCCTTAATGATGGTGTTCCACAAGCTGTATCTACAAGTCTTTTCATTTTTCACATTACCCACTCTCCTTCCATTAAACTACTCACTTGTCACCTATGACTAATCAGTTATTATCTAAGAGAAAATGTTTTTCAAAGTATATCTCAGCCCAGAGTTATCTTCTAAACTCTAAACATACATATGTATAAAGCCAACTGTTCAATATATCTACCTATATATCTCACACCCCACAGGCATGTCAATCTCAATATGTCTAGCATTCCTTGCTTCACTGCCCTCCCAAAACTGTTCCTTTACAATCCAAGGGAATAGCACCCCCATTCATCTAAAAGAAAAAAAACCTTAATTATTCTCTCTCACTCTCAACCATTATATCTAACTAGCTGCCAAATTCTGCTGGGACTCAGTCTCTCTCAAATTTGTCAATGCATCATATCATTTTATTGGTTCAGTAACTCAACCTCTCTTACCAGAATAACTTCTAACTAGTTTCTCTGACCTTATCCACCTCCCTTCCCACATTCATCCTCCATACTTCTGCCAGACTGAATTCAAAACACAACCTTACTAGGTCTTTCTTAATCTTTTTTTAAATTTCCTTGTAAGGCACAAAATGGTCTTTTAGTTTTGGTCTCTACATACTTCCTACCTTGATATCCAGTCATAAGTGTCCCCATATTCATTCTACCAATGTTACAAGAACATGTGGTTAGTCCCTGGAAGGCCATACACTCTCCTTTCTCTCTTCTCAGCCTCACTTGTCAACTCCTGACTGTCCCACAAGATTTCATGTAAGGACTCTCATGAAGAAATCCCTTCTGACCCTCTGCCTTTCCCATGCAAAGTTTGCTGTTATTCCTTCTTTTATGGCACTGGCCAAATTAGGATGTCATCACTTCCTTTATCTCCTTCTCAGCTTTCCTAGGCAGCAAGCACTATGTCCTTTTCTTTGTTTCCGTGGCCCTGAGAAGAGTATCTGACACACAGAAAGTGTTCAGAGCTGAGTTCAATTCCTGTATATCCTTGTTAACTTTCTGTCTCGTTGATCTCTCTAATGTTGACTGTGGGGTGTTAAAGTCTCCCATTATTATTGTGTGGGTTCTGAAACTATTCCAATCAATAGAAAAAGAGGGAATCCTCCCTAACTCATTTTATGAGGCCAGCATCATCCTGATACCAAAGCCTGGCAGAGACACACACACAAAAAAGAGAATTTTAGACCAATATCCCTGATGAAGATTGATGCAAAAATCCTCAATAAAATACTGGCAAACCGAATTCAGCAGCACATCAAAAAGCTTATCCACCATGATCAAGTGGGCTTCATCCCTGGGATGCAAGGCTGGTTCAACATACGCAAATCAATAAATGTAATCCAGCATATAAACAGAACCAAAGACAAAAACCACATGATTATCTCAACAGATGCAGAAAATGCCTTTGACAAAATTCAACAGCCGTTCATGCTAAAAACTCTCAATAAATTATGTATTGATGGAACATATCTCAAAATAATAAGAGCTATTTATGACAGACCCACAGCCAATATCATACTGAATGGGCAAAAGCTGGAAGCATTCCCTTTGAAAACTGGCACAAGACAAGGATGCCCTCTCTCACCACTCCTATTCAACGTAGTGTTGGAAGTTCTGGCCAGGGCAATCAGGGAGGAGAAATACATAAAGGGTATTCAATTAGGAAAATAGGAAGTCAAATTGTTCCTGTTTGCAGATGACATGATTGTATATCTAAAAAACCCCATCATCTCAGCCCAAAATCTCCTTAAGCTGATAAGCAACTTCAGCAAAGTCTCAGGATACAAAATCAATGTGCAAAAATCACAAGCATTCTTATACACCAATAACAGACAAACAGAGAGCCAAATCAGGAGTGAACTCCCATTCACAATTGCTTCAAAGATAATAAAATACCTAGGAATCCAACTTACAAGGGACGTGAAGGACCTCTTCAAGAAGAACTACAAACCACTGCTCAACGAAATAAAAGAGGACACAAACAAATGGAAGAACATTCCATGCTTGTGGATAGGAAGAATCAATATCGTGAAAGTGGCCATACTGCCCAAGGTAATTTATAGATTCAATGTCATCCCCATCAAGCTACCAATGGCTTTCTTCACAGAATTGGAAAAAACTACTTTAAATTTCATATGGAACCAAAAAAGAGCCCACATTGCCAAGTCAATCCTAAGCCAAAAGAACAAAGCTGGAGGCATCACGCTACCTGAATTCAAACTATACTGCAAGGCTGCAGTAAACAAAACAGCATGGTACTGGTACCAAAACAGAGATATAGACCAATGGAACAGAACAGAGCCCTCAGAAATAATACTACACACCTACAACCATCTGATCTTTGACAAACCTGACAGAAACAAGCAATGGGGAAAGGATTCCCTATTTAATAAATGGTGCTGGGGAAACTGGCTAGCCATATGTAGAAAGCTGAAACTGGATTCCCTTCCTTACACCTTATACAAAAATTCATTCAAGATGGATTAAAGACTTAAATGTTAGATCTAAAACCATAAAAACCGAAGAAGAAAACCTAGGCAATACAATTCAGGACATAGGCACGGGCAAGGACTTCATGTCTAAAACACCAAAAGCAATGGCAACAAAAGCCAAAATTGACAAATGGGATCTAATTAAACTAAGGAGCTTCTGCACAGCAAAAGAAACTACCATCAGAGTGAACAGGCAACCTACAGAATGGGAGAAAATTTTTGCAATCTACTCATCTGACAAAGGGCTAATATCCAGAATCTACAATGAACTCAAACAAATTTACAAGAAAAAAACAAACAACCCCATCAACAAGTGGGCGAAGGATATGAACAGACACTTCTCAAAAGAAGACATTTATGCAGCCAAAAGACACATGAAAAAATGCTCATCATCACTGGCCATCAGAGAAATGCAAATCAAAACCACAATGAGATACCATCTTACACCAGTTTGAATGGCAATCATTAAAAAGTCAGGAAACAATAGGTGCTGGAGAGGATGTGGAGAAATAGGAACACTTTTACACTGTTTGTGGGAATGTAAACTAGTTCAACCATTGTGGAAGACAGTGTGGCGATTCCTCAGGGATCTGGAACTAGAAATACCATTTGACCCAGCCATCCCATTACTGGGTATATACCCAAAGGATTATAAATCATGCTGCTATAACGACACATGCATATGTATGTTTATTGTGGCACTATTCACAATAGCAAAGACTTGGAACCAACCCAAATGTCCAACAATGATAGATTGGATTAAGAAAATGTGGCACATATACACCATGGAATACTATGCAGCCATAAAAAATGATGAGTTCATGTCCTTAGTAGGGACATGGATGAAGCTGGAAACCATCATTCTCAGCAAACTATCGCAAGGACAAAAAACCATACACCACATGTTCTCACTCATAGGTGGGAATTGAACAATGAGAACACCTGGACACAGGAAGGGGAAGATCACACACCAGGGCCTGTTGTGGGGCTGGGGCGAGGGGGATAGCATTTGGAGATATACCTAATGTAAATGACGAGTTAATGGGTGCAGCACACTAACATGGCACATGTATACATATGCAACAAACCTGCACGTTGTGCACATGTACCCTAGAACTTAAAGTATAATAATAATAAAAAAAGAAAGTGTTCAGAAATGCTGGATAAATAAAATATACCAAGAATTGTGAAGCTTTAACCAATGTCAACATTTTTTAGATAATGGTTTAATAATTTTTTTAAAAAATTAAGATTCAGAATCACCTCATGGCTACTATCTTAAAAAATGTTTTTAAGAAAGTTAGTTCAAAACAATTGTGATCTTTCTTTAGAAATATGGAGAATGTGATTTGCTTGTGGGGAAAATGTAGTAAGGAACAACTGGAGGTTGTTCTTCTAAGAAAATGGGGCTCTCCTCCCCCAAAGAGAAAGATATCAGATATCACTTCAAATGGCTCAGATGTACTGACCAAATGTCTTTCTAAGCACCCTCATAAACCTGTGAATCCAGAAAGTTACCTTTTAGTATTAATGGCTGGAGAAAAACAGGAATGAAAGTCTCCTGCACTGTTGTTCTATACATTTCCTTAGGCATATTATTTTATGCAAAGATAGAATAAGCTTCGCCTACTCTATAATTAGCTAAGTCCATTTTGATACACAATATCCAAATAAAAAGATTATATAAAAAGAATGGATAATCTTAAGAGACTGTCCCTATCTATATTTTTATTAATAGTATGGCTTGCTTTATGATTGCTTCATTACAAAACTCAATTTATTTGATGTCCATTTATAAATTCATTTTTCTCCAGCCCCAATCTCCTAAATTTTTAAACATAATATTCTATAAAAAGCATGTTGCAAAATGCCAGAGATTTCCTGATCTCCCCAAGGCATAAAATACTTTTTTGTTATTTAAACAAAAGAAGAAATAAACAATTCTTGTTTGAAGAGCCATACATTACCAGAAACAAGGCACCAATATGGTTCTGCCAATCTCTGAGGAAGAGGAATTATTAGATGAAACACCACTTCCACAATCTTCATTTTCATCCTGTCATCAGGCTCCATTTGTCAGCATTCCAACATTGCTTCTTAACTAGCATCTTAAAACAGCTAAAGGTGGACTTGAAAGGTTTAGCTTCCTAGAGATTTTAGCTGTCTTTAACCTTAAAAACAACTTGCCTTCATAATCTTGATTTTTCAACCTTTTATGTGAATGAATAGAATTTTTAAATAATTTCTGTTTATCAGAGTTGAAATAGTGAAATTAAGGCCTAGTTTGCAAGCTCAGGATATCCAAATGTTTAGGTGATCATTACATATATGTGAAGTTAGAGAAGAGAGGGTCCACCCTTTAGTGGTAAGGGTAAATTTAATATAAAAAATAAGTTCACTTTTAATAAAATAGCTAGTATTTATTAAATGCTTACTATATGCAAGATAATGTTCTAAAATGGCCATCCTAAGCTGCTTGATCTCTTAGACTACCACATATCAGGTTTGTTTAAAAGTTTAATATGCCGATATTACTTTAATTCAGAGCTTTTATAGGTGACCTTGGGGTTATAATGAAGGAACTCCACTTATTACAAGCACTTTCAGGATAAAGACTCAAGAAAAAAATGAAAGTTATTCTAGTACTAACTATATTATTTATGTCAACATCTTACTGATTTCAGTTTTGCCTGTGCATAAAACTCCTGAGACTCTATTGTCTTTAACAGTTTAATGGAATGAAGCACAAAAAACGAGGAACCAGAGAAACTAAATCAGATTTTTACAGATTGAAAAATTTCAATCTCAGTGATATTTTGGTAGCAAAATATTAAACTACAGGGGATCAAATTTTATTTCTCCAAAACGGGAAACCTGTGAAAATTTAAAGTTTTTAATTTATTTGGCCTTTGAAGAAAAATAAATATTAGTATTGAAATAATTTACAGAGAACACTAGTTGTGATGGTTAAATGACAAGAGGGATATAAACAATGTGAAAAATTCATAGAAATTGAAAGCTCAGCTAACAAATTTCTTCTATTTTACAGGAGATAGAAACTTCATTGACATGCCTTAGTTTTTGGAATTAAGAAAAACTCATAGAATGAAGGTTCATAGCTTCATAAATGTTTAAGTCTAGCAAGTGTGAATTTCAAAGCTGACAAACTCAGAAATGTAATGATTTCTTAGCAAGGGGACGTAATTTGTTTATTTAGCTCTGATTTTCTCTGTGTAGACTAGGACAACAATCTTCAAGGCAAATCATTGGCTTATAGTTTAAAACTCAGTTTTTTAGTGGTAAATAGTTTCAGGATTCTCTCCTTGTATCTTTTCCTTCCTTTATCCCATCCTTGATCACTCTCGGGGAGGTACAGAGCAAACATGAATGAGGTCATTTGAGGTGTGTGTGTGCTGGGGCGGGGGGTGGTGATGGTGATGGTGGTGAATGGTTCATGAATGTCTTCTGTTAATACTGGCTCTGCTGAGATCTAACCTGCCCTTCATCGTCCTCATCACTGTGCCCCAGCATCTACTACTAAAACCTGTGTTCCACAAGGCTTCCAACCCCCATGTCATGAAGCCTCTTTAGATCCACTGTTTTCTTCTCAGATATGTCCTTGATCTCTTTGAGGCACAGGAAGTTTAGTTTTCCATGCTCAGGACCACTACATTCTGGGCAGCTGTCCTCATGCCCATCCATCTGTATACTTAACAGCTGGAACTGAAAGATGGCATTTCTATGAGACCTGCCATCTTCCCAGGCTCTGGTTTCTTTTTAATTGACAAAAAACCTTGTATGTATTCCCTATGCAAAATATGATTATTTGTAGTATATATAATTATGAAATGACTAAATCTAGATAATTAATATATGTATTACCTCACAGTTATCATTTTTGTGGTGAGAACACTTTACGTCCACTCTCCTGACATTTTTCAAAAATACAATTTATTAACTATGGCCACCATGTCATATGATGTATCTTTTAAACTAATTTCTCCTAACTGAAATTTTGTATCCTTTGACCAATATCTCCTCAACTTCCCCCTCCCCTAACTGGCCTTTCCCTGTTGTGTGTTCTTGGCACCTTTGTTGAAAATCAGCTGGCTGTACATGCATGGATTTATTTCTGAGCTCTCTATACTGATCCATTGGTATATGTGTTTGTTTTTATGCTAGTACTATGTGGTTTTGGTTGCTATAGATCTGTAGTATATTTTGAAGAAAGGTAGTTTTGTTCTTTTTGCTCCAGATTGTTTTGGTTGTTTGGGATCTTTTCTAGTTTCATATAAATATTAGGGATTTTTTTTGTATTTTTGTGAAATCTATAGAACACTCTGTATAGCATGGACACTTAAAATCCAATCCATGTGTATGAGATATTTTCCACTTATTTGTCTTTTTCTCCAATTTCCTTCATCAATATTTTATAGTTTTCAGTGTGCAGATCTTTCACCTCCTTGGTTCAACTTATTTCTAGGTATTTTTTTCTGTAGCAAGTGTAAATGGGGCTGTTTTTACTGGTTTTTCAGATAGTTCACTGTGTGTAGAAATGCTAGTTTTTAAATGTTGATTTTGTATTCTGTATCGTTACTGAATTCTTTTGTTAGTTCAAAAGTTTTTTATGGGGTCTTTAAGATTTTCTGTGTATAAGGCAACGTCACCTGGGAGGCCAAGGTGGGAAGATTGCCTGAGGCCAGACCATCCCGGGTAACACAGTATCCTATGCCTACAATATAAAAAATTAAAAAAATTAGCCAGGTGTGGTGGTACATGCTTGTAGTCCTACCCACTCAGAAGGCTGAGGCAGGAGGCTTGCTCGAGCCCAGGAGTTTCAGGCTGCAGTGAGCTAATGATGGCACCAGCCTGGGTAACAGAATGAGACCCTACCTCTAAAAATTAATTAATTAACTAGCTAACTAATTAATTTCAAAAAGCATGTCATCTGCAAACAGGGACAATTTGAATTCCTTTCATTTCTTTTTCTTGCCTAATTGCTATGGCTAGGGTCGCCAGTATGGTAACGATAAAAAGTGGTGACACTGGCACTCTTGTCTTGTTGCAAATCTTAGAGCAAAAGCTTTCACTTTTTCCCCATTGTGTATGATGTTAGTTGTGGGCTCGTCAAATATGGTCTGTGTTGTGTTGAGATAAATTCCTTGTATACCTAATTTGTTGAGCTATTATCATAAAATGTTGAATTTTCTCAAATGCTTTTTCTATATCAAAAGAATATGTTTTTTCTGTCATTCTGTTAACATGATGTATCACATTTATTTATTTATGTATGTTGAAATACACTTGCTTCCCTGGGATGAATACCATTTGATCATAGTGAATGATCTTTTTAATGTGATGTTGACTTCAGTTTGCTAGTATTTTACTGAGGATTTTTGCATCTATGTTCGTCAGCTTTATTGGACTGTAGTTTTCTCTTTTTATTGTAGTGTGTCTGTCTGGCTTTGATGTCAGGGTGATTGTGGCATTATAAATGAGTTTGAAAGTATTCCCTCCTCTTCAATTTCTTGAATCAGTTTGAGAAGATTTGGTATTAGTCCTTCATTAAATATTTGGTAGCATTCAGCAGTGAAGCCATCAGGTCCTAGGCTTTTCTTTGATGGGACACTTTTTATTTCTGATTTAGGCTTGGTAGGTTGTATGCATAAAGGAATTTATCCATATCTTGTAGGTTATCCAATTTGTTGGTGTATAATTGTTCATAATAGTGTCTTATGATCCTCTGTATGTTTTATCAGTTGTAATATCTCCTTTTTCATTTCTGATTAAATTTATTTGAGTCTTCTCATTTTCTGCTGTTAGCCCAGCTAATGGTTTGTTGATTTTCTCTTTAAAAAAACCCCCAATATTTGGTATTGTTGATCTTTTCTATTATTTTCCTAGTGTACATTTCATTGATTTCTGCCCTGATATTATTTCCTTCCTTCTACTAACTTTGGGTTTAGTTTGTTCTTGTTTCTAGTTCCTTGAGGTTCAATGCTAGGTTGAGATTTCTGTTCTTTTTTATGAAGTAGACATTTGTTGCTACAAACTTCCCTCTTATAATGGCTTTTGCTGTATCCCACAACAATTTTTTAAATTTCCCTTTTAATTTTTTCACTAACCCATTGGTTGTTCAGGAGCACATTGTTTAACTTCCATGTATTTGTAAATTTTCTAAAGTTCAGCATATTATTGGTTTCTGGTTTTACACTACATGGACAGAGAAGACACTTAATAGTATTTCAATTTTTAAAAATGTGTTGAGACTTGTTGTGTGGCCTAACATTTATACTATCCTGGAGAATGTTCCATGTGCAGTTGAGAAAAAAATGTGTATTCTGCACCTGTTGAATAAAATGTTTCCTATATGCCTGTTAAGTCCATTTGATCTAGAGTAGTTTAAGTTTTATGTTTCCTTATTGATGGATGATCTGTCCTTTGCTGAAAATCAAGTGTGGAAGTTCCATACTATTATTGTATTGCAGTTCATCTCTCCCACTTGATCTGTTAATATTTACTTTATATACTTAGGTGTTAAGATATTGGGTGCATATATATGTACAACTATTATAAGGATTGCTAAATTGACCCCTTTGCCATTACATAATGACCATGTTTTTCTCTTTTTACAATTTTTGAATTAAAGTCTATTTTATCTGATATAAGTATAGCTACTCCTGCTCACTTTTGGTTTCCCTTTGCATGGAATATCATTTTCTATCCCTTCACTTTCAGCCTACATGTGTCTTTAGAAGTCAAGTTAGTCTCCTGTTGGCAGAATGTCCCTTTAGCATTTCTTATAAGGCAGATTTGATGGTAATTCCATTAGATTCTGTTTGTCTGGGAAAGCCTCCTCTCTCCTTCATTTGTGAAGGACAGCTTTTCTAAGTATAGTATTCACAATAGTGTATTTTCCTTTAGCACTTTGACTAAATCATCCCACTCTATCCTGGCCTGTAAGGTTTCGGCTGAGAAGCCTGCTGCTAGCCTTATGGAAACTCCCTTACAAGTTATTTGCTTCTTTCTCTTGCTGCTTTTAGAATCCTCTCTGTCTTTAAGTTTTGACAGTGAGCTTATTTTTTCTTTTTTTATTATACTTTAAGTTCTAGAATACATGTGCAGAATGTGCAGGATTGTTACATAGCTATACACATGCCACGGTCATTTGCTGCACCAATTAACCCGTCACCTACATTAGGTATTTCTCCTAACGCTATCCCTCCATTAGCCACCCTCTCCTGACAGGCCCCGGTGTGTGATGTTACCCTGCCTGTGTCTATGTGTTCTCATTGTTCAACTCCCACTTATGAGTGAAAACATGCAGTGTTTGGTTTTCTATTCCTGTGTTAGTCTGCTGAGAGTGATAGTTTCCAGCTTCATCCTCGTCCCTGGAGAGGAAATGAATTCACCCTTTTTTATGACTGCATTGTATTCCATGATGTATATGTGCCACATTTTCTTTATCCAGTCTTTCACTGAAGGGTATTTGGGTTGGTTCCAAGTCTTTGCTATAGTGAATAGTGCTGCAAATAAACATATGTGTGCATGTGTCTTTATAGAATGATTTATAATCTTTTGAGTATATACACAGCAATGAGACTGCTGGGTCAAAAGGTATTTCTGGTTTTAGATCCTTGAGGAATCGCCATACTGTCTTCCACAATGGTTGAACTAATTTACACTCCCACCAACAGTGTAAAGGCATTCCTATTTCTCCACAACCTCTCCAGAATCTGTTGATTCCTGACTTTTTAATGATCGCCATTCTAACTGGTGTGAGATGGTACCTCATTGTGGTTTTGATTTGCATTTCTCTAATGACCGTGATGATGAGCATTTTTTCATATATTTGTTGGCTGCACATTTGTTGTCTTCTTTTGAGAAGTGTCTTTTCAAAGCCTTTGCCTGCTTTTTGATGAGGTTGTTTTTTTCTTGTAAATTTGTTCAAGTTCTTTGTAGATTCTGGGTATTAGCCCTTTGTCAGATGGATAGATTGCAAAAATTTTCTTCCATTCTGTAGGTTGCCTGTTCACTCTGATCATAGTTTCCTTTGCTGAGCAGAAGCTCTTTAGTTTAATTAGGCCCATTTGTCTATTTTGGCTTTTGTTGCCACGGCTTTTGGTGTTTTAGTCATGAAGTCTTTGCCCACGCCTATGTCCTGGATGGTACTGCCTATGTTTTCTTCTAGAGCTTTTATGGTTTTAGGTCTTACGTTTAGGCCTTTAATCCACCTTGAGTTAATTTTTGTATAAGGTGTAAGGATTGGGTCCAGTTTCAGTTTTCTGCGTATGGCTAGCTAGTTTCCCAAAAACATTTATTAAATGAGGAATTCTTTCCCCATTCCTTGTTTTTGTCAGGTTTGTCAAAGATCAGATGGTTTTAGATGTGTGGCATTATTACTGAGGCCTCTGTTCTCTTCCATTGGTCTATATATCTGTTTTGGTACGAGTACCATGCTGTTTTGGTTACTGTAGCATTGTAGTATGGTTTAAAGTCAGGTAGCGTGATAGTTCCAGCTTTGTTCTTTTCGCTTAGGATTGTCTTGGATATTCAGGCTCCATCTTGGTTCCATAAGAAATTTAAAGTAGTTTTATTAATTCTGTGAAGAAAGTCAATGGTAGCTTGATGAGGATAGCATTGAATCTATAAATTACTTTGTGCACTATGGTCATTTTCACGATATTGATTCTTCCTATCCACAAGCATGGAATGTTCTTCCATTTGTTTGTGTCCTCTCTTATGTCCATGAGCAGTGGTTTGTAGTTCTCCTTGAAGAGGTCCTTCACATCCCTTGTAAGTTGGATTCCTAGGTATTTTATTCTCTTTGAAGCAATTGTGAATGGGAGTTCACTCATGATTTGGCTGTTTTTCTATTATTGGTGTATAGGAATGCTTGTGATTTTTGCACATTGATTTTGTATCCTGAGATTTTGCTGAAGTTGCTTATAAGCTTAAGGAGATTTTGGGCTGAGACGATGGGATTTTCTATGTATACAATCATGTCATCTGCAAACAGAGACAATTTGACTTCCTCTCTTCCTATCTGAACACTCTTTATTTCTTTCCCTTGCTTGATTACCCTGGCCACAACTTCCAATACTGTACTGAATCGGAGTGGTGAGAGAGGGCATTCTTGTCTTGTGCTGGTTTTCGAAGGGAATGCTTCCAGCTTTTGCCCATTCAGTATGATATTGGCTGTGGGTTTGTCATAAATAGCTCTTATTATTTTGAGATATGTTCCATCAATACTCAGTTTATTGAGAGTTTTTAGCATGAAGTGGTGGTGTTGAATTTTACTGAAGGCCTTTTCTGCATCTATTGAGATAATCATGTAATTTTTGTCATTGGTTCTGTTTATGTGATGGATTACATTGATTAATTTGCATATGTTGAACCAGGCTTGCATCCCAGGGATGAAGCTGACTTGATCGTGGTGGGTAAGCTTTTTGATGTGCTGCTGATTCCGGTTTACCAGTATATTATTGAGGATTTTCTCATAGATGTTCATCAGGATATTGGCCTGAACTTTCCTTTTTTCTTGTGTGTCTGTCAGGTTTTGATATCAGGATTATGCTGGCCCCATAAAATGAGTTTGGGAGGAATCCCTCTTTTTCTATTGTTTGGAATAGTTTCAGAAGGAATGGTACTAGCTCCTCTTTGTACCTCTGGTAGAATTCAGATGTGAATCCATCTGGTCCTGGGCTTTTTTTGGTTGGTAGGCTATTAATTATTGCCTCAATTTCAGAACTTGTTATTGGTCTATTCAGGGATAGAATATCTTCCTGGTTTAGTCTGAGGAGGGTGTATGTGTCCAGGAATTTATCCATTTCTTCTAGATTTTCTAGTTTATTTGCATAGAGGTGTTTATAGTATTCTCTGATAGTAGTTTGTATTTCTGTGGGATCACTAGTGATATCCCCTTTATCATTTTTTATAGTGTCTATTTTATTTTTCTGTCTTTTCTTCTTTATTAGTCTGGCTAGCAGTCTATTTTGTTAATCTTTTCACAAAACCAACTCCTGGATTCCTTGATTTCTTGAAGGGTTTTTCGTGTCTCTTCTCCTTCAATTCTGCTCTAATCTTAGTTATTACTCGTCTTCTGCTAGCTTTTGAATTTCTTTGCTCGTTTCTCTAGTACTTTTAATTGTGATGTTAGGGTGTCGATTTTAGATCTTTCCCACTTTCTCCTGTGGACATTTAGTGCTATAAATTTCCCTTTAAACACTGCTTTAGCTGCATCCCAGAAATTCCGGTATGTTGACATTGTGTCTTTTTTCTCATTGGTTTCAAAAAACTTTCTTATTTCTGCCTTAATTTTGTTATTTACCCAGTAGTCATTCAGGAACAGGATGTTCAGTTGCCATGTAGTTGTGTGGTTTTGAGTGAGTTTCTTGAGTTCTAATTTGATTGCACTGTCATCTGAGAGACTGTTCGTTATGATTTCCATTATTTTGCATTTGGTGAGGAGTGTTTTACTTCCAATTATGTGGTCGATTTTAGAATAAGTGCTATGTGGTGTTTAGAAGAATGTATATTCTGTTGATCTGGGGTGGAAAGTTCTGTAGATGTCTATTAGATCCACTTGGTCCAGAGCTGGGTTCAAGTCCTGAATATCCTTGTAAATTTTCTGTCTCGTTGATCTGTGTAATATTGATAGTGGGGTGTTAAAGTCTCCCTCTAGTATTGTGTGGGAGTCTAAGTCTCTTTGTAGGTCTCTAAGAACTTGCTTTATGAATCTTGGTGCTCCCATATTGGGTGCATATATATTTAGGATAGTTAGCTCTTCTTGTTGCATTAATCCTTTACAATTATGTAATGCCCTTCTTTGTCTTTTTTGATCTCTGTTGGTTTAAAGTCTGTTTTATCAGAGACTAGGATTGCAACCCCTGCTTTTTTTGCTTTCCATGTGCTTGTTAAATATTCCTCCATTGCTTTGTTTTGAGCTTATGTGTGTCTTTGCATGTGAGATTGGTCTCCTGAATACAGCACACTGATGGGTCTAGACTCTTTATCCAATTTGCCAGTCTGTGTCTTTTAATTAGGGCATTTAGCCCATTTATATTTAAGGTTAATATTGTTATGTGTGAATTTGATCCTGTCGTTATTATGCTAGCTGGTTATTTTGCCTGTTAGTTGATGTGGTTTCTTCACAGTGTCATTAGTTGTTGCAGTTTCTTCATAGTGTTGATGGCCTTTACAATTTGGTATGTTTTTGCAGCGGCTGGTACCAGTTTTTCCATTCGATATTTAGTGCTTCCTTCAGGAGCACTTGTAAGGCAGGCCTGGTGGTGACAAAATCTCTCAGAATTTTCTTGTCTGTAAAGGATTTTATTTCTCCTTTGCTTATGAAGCTTAGTTTGGCTGAATATGAAATTCTGTGTTGAAAATTCTTTTCTTTAAGAATGTTGAATATTTGCCCTCACTCTCTTCTGGCTTGTAGGCTTTCTGCAGAGAAATCCACTGTTAGTCTCATGGGCTTCCCTTTGTGGGTAACCCGACCTTTCTCTCTGGCTGCCCTTAACGTTTTTTCCTTCATTTCAACCTTGGTGAATCTGAGGATTATGTGTCTTGGGGTTGCTCTTCTTGAGGAATATCTTTGTGGTGCTCTCTGTATTTCCTGAATTTGAATGTTGGCCTGTCTTGCTAGGTTGGGGAAGTTCTCCTGGATAATATCTTGAAGAGTGTTTTTCAACTTGGTTCCATTCTCCCCGTCACTTTCAGGTACACCAATCAAATGTAGGTTTGGTCTTTTCACATAGTCCCATTTCTTGGAGTCTTTTGTTTGTTCCTTTTCATTCTTTTTTCTCTAATGTTGTCTTCATACCTTATTTCATTAAGTTGACCTTCAATCTCTGATATCCTTTCTTCGACTTGATTGATTTGGCTATTGATACTTGTGTATGCTTCACAAACTTTTCATGCTGTTTTTTTTCAGCTCCATCAGGTCATTTATGTTCCTCTCCAAACTTGTTATTCTAGTTAGCAATTTCTCTTTTTTTCAAGGTTCTTAGCTTCCTTGCGTTGGGTTAGAATATGCTCCTTTAGCTTGGAAGAGTTTGTTATTACCCACCTTCTGAAGCCTACTTCTGTCAATTCATCAAACTCATTCTCCATCCAGTTTTGTTCCCTTGCTGGTAAGGAGTTGTGATCCTTTGGAGGAGAAGAGGCATTCTGGTTTTTGGAATTTTCAGCCTTTTTGTCCTGTTTTTTCCTCATCTTCGTGGATTTATCTACCTTCGGTTTTGATGTTGGTGACCTTTGGATGGGGTTTCTACGTGAACGTCCTTTTTGTTGATGTTGATGCTGTTCCTGTCTGCTTGTTAGTTTTCCTTCTAACAGTCAGGCCCCTCTGCTGCAGGTCTGCTGGAGTTTGCTGGAGGTCCACTACAGACCCTGTTTGCCTGGGTATCACTGGCAAAGACTGCAGAACAGCAAAGATTGCTGCCTGTTCCTTTCTCTGGAAGCTTTGTCCCAGAGGGGCACCCACCAGATGCTAGCCAGAACTGTCCTGTATGAGGTGTCTGTCCACCCTGCTGGGAGGTGTGTCCCAGTCAGGAGACTCGGGGGTCAGGGACCCACTTGAGGAGGCAGTCTGTCCCTTAGCAGAGCTTGAGCACTGTGATGGGAGATCCGCTGCTCTCTTCAGAGCTGGCAGGCAGGAACGTTTCAGTCTGCTGAAGCTGTGCCCACAGCCACCCCTTCCCCCAGCTGCTCTGTCCTAGGGTGATGGGAGTATAGAAGTATCTATAAGCCCATGACTGGGGCTGCTGCCTTTCTTTCAGAGATGCCCTGTCCAGTGAGAAGGAATCTAGAGAGGCAGTCTGGCTACAGCAGCTTTGCTGAGCTGCAGTGAGCCCCACCCAGTTCAAACTTCCAGGCGTCTTTGTTTACATTATGAGGGGAAAACCGCCTACTCAAGCCTCAGTTATGGCAGACACCCCTCCCCTGACCAAGCTTGAGAGTCCCAGGTCAACTTCAGACTGCTGTGCTGGCAGCAATAATTTTGAGCCAGTGAATCTTAGCTGGCTCCATGGGGGTGGGATCCACTGAGCTAGACCACTTGGCTCCCTGACTTCAGCCCCCTTTCCAGGGGAGTGAACGGTTCTGTCTCACTGGCATTCCAGGTGCCACTGTGGTATGAAAAAAAATCTCCTGCAGGTAGCTCAATGTCTGCTCAAATGGCCACCCAGTTTTGTGCTTGAAACCCAGGGCTCTGTTGGTGTAGGCACCTGAGGGAATCTCCTGGTCAACAGGTTGCAAAGACTGTGGGAAAAGTGTAGTATCTGGGCCAGAGTGCACTGTTCCTCAAGTCACAGTCCCTCACGCTTCCCTTGGCTAGGGGAGGGACTTCCCTGACCCTTTGTGCTTCTCAGGTGAGGTGATGCCCCACCCTGCTTTGGCTCACCCTCTGTGGGCTGCACCCACTCTCTAACCAGTTCCAGTGAGATGAACTGGGTAACTCAGTTGGAAATGCAGAAATCACCCACCTTCTGTGTTCATCTTATTGGGAGCTGCAGACCGGAGCTGTTCCTATTCGGCCATCTTCAATCTGGGATCCCAATAATGTGATTATTATATGTCTTGAGGCAGTCTTACTTGGATTGAATCTGATTCGAGATCTTTGTCTTTCCTTTACCTGTATTATTTACATCTTTTTCCAGGTTGAAAGGTTTCTTTAGATAAGCTTTCTTTCCCTTTATCTTTCTCTTCTCATTCTTGAACTCCTATAACTTGAAGATTTGTTCTTTTGATGATGCCCAAAACTTTTCAGCTCCAAAATATCTGTTTTGATTATAGTATTATTACTTCACCTTATTACATTTCTCGTCCTGGTCACTTACAGTTTCCTTCAGTTTTTTTAATTGTTTCTCTGTATTTTCTGAGGTTCAGTGAGCTTCTTAAAAACAGTGATTTTGAGTTGTCAGGCACTTCATACATGCATTTAATTAGGGTCACTGACACCTTATGTTGTCCATCTGGTTATATTACATTTCTCTGATTGTTCTTGATCTCTGTTCTCATGCACTGATCTCTGCACAGCTGAAGTAGGAGTTACTTATTCCAGTCTTCACAGACTGGCTTTGTCTGGGAAAGCTCTGTGGCAGATGTAGGTGGTGCTGGGGTGCCAGAAGCAGCCACGATCAGTGTAGGGCTGACAGAAGCCCAGAGCCCAATATGGCAGACATGGCAGTAGGGTAGGGCTGAAACCCAGGACAGATGTAAACAGCATAGCACTGGATTGTGTCAGAAGGCTGGGGCCTCTGAGAGCTGCCTGCCACTGAGGGCTTTCTGGAACCTGAGGCCAGTGGAATCAGTCCAGTGCAGGAGGGTGGGAGGACTAGAGACTAAGTCAACCATGTAAGCTTGAGGGTGGTTTTAGAGGATCTGTCAGTGAGTACCAGCCTGGAACATGGGGCTGTGGGGTTCTGCTGAATGCTGTGGTGGGCCTGGTGTTAGCATCCATGGCAAAGTCTTGTGCTCACTTCCCTCTTTTTCCCCCAGGAAAACAGTATCTCTCTCTGTGTTGTGCTGCCTAGGGTTTGCGGAGGAGTAATGTGGGTAATGAAAAACTGTCCTTCCTACCCTCTTCAATGAGTCTTTTTAAAATTAATATTATTATTGTGCTACAACCAAGTACTACAGCTTTTCACCTGGTTTCCTTAGCTCTTATGAAGATATTTTAGTACACAGATAGTTGTTCAAATTGATGTATAAGACTCATCTACTGTGTGCCAAATACTGAGCATACCCTCCTCCCAAAGACTTTTGTATTAGTTAAGAAAGCTGTCAAATGCAATAAATAGAATAAGTTATCATATGCAGCTCAAATAAATTGGGGTTCATTTCCTTATGTACTAAAATGTCTGAACTTGTAGGCTGCAAGACTGGCTTCCACAGGTTTAGGCAATGGGTTCTTGTTTAAGACAGAAAGAAAAGGTGTCTGGATCAGCCACATCTGTCCCTTTTGTACATAAGAGAAAGCTTTCCCAGAAGACCCCAGCAGATGTCTGCTTATTTCTCACTGATCTGAATAATGACACACAGTCAATCCTAGCTACAAGGAGACTGGCAAAATGAGTAAAATATTTAGAATTTGTGTCTTTGTTTTTTGGGAAGGGGTCTTCTACAGTAAAGGCAGGCAAAGAAGGAGGCTGGAAATAGGTGCTAAGTTAGTGAACTAACAATGTCTTCCACTATTGTATTTGTATTATATTTGCATAGTTCCAAATCATGTATCTAATGTTAAAAATACAACTGGGAGAGACCAACATATGAATCTCATTTATATATACTTAATAAAATGTCATTCATTCAATAACATTGAATTATTATTTGTACAGTAGTAAATACAACCCAAAACACCTTTTTCTTGTGAGATTTATAGTCCAGTAGGGTAGAAAAAGATTAAAATATGTATTAGGTGGCAATAAGTACTATGAAGAAAAACCACACTAAGTAGAGAAATTAAGAATGTAGATGTAAGGTAGGTAGGTCACTACTTCAGAAAGGGTAGTCTAATAAGGGTCTTTCTAAGGAAGTGACATTTGAGTAGAGATGTGAATGAGGTAAGGGACTTATGTGGATACCTCAGGGCAGAGCCTTCCAGGCAGAAGAAACAGTAAGTGTTTGGTATGCTAGGAAGATGGTGAGAAGACGATTATAGGTATAGGAGAGTGAATGAGGGGGTAAGTAATCAGTGATGCCACCTGAGAGGGCATATCACAGGATATTGTAAAACCACACTTTTAGGGAATCATCATGGTTAAAAGTGCTGAAGTAACTCTGTCACCCAATTTCCACTGTGAAGCTAAAACCAATGACTGCATATCAGGTACACATGTTAGCATGTTTAACTGCAATAACAAAGTTTAGTAATGATTTTAAGGAATCTGAGGTTCATATTAGGTAAGGCTTTCATAGACTCTATTATAAATATATTATGTCCTCCTCATTTAGGCATATGGCCTGCTAATCCTTGTCATATAGTTGTGTGAAAAATGCTGGATAAAGCAAATTTTATCAGATTTAATTCATAGAGGACCTACTGCAGCCTTTATTATACTGATCTGCATTTTGAGTCTTCAAAAAGAAGATATGGTTAATAGGGCATTTCTATATTTAATATACTATGAGAACATTTTGTTAAGATTTTGAGAAAAGCAAACAATGAAATGCTGTTATATATTATAGTCTATGGATATCTATTATGCTGATGGTTTGTGCAGAAGAAGGACATGGGGAACCCTTCCTATTCAAATCTATTTGGTTCCTCAGTTAATGAGTTCAGAGAGTGAAGAGCAAGAATACATAGGGCAAATGTGTATTTCTGAAAATATGTTCAAACCCATTTGGTTCCTGAGTTTAAATAGTGAGGAATACCTGTATATAGGTGAGCAGTACATTAGACATTTAATTAAAGATTTGGAAAGGTAACATAAAAATACATTTTGTTATATTTAGCAAACAATTGTAATGCCAAGTAGAACTTTTATGACATTTGTCATTTAAGGTACAGATCTGTTCCCCTGAAACAATGAATTTGCAAAGTAACCATTTTCAGATGAAGGTAATGTTTATTTTTTAAGATGATCGTTATTTATATCCAAGGAGATATATTTATTAGCACTAGCATATATTTAAGACAATGATAACAGACTCATGACATAAAACACCATGTTTCATAAAATCGCTGATTTTAAACTGTTCTATCTGCCAAATGAAGCCAAATTAATAATTCAGCTACCTCTAAAATGCCATAATCAATACAACAGCTCTTAACTCAACTGAGAAACGTTATTTCAAAAGACAATTGTCTTTTGAAATAGACTACTCCATTCTTGTTTCAAACCAGACACATTTTAAAAAGCAAGCTCTTCCAAAAAAGTGCATTATCTACTAGCAGACAGGAAAATGTAACGTGCAGCAAAAGCAATTACTACTAGGAGCAAAGTAAGCTGTCTATAAAGCTGAAATAAGCTGAGAACAAAACAGCTGAAAGCAATGATTCTCAAACATTAAAGAGCATATGAGTCACCTGGGGAATGTATTAACATGCAGATTATAATTCAGTAGGTACGTATGTTTCTAACAAGTTTTCAGGTGATGCCAATGCCACTTATCTATGAATCCCACCTTGAGTAGCAAGCCCTGAAGTATACTATTTATAAAGTACCTACATCTAAGGTGCTGCTGGGAGAACCATATACATGGGTCAAAATAATACTCAAATACTTTCCTTAAAAATTATATTTAACTAGAAGAAGAAATGATAAATTTTCCAAAAGCAAAATCAGACAAAACACCCATAAAGCATGAATCATCATTATAAAATTATTCCTCAAAATTATTAGCCATTTCATCCACCTCATGGTTAAACTAATATCTCAGAGTGATGAAATGAGATTATTGAATGTTAAGAACTTCAGGGTCTCCTTAGGAATGATTTCATGAATATGACAACAAAAGCATGGGCAACAGAAACAAAAATAAATAAGTGGGACTAATCAAACTCAAACAACTTCTATACGGCAAAGAAAACAATCAACAGCGTGTAAAGGTAATCTATAGAAAGGGAGAACATATTTGCAAACCATATCTCTGATAAGGGGTTAATCTCCAAAGTATATAAGGAGCTCCTACAACTCAGTAGTAAAAAATAACCCAATTTAAAAATGGGCTAAGGACTGAATAGACATTTTTCCAAAGAAGACATGCAAATGAACAACAGGTATATAAAAATTTTGAATGTCACTAATGAACAGAGAAATGTAAATTAAAACCAGAGTGAGATATCACCTCACACCTATCAGAATGGCTATTACCAAAAGAAACCAAAAGACAACAAATGTTAGTGAGGGTGTGGAGAAAAGGGAACCCCTGCATACTGTTGATGATAATGAAAAATGGTATAGCCACTATAGAGAAGAGTATAAAGGGTCTTTAAATAATAAAAATAGAACTGCCATATGATCCAGTGATCCCACTCGAGTATTTCTCCAAAAGAATTAAAATCAGGATCTCAAATAGATATTAGATTTCCTATGTTCACTGTAGCACTATTCACACTAGGCAACTTGTGGAAACAACCCAAATGTCCATTAACAGGTTAATGCATAAAGAAAATGTGGGATAAACATATAATGGGTACTATACAGCCTTAAAAAAAGAAGGAAATGTTGCAATATGCAAAAACATGGTTGAACACTGAAACACTATGCTAAGTGAATAAGCCAGTCATGGAAAGTCATATACTGTATGGTTCCACTTATATGAGGTATCTAAAACTCGTCAAGTTCATAGACTGTATTAGTCTGTTCTCACACTGCTATAAAGATACTACCTGAGACTGGATAATTTGTAAAGAAAGGAGGATTAATTAACTCACAGTTCCACATAGCTAGGGAGGCCCCAGGAAACTTGCAATCATGGAGGAAGGTAAAGGGGAAGAAAGGTACATTGTACATGGCAGCAGGAGAGTGAAAGCGGGGTTGGTGGGGAAGAGAAAGAGAGAGAGAGAGACAGAGAGAGAGAGAGAAGTGCCAGACATTTATCAAACAACCAGATCTCAAGAGAACTCACTATCACAAAAACAGTGAGGGAGAAATCCACCCCCATGATCCAATCACTTCCCACCCAATCTCTTCCTCAATACGTGGGGATTACAATTTGAGATGAGATTTCGGTGGGGACACACGGCCAAACCATATCATTCTGCCTCTGGCCCTTCCCAAATCTCATGTCCCTTTCACATTTCAAAACCAATCATGCCTTCCCAGCCATCCCCCAAAGTCTTAAATCATTCCAGCATTAACTCAAAAGTCCAATTCCAAAATCTCATCTGAGACAAGGCAAGTCCCTCCCACCTATGAGCCTATAAAATCAAAAACAAGTTTGTTCCTTCCAAGATACAATTGGGGTACAACATTGGGTAAATGTTCCCATTCCAAATGGGAGAAATTGGCCAAAAATAAAAATAAAAAAAAAAGAGGACACAGGCCCTATACAAGCCTGACACCTGGCCGGGCAGTCAATAAATCTTAAAGCTCTAACATCTCCTTTGACTCCAGGTCTCACATACAGGGCATGCTGATGCAATGAGTGGGCTCCCACAGCCTTAGGCAGCTCTGCTCCTGTGGATCTAATGGGTACAGCCCCTGTGTCTGTTTTCACACACTGGCGCTGAATGCCTGTGGTTTTTCCAAGCTCAAGGTGCAAGCTGTCAGTGGATCTAGCATTCTGGGGTCTGGAGGACAGTGGCCCTCTTCTCAGTTCCCCTAGGCAGTGCTCCAGTGGAGACTCTGTGTGGGGGCTCCAACCCCATATTTCCCCTCTGCATTGCCTGTGTAGAGGTTCTCCATGGGGGCTATGTTCCTGCAGCAGACTTTTGCCTGGACATCCAGGCATTTCCATATATACTCTGAAATCTAGGTGGAGGTTCTCGAAGCTCAATTCTTTTCTGCACACCCACAGGCCCAACACCATGTGGAAGCCGCCAAGGCTTGGGGCTTTCACCCTCTGAAGCAACAGCCTGAGCTGTTCCTTGACCCCTTTTAGCCACATCTGGGGCTAGAGCAGCTGGGACACAGGACATCAAGGCCTGAAGCCGCACAGAGCAGCAGGGGGCCTGGAATGGCTCACGAAGCCATTTTTCCCTCCTAGACCTCTGGGCCTGTGATGGGAGGGGCTGCCACAAAGATCTCTGACGTGCCGTGGAGATATTTTCCTCATTGTCTTGGTTATTAATATTCATCTTCTCATTACTTATGCAAATTTCTGCAGTGGGCTTGCATTCCTCCTCAGAAAATGGGTTTTTCTTTTCTACCACATGGTCAGGCAGCAAAATTTCCAAATCTTTATAGTTTGCTTCCCTTTTAAACATAAGTTCCCATTTCAAACCATCTCTTTGTGAATGCATATAACTGAACACTTTCAGAATAAACCAGGTCACCTCTTGAATGCTTTGCTGCTTCGAAATTTCTTCTGCCAGGTACCATAAATCATCTCTCACAAGTTCAAAGTTCCACAGATCTCTAGGGCAGGGGCAAAATGCTGCCAGTCTCTTTGCTAAAGCATAGCAAAAGTGACCTTTACTCCAGTTCCCAGTAAGATCCTCATCTCCACCTGAGACCAACTCAGCCTTAGCCTAGACTTCACTGTCCATATAACTATCAGCATGTTGGTTAAAACCATTCAACAAGGCTCTAGGAAGTTTCAAACTTTCCCACATCTTCCTGTCTTCTTCTGAGCCCTCCAAACTGTTCCAACCTCTGCCTATTACCCAGTTCCAAAGTTGCTTCCACATTTTCAGGCTATCTTTATAGCAGTACCTTACTCTGCTCGTACCAATTCTCTGTATTAGTCTTTTCTTACACTGCTATAAATGTACTACCTGGGACTGGGTAATTTGTAAAGAAAGAATGTTTAATTAACTCACAGTTCCACATGGCTAGGGAGGACCCAGGAAACTTGCAATCATGGTGGAAGGTAAAGGGGAAGTAAGGCATGTCTTACATGGTGACAGGAGAAAGAAGGGAGAAGCTCCAGACACATTAAACAACCAGATCTTGTGAGAACTCACTCACTATCATAAGAACAGCAAGGGGGAAATCCACTCCCATTATCCAATCACCTCCCACCAGGTCCCACCCTGTAATCCCCTCCCACGTGGGGATTACAATTTGAGATGAGATTTGGAATTTAGATAGAAATTCAGGAAAAGTGGTAAGAACTTCAATACGGTGTTGTCTATCCTAGAAAACTTTGGAATTGTAGGTGGATCTAGTATCAGTATGAGAATAGCTATTTTCACAAAATGAATGTGAAAACCCATCTGAGAGTATGGCTACCTTGGCAAATGTATATATTTATCCTAAGGGGAAACAGTGTTGTTTATTTATTGTAATAAAAGAAATTCATGCTTATTTTAAGTATTTAGTAGAAAAAAAGATCTTTGTAAATCTTTGATATGTTTTCTTGCAATTCTTTTGATTGTGATCAATGATTTAATTATCTGTAAAGATACTCATATAGCCTGCTTTGGTGTTTTATGTTTGTTTGTTTGAGACAGGGTCTTGCCCAGTTGCTCAGGCTGGAGTGCAGTGGCACAACCATGGCTCACTGCAGCCTTGACCTCCCAGGCTCAAGTGACCCTCCCACCTCAGACTTCTGAGTAGCTGGGACTACAGTGCAGGCCAACATGCCCAGCTAATTTTTTTATTTTTGTTTTTTTGTAGAAACTGGGTCTTGGTACATGGCCAGGGCTGGTCTCAAACTCCTGGGATAAAGTGATCCTCCTGCCCTGGCCTCCCAAAGTACTGGGATTACAAGTGTGAGCTACCCCACCAGTCCCCTGCTTTGTTTTTTGCTTAACATTATGGCATAGCCCTTTAAAGGAATATCTTAAACAAAAACATTATGTAGAATTAAGGTAAAATAAGAAGGGGTAGCTGGGCGCAGTGGCTCACGCCTGTAATCCCAGCGCCTCGGGAGGCCAAGGAGGGTGGATCATGAGGTCAGGAGATCGAGACCATCCTGGCTAACACGGTGAAACCCTGTCTCTACTAAAAATACAAAAAATTAGCCAGGCGTGGTGGCGGGCGCCTGTAGTCCCAGCTACTCGGGAGGCTGAGGCCGGAGAATGGGGTGAACCCGGGAGGCGGAGCTTGCAGTGAGCCAAGATGGCGCCACGGCACTCCAGCCTGGGCGACAGAGTGAGACTCCTTCTCAAAAAAAAAAAAAAAAAAAAAAAAAAAAAAAAAAAAAAAGAACGGGTAACTGCCATTTGGAAAGCTCAGCCACATAAGACTATGAATTAGAAAGCCTAAGGTCATGGTATTGTCACTGATCATGTTCGTAAACTTTATTTATTTTTATTTTTGAGACAGAGTCTCATTCTTTTGCCCATGCTGGAGTGCACTGGCGCGATCTTGGCTCACTGCAGCCTCTGCCTCCCGGGTTCACGCGATTCTCCTGCCTCAACGTCCTGAGTAGCTGGGACTACAGGCACATGCCACCACACCCAGCTAATTTTTGTATTTTTTAGTAGAGACGGGGTTTCGCCATGTTGGCCAGGCAGATCTTGAACTCCTGATCTCAAGTGATGCACCCACCTCGGCATCCAAAGTGCTGTGATTATAGGCGTGAGCCACTGTGCTTGGTTAGTAAACTTTAATTCGTTTTTAACAGGAAAAAAAATGAGATTTATTTCTTAGTTTCTGTGGACAAGGTAGTAAACACACAGAAGAAACCAAGACAGCTGAATTAAGCATGTTGCACAAGAGCATACAGCTAAATCACCAGGGGAGTTAGGACTCCAATATCAAACTACTGACATTTCTAACTTTCTTTCCAATATATTATACTGCCTCTCTCCAACTTACAAGCCATGTAGTATGATAAGTTTTCTGAACCAGACCAGGGCATTCATCTGGAATACTAGGAAATTATTTAGGGCAGTGGGTCTCAATTCTAGTGGCAGTGAAGAAGAACCAGGCATAGTGTTCCTTTCCAGTTCTAACACTCTGTGACTCTGCAATCTTCAGAAAGGTTATTGAATTTTTCTTTTTCTTTTAAATGGACCTCGCACAAGAAAGAATCTGGGGCAAGTCCCCAGAGTAAGTGAAAGCAAGTTTGTTAGGGCCGTAAAGGAATAAAACAATGGCTACTCCATGGGCACAGTGGCCAAATTTTTGTCTTCTTCCAGCTCCCAATCCTATCAGTTTCCTTCATAGATTTTGGCGTATATTACTCAATACACATTGGTCTATAGCTTCTTCTCAGTGGCTTGCACACAATTCCCATGATAATTAGGAAAGAATGTACGTATATAGTCCATAAGCAAAAGCCATCCCTTTTTGTCATTTGTAATTATGTTTCTCAATGGTAATTAATTTCTCGTTAATTTTTAATTTCTTTCATTTCTAGCTTCCTTAAAATTATTTATGTTGGCTGTTGTATTTGCTACACAGTCCTATAACTGCTGAAATCTAACCTGCCAATGCATTCTAGACAGTCCTGTTTGCCAATAATTTTTCATTTTTTAGGCTTCTTGACTGTCTAATGCTTTAACACTTAAAATAATTATAGCTACCAATGATTGGGTACTTATGTAAGATCCATGTGTTCAACATTTTGTAAACATTTCTTAATTTAGTCTTACCAACAACCTTATAGTAATATATTTTACATTCCATTTTTTTGGATGAGAAAACTAAGCCCCAGAAAGGGTAATTAATTCACCTAAATGATTCCTTTGCCAGTGCTGTGCAGTGTCTGCCTCAAAAGCCCATGGTTTAAGCCAACTTAACTATGTTGCTTCTCATTATGGACCTCCACAGCATAACCAAATCATGAGATATGCAGAGGATGGAGCATATTGGTTAAGAGCACAACTTCTTAAGCCTCATGGCCAAGGTTTGATTTCAAGCTTCATCACTTACTAGTTTGGTGACCCCAGACAAAATATCTAACTTCCATCTGTAAAATGGCAATAATAAAGTAAACACCTTACAGGCTGCCTTGAACATTGAGTGAATAATATATCCAAAGGGATTGGAGCAGTACCTGGCACACAGTAGACACTATGTAAATGTTTATTGTTTTTGTTACTACTGCTGTTATTATCTATCATTATTGCCATTCTTTTGACTCCCACGTAAAAATATTTTTGAAGTCAATCCTTTAGAGGTGGCATACCATTTAAGAAGGTTTATTCATTTTCATTCTTCAATATCAATCTTATGACTTTTGACAGACATTAGTCTAGTAACATAAAGGAGGAAATATTCTCCTAAACTTTTGAACAAACATGTAAGAGTTACCAAGCCTGGCTACACACTTGGATTAACCAGCGTGCTTATACAAATTGTCTGGTCACTTGAGTCCAGGAGTTCAAGGCTGCAGTGAGCTCTGATCACACCACTACACTCCAGCCTTGAATCAAACAAACAAAAAAACTGTCTGGGGCCTATCCCAGACTTATAACACTTACAATGTCTGCAGAAATTGTAAAAAAACTCCCCTAGTGATTCTGATGCAGCTGGTCCACAGATGAACATTTGAGAACCACTGCACTACACATTCCTTTAAGGCATAAAGAAACCAATCCAAAGAGATTAAAATATCCATCTCTTCCCTAAATATGTTCCTAAGGTAAATCTCTTTCAAAAGGCTAGAAATATAAACCCTTATGCTCTGCGACCCTTATAAAGGTGAAGCCATTACATTCTCAGTATTTATTACTATCTAATAGACAGGAAACGTCTGGCACTTAGTATGACAACAGTTACTATTAGGTGCCAATCAAGCAGTCAAAGACTTTTGACTTCTCAAGTGTGTAGTCCAAAACTGTAATAAAATCTAAGTGTTACTAAAAAGCAAAATAGCCTAACACAAAGACTGGTCACTTAAAATAAAGGAACATTTTCCTATAATTTCAAGTGTGCTAAGGGGAGCACTACTCTTTGACTCATAAATATCTGTAGTGGCTGCAAAAGCTTTTTGCTCTGGAACACTGCTTTATTTTCTTTCTTCCTTAAGCTTAACCCCAATAATAAACGCATTCACCTAATATAAGTGAGATGATAGCACTGCATCAAGGAGATGGCACAGAATTCTCCAGAGATTGCTGGTACAGCAAAATTCAGCAATTAGCTTCTGAGTAAGAAGAGAATCTTAAACATGTCACAACATACACTATTCCCCAAACTATTACTGATTAAAGTTTAAAGGCTAACTCAAACTTCTGGCTTCAATATTTCGCATAATGATTTGGGACCTATATAACTAACGAATTAACCGAAAGAGAGCACAACTCTTCCTTATCAAACTCAGCAAGTTTGTGGCATCCAGTTTTCATTAAATTTGCACCATTTGAGGATAAATAAAGAGTGTGTGGCACATATACTTAGTTTATTCAAAATAACATGAGGAAAACTGGATTTTCAGGGCACTTTGCTCATTAGTAAGTGTAAAAACCTCACACACACAGGCATCCCAAATGAAATCTATTGTCTTTGTCATTAATAAACCTCTAGTCTGTGAATGCCATTATTTCTATGGACTGAAATGGACCCTAGCAGTCTGAAGATCTTGGCATAGCTTTGTGCTACATATGTGTTATTTATGTACCAAGAAGATGTGATTTATTGTCTAATGTTTCTTTACTCAGATTGGCTCCAGGCAACACTGTGAGGTAGGTCAATATTATCTTTAGTGCCATACCTTTTACCTAAGCAGCCCTTGCTTTCATGCAGCTTTCTCTTTTCAGAGCCCACTGAACCTTTTCAAACAATGCCTTGTGCCTTTTACCTTTCTTGATCCAGCTCTGCCATCTAAACTTAATTGCCCTTTATGCTACTTAGGCAAGACCCAATGGACCAATCTGATCATTTATGTCAAATTATGATACTAATGGTGGATACATAATTAATGAATTATACCTCCTAGAACCCATACTCACTTTCAGAACCCCAAGAAAAACTAGAGAAGTGAATAATGTGGAAATTCCAAAGAAAGTTAGAGAAAACACTAATTTTTCTAGAAGCTGTCAAGACCTGTAAATAGTAGCTACCTCTTCTCTTTCAAGGTTGGCCTGACTCAAGAATTCCACCAAAACTATCTGTGGTAAGCAGAATAATATTTCCCTCCCCACTTCAAAGAGGCCCACATCCTAATCTCTGGAACCTGTAAATGGCAGTGGGGAATTAAGATTGCAAATGGAATTAAGGCTGCTAACTAGTTGACATTAAAATAAGGAGATTATCATGATTGAAGTGGGTGGGTCCAAGTGTAATCACAGGGTCCTTAAATGAGGAAAAAGAAGACACAAGAGTCAGAAACAAAGAGATGACATTGTGAGAAAGATGCAACCAGCTACTGCTGGCTTTGAATATGGAAGTTTTGTATGAGCCAAGGTTCAGACTCTAGATGCCAGAAAAGGCAAGAAAACAGACTCTCCCCTGGAGCCTGCAGAAAGAAATGCAATCCTGCTAACACCTTGATTTTAGTCCAATGACAACCATTTCCAACTTCTTACCTACAGAACTGTAATAAATGTGTGTGTTTTAAACAACTTAATTTGTGGTAATTTGTGACAGTGGCAATAGCAAATGAACATAGTATCAAAGTACACAGAGAGTGCTAGTACCTTCATTTCCTTAAAATACATGCTTGGCATTTATCTCACTGGATTATGCTGCTGCTTTATAGAAGTTGCCTCATTTGTATTTCCTACAGATTAGACAACCTAAATAGACTACCCATTGTTGTGGCTAGAGATAAAAGGAGAAAAATTCAGCAACCAGAAATAATTTAATGTACAATGCAAAAATATCTTTAAATGTTTTAATTGGACAAAAAAAGGTATAATTAGTGACAAGAAGTCATTGACTGGTGTGACCTTGTTCCAATCACTTTTATTGAAGAATAAAAGGATGATTTATCAAACCCAAGTTAAGAAACTCTGCTAAACATCAATGTATATGAATGGCTCACTGTAACCTACTAGCTAACATCATTTCACTCCTCTCTACCAGCACCCCAATTCACACTGAAGCACAATACCGGCTATTGATTTTATCCTGAATTTAGGGGAAATGCCTATTTTCAGAAAACTGCACATGCTACCTGAAACTTAAAACCAGAATAAACGATGTGTCTAACCCTAACCCTTAAAAATAAGTTATCCCAAGCATTAACCCAGAGTAGCTGTTTTATTCCCTCTGGACAAACATACAATAAATGTTCCTGAAAAGCAGTTTAGCAAAAGCATTGACAGATTCTTAGCTAGAGACAGATTCATAGCAAGAGAAAGCCTTACTATGATTCTCTAAACCCTTTATCATAAAGCACAAAATCTCTTACGTTTTTGGTTATCAAACGACTGAAAATATACCAATCCATATTCTACCCTAGTAAATGAAGTTCTTTGGTGGAAAACATTGATTGTTTTGCTCTAGAAGAGAATTTGGTGCCCTCTAGTGTTGAAAAACAAGATGATCCATTTCACCGTTAATAAACCAGCACTTCAGAGAGGGTCACAAAAGTACAGAATTTAAGAGCTAAATAGCATATTTCAGGACAGCACAGATATGTAATTATTTTTTAGTAGAAAGTTTTAGGCCAGGTGCAGTGCCTCAAGCCTGTAATCCCAGCACTTTGGGAGGCTGAGGTGGCTGAGTCACTTGAGTCCAGGAATTCAAGACCAGCCTGGGCAATATAGTGAGACCGCATCTCTACAAAAAATACACAATAACTTAGCTGGGCTTGGTGATGTGTGCCTGTAGTTGCACCTACTTGGGGGGCTGAGGTGAGAGGATCACTTGAGCTAAGGAGGCAGAAGTTGCAGTGAGCCGAGATCACGCCACTGCACTCCAACCTGGGTGACAGAGTGAGACCTTGTCTCAAAAAAAAAAAAAAAAAAAAAAAAGCAGTAATAGAAAGTTTTGGTCATGGATTATCATTCAATTTTTATTCTGATAGATTATCTTAAAAGCATTATTTTGAAATTGGGCCTCTTAGGTAAAATAATACTTGGCTATATGGTCTGTTGGAGATTTTCCCTCTGGCTTTACAAGGAGAACAAAGGTGAGTGATCTAAGCTTCTGCACCAAGAAATGAATAAAAAGGGTATAATATTAGGGTAATGACTTATAATGATTTTTTTAACGTTTTACAAAATACTGGAGACATAAAATAGAACAGAAAATAACATCTGTGATAATACTGCCCAGCTTAAGAAATAAAACATAATTAATAGCATTCCAGATTACATTCTCCTTCCCCTTCATAGATAACAACGCTCTCAAATTTGGCATTTTATTTTATTTTTGAGACAGGGTATTGTTCTGTCATCCAGGATGGGGTGCAATGGTACCATCATGGCTTACTGCAGTCTCAACCTCCCGGACTCAAGCGATCCTCCCACCTCATCCTCTCCAGTAGCTGGGACTATAGGCTTGCATAACCATGCCCAGCTAAGTATACATTTTTTGTAGAGATGGGGGTCTCACTATGTTGCTCCAGCTGGCCTTGAACTCCTGGGCTCAAGCAGTCCTCTTGCGTCAGCCTCCCAAAGGCTAGGATTTCAGGCAAGAGCCACCGTGCCTGACCAAATTTGGCCTCCTAATGATTGATGCTTACATATATTTTCAGTTTTCAGCCCTCTGACACTATTATATTGCTTCTAAGATTAAATATTAACTTTAAAATATTACTTTGTAAAAAGGAATCCCAGGTGATAATTACAGTTGGTATGCTGAGCCAAGGAGAGGATTCCAGGTACCTCCCAAGTTTGGGGGCACATGGAGGCTGATATTGTAAGGTCTCCACACGTGAGAGGAGTAGGTGAGATTTGCATCTCCACATGGGACAAGGCAGGACAAGGAAGCACTACCAGCAAGTGACTATGGTTTTAAAAATGGGTAAGGGCAGACATGGAGCAATGAGAGAGAAAAACAGGTTGGCAGTGTACATCTTGGTTGACATGGTAAATAAAACCAAATGTGCAGATTTATTTTTTATTTATTTATTTATTTTAAAAGTGAGATATTTCTTAAAAGTTTAGTGTACAAACAAAATGAAGGTACCTTCACATTTTACTACACATGTGCAGATAGTTTTCTTGGTGCACAGAGATAAGGCAGAATTAAGTTAGAATAAACATGTTCTAAAACTGACCTCCAGAAGAACTAGTCTTAGTCATTTCTTTGCAGAGTATGTGAACCAAGATTCGGGTTTGGTCTTTGGTGTTAGCACTGTGTCAAGGATCAGATAGAAAGTACAAATGGAGGGGCCCCTTTCTGAGGCCAGGCCCCACTGTCAGGGCATGTGGGGTGACCAAAGGCCAACAACCAGCTGAGGCTAAGAGGCTGCTCTGAGGAGGGCGGGGCTCCAGGTGCCTCTTGAACCCTTTGTTCGGGACCAGGACATGTGTGGCTGGGCAGCAGCCTTCAGACCCCCCACAGGCTGGTGCCCGGTACCCACAGCCTTCTGTTGGGTTGTCAGGCCCCTGCACCCATGGTGGGGTGCTGGGCTCCAGAGTTCCCTGGGACCAGCTGATCTCGTCCTTGGTTTTGGCCCAAATGCAAGCCCCTGGTCTCCTCCAAGTAACTTCCTTTCCCCAAGGCTGTCCAGGCCCCACCGCTGCCTGTTCCTTCCCAGGGCCTCCTGCAAGTCCCGATGCTGACGCCTCTCTGCCCACCTAGTTTGTGGCCGCTGCCTCCAGCTCTGTGTCTGCCTCCCAGCGAGGGAGCCGTGGTTGACGATCTCGTGAGTGTCTGCCCTTCTGAAGGGTACAGTGTGAAGTCTCGTCAGTCTCATTTAAATGCCTAAGCACCTCTTCAGAAACCAGGGAGTCAGCCGGGTTTCTCCATCTTTAATCATGTTTTCTAAAGGTTTTCTTGGCAATTTCCTGGCAATTTGCAAGACAGGACTTTTTGGTTGCCAACTTCCAATTAGCTTTAAACTTGCCACGATCTCCCAGGTCATCCCATCCATCGATGATGCTTATTACATTCTTCCTGATTTCCATGTGGCCAAATTCAATAGTTATTTACCCCAGGCTTGTATTTTGGAGGCTAAAGAACTCTGTTACCAGCTATATCTGTGCTGTGGCTGCTGTAGCAAAATATCACAAATGTGGCTTAAAACAACAAAAATTTTTTCTTTTTTTTTTTTTAGTATTTATTGATCATTCTTGGGTGTTTCTCAGAGAGGGGGATGTGGCAGGGTCATAGGATAATAATGGAGAGAAGGTCAGCAGATAAACACGTGAACAAAGGTCTCTGGTTTTCCTAGGCAGAGGTCCCTGCGGCCTTCAGCAGTGTTTGTGTCCCTGGGTACTTGAGATTAGGGAGTGGTGATGACTCTTAACGAGCATGCTGCCTTCAAGCATCTGTTTAACAAAGCACATCTTGCACCGCCCTTAATCCATTTAACCCTGAGTTGACACAGCACATGTTTCAGAGAGCATGGGGTTGGGGGTAAGGTTATAGATCAACAGCATCCCAAGGCAGAAGAATTTTTCTTAGTACAGAACAAAATGGAGTCTCCTATGTCTACTTCTTTCTACACAGACACAGTAACAATCTGATCTTTCTTTTCCCCACATTTCCCCCTTTTCTTTTCGACAAAACCGCCATTGTCATCATGGCCCGTTCTCGATGGTCGCTGCCTCTTCGGAGCTGTGGGGTACACCTCCCAGATGGGGCAGCCGGGCAGAGGCACTCCTCACTTCCCAGATGGGGCAGCCAGGCAGAGGCGCTCCTCACTTCCCAGATGGGGCGGCCAGGCAGAGGCGCTCCTCACTTCCCAGACGGGGCGGCCGGGCAGAGGCGCTCCTCACTTCCCAGAAGGGGCGGCCGGGCAGAGGCGCTCCTCACTTCCCAGACGGGGCAGCCGGGCAGAGGCGCTCCTCACTTCCCAGATGGGGTGGCCAGATGGGGTGGCCGGGCAGAGGCACTCCTCACTTCCCAGACGGGGCGGCCGGGCAGAGGCGCTCGCTTCATCCCAGACGGGGCGGCCGGGCAGAGGCACTCCTCACCTCCCAGCCAAAGGGAGGCTGGGCAGAGGTGCTCCTCACATCTCAGACGAAGGGTGGCCAGGCAGAGGCGCTCCTCACTTCCCAGACGGGGCGGCCAGGCAGAGGCGCTCCTCACTTCCCAGACGGGGCAGCCGGGCAGAGGCGCTCCTCACTTCCCAGACGGGGCGGCCGGGCAGAGACGCTCCTCACCTCCCAGACAGGGCGGCTAGGCAGAGGCGCTCACTTCCTCCCAGACGGGGCAGCCAGGCAGAGGCGCTCCTCACCTCCCAGACGAAGGGCGGCCGGGCAGAGGCGCTCCTCACCTCCCAGACGGAGGGCGGCCAGGCAGAGGCACTCCTCACATCCCAGACGATGGCCGGCTGGGCAGAGGCGCTCCTCACATCCCAGACGATGGGCGGCCAGGCAGAGGCGCTCCTCACTTCCCAGACAGGGCGGCCGGGCAGAGGCGCTCCTCACTTCCCAGACGGGGCGGCTGGGCAGAGGCGCTCCACACTTCCCAGACGGGGCGGCCGGGCCAAATGTGCAGATTTAGAATGAAAAAAAGATAGTTTTTCCTATGCGTAAGGCCAAAAGAGCTGAAGCCATCACCTAGTTCTATTCATCAAACACAGCTAGCACTAAGCTCAGACCAAAATGGTTAGTTCCAGTTTTCTGTGTGTGTTACTACTCTGAGACTAGCTGATGATTCTGATTTTTTCCCCTAACAAGCTGGCTTTACATAAAACTTAGCATCTTATTCCTTTTGGGTTGCTAGTAACAGAATGCCCAAGACTGGGTAATTTATTGAGACAAGAAAATGATTTTCTCACAGTTTGGGAGGCCAGCAGCCCAAGGTCAAGGGACCAGCATTTGGTGTGGTGAAGGCCTCCTTGCTGCATCCTCACATGGCAGAAGGTGGAAGGGTAAGAGAGCAAGCTAGCCGAACACTGTATACAGCCTGTTTCAAAAGGGCTTTAATTCCATTAATGAAGAAGGAGTCCTCAGGCCTAATTATCCTTTAAAGGCCCCATCTGTGAATACTATCACATAGGCAACATATGCATTTTGGAGGTGACATGTTCAAACCACAGCACTTGGGAAAGACAGCATGCATCTTTGCTGTTCTCCTACCTCCCAACTGACATTTCCCCCCAGTGCCTGAGGACGTCAGTGCTCTTTTCTCAGACCTTTCCTATACTCCAGTGACCTAGTAGCTCATGTAAATCTGGTAATGCAAGTAAAATACCTCCCACTGTACCTAGCATACAATAAAGCTCATTAAATATTAACCTGCTGTCATCACCTCACCACTACAACTTCTCCCTCCCATTCTCTTTCCCCCTTGCTCGTAATCAAAACTCTCATTCTCTCAATAGCAGGGTAAGAAAAGCTATATAAATGAACTAAACATTACTTGGACATAAATATTTATACCATTTTACTGCCAGGGCCTATATTAGGTGTTGGACAGCATAGGATCAAAATATTTTCTCTCTCCCAGTATGGTTCTTTATCTACCTTTGTTGGCCTGGCAACCACTGAAATCAGCTGTCTTTCCCTCTATAACATCCATCAGAATTTTCTTTGCTGCTGTTAATAAATCCTTTGTCAAGGACTCTATCAACTCAAGTCTAAACCTCTTTAAATTCCTTTTGTTTACCTCTCTTCCTTTCAATAGTTTTTGACCCTGGAATAACTTGAGATATAAATATGTATGTACACACACACACACACACACACACACACACACACACACACACCCCAACCTAGATCAACTGAAGAAAATCTAACAGAGCCAATCATGCTTGCTCCTTTGTGACTACTTTAGAATTCGCAGTTGCATCTCAAGGTCTTGGCCAAAGCAATCCCATATTAAGTAAACTGCTGTCCAAAATTCTCTACAATATGGCATTTCTGCAAATACCCAAGAAAATGATTACTGAAATTCACGTGTCTCCCCCCCTCTACTTCCATTTCCAGGAAGCGATGATATTTCATTCATTGTTGTATCCTCAATACTTGACACAGTTTCTGGCAAAGAGTAAACTACCAAGTGATCATTAGTTACATGAAGGAAAGGATGAATGAAGAATAAAGATATATGATAGTAAAATGTTTTCTGAATCATCAAAAAAAAAGATAAAATATGTGGGAGAAAAACTTTCTTTCTTGAAAGGCTGTGGAATAATGGTTAAGGGCACAAACTTTGGGACACAGGTCTATTATCACATACTAGGTTTGTAGGCCTAGGGAAGTTATTTAACCAGAGACTCAGTTTCTCCATCTATAAAATAGGGATAATAATAGAAATTATCTCTAAAATTGTGTCAAATTAAATGAAATAATGCACTCAGAAAAATAACTGGCATCCAGAAAGGTGAGGCAGGCAGAATAATGACTCCCCAAAGATGTCCAGGTCCTAATCTAAGATCCTGTGAATGTACTACCTTACATGGGAAAGGGGACTTTGCAGCTATGATTAAGTTAAGGACCCTGAGATGGGAAAATTACCTTGGATTATTCAGGTAGACCCAATGTAATCACAAGGGTCCTTAAAGGGTCAGAAAGAAGATGTGATGAAAGAAAATAGGAGTTGTAGTGATGCCATATGGCTGGAAGGGGGCCACAAGCCAAGAAATGAGGGTAGACTCTAGAAGCTGGAAAAAGAAAGGAACAGATTCTATTATAGAGCCTCCAGAAGAAATACTACCCTGTCAACATATTGATATCAGCCCCACAAGGCCCATTTTCAGATTTGTGACCTTCAGAACTATAAGATGATAAAACTGTGTTATTTTAACCAATGTTTATAGTGATTTGTTATAGCAGCAATAGAAAACTAATGTAAGGGATATGTAAGTGTGACAATTATTTTTCCTCTGTTACAAAACATTCTCAAGTTAACATCAACAGTGATAACTCATGTTGATAGTATGTATTCTTCTAATAAAGAATGGCATTTTATCTCTGTAGTCTTCCTCCCCGAAACTCATGTGCAGAGAAGAGATAACATAGCATATTTGTCTTCATTTACAAGGCTGGCCCTTGTGTCATCCAGAAACTTGAATTTTGGGAGAGCTCCCATCATCCTAATTGATAATAGTGACTCACTGTGCCCAAACTACAATGTGATTTATGCTTAACACCTGTTTTCCTTCCAGAAGTTTGGAATTTTGGTATGTGTCAGACAGTGGGTACCTATGTGACCAGCTCCCAATAAAAACCTTAGCTACTGAGTCTATAATGACCTTCCTGGTGCACAGCATTTCACACCTGTTGTCATAACTTACTGTTGAGGGAATTTAGCACATTCTGTGTAACTCCATGGGGCGAGAACTCTTGGAAGCTTGCACCTGGTTTCCTCCAGATTTCACCCCCATGTACCCCCTCCCTTTGCTGATGTTGGTTTATATCCTTTTGTTGTAAGATGAGTTAATGGGTGCAGCACACCAACATGGCACATGTATACATATGTAACTAACGTGCACATTGTGCACATGTACCCTAAAACTTAAAGTATAATTAAAAAAAAACATAGCTGGAAGTATGAATTCATGCTTAGTTCTATGAGTCCTCTTAGTGAATCATCAAATACAGTAGTTTTGGGAACCCATGACACAACCGATAAGCCCAGTCTAATCATGGGGAAAACATCAGACAAATCTCAGTTGAGGGGCCTTTTACAAAATAACTAACCAGTACTCCTCAAAACTGTCAAGGTCATCAAAAACAGAGAAAGTCTGAGAAACTGTCACAGCCAAGAGGAACCTAATGAGACATGACAACTAATTGTAATGTGGTATCCTAGATGAGATTCTGAAACAACAAAAAAAAGACTTATTAGGTAAAAACTAAATAAATCTGAATACAGTATAAATACTATTAATAATGTATTGATATTGGTTCATAAAATGTGACAAATGTATCATACTAATGTAAGATATGAACAATCCAGAAGACTACGTGTGGAGCATTTGGGAACTCCCTGTACTATCTTCAAAGCTTTTCTATAAATCCAAAACTATCCTAAAATAAAAAAGACCCTTTAAAAAATACTTGAGCATCTATTATGTACAAAGTACTGTGCTAAGCATTAGAAAATTAGATCTATATAATTACTTCAGGTAAAGGCATTATCAATCATACATTATTTTGTTCCACACCTGCTCATTTAGCTGGATGTTAGCAGAAAGGCCAAATTAAGATATTTAGTTTTATTTATTTAACTTGACTGCACATTTATATCTTATTCTAGTAGATGATGACTTCCTAGAAGGTAGAATAAAATTAGAATTATCAACTTACTGAGTATGCCCTAGGTATTTTTACATTCATAAAACAGAGTAACAAACTTATACTGAAATAATAATTTGACACAAAGTAGAGTGAGCAATAAATAATGATCTGTTTCAATATATGACTAAAGGTCATGATGCTCTTTTAATCTATTGATTGTCTTCTTTACTAAACGACTATTTTGTGACTTTCTATGTTTAATAAAACCATAAGAAATGTGTATTATAAACTCAAAATTGTCATATTTCCATTACTGAAGCTTTTCATTTCAATAACCATTAATTTTCTGCTTGAGGAAGAGGAGAATGAATGGGGAATAATTCTCCAATATTTGGATCACTATTTTAATTCTACTGCATAATCAAATATATATTTGGAGTGTGATTTGTATAAGATTTTAAGATGATGAATCAAGAGATGAAATATTAAATGGGCTCCTTTAAAAACTGTAAAAATTTCAAAATGATCTCTATATGCAGATCCATGAAAATGAAACTTAGTGCCTTTGTAGAAGATATGTCTTTGCTAGATAAAACCAAATAAGCAGGTCTTTAATATAATTTATTAGCTTCTATTATGCGTAGTGTCTAAATCACACCCTTTTAATAATACAAGTCATCTTAATTCATTTAGCTCACTGAAAATAATGTAATAGAATTACTGTAGATGACTCAGTGATTTATTACAAACCATGATATATGGTCAATTATTTTAATTTTCAAGTATAATACTCCACAGACACATAAGGAAAAACTGCCTCTTTTCACAACAGCTTCCTGTGGCCTTAAAGAGACATTTTCTTTTATTTATATTAAATAGGCCTAAAGGTAAGAAATACAAATATAGTAGAATGAAATGCTGTTTAAATAGAATTATTTAGAAATATTAGGAAATACTATGCAACTATACTAATGGTAGCTTTAGTTTCTCTCAATTCAGCGAAAAAAATGTTTTGTTCTAGGATTAAAATTTTTATTAATTTCCTCAAAATGCTGATATACTGGCAATTTCCTGAATACACTAATAACTTAGATAAACTAGATGGACCAAATGAAGTTGCAAAACAAATCAGAAAAAGTTTTAACTGCATCAAAATAAAAATATCACATAATAAAATTTATAGTATACAGCTAATACAGTAAAGGAAATTTATAGCATTAAATGATTAGGTAAGAAAAAATCTCAAATCAGTAATAGAAGTTTCTATCATAAAAATATTATAAAAGAAGGACAAATAAATTCAAAGCAAAGGAAGTAAAGAGAAGAAATATATGTAAATATATACATATTTACATATAAACAAATTTTGAAAACAGTAAAACAATTTTAAAATCAATAAAAACAATTGAAACCTAAAGCTGTTTCCTTAAAAATATCAATAAACTTAATAAACCTCCAGCAAGACTAAAAAAAGGAGAGAAGCCATCATTATCAGGATTGAAAAGAGGTTATCATTACAGACCCAACAGACATTAAAATAACAAATAAGGAATATTATGAACAATGTTAAACATGTAATTTTGACAACTTAGATAATTCTTCAAAAACAACATCAAAATTTACCCCATATGAAGTAGATAACCTGGATTGTCCTGTAATTATTAAAGAAATTGCATTCATAGTTAAATGCCTTTCAACAAACACATCTCCAGGCTCAGGTAGTTTCACTATGAAACACTGGGGATTTAAGTAAAAAAATGTTATCCTCGGCCAGGCGCGGTGGCTCACGCCTGTAATCCTAGCACTTTGGGAGGCTGAGGCAGGCGGATCATGAGGTCAGGAGATAGAGACCATTCTGGCCAACATGGTGAAACCCCATCTCTACTAAAAATACAAAAAAAAAAAATTAGCTGAGCGTGGTGGCGTGCGCTTGTAGTCCCAGCTCTCAGGAGGCTGAGGCAGAAGAATCACTTGAACCTGGGAGGCAGGGGTTGCAGTGAGCTGAGATCGCGCCACTGCACTCCAGCCTGGTGACAGAGCAAGACTCCATGTCAATTGAAAAAAAAATGTTATCCTCATTATTTTCCAGAAAACAAAAAAAAGACAACTAACTCATTTCATAAGGCCATCATACCCTAGTACCAAAATCAGACAAAGACATTACAAAAAACAGAGACAATTTCAGACTAATATTCTTCAACGACGGAGGCATAAAAAATCCTCAAAAATGATTGGCAAATAGTATCTAGTAATACACATAATAATATAGTATAACAAAGTGTAGTTTATGGCGGGAATGCAAGACTATCTCAATATTTGATAGTGAATTATTATTAACATTGAAAACACATGATCATATCAAACTCATACAGAAAAAGCATTCTACAGAATTCAACATCCATTCATGAGAATACTATCAGCAAACCAGAAATGGAAGAAAATGTCCTCAACCTGAAAAAGAGCATACAACTGACATTATATTTACTGGTGAATGAATGCTTTCATGCTAATATCAGGAAGAAGACAAGGATTTCTGCTCTCAACACCTCCATTCAGCATTATACTATAATGAAGAATTGGAAACTATGATTTAATAAAACATTAGCATTTAGCAACAGCATTAAAAATAATAGGAATAAATCTGACAAGAAACGTCAAGAATGTATACTCTTAATAACACAAGATACAAAGTCAAAACAAAAATAGTGTTTTTAAACATTAGCAATATATAATTGTGAGTCAAAAAAATTTTAAATAACAATAACTCCTCTCAAAAGAAAAAATACTTGGTATAAATCTAAATAAACATGCACAGGTTCTGAATGCTGGAAACTGCAAAATGCTGATGAAAGAAATCAAAGACTTAAAAAGAAAGACATACCATGTTCACGTATTACGAGAGTCAACATAGTAAAGATTTCAATTCTCCCCAAGTTTATCTATAGCTTCAATATAATTCCAATCAAAATCCCAACATGATGTTTTATAAATATAAACAGACTGATTTTAAGTTTTATATGGAAAGTCAAAAAATTAAAATAGCTAAACCATTTTGAAAAAGAATAACAAAGTCACAGGAAAAAAGGGGTACTAACAAAAGCACAGACATAAATATGAACTGTACAGAACAGAGTCCAGAAATATACCCACACATTTTCAGACAACTTATTTTTGACAAAGCTGCAAATGCATTTCAATGAAGGAAGGACATTGTTTTCAACAACTGGTGCTGAAACAACTGAGGATCTCTATGTAAAATAATATACCCCTTAAGTCTCACAACTTATTACAAATTAATTTTAAATGAATCCTAATTCTCAATTTTATGTAAAACTTAAAACTATAAAACTTTTTGAAGAAACCATAGGAGAAAATCTTCATAACCTAGTACGAGGCAGAGTTCTTAGATACAACACCAAAAGCATAATCTATTAAAACGTTTTTTGAGAAATAGGACGTCATAAAAATTAAACAGGTTGGCTCTACAGGAAAAAAATTAAGAGAATAAAAAGAAAAGCTATAGACTGAGAGAAAATATTTACAAATCACATATCAAATGAAACACTTGTATCCCAAATATATAAAGAACCCTTAAAAGAAAGAAAATAACCCAATTAAAAAGTGAGTAAAAGATTGTTTTTGTATTTTTTGAGACAGGCTGGAGTGCGGTGGTGTAATCATAGCTCACTGTAGCCTTGGACTCCTGGGCTCAAGCAATCTTCTGACCTCAGCCTCCAAGTAGCTAGGACTACAGGCACACACCACCACGCTCAGCTAATTTTTTTTTAATTTTTTTTTTTGTAGAGATAAGGTTTTGCTATGTTGCCCAGGCTGGTCTTGAACTCCTGAACTCAAGCAATCCTCCTGCCTTGGCCTCTCAAAAGTGCTGGGATTATAGACATAAGCTGCCACACCAGCCCAAAAGATTTGAAGACACTTAACTAAAGAATATATACAAATGTAAAATAAGCACATATGTTCAGCATCCTTAAGGAAAAGCAAATTAAAGTCATGATGTGATACAACTGTCTATGTATTTGAATGACTAAAATTTTAAAACACTGAGAATACCAGTGCTTGCTTTCAAGGACGCACAGAAAATGGAAGTCTTTGCTGCTTGGAATGCAAAATGGTACAGCCATTCTGGAAAACAATTTGACAATTTCTCATATAAGTAAATATATACTTACCATATGATCCAGCAATCCCACTCCTGAGTATTTACCCTAGAGAAATAAAAAATTAGGTTCACACAAAAATAAGCACATGAATGTCTGTAAAAGTTCTATTCATAATTTGCAAAACCTAAAACAATCCACTTGTCCTTCAGCAGCTGAATGGATAAACTGTGGATCATTCATACAATGGAATACTACTGAGCAATAAAAAAGAACAAACTATAAATATATGCAAACAACTTGCATGAATCTATAGGCAATTTTACTGAGTAAAAGAGGCCAGTCTCAAGGTTGTATACTATAGGATTCTATATTTTAACAGTATATTAATATTTTACAACATTATCAAAAAGACAAAACTAAAATAATGGAGAACACATCAGTGGTTTTCAGGGATTAGGGACGGGATGAGCATGTGATTATAAAGGTATATAGCACAAGAGAGTTTTGAGAGTGATCAAAATGTTCTGTATGTCCATTGTGTTGGTCATTATATAAACCTTTACATGTGTGTAAGTCATAAAGCTGTATGTAGAGAATAATTTTATTGCATGATAATTTAAAAAATAAAAATGAAAAACAAAAGGACTATGCTGGATAAAAAAGAGGTTTGCTGGTTAAATGTGGCTCAGTGCTACGTCTTTCCCCAAAGTAGATGCTCAATTAACTTTTGCTAAACAAAAACCCTGAAAACTGGCTGTAATGTCTGCTTTAATATCAATCTCATTTACATCCCTAAGATTCAAATATTTAAATAACTTTCTGTACTGTCATTAATACTTTCTGTCATGGCATAGATTACTGAAAGATGTCTAGCTTACAAACATTTATTAAAAACTTCAAGTGAAAGTTGGAAATCCAGATATATCAACCAATTATTTTAAATTTTTAAAAAACTATCATTAATAATAGTAACTTTTACTTTACATATTGTATGTTTATCCTCATTTTAAAAAGGGCAAGATTGATCTGTACTGAAGTCATTACTCAAAGACACAGTATCACAAACAAGCTTTAGTAAGTGTTTACATAATCTTTATTAAATATGGAATGAACTGCACAGCTATGCCATTAATTTATCTCAGATATTTACTCTTTCTAGGATTTGTCTTTTTGCTTGAATTAGCAAAACAGACTTAAAAATTGTAATTATTCTGGTTCTAACTGCGATGTATACTTATATCACTAACACAAAATTTCTGTGCTGCCATACACTTTAAAATTTACTGTGCTAAATAAACACTGGGTATTTGTTTGCCTGTAGCTTCTGTGCTACCAATCAAACTCTGTAGGATCCTGCCATGTCACTCCCTACACTGACCTGTGACAACAGGTCTAAGACTCATTAATTCTGATCAATTAAGCTATATCATATGTATGTGAATGAATACAAATAACTTCATCTATACAAAAAAAAAACACATTAACTTTGTACTTGCTTTGCTCTAAACTGTGTATAAGAGTATTCCTATGATGGAAAATGATCAATCATGTAGCTGAGGTTTTCAAAACTACCTAGCCTAAGAATTAAACACATTTTTAAATTGCAGATGTTATCTGCATATATTTACAGTACAAAGTATAATTTTCATACTTCTTTTTCATTTCTATTTGCTACAGATTTTAGAGCCCTCCACATTACATTAATCATTTTGAAAATATTCTTTCTGAATATTCACTTAACATATGATCACTTCCAATTTACCTATGTATAGCTCGAGTCTCAATGAAAATTTTGAATTTTACAGTTTAAGTTAAACTATGAAGTATGTTATAATGATGCTAAAACACATTCATTTTTTACATTCTGTAATATATACTTTGATGTCACATTATACTATCACTTGTAAACAAACCAAACTGAAATGCGTTTTAGCAACCAAAAATATAATAAAAAATTACCTATAGAAATAATTATACTATGTAACTGAAAGATGACAAAAACACTCAATCTGAAGCATTCAATGCAGTAGTTTTATTTCATTGAGTCAAAACTAGAATAAGCCATAATGAGTTCACTTAACTATTTTTAAAAGAAAAAACTAATATATCAAGTTGCAGCTTTCTGTATTTTAGTTCTGTTTACAACACACTGATTAATAAGGACACTATTATGAATAAGTAGATAATAAAGTCAATTTGCAAAAAAAAAAGTTTATTCAGAAACATATTGGTTCGAACTTTCAAATGTTCATGAGCATCTCATCCATTGGCTTTAATTGCTTTCTTTCCACAGCACCTAACATTTACTGTTCAGTTCCTTCGCACATCCTACTCTGGAGCATATTACTATGGGTACTGAAGTAGATCAAATCATAGAGAAGCATAGTCTCCTACGAAATTACAATAAGGGTAAATTACCCTTTAGATAATTTTCACAATTTAGCACAGTTAATCATAACTAGATCGTGTGAGCCCATGATTAAGGCTTCTTGAAATACCCACTTAAGCTATTATAAATGTGATGAAAAGTGAATGACTTTGTCACCTGATTGAATTTACTGAAACATTTTTTCAACCCAAAATTTAAAAAAAACATTTTTTCAACCCAAAATAAAACCGCTGCAAAACAATCCTAATATGTCATACATTTAAAATATAGTAAAAAACAATCCAGTGTTAATTAGAGATTAATATCCCTCTAAAATATTAGAATTGCGAAAAATTGCACAAAAGAGGTTTTTTCTAAACATGCATGAAGCATAGAGACTGGGTTATACATGCCAATTATAATATGGCTGCATGATTACTGAGTGCACTCAGAGAGAAATAGCATTTCCAGAATTACTAAAACCAAGTTTTTATTATACAGATGTTGAAAGTTAGCTCCACTCCCCAAACTCCAGTATTTATAATACAGATTTTTAGTAAACTCTTTTGAAAAATATTACCTGCTTCTGTAGCCATCTTTCACGCCTTCGTTGTTTCCTTCTTAGATTCTTCAACTTGCTCCTTTCTCTCTTATTAAGCCTCTGATTAATGCTGCCCAATGAAAAATTGGCTGAGTGCAGGAAGTCCAGAGGGGAGAGGTGCTCTTCCTGGTCTGAGGCCTCCGGCATGCTCCTGCCAGCTGAGGGCAGGTCCATCAGGAAAGTCAGATTGTTAGTATTAGTATGGTCAGAATACACTGAAGCAGCTTCTAGACCACACTGAAATTCTCCTCCTCTTTGTGTCTGGGTCTCATGGGGGGCCACTGAAAATCTTTGCAGCAGCATACTAGGATCAAAACTGGATGGATTCTGAAAGGAATAGCTATTTTTACTAGATTGTAAAGGCAAGCCTGAAAGGTCAATAGGCTGTGTTTCATTTAGTCTGGAATAGGCAGTAGTCTTACTATGTATTTCATATAAAGTGGGTAATAAAGTCAGTTTCTCACTGATGTTCAGATCCAAACTATGTGATTTTCTATGAAAAGCTCTTGTAGCGCATCTGCCAGTCACAAGCTGGGGAACAAAAAGCTGGTATTTTGGTTCTGATGCTTTGGACAGCAGTTTTTCGTTCTTCATCTCAAAATATGTTGGTCGCACCTCCAGGCAGAGTGCTTCTGTTAATCTTCCAGGGTCATTATTATTTCGGGCCATGTTTAAAAGCCTGTGATTTCTGTTTTCAGAGCCACCACCTGTCAGCAGAGCTTCCTTGTCACAACCTGACTGAACTCTAGGATGTGACAAGTATTTCACTGATGGTCTCATTAGTCTGCCTGCCTGTGTTGGCTGATAATCAGTCCGGCTCTTGGAGAGATGTACAGCTGCAAGCTGGCCACAGGAACATTTTGGAGTGCTGACAAAATTAAAGCCCCCTAAACGGGCCCCACAGAAAGGACAATTCAGTTTTCCAACTGTCCACTGGGCCTACAGGTAATAAAGAAGAATAAAGACAGTGCTTTCATTATAAAGTAACTGAAGAGAAATTTTTTTTTCTTTAAAGCCAGCCACATGAAAGTTTTCTATGCCACAGAAAAGGCTAGCTTTCTGTTTTCTGATTAGTAGACTGAACAGCAAATAAAACAAGCCTTCCAAGAAATAAAGATAAGCAGCGCCAAAGTTCTAGAATGATAACATATTGCAAATCATGCCCATCCAAACAATATTCCTAAGAATTCTAAATGAGAGTCTCTTGAACAATAGGTTGAATATGGATACAGTGTGAACTAAAGAAAAATATGCTATGGAACCAGGAAGCAAATCAGTGGACAGAGCTTAATTTGCAAGTAAAATCTCACAGAAAAGTATCTGTTTTGATACACTTCTTGCATACCAAGCACTGTGGGAGGGAACGTTACCCAACCAACAGAATAAAGCTCTTCCTGGCTTTTTACATACAACCAAAATATACTGATTGCATACATCAGACAGTGCATTTTCTATGCTTAGATTGGAAATTAATAATGAACTGTCTTAAAATTATCTTTCCAACTGAGATAGTGAAATATCTGCAGTGTCCTAATATATTTTGTTAAGTTCAGGACACTTATAAACAGTGCACTGGCATTCTCCTAGAAAACTGTTACAGTGTGAAAAGGGATATCTATCAAATGTTATTTTTTAACAAATAATTAAGCTGCTCAGTGGAGAAATGTAATTATATATTTCCAAAGTCCTACTACTTATAATTTTCTAAGACAGGAGTTTTGAATTGTGAAAAATAACTACACATACCAGGTCAGTTCTTGCTCTTATAATATTTCATTAAGGATCCTTTAAAGTGTAGAATTTTCATTTTGATTATACCAATGAGGGTCATTAATTATCCTATTTATTTTGTATGCTTGTGCATTTATGTATATATGTATACATATGAATAACACATACAGAATATTCCATTTATTCAACAGGACTTATTCTTGGTGCTGGGAAATACAAATGAACAAAATATAAAAGTCCCTGACTTCATGGTGCTTATATTCTAGGGTGGGAGCTAGGCAATTAACAAGTTAAATAAGCTATATGTGTATTTAGGTAAATATGTATATGTGTGTGTATAATAATATATATGTCATATATATGCTTCTGTATATTTAAAAGTAACATATATTATGTGTGTGTGTGCATGTGTGTGTGTGTGCGTAAAACACAGGTAGGTATATAAAGCGGAGAAAGGAGAAAAGAAGTGTGAAGAGAGGTAATGGGAGTGAGGAGCAGTAAGAGGTTGGCCAAGGAATGCATCTAAGAAAAATAGCTCTAAAAGGAGGACAAAAACATTCTGAAGGTTGTATATTCTTAATTTTACTCAGAAACTAAGAACTTACTTTTTGGATTAGGCAGCTTATCCATTCTGGAAGGGCTTCTACATTCATGTGCCACACATGACAAATATTTTGAGCATCAACTGAATCATCTTTATCCTGTTAAATAAAAATAAATGATATTACTAATTACCAGTTCAGAATTTATTTCACAGGTTTCATATTTAAGTAAAACTCAAAAATACAAATTCTATTTTAGCTAGAAGGCAAATATACACTGCCTTCCCTTCCTAACTCCCATAATAAAAAAACAAGCCCACAAAAAAAGATTTTTTAAAAATTTCTTCAGGGAATAACGACCTGTGATTTAAGACAAAGCCCTTCCATCTCATTGAGGTCATCAAATGAAATTTACAATTTAGCAGTTAGTTACTGAATGAACACATCTAGTGTCTTTTTCTGCATGTGAGACAAAATAGTGTCTTTCATGGCAACTTTCTCCAGCCCCAAATCTCTATTCTATCTGAATTCTATTAATGACAGAATAAAGTTGCTCTATTCTCTATCAAGATGCTGGATGGATGTGCAGAAAGATGGAGGAACAGAATGATGGGATTCAGGACACACTACCCCAAAACAGGCCTCCTTGGCATACTGAAAAACAGCGGATGCAGGAAGGTCTCACTAACCTTCCCCCTGCCCTTTTCGCCTGAAGCAGGTCAATAACCTAGGAAGGATTTTCTGACCTCCCATAAAGTATGTCATAAGACTCTTACATGAGAGATGCTAAAACTGTCCTTATAAACTTTATAAATTAGCCAAGGAAGAAGAGGGGGACAAACAAAAATAAACCAAGCTTGCAGCACATTGAGCATTAATCCCCAGGTCTGCTTGCTGTCTGACCTGCTTCCTCATGGCTGTTTGCTGCCTATTGCCCCAAATCCCATAGATCCTAGATTATAGTTTCCCTTAACTGCTCTATAGGTAACAACTTGAACATTATGAAACTCAAAGTTTTCCCTTTGAGATATTCCTCTAGTTTTCCCTTTGAGATATTCCTCTAGGTCCTGCATACCAATGAAACTATTAACACCAGCTGGTCTGAAAAACCCCATTGATGCCAGCTGCTCTGAAAGAAGGATACCACCAGAAGCTGACTCACCAAAGAATGTAGTTTCCACATCCTGATGACTTCATCCCTCATTCCCCAACCAATCAGCCACCCCAATTTTCCAGCTCCTCACTCTCCATGGTTTCCTTAAAACTCCCAGCCCAGAACTCCTCAGGAAGATGAAGGATTTGAGGGTCTCTTCCCATCTCCTCACTGGACACCTTGCAATCATGACATTCTTTCTCTGCTGCAAATCCTGCTATCTCAGTGTATTGATCTGTTACTACACGGGCATATGAAACTGTTAGTCCTATAACAGTGCCATCCCCTATACCAGGAGAAAGGTATCTTCAAAACTGCATTTGAAATTGGCCCTCTGAATAAGTTTACCAATTCATCTAATAAACAGGGCAGGAAGAGGTGTACTTCAGTGCAAGTCTGTATATGGATAAGCATATGACAGACTAATAGGTCTTTTGAAAGGTAAATCTTCAATTTTAGCAAGAGAAGAGAAACTTTAAGTCACATTCTATCTCCACTGTTCACCAGCAAGCAAACTGCATGAAAACAAACACCCTAGAATTATTTTTCATAAACCCACAACATAATACAAATATAAACAGATGTTATCAGATTTTCCCCCTCAAAAGAGAAATTCTAGCACATTCAATCATTGATAATCCTAGGGTTCCAAACTTTAATTATTCTAAGACATCTGTGGATGCCAATTTCTACAGAGAGTTTGAGAGAGAGTATCAACACTCTGGTAAGTCCAAGGTTCTCTTTTGACTAGCACTGAAGGAAAGAGCCTGCATCAAGATCATGAACTCTGTGAAGAGCCACCTTAGAAGAGTATTTCACAAAATGTGGTCCCTAGATCACTAGCATTAGACATAAGTTGGGTTACTTACTAAAAATTTATACTCCTGGGACACACCTAAGAGTGTCTATAAATAAATCCCTACTTATGATCTTCATACACGCTAAACTTAAGAACCCAGAGACATCTTTTTTTAGTGTTTGATTTTGTGTGCTTCTGTCATCTGCCTTTTCTAAGTTCTAATAGTGATTAATTTACAATAACAGTTCAGTCATGACTAGCTTTTCTCTCCAACTCATACACAAAATTTTTAAAGAAACTTGGGAAACCTATTGGAAGTGACTCAATAAAACTAAACAGTATAGCTTTATCTATTTTGCCCCAGAAACAAAATAAAGGTATGGATACAGTTTTTGAAAAAGTAGAATTAATTTTGTGAAACATCCATACTCACACACACTAGCTCTTTTCATTAGGAGCTGACAATTATGAAGATTAGCATAACTCTAATGAATTCTTTAAAACAATCTTACAGAGAATACAAACTAGAATTGACAAATGAAGTAATCTTTTCATTATCAGATCCAGAATTTTGTTCTGACTTTTCAGGATTATGTCTACATACAGAGGAAGGAAAGAAGGGTGGCAGTGACAGAGAGAGGGAGGAAATTTCTACACTGGTAGAATAATAGATTATCAATGTCAAAGTAAGTTAATGGCACTCAGCCTATCAATATTTATTTAGTGATTACTAAACACAGTGTTGACCACACAAAGCATGTAGAGACATACTTATTAATATGCCAGGGACTGTGTTGCATAAAGGTACATCTATTATTTGTATTAATGTATTAATATTTCACTGTCCTACTTCTTATTTTACTATGTACATTTCATTATTTCATTTAATCATATAAATTGATCATTTTTTAATCACATAGCATTGATCATAACACGAAAAAACCACTACCCACTATAAATTTTGGAAATGCTTTATGAATACTCCTATGAGAATAAACACTGGAGTCACAGTTGTAGGTAGAAGAAAGTTTTACAATGTACTTATTCTTTTTATTTTCACTAAATAACAAATATTTATATTGTGCTCACTATGCACAGGCACCGTTTTAAGAGTTTTTACTGTCTTACAGATAAGAACACTGAAACAAGCGATCCCAAGCTTCCACATTGCCTCTTATGCCATATAAAATACTATAGTTTTTAGGGCAATAAACTTTCTTATATCTCTAGCCTGTGTATGCTTTAAGGTATGATACTGCTATTCTTCTCTAACGCTTATAAAACTAAAACTGAAGCATATCTTATTTTTAAATTAACTAAAATAAATTTATGTAGGGAGAGGTATGTTTAGAAAAAATTCCACAGCTGATTCTCCTTTTGTACCCCTCAACCCAACCTCCTTCATTTGAGAAAAAATAATATAAAACAGCATATATTTTTTTCTTTTAAATAGCTAAAATTTAAAGTATACCTTCATCTCCTCACAACCAAAAAGAGAGGAATAGCAATTCATACAGGTAGGAAAGCATAAAAAGCTGGGTTGAATTTATAGCATTGTTTCGTTTTCTGAAAACTTTACACATGGACCAGGGTAAACACAGACACCTCAACTATAAATGAAACTGCCAACTACTTTCACCTGTATTTACCAACACAGTCTTAGAAAAAATACATTTTTATTTGTAATATTTATTTCCAATATAATTCTACAAGTAAAGAGGATGTATCAACTATTAAGTTTTAAGTCAGTTAATTTTTTAAAATCACACAAATATATAAATGATAAAACAAGTTTTGATGGACATATTTTAAGATGAGTGATGAAACTGGAGGCAACCCAATTTTAGGAATTTAAAGCCATCAAAGTATTAGCACAACAAGTTATCTCCTCGGGAAAAATTTGACTGAAAATTAGAACTGTTTTACCAGGATTGTAAAAAAATTACTAAACAGATTTTCTTTCTGTCTCAAATCTCCCACACGGAGGAAGGAGGAAGGAAAAGGAGGAGAAAGTAATAGCAATTTCATGTAATAATGTCAGAAAAATGTTGACAACATTATGTTTGTAAATGAAATAATTTGTTCAAGCAGCAGAGGGAGCCAATGTATTATTTTAATTTTTTCTTTAAGTGTTGGGAATATTCTCAGTTTCTATAACAGAAAAATATCACTTAATTTTAAAATTACAAATTTGATGCCTTATTTTTTATCATTATGTGATCTTTAATATTTTTAATTAAGTGTAACAAGTTACATGTAAAAAGTTGATAATATTATTACATAATATTTTGGAAGATGTTTAACCCTTTGCATTTCCAAAGTAAGCAATAACATTCCTTCAGCTAATTCTTTAAATGTGAGCCAACTATATTATTTGACTACCGCAGCTAACACCACAGGGAAAAGACTATGTAACAAAAATGTCATTTAAATTAACATTATTAATTGTCTAAAGTGTCACAAATGTAAAGGAACCACAATTCTATTGGACTGCCTAGTTTGTCTATTTGTACTTTGAGAAGGTACTTTAAGGGTAAAAACTTTTTATAATCAAAAGGTCACAATGAATTGAAAAAAATGAAAGCCTCACTTAAAAAACAAACAGGCTCCCTGCCTCAATTCTTGGTACCTTTCTAATTCACTCTTCACACTATTACCAAAATAATCTTAAAATTCAAAAGTCATGTTACTTCCTCCCACTGACTTGCCAGCTCCTACGATAAAGATCAAAGTCTTTGACTTACAAGACCATACATGATTTGAACAACACCCAACTTTCTACTCTCAGATCTTGCCAAACTCCCTCTTCATCTCTGAACTCCAATAGTGGCAATCTATTTTAGTTCCGGAGATCCACCACAGGGCCTTTGAACACGCTGGTCCTGAATCTTGGAATGTTCTCCCACCTGTACTGTCCTCACTTATCCATCATATCTCTACACAGGTCACTTCCTCAGAAAAGCCTTACAGCTAGGTCCAGCATTCTATCTATATCCTACTCTTATGGCTTCCTATACTTTTCCTTTTTGCCACTTAAACAGCTAATAATTTATATCTATATGAGTAATCAATATTTAATATTTACATAACTGGTCAATATTATAAATATTAAATTATTTCACTATTAAGTTATAAATATCAAACTTTTAATATGATTATAATATAATTAGAATACATTTATAATTGTTATAATATTAATAGAAGATTAAATGATAAATCCTGAAAACTTCATAAGGACATACCATTTCTCTTCTGCTCATCTTTGAGTTTCCAGTTCCTATTACAGGACGTGTGTGGTCTTAGTCTGCTTGGGATGCCATCACAAAATACCAGAGACTGAATGACTTAAACAATAGCAACTTATTTTCTCTCAGTTCTAGAGGCTGAAGGTTTGAGATCAGGGTGCCAGCATGTTCTGGCTCTGGCGAGGGCTCTCTTTCTAGCCTGCAGGTGGCTGCTTACTCACTGTGTCCTCACAGGATCTCTTTCTCTTTTCTTCCTTTTATAGAGCCACAGTCCTATTGGATTAAGGCCCCATCTTTATGCTCTCATTTAACCTTCATTAACTCCTAAAGACCCTATCTCCAGATATAGTCACACTGCACCTTTAAAATATGCACTTGGAGGGCATACAATTCAGTCCATAGCATAGCATGTGCTAAGACTAGTATGGAACAAATATACGGTATCACTAAGAAGAGCGAACACAAAGTATTAAAAATGTAATAAGCATAAAAATATTTATTTCAGTATTACAGCCATTGAAGGAAAAATACCACCAGAATAATAAAGCCAGAGAGAAAATAAGCAAATTATCTAACCAAAAAACATGAGGGAGGAGGTATATACTCTAATAATCAATTCAACATTCATCAGTCCTATTCATGTCAGCCACTGCATTGGCAATGGTGTTATACAGATGAAATACTTCATAGCCTGGTGATGGAAGAAGTCATAACCTAATAATTAAAGTGTTTTATTGTAAGTGTTTGACCATCCCTCAGCTCCCAATTATCTGAACCCAGTAGAATTTGGTAACTGCCCCTAAAAGTCTCATAACTACAATGAATGTTGACCAACGATTTCTTTTAAAACCAATGGACACTTTTAACTCTCATTTAGGGTCTTTACATATGGATATATAGTTTGTATGCTAACTGCACAAATCCAGGGCAAACCTTTCACAAACTAGCTCCCTCTAGAATTGTGCAGTATACAATCTGCACACTGAAGGAAATGTCTGATCTTCTAGATCTCATTTAACATTTAACACGAATCATCAACACTTTTTTTTTCCTAGAGAATGTTCGTCCCTTGACTTCCATAATATTGTATCCTAATTTTCGGTTCTATTTTTTCACTCTTTTTCTTCTCCTTTGTGGAGCTTCTCTTTTTCTGTCTATCCTGTAAGTGTTCCTATATGATAGTAACTACTGCTCTCTCCTATTTTCGGTTCTATTTTTTTCACTCTTTTTTTTTCTCCTTTGTGAGAGCTTCTCTTTTTCTGTCTATCCTATAAATGTTCCTGTATGATAGGAACTACTTAACTCTCACTCCATTCATACACTGCATGGTAATCTCATCTACTCTCACAGCTTCACCTAAAACTTATATGCTGATGATCCACAGTTTTAGTTCAGATCTCTCTTCTGAATCCCACATCCATAGAACCGAGCAGCCTCCTAAAATATTTGAATATTCTACAGGCCACATAAACTTCACATGTCCAAAACCATAACAAAACTAACTAAAACTAAGGACGCCACTCCCTAACACAGATTGCACAAATGGAGACCATTTCTGTTATTTTATTTCTACATCTTTAGGGTCTTTGTTGCTGTTATTTTGTTTTTGGTTTTTGCCCACATTTCATCTATCTCAGGTCTGGATGCAAGGTCGAAGTCCCCCTTTCTCCTTGTGGACGTTGTAGATTGTCTGAAAACTCCATTCTAAATTGCCTTTCTCATGTCTTACAGCATGCCAGTGGCTGGATAACTAAAGCTCAAATATCCCAGTTTCCCTTACAATTCAAATTCCACACCAAGCTAACTTTGACAAACCTGATACACCCACACAACATTACAAAAGCAGAACTGATGGCTGCATTTGTACTGTTTCTTGTGGCAAATTTGGTTTTGGAGGTACATGATTATTCTGCAGCAAACATCACAGCAATTCTAGTGTCCAGTTCCTAGCTTTGGGAGGGCTGAGACAAAGAATGTGAGACTTCCATTTCCTGGCAATGGTCAGGGCTAAAGAAGGCAATTGGTCCTGGAGTCAACAGCTATTGATGTTGTTTCCCCAGTTTCCTTATTCTCTATGTTGTTCTGAGAGCCATTTCATGTCTGCATGCGGAAGACAGGAGATACAGCCCAGGGCACCCTCAGGATGGAAAGAACCTAAGGAGAAACTCCCTACATAAAGCTGATTATAACCTCAGTATGAGGGTAAATGAGAAACCTGTTTCTCAGAGGGCACACAAGGAAACTTGCCTAACTTTGGTATTCAGTAGAAGGAGAGGAAAAAACATTTCCCCTCACAATATAGATTTTCTTAAACAGTACAACACATAAAGGACAGAACTAATACATTCATCAAATTATGAATTTCTTTTCAACAAAGACACCACAAGAATGAAATATAAGTTACATAAACTGGGAAAAAAATAGTTGCAATACAATAACCAAAAAAAGGTTGGTATTTAGAACACAGAATCTCCAAGTATCAAAAACAAAACATCCTAATAGAAAAATAGGCAAGAAAAAAAGACATTTTGCAGAAAACACAATTGACCTCTGAGAATGAGATGTTAAATGTTGGTGAAGACGTGAAATTACAGCAATGCTGAACTATTGTTGGTGAGACTGTCATTTGAAAACAGCATTGCCCAGTAAAGTTGAACATGCACATACCCTATGATGCTGGAACTCCATTTCTAGTAATACTAATGCCAATGTGTGCAAAGATATGCATAAGAAAGTTCACAGTAGCACTGATTATAAGAGCAAGACAAATAGATGTAACCCAAATGACTATCAACAAAGACTTTAGAGATCTTTCAACAAGAATTTCAACAAGACTTTAGAGATCCTAAGGACCAGAGTATATTCTGGAATACTATCCAGAAGTGAAAATGAACTAAATCTACACTCGACATGGTGATACTGAGTAAAAACAGCAATTTCCAGAATAATCACAGTGTAATTTCATTTACAGAAAGTTCATAAACACTTATTATATATATGGCTTATTTTTAACTGTACAGTTACTTTAATAGGTGATAAATTTAGCAACCTTTCAGCACAGTACTGATAAAATTACTTTGGGGTTCTAATAATTTCTTTTGCAGTTTCCTTTAAAGGATCCTTTCATGTTCATTTTTAATATTTTGATAATGTATACAGATTTATAAAATATAAAATATGTTTTATAAAGGGAATTTAAAGAAAAGAAAATACCAATATGCCCACTACCAAGATTAAGCAATTTAACATTAACATTACTTTAGAAGCCCCCCTCAGAGTCACTGCTTCATATTACTCCTTCTGCTAAGACTTAACCATGATATTGAATTATCCCTTCATTTTAAAATAATTTGTGTGTATTTTATATATATTTAGTACATAATTTTTATGTATTTTCAATTACAGATGCAATTTTATATAAATGAATATATTTTTACTTTATAAGGTATTTTCAATGGTTTACATCTTTTATTATGTTTATACATTTTATTTTACATATAAATCTACAGAGACAGAAATAAGATTGGTATGTTGCCTGGGGATGGGAGCAGGACAAATAGGCCTGAGGAAACTTTATGGGGTAATGAAAATAGCTCAAAATTGCAATGTAGTGGTGGTTACACAACTAAAAATCATTAAGTTATTATCTAACAATGGGTGAATTTTATGGTCTACAAATTATACTTTAAAATCTGTAAGACACAAACATATATATGTTCACATATTATCTTTTCTGCAAAGTCTCCTGTGACCAGCCCAGGCAGAATTTTGTTTGCATTCCTCTGTTAGAGTACTCCTCAGATCAGGCTACACTGGTTGGCCTATTTTCAACAAGACTTTAGAGATCCTAAGGACCAGAGTATATTTTTTCAACTCTGTATCACTCTTCCACTATCCATCCCAATACATCCTACAGCAGTGCTAGAATTGTTCTAGGTCATTAAATATGTTTTAATGAATGAGTAAGTGGGAGTTCTCCAGGTAAATAAAAGGATCAGCCACTCCAGTGAGAAGAAGTGACATCATATGATATCCTGAAGGAAGAGCAAAGGCAGCAGAGAGTGTGGAGGTTATGAGCACTGGCTCTGGAGCCTCATTGCCCAGTCCAATTGCAGCTGCACTTCTTAGTAGCAGTGTGAACTTGGGAAAATTACCTAATCTTCTGTGCCTCAGTTTCCTTATCTAGCAAATGGAGATGATAGGTTATCTTCCTCAAAGAGTTACTGTAAGGAATGAATAATATTTTTAAAGCATTTAAAACAGTTCCTAACCAGCAAGTACATAAAAAAGTACGCTACATCATTAGTCACCAAGGAAATGAAAATTAAAGCTGTAATGATATACCACTATACGTCCATCAGAATGGCTAAAATTATAAAGACGGAAAATACTAAGTATTGGCAAAGATGTAACTGGAATTCTCATATGTTGCTACCGAAAGTGAACATAAACTTTGAAAAACTACTAACAATTTCTTAAGAAATTAAACTATACCTACCCCCATGACCCCAAAAATCCATTCCTATGCATATATTAAACAGAAATAATAAAACATGACCACAAAATTTATAAAAATTTTGATAGCAGTTTTATTCATAACTTAAAACTGGAACGAATGCCAATGTCCTTCAGCAGAAAAAAATTGATAAACTGTGGTATATTCATAAATGGCACATAGCTCAGGAGAAAAAAGGAACACACTACTGACACATGCAAAACATAAATCTCTAAAACACTACGCTGACACAAATAAGTCAGGCACAAAAGAATGCATGCTGTATTATTCCATTTGAAGGAATGTAAAGAACAAGCAAACCTAGACTATGGTGAAAGACATCAGTGAGAGGGAGACCACTGCCTGCAGAAGGGCAAGACAAAAATTCCTGGGGTGATGCAAATGCATATCTTGATCTGATTCATGGCAGGGCTGATAAAACTTATCAAGTTGTACATTTAATTTTTGTACTACATATAAGTTATATCCACCAAAATACTCTTAGCATAAAAAGTTTTGGATATTTTCCTAATTAAAATGTTATTTCAAGTCATTAAAAAGTATTCGGTTCGAGACCAGCCTGACCAATATGGTGAAACCCCATCTCTACTAAAAAATACAAAAATTAGCCAGGCATGGTGGCAGGCACCTGTAATCCCAGCTACTTGGGAGGCTGAGGCAGGAGAATCACTTGAACCCAGGAGGTGGAGGTTGCAGTGAGCCAAGATCACGCCACTGCACTCCAGCCTGGGTGACAGAGCAAGACTCCATCTCCAAAATAAGTATTTGGCATGTAGTAAGTATGCAATCAAAGTTATCTACTATTATCAGTTTAGACTAGCTAATTTGTTAAAGTGGAAGGGAAACCATCATGATCAAATCTAACTGAGGTAAAACAACGAAACAAACGAAAACCAAAAAGCTGAGTATGTCTCCCAAAGAAGCGGAAGAAAACAATGACAGGTGATTACAGTCACTCTGTCTGTTAAATTTAGAATTTCTGCCAAACTCCATTAATTACTTTCTAGTTCATGCCTCTTTGATACTGCTCTTAGAGAAGAAATTTTTATTTTTGTTGTTTAAAAACACTCATTTTTTAATCAGGATGACCAAACACACACTTGAATATTATTCAGGTTTTCCTATGGGTTACTTTTATATTAACACATAAACTTTCTTTTCTAGGCCCATAGTGAATACAAAAAAAACCTATATAACAAGTTTCCAATTCTTACTAGGATTCTGAATTTAATTGTGCAGTGATTACTGAGGCTCACTCATAGTGGGAATAAAAAACATTGACTATTATCTTCAGCTTATGCCTATAACATTGCACTTAAAACATTAAGGTCATATTAACATTCGTAATTAAAGGCAAAATTAATTTTAACCTTGGAAGGGGATGCTTTTTGAATACCATTTTAGAATGTTTTCAGTGGGTCAGGTGAAATAAGGTGAGAGACAAAGAGTCATGACAAAGAACTATAAATATTCTTAATAAGGTAGAGAAGAATAAGTGTGCATGTGTGTGGATAGGCCCACAGCACTCCTCTACCAGGAAACTGAAGACTGGAGTTACCAATACTCACCTTAATCACTTGATTCTCAAGATACTCCATAAAACAACCAGAGCTTGCTATACATTTTCTACATTTCCAACAACGAAGAATACTTGTTTCCTCTTGACTATGATTTTTAGTTATCAATTCTTTGCTTCTTTTCATCTGCGGAAACATTAGTGCATTTTTAGAATGTTAAACTGTCAGATAAACTGGACTTTCTAAATCCTTAACATGGCATTAGCTACAAGTGGACAGTAAAGCAGGGAACTATCATTTATTAAGGTACCTACCAGTTATCAGGTCTTAGGTTTGGGGCACTCTATACATTACATCTGAGATTGAAAATCCCAATTAATTATGATGATACATTATGTTAATGACTACCAGCTTATTTTCTTTGTGCACAAAGTTTTGTATCTACTGCTTTTCATTTGTCTCTCACTAAAAGTGGTAAACACAATCTGTAGAGTCAATTCAATAAGTTACTGCAGTAGTTTTTTTGTTTGTTTGTTTTTAGACAGGGTCTCACTCTTGTCACCCAGGCTGGGGTACCGTGGCACAATCATAGCTCACTATAGCCTCGAACTCCTGGGCTCAAGCAATCCTCTTGCCTCAGTCTCCTGAGTACCAGGGACTATAGGAGTGCACCACCACACTTGGCTAATATTTTTTATTTTTTATTTTATTTTTTTTACTTTCTGTAGAGACAGGGTCTTGCTTGGTAGCACAGGCTAGTATCAAATTCCTGGCTTTCCAAGCAATCCCCCTGCCTCAGCCTCCTAAAGTCCTGAGATTACAGGCGTGAACCACTGCATCTGGCCTACAGTGGTTTTAAAGAGTCATGACAAAGAACTAAATATTCTTATAAGTAGCATGTTTTGAATAGTCATACCATTAAATTTTAAAAATAGGATTTACTGAGTTGTTAATTCTGTGAAAATTGGAAGTGCCTACCTTAAATTGATGGCAAAATTCCTTTATCCTGAAAGCGACAAAGTCTCCACTATATTGTACTTATTGGAACAGTTAACTATATACTACATCTTGTATATAATCAAGCAAGACTCAGAGAACAGCCCCACCAAATTTGTAATCTATTTTTGCACCTGAGATTTTATGTCAATACTTTAAGCCAATTTGGGATAATAGTTTCACACTAATACATAACAATTCCAAAATAGGTACAGGGTGTTAAATAACTTGTCTGGTAATTATCCATTACAAAGAAAGGCAACATTAATTTATCAGGCTACCCACATGGGCCTGCCTAGTTCCCTGGCCACATTTCCTCATTTGTTCATTCAGTTCTCATTCGTCCAACACTTATTGAAAGCTACCTATGTGCCAGACAATGAGTCAAACTCTGGGAACATGAAAATGAGTAAAACTTTCTTTCTGTCTCAGAGGTGCTCACTATGCTACAGATCAACAGTTTTTCAACTGTAGCACATAGAATCACTTGGGAAGCTTTAAAAGAACAGTGATGCCTAGGACCCACTCCTAGAAATTTTTACTGATTCTGAGATGGGGATGCAGGTAGAAATGGACATTTAAAAAAAATTACCCGAGGGAATCTACAGTATGGTCAGGGTGAACACGGAGACATGCATACTATTAACAGTTAAGTAAAATGCAACTATAAGAGAGGGAACATGGACAGACAGTAATCAACTTTAAAGGTAGGACTTAAAGAACTCTGGCTCAGAGGGCACAGCAAGCCCCTCTAGTTCAGACCTTCAAGTAGACAGGCTGCAGTTCTGTCTCTACTGACCCATCTTCAGAATGCATCTTAGCCCAGTTGACCACTCCATTTTAACTATGACCTCAATGACCACCAAAAATCATTTAATTTGGCCGGGCGTGGTGGCTCACGCCCGTAATCCCAGCACTCTGGGAGGCCAAGGCGGGTGGATCATCTGAGGTCAGGAGTTCGAAACCAGCCTGGCCAACATGGTGAAACTCTGTCTCTACTAAAAATACAAAAATTTAGCCGTGTGTGGTGGCAACATGCCTGTAGTCCCAGCTACTTGGGAGGCTGAGGCAGGAGAATTGCTTGAACTCGGGAGACAGAGGTGGCAGTGGGCCGAGATCGTGCCACTGCACTCCAGCCTGGGCAACAAGAGCGAAACTCCGTCTCAAAAAAAAAAAAAATTGTTTAATTTGCAAATGTTCTGCCCTCCCCTTTCTTCATTGTTGAAGCACGAACACACTTAACTTCTTTAGTATTCTTCTTTCCTCTCTTACCCTTCTTAGCCTCTTTTATCTTCATCTCCCTTTTAACCAGTGGTCCTCAGCCAGGATAGGGACTGCAGGGAGGATTCATACCAGAATCAAGTATGGAGAAACTCTACATCTGCCTGTGCCCTCCAACCCTGAAATACCTGCCCTCTTCTCCCTGAAATTTTTCCATGCCTTCTTGGGGTACAACTATGTAGTAGGAAAAAAACCCTGTAGGAGATTGTTTTAAGTCTTCATTTAAACACTGAAAACTGTATTCACTCTGTGTGACAATGCTTTCGTATCAATGATTTTTACATCTATAGATCTAGTTTTGGTCTTGTTCCAAAGCTCTAAACCAGTATTTTCAATTTCCAAATGCCAATGCACATCTCTCTATGAATCTCCTTCAGGGCCTTTGTACTGGCTGTTCACTCTTCATAGATCTGAGCTATTCTATACAGTAGCTACTAGCCAGACATGTTTATTGAGTGCTTGAAATGTGAGTTATCTAAATTGAGATGTCCAGATTTTGAAGTCTTCGTAGAAAAAAAGAATGTAAAATATCTCAATATTTTTAAGTACATGTTGAAATAATACTTTTAATATACCGAGTTAAGGAAAATGTATTATAAAATTAATTTAACCTGTTTCTTTGAACTTGTTTATGTGGCTTTATAGGTAAGGCTTGTGTTGTATTTCTACTGGATAACCTTTTTCTAGACCTCCTCACCTCTCCTGGGTCTCTGCATGGTTGGCTCCTTTCTCATCATTTAGATCTTGGTTCAATGTCACCTCCTCAAATATATAGTATAAGGAACACCTTGAATTTACTTAAATGCAAGTCAGTGGGCCACAATCTAAGAGATTCTAATTCAATGTTTCTAGGATGTAATCTTTGTATAAAGTTCAAATTTATCACTTACAATACTGCCAAATATCCATGTCTGAATATACAGTTTGCCAATCATTCAAGTAAAAAATAATGTGCCACGAAAAGGTACTGACTTCAACTCTCAACTAAAACAACTGAACATGGGTTTTTCCTCAAGATCATCATCAGCCATCAGTAGACTGCACAAGTGCTCTATGGGTTCTTCTCATTTTTTCCCACAAAGAATATTTTTAAAAAGATGTACTTAAAAGAAAAGATTTAATACAATATTATTTACTGCTTCGATAAACAGGTTTTTTGCATCTATATGGTGGTAAAGAATAAAAGGACTCCTAGTATAGATTGTCACCATTGCCTTGATTTTGCTAAGGGACCCGCAGTTTTACCCACTATTGCTTTTGTATTATTTGTGCAAATGTCAATACAGTGAAAAAGGCAAACAACATCTTAATATTACCAAGAAAACAGTTTTGACCGCATTCTTTGAAAAGGTCTCACAGACACCAGCGGCATGAAGCACATTTTGAGAAATGCTACTTTATGCAAAACAGCTATCTCAAAAGTGTTGTTTTTGAAAATCTTACTTCTCAATAACATTCTTTAAAATACTTAGGAACGAAAGATGAGTCCCTATGGAGAAACATATTTATAACAGATTAGGTTGAAATTTTTTATAATACCAAGCACTGGAATTATAACCTCCATAACGAAGTTGCATTTCTTTGTCTATCCTTTGCTATTTGCTACACTTTATGGTGAAATACCAGCATTTGACACAGTAATAATTCTACATTCGTGGGTCTCTAGTCTTTGCTGACCTTTTTATTTGTTATTCATAAATTGAAACTTGAGATGAGGTGGACAAAATTATAAATTAAAATTAACCTAAAGTTAGAAAATACGAATAAAACGATTTTTAAAATTGAAACAGAACTCAGATACCTTCTCCAAAGCAATTTGGAGGGGGGATATAAGCATAAATGCTGTAACTGCCAAATTTTACCAATCTTTTAAGAAATAATCTTTATAACCTATAAACTGTAGTCCAGAAAACAGAAAAGAAAAAACAGCTCCTCAAAATAATTCTATAAGAGTAATATAACTTTGATATATTAACTAGACAAGGAAATATAAAACTAGACAAGGAGAATATGAGAAAAATATGAACCAAACTATTTATAAACATAGATGCTAAAATTCTAAATAAAATATTAGCCAACAGAATCCATCAATGAATTAAAATAATAATACATTTTGACCAAGTAAGATTACTTTCAGGAATTCAAGAATGGTCAAAATTGGGTGAAAAACTATTCAATATACCGAAATAAAAGATTAAAAGAAAAAACATGCTCATCTTAAAAGCTGCAAAAAATATAACTCTCAGTGAAATTCAACATTTAGTCAGAAATGAAAAACAAAACCAAAAAACACCACCCTAGCAATAGAAGGAAACTTCCTTAACCTGAGAGAAAGGGAGTTTATCGAAAACATTAGCAATTATATAATACTTGATGGTGAAACTTTAAAATCATTCCATTAAAATCAGGGAGAACATAATGATGCTATTTGCCCTATTATTCAAATTTGTAGCAGGACTCCTAGCTAATGCTAGTAAATAAGAGTTATAGCATCCGAAAGCGTTAATGGTGGGAAAAAAAAAAAAACTAAGTGCCTGTTAATACATGACATCATTTTTGGTTTTTAGGTTACAGGTGTTTCCATCTTGTTAGAAATACAACAGGCCCTTGAATAACATTGTTTTATTCAATATCAGTTATAAAATTGACAAGGAAAAGAAAGTCAATTTCCATTGTAACACTGATGAGAAAAATAATCAATTCCTGACCACAGTCACTGTGTGGAGTTTGCAAGCTCTCCCCATATCTGTGCGGGTTTTCTGTGGGCACTGCAGTTTCCTCCCACGTCCCAAAGATATACATGTTAGATTAATTGGCATGTCTTAATGGTGCCAATCTGAGATGGTGGGAGTGTACCCTGTGATGGAATGGTGCCCTGTCCAGGGCTGGTTCCCACCTTGCACCCTGAGCTGACAGATTAGGTTTCTGCCACCTACAACCCTAAACTAGAATAACTGGGTGAATATTGATCTTATTTTCTTACATGTCTTGATTTCTTAAATGTCTGTATAGCTCACATTTACTTTAATGTTTAATATTAGAAGTGTTTTGGTCTTTACTTAAAAGTTTGATGTTTTTGTGGCCAGAAATATGCCATAGGCAATTAACTCTTATTTATATCAATTAGCCAATGGTAAAATTGGTTTCATTATACTAAATTCTGATTAAAGTTGCAGTTTCCAAGAACTTATCAATGACATTAAGTGAGGACTTACTGCACATAAATAACAACAGTTAGCAAGTTTGTTCCCTGATGCTGAGGAACTGGGGAGAACACACCCCTTTCACATGGTATTTCTTTATTTCCTAACTACACAGGAGGTGGTTAATAACAATTTGCTTACTACGATGATTTTAACTACATAACTTTCATACACTTGGTATATAAAACTTTCCTATATTAGTAAATATGCTTGGTTTAAAAATGTTTAAATTCAACTTTTAGACTTACATGAAATACTTTCAGTATTACTAATCAGCTAGAAGACACTCTACCCCCAATATGTACATTTGTCACTAGGATAACTGGTGAGGATAAGATCATGGAAAACATTTTCCTATACAGTTTTCCTTATTTGAAGGAGAAACTGTACTACTCAAAAAAAGAATCTCCTGGGATACAATGTTAAATTTATAAATAAGCTAACATAATACCTGATAAGCTTCTGTGGTGCTAGAAATATACTAATTTCTAACATACTACTAGTTTTCCTACTCTGGGTACTGGTATTTTACATACATATATACATGTTCAGTTTGTGAAAATTCATTTGCTGTATACTTGTGATCTGTTCATTTTCCTATCTGTATATTTCAATATGAAAATTTCTTTTAAAACTTGTAACTTGTAAACAAGAAAAAAACAAACAACCCCATCAAAAAGTGGGCGAAGGATATGAACAGACACTTCTCAAAAGAAGACATTTATGCAGCCAAAAGACACATGAAAAAATGCTCATCATCACTGGCCAACAGAGAAATGCAAATCAAAACAACGAGATACCATCTCACACCAGTTTGAATGGTGATCATTAAAAAGTCAGGAAACAATAGGTGCTGGAGAGGATGTGGAGAAATAGGAACACTTTTACACTGTTGGTGGGACTGTAAACTAGTTCAACCATTGTGGAAGTCAGTATGGCGAGTCCTCAGGGATCTGGAACTAGAAATACCATTTGACCCAGCCATCCCATTACTGGGTATATATCCAAAGGATTATAAATCATGCTGCTATAAAGACACATGCACACGGATGTTTATTGTGGCACTATTCACAATAGCAAAGACTTGGAACCAACCCAAATGTCCAACAATGATAGATTGGATTAAGAAAATGTGGCCCATATACACCATGGAATACTATGCAGCCATAAAAAAGGATGAGTTCTTGTCCTTTGTAGGGACATGGATGAAGCTGGAAACCATCATTCTCAGCAAACTATCGCAAGGACAAAAAACCAAACACTGCATGTTCTCACTCATAGGTGGGAATTGAACAATGAGAACACATGGACACAGGAAGGGGAACATCACACACCGGGGACTGTTGTGGGGTGGGGGGAAAAGGGAGGGATAGCATTAGGAGATATACCTAATGTTAAATGACGAGTTAATGGGTGCAGCACACCAACATGGCACATGTATACATATGCAACAAACCTGCACGTTGTGCACATGTACCCTAAAACTTAAAGTATAATAAAAAAAAAAACTTGTAACTTTAAAGTGTGTCTCTCTTCCTTTCCCTCTTTTCCTCTCATCAATATAACCTCATGCTTGCCTCTGTTTGATAACAGTAGGTAAAGGGTGCCCAATATGGGGCAGTGTCTACAGTGACAACTCTTATTATTGGGCCCTGGTTAAAAGGTCAAGGTTTTCGGATAGGTAAAAGTCAAGCCCTTGCAATGAGACAAGAAATCACAGATGTGTTTTCCCACCATTGCCCATACAGGGATTACTTATCTATCACCAAGGAAAAACTGGAGAACAAGAAAGTGTGGAAATGAACCCAGGCTGATCTTTCATTATAAAAGTGATATATAACAGATAAATTTATATGTGGATAAACAGTACCAGCCCTTGTCACTACCAAAGAACTGGTTAAATGCTAAAGACGACTTTCATAATCCAAATCCTAAACAATTGGGAATGGGCCAAGATAGAAAGATCTAATGTAATGCTGAGAACCTCTCAAAACAGATAACTTTGTGATTTGCTATCCTTTATATGGACTGATGTTAATTTTTTTTAAAAAAAGCTTTATTAAGATACAATTGGTATACAAAAATTGCATATATTTAATATATACATTTTGATGAGTTTGGACATATGTATATGCCCAAGATTCTACCACCACAATCAAGGTACTTGATATATCCATCACTTCCAAAAATTTCCTTGTTCTTTGTAGGGTTTGGTTTTGGTTAAGAACACTTAAAATGAAATCTATCCTCTTAACATATTTTAAAGTGCATAATACTGTACTGTTAACTATAGGTAATATATTGCACATCAGATCTGTAGAACTTATTCATCTTACATACCTAAAACTGTATACCCATTAAGCAACAGTTACTGATTTCCTTTCCCCCATCCCGACAGTCACAATTCTATTCCCTGCATCTATGAGTTTGACTATCTTAGATAACCTCATATAAGTATAATAATGTATTTGCCCTTCTGTGACTGCCTTATTTCACTTAGCATAATGTTCTCTAGGTGCATCCATTTTACAAATGGTAGGATTGCCTTCTTTTTCGATGCTGAATGTTTCATTTTATATATATATATATATATATATATATATATATATACATGCCACACTTTCTGCATGCATTCATTTGTCAATAGGCACCTGGTTTTTTCTCCCCTTATTTTGGCTACTCTGAATAATGCTGAAATGAACATGAGGATGCAATTATCTCTTTGAGACTGTTACTTCAATTATTCTGTATATACATCAGACATAGGATTGCTGGATCATGTGGTAGTTCTACTTTTAATTTTCTGAAGACCTCCATACTGTGTTTTGTTTGTTTGTTTTTTGAGATGGAGTCTCACTCTGTCGCCCAGGCTGGAGTGCAGTGGCGCGATCTCGGCTCACAGCAACCTCCGCTTCCTGGGTTCAAGTGATTCTCCTGCCTCAGCCTCCTGAGTAGCTGGGATTACAGGCACGCGCCACCACGCCCAGGTAATTTTTGTATTTGTACTAGACACAGGGTTTCACTGTGTTGGTCAAGCTGACTTCGAACTCCTGACCTCACGATCCGCCAGCCTCAGCCTCCCAAAGTGCTGGGATTACAGGAGTGAGCCACTGCGCCTGGCAACTCCATACTGTTTTTAATAGTGACTACACCATTCGATATTCCCACCAAATGTGTACAAAATTTCTCTACATCCTGGCCAACCCTTACCTTTTATTTGGTAATATCCTAACAGGTGTGAGACAATATTTCATTGTAATTCTGAACTGCCTTTCCCTGATGATTACTGATATTAAGAACCCTTTCATGTATCTAGTGGCCATTTGTATGTCTTCTTAGCAAAAATGTCTATTCAAGTCTATTACCCATTTTTAATTGTTTTGTTTGTTTGCTATCTCAAAATCAGGCATATATGATCAAGTGATCTTTGACAAGGGTGTCAAGACCACAGTGGGTGAATAGGACAGTTTCTTCAACAAATGATGGTGAGAAAACTGGACACCCACATGCAAAAAAAATAAAATTGGACCCCTATCTTACACCATATGCAAAAATCAACTCGAAATGAATTAAACACTTAAACAGTAATATCTGAACCTGTAAAACTCCTGGAAGAAAACAGAGAAAGTTTTTTGGCATTAGTCTTGGAAAGCATTTCTTGAATTTGACACAAAATGGACAGGCAATAAAACCAAAAATAGACAAGTAAAACTACATTAAACCAAAAAGTTCTGCACAGCAAAGGAAACAATCAACAGAGTGAAAAGGCAACTTATGGAATGGGATAAAAATATTTGGAAACCATTTAGATAAGGTGCTAATATAAAAACATAAAAATCTTCTAAAATTCAATAGCAAAACATAAGCCAATTAAACACTGACATATTAGTCTTTAAAGTCATTAGACAACAGAAAAAATATGTTTGTATTTCATGCATTGACCTTTGTGAAATAGTCTATATTTTCTATCAGAATAGTAAAGAAAGACAATTTCCAATTAGTGCTTTCTAGCAGTCTCATCACCTTGTATTAATATCTAAGTATCTGGGGGGAGGAGAAGGATGAATAGGTGAAATGCAGGAGAATTTTAGGGCAGTAAAACAATACTGTATGATATTGTAATGGTGGACACATGATGTTATACATTTGTCAACATCCACAGAACTATACAACTCCAAGAATAAATCCTAATGTAAATTATTAATTTTAGTTAATATTCATTGATCAATTGTAACAAGTGTACCACATTAATACAAAACGTTAATGATAGGAGAAACTGCATGGTAAGAGGAAGTGTTCTGTACTTTCCATACAGAAATAAATGGGAACTTTCTGTAACTTTCTGCTCATTTTTTCTATAAACAGACTGCTCTAAAAATAGTCTACAAATTTAAAAAACTATTTTGACATCTAATAACAATACCATCTACTCAAAGTTACTGGTATTCATTAACAAAAAAAGGAGAAGTTTACTTTTGTCTTGGGTTTTTACACCCTTCTTTTGAAATTTAGTATCAACGCTGCTTTTCTAAATGTAAAAAAAGTTATACTTCATCAGTATGATATATGTACTAGTCTGCTTGGGTTTCAATAACAGAATACCACAGACTAGGGGGCTTAAACAACAGAAAATTATTTTCTCACAGCTCTGAATGCTGGAAATTCAAAATTAAGATGTTGGTAGGGTTGTTTTCTGGTGAGGCTTCTCATTTTGGCTTGCAGACAGCCACATTCTTACTGTGTCCTCACATGGCCTTTCCTCTGTGCATGTGTACTTCTGGTGTCTCCTCCTCTTAGGAACAGGAGTCCTACTGGGTTACAGCCCCACCCTTTTGACCTCATTTAACATTAATTACCTCCTTAAAAACCTTATCTCCAAATTGGGGGTTAGAACTTCAACATATGGATTTAGGGGAGAGGACACAATTCAATCTGTAACATTCCTCCCTCTGGACCCCCAAATTCATGTCCTCTTCACATGCAAAAAAACATCCACTCCATCCCAACAGCTCCCAAAAGTCTTAACTCATGTTAGCATCAACTCCAAATCCAAAGTCGCATCTAAATATCATCTAAATCAGGTATGGATGAGACTCAAGGTATAACTAATCACGAGGCAAAATTCCTCTCCAGCTGTGAAACTGTGAAAGCATGCAATGTATATGCTTCTAAAATACAATGGTGGCACATGCATAGGGTTGCCATTCCCATTCTAAAAGGGAGAAATCAGAACAAAGAAAGGGATGACAGGTTGCAAGCAAGTTCATTACCTAGCAAGACAAATTAAGGCACAATAATAATCCTTTCTGGCTTAATGGTCTGACCTACAGGCCCACCATAACAGCGGCTTTGTTTTCTCGGCCCACTGAGATGGCAGACCTGCTCCCTTGGCTCTGGGTGGCAGCCTTGCCCCTAAGGCTATGGACACAAGTATACAAATATTCAACTGCTAAAACTGAAGAGATGGCCCTATACTCAAACTGAGGAAGAAACAGCCTTAGCCCTGTGAGTCTGTGTGCTCTGGGCCTGTGGAGGCATCTCTGTATCATCTTCGGGTCCTTATCTTTTGTTGAAGGATAAGGCATATTCATAGCCAGATAGGCCTATGGTCCTTTTCTGTAGAATCCCAGAAGTCTGAAAGCCTTCCTTTATTTTGTCCTGTCTTGTCTCCTTTAATCCAAAATGGCAGTATCTCTGCTGCTATAATCCCATCATAGTATTATGGATGGAAAGATTGTCCAACGATACAGTGAGTGTCCTCTCCAAAACATGCTTTCCAGTATTTATTATGCAATATAAACAGGCTGAGAATTTTCAGAATCTTAATTTCTGGTTCCCTTTAGCTTAAAATTCCTTGTATAATTCATCTTTCTCCTTTTGAGTTGACTGTAAGCGGTAAGGAGAAACCGGGCCACATCTTCAACACTTCGCTTACAAATCTCCTCTGCTAAATATTCAAGGTCATCACTCACAAGTTCTACCTTCCACAAAGCACTAGAATACAATTCAGCCAAGGTTTTTCTTTTCTTTTTTTCTTTTTTTGCCACTTTATAACAAGGACTACCTTCTTCCAATTTCCCATAACACAGTCCTCACTTCTGTCTGAGACTTCACCAGAATCACCTTTAACATCCACATTCCTACCAATGATTCCTTCAAGTTAATCTAGGCTTTTTCTAACAGAGGCATCAAAACTCTTCCAGCCTCCATATGTTACCTAATTCCAAAGTGTTTCTCCATTTTTATGTGTTTGTTACAGAAGAATACCAATTCACAGTACCAAAATATGCACTATTCTGCTTGGGCTACCATAACACAATACCATAGACTGGGTGGCTTAAACCAAAGAAATTTATTGTCTCATAGTTATGGAGGCTGAAAGTCTAAGATCAAGGTATTGGCAGGGTTTCTTTCTGGTAAGACCTCTCTTCTTGGCCTGCAGATGGCCACTTTCCTGCTGAGTCCTCATATGTCCTTTCCTCTGTTTGTGTATACTTCAGATGTCTCTTCCTCTTCTTACAATTACACTAGTCCTATTAGATTGGGGTTTCACCCTGTGACCTCATTTAACCTTAACTTTCCCTTTATGACCTCATGTCCAAATATAGTCACATTGGGAGTTAAGGCTTTAACATATGAATTTTGGGGCAGGCGGTGAGGGACACAATTCAGTCCATAACAGTACCTATAGAACCCAAGCCAGTCCTCCCAATTTTGCCATTATTAGAATGCTCATGTTTATTACGTGTCTTTTCTGTTATACTTCCTGCATAGAATAAAGTCACGGCACAAAGAAAACCCACCAAATATTTCTCAAAGGGTAAAAATCCTGTTAGTGAACAAGAAAGAAAAATCAAGAAGAGAAATGACCAAAGAACTTAGAGCTCCCTTAGCAATTATCAATATCTTTCTTAAAACTTAAGATAAAAATTCAAGTGAGGTAAAATTGATAAATTTATGAAAGGAGCAAAGCATACCAACTTAGAAAATAAAATGCTTAAATAATTTAGCCAGTTCAAACCATCTCAGGGCAAATAATATTTCCAAATTTTTTTTAAACTATCCATACCTCCTGGGCACGGCACTTAAAAATATGTACTTTTTTTTTTGTTTACGAGAACCATAATGTATTTGTAACCATTAAGTTTAGCATAATTAATCACCTAAAGGTTGTATACTGTAAGTGCTCAGGACCTTATGTCTCCAGAAAATGAGAAAGAACATTCCTTTTGTAGATATAAAGAAATAGCATGTCCTTAATGTAAGGGAAATCTCATTGTTACACAGGGCATAGCAATCCCAACAGTAACCCACAACTGCTTTGTTGAAATGGGCTTTGGCATCCGTGGCTGTTAACATGAGCAGAACATCATACATAATAACTCTGTCAGATGAGCTGCACAGATATTAATTATTTTGTAAAACTAATTACATGTCAGCTCACCCTACTGATATTGAATCTTCTTGATGCCTATTGTGAGCACGGAAGAACTGAAATAAAAGGAGTCCAAATCCAAGCAGGCCACAGCAAAGAAATACTAGCAACACTACAGTCAATGATCTGTGAAATGCTGCAAAAACGTAAAATGGCTGAACTTGCAAAACAGACAATCACCTAATTTGTTCGTGAATCATTTAAGAACACCTTAGGACACAAAAAGTATTCCTATGTTAAGTAAAAATTAAAACAGCTTCTCACAGTTATGGCCAGATGCCTATGGAATGTATGTGCCTTACTTACTTAGTTCAATGAATATTTCAAGTACCTGTATTATTTGGTGAAAGACAGTTTGTAATCTGGGATCCCTCTCATATTACTGTTCAATCTTTGTGAAAGATATCAGATACTTCATCTACACAAATAGACGGTGTCAGGTGATTTCTAAACTGTCATTTTATAATTCTATGCTGCAGTAATGAAAACTGCATTTGAAACTGCTAATTTATGAACTTAAACTGTCCAACACGAATTACAGAGAGAGAGACCACAGTCTTCTTAAATAATTGTTGGTGTTACATACTTCTGTGTTTGAACATGATAAAATCAACTTCAATAGTTTAAATGGTTCTGCATATGCTTTGGTGTTCACATCTATAAGTATTTTTCCTATCTCCATCTAGCCACCTCTCACCTTCCTTATTTCTACTTTTCTTCTACCTTCTCTGGGTTTGTTGAGTTAGGCAGAGTGCAATGCATAATAAACAACCTTAATGACAAAAAGTAGTATGAATTTGTCATTGTACTTGCTACCAGTACTTCATATCCTGTCCCATAGGTTCTTAAGTCACATACTTCAATTAAAGTTGAATAGCACTTCTTTATTCTTGTAAACTGACTCATTTTCCTTTTTCTCACAAATATATCTCAGGCACTTAGTCTTGAATGCCCACTGCAGTATTTCAATCCAAGTGACATCTTTAAGAATTATAAAATATTACTGAAGAAATGCAGACATGTGTTCTGATTAGTTTTGTCCATTTTAATTGCTACCTGTCTTTCATAAAATAGTGAATTTTAAAGAAGAATGAAAGTAATAATAAGCAGGACCCATATATTCACTGACTTCTAACACACTACTTTCTTATGGGAAAAATATATGAAAAGGTAGAAATTGCATGCGGAATTAAGAGAGTTGTACAAAATGCTGAAATACACTTTCCAAAATGTTGTGTGCATGTCGGTATTTACATGGGACTCTCAGAAATCATCATATGATGAGTATACAAGTTCTGGCTCCAAAGAAGAGTTTTCATTATTTTTGGAGATTCTTGAGCAATCCAGGACATGATACATCTAAATATAATTTTAATGAAGGTCCCAATAATATTTCTGATTGGACCATAAAGATACAGTAAAGAAGAAAATAAAATCAGGAAATTTCTTTTCAGTTAATATTCAATAATTATTTGCTGAGAAACTATTATTTTGTCCCAGAACATAAAGAATAACAAAGACACGTGCTATGAAAGCATATGAGAGGGTGAGAGGGGTTCTAAGCCAGTTGACTGGGAGAGAACAGGCAAAAATTGTCAGGGTTCTCAAAGGAAAACATCTAAATAAAGACTTGAGCCTGAGGTCAAATGGAGCCTTCTTCCTCCCAAGTGCTTCTCAGGCTGACTTCTTAGAAGGGGAAATACGGGCTAAAACATATTTACCTTATGTTAAATATATTAATATGACATAAAGTGTTGTTTTAACCAAATGTTGATAATAAGTATTTGTCTGATTTGCCATACTCTTACTAGATATATTCTTCTTGATGTATCAGTAATCAAGAAAGGATTCAGATGAAAGGTGGCTGCACAGACAAGCACACTGACTTGGCTTCAAAATCCTTTTTACTTCAGGGCAAGAGGAATTGTCACATACAGAGACATTTTGTTTGATGCAGAGGCAACTATACTAGGTTACCTCAAAAGATACGGCTCCAAAAAATTGCCAGATAATGGAGAAAAAAAAGCAGGTATTTCCTAGCAGATAAAACACTGGCCAATAAAGCACTGCCTGGGAAGCCGAGAGACTTGGGCTTGTTTACTTACTTATCCCACCATCTTCCCCAAAAGAGAGTTTTACATTCCTAGCACTTTTATTGTTTGCTCTGTTCCTAAACAGCTTTTACCTTTGTTCATCTGATACCTTTGTTCATCTGTTACTTATGCCTTTATGTTGTACTTATGTCTTTGCATCACCAGATAACACACTAATGAGTACATCTGATTCTTCCTCTACTTGTAAACTCCCAGAGATAGGGCATAAGCAGTAGCTCAAGTTTTTGTAGTCCCCCTCAATACCACAGGCTGCCTTGTATGTGACTATATATGTTGCTGAAATGAATTTGTGGCAATTAGAGCTACTGTTCTCTCTTTGGGCATTGAAAGGAAATCCAAACATATCAGGTATAAACCACATTCTTTATTTCATTTAAATTCACCTAAGAGCCAAACCAATGTTTAAATACATTAGGTTGAATTACATGGGAAAAAAACCTAATTAGAAACTAAATTATGATTTACATACTCATATGCTTCTGGTTGAATCAAAATGCTTGTCCTAGTATACAATACGCTTCTACAAGCTTCTGCCCTTTCCCTAGTAAACTCTTAATTTACTCATAATTACATAAAGAAAAGAAAAATGAGATAAAGCAGTACTTTTTAAATGAATTATCATATTTATTTTTAAATAAAACTCTGAGTGTAAAACAGGACTATGTTTATGAAAAGTATCAACTAACTAATCTACCAGACAAACACTGTTATGATGAAAAATGCTGCTACAGGAATATAGCCAAAAGTTAGATTAAGGTGATAGCAGTGAAGGTGTTAAGTTATCATCAAATTCTAGATATATGCTGAAAGTAAAGCAGAGATGATTTCCAGACAGATTGGATGTAGAGTCTATGAGGATCTAAGGATCTCCAAATTCTTTGTCATAAGCAACTGTAAAGATGAAACTGCCATCAACGGGTAAGGGAAAGGGTGCCAGTGAAACAGAAAGGACAGTCAGGAGTTTGGTTTGTGATATATTTAGGTATGAGATCTCTGAACAAAAGATTTAAATGTGGGATGGTTCTCTAAAGCCATGAAAATAAATGATATCTACAAGGTTGTGAGCATGGACAGAGAAAAGACCAAAGACTCAGCCCTGGGTTTACCTAAATTTTCTGGGGATATATTAACTCTCATTCATTTCCTCATGGATTGAAGACTAGCATGTGACCTTGAGAATCTGCCCCTCCTGGAAACAGAGTTTCACACCATATCCGCCAGGTGTTCCAAAGGCATCACCAGCCCAGGGATACTTTATATAAATTTCTCAGTTTGGAAGTCTTTGGCTCACCCTAATAGTATAAATTCAAATCCCCAAACCTGAAATTTTAGGATTCTCAGGTGATATGGAGGATGTCAGAATCTAAAAATGAATTTAAAAAGAGAAAGAATCCAATCAAGCAGTTATTGTACCTTTGCAATACAGACTATTTCACGGTAACCAAATAGTTGGTGAGCAAAAATTCTTCAGTATAGAAGCACAGTGCTAAAAAATGAAGGGTGATTATATTAAAATTACCATTTTTGACCCCGATGAAATAATGGATCTAGACAAAACCATCAATAGATGTTAAACAATTAGAAAAAAAAGATAATAAAGTACTTTATAATGGGCAAATAAGGCTGTTCCCACTAACACTCAAAGATCAAACCAAAATCACTAAAAACAGGACAACGGTATGAGTTTGCTAGTACTACCATAACAAAGTACCACAGACTGGGTAGTTTAAACAACAGAAACTTATTGTCTCACAGTTCTGGAGACTAGAAGCCAAAAATCAAGACATCAGCAGGTTTGGTTTCTTCTGTGACCTCTCTCCTTGGGCTGCAGATGGCTGTCTTCTCAATGTGTCCTCACATGATCTTTCCTCTGTAGGCACACATAACCAGTAGGTCTTTATGTGTCCAAATTTGTTCTATGTATAAGGATACCAGTCAGATTGGATTAGGGCCCACACTAACAAACTCATTTTAACTTAATCACCTCTTTCAAGTCCCTATCCTCCAAATAGCCATGTTCGGAGGTACTAGGAATTAGGCCTTCAACACATGAATTTGGGGGTGCCCAATGCAGCCTAATAAAGCTATTATAGAGACTGATGTTTTAGAAAATCCATTAAAGAACACAGTCTGAGTTTCAGGACATCATATGTGGTTTGATAACTATATGTTACTATGCTGTTTATGAAACTATCCATCAAAAAATGTATACTTTTTGACTGGGAACAGTGGCTCACGCCTGTAACCCCAGCACTTTCAGCGGCCAAGGCGGGCAGATCACTTGAGGCCAAGAATTCAAGACAAGCCTGGCCAAGAAGGTGAAACCTTATCTCTACTAAAAATACAAAAATTAGCCAGGTGTGGTGGCACACGCCTGTAATCCCAGCTACTCAAGAGGTTGAGACATGAGAATTGCTTGAACCAGGGAGGTGGAGGTTGCAGTGAGACAAGATAGTGCCACAACACTCCAGCTTGGGCAATAGAGAGAGACTGAGTCAAAAAAAAAAAAAAAAAAAAAAAAAAGGTATACTTTCTCCCTTTTTAATAGGCAATAGGCCAGAAAGTGGTATATCCTTCATATATTTGAAACTAAAATTTCCATATATAAAACATGAAATCAAAGCATTAATATTATTTTTTAAACTAGCTATCATTTTTTAGTGTAGTACTTATTAAGTGGCATTAGTTCCCTTAATCATCAAGACATTCCTATGAGGTAGGGACTGTTAACTCCATTTTATAGATGAGGAAACTGAGTCCTAGAAGTTAAGTGACTTCTGAAATTATTCCCATCACTTTGTGAGGAAGATGTTCTTATTTTCTAGTCTTGAGATTTCTAAGGATGAGAAGAGTGAGATGCATTGAAGTTTTGACAGAGAATTCTAAGCTGATGGTCACATACTGAAATGGAGGATGCAACAAACATCATTGGTTGTCCTCCCCAACCTGCTGGCATCTTAGCCGGCTACAGTAGCAGAAGGTAAGGAATGGAAGCAGCAACTAGCTCCGAGATGGAATGTCAAGATCTATATTCAGTCTTGATCACCTTTTACGTGACATCGGAAGTACTCTCCTTTAGCCATTCTAAAAATAAAACAGGGTCCAATACATTGACAGGGTCTGCAAAGACTCTGCACACATTACTATCTTACCATATGAATACTGGTGGCCTTCTTTACTTTAAACTTTTTCTTTGCTTTTGTGTACTTTTCTCCCTTTCTTCAGGAGTATGGAATCTGCATCAAGACATACTCAATTTGCTATCACTTATTCTCGTATAAACTTACTACTATCTGGCAGTAAATGCCTCTGGAGACAGCTGTTCTATATAGTCCTTCAGCATGAATCTCCCTGAAATTCAGTAATACTCTTAGATCTTACGCTAAGATAAAGATTTAGCTTATAATACTAAAACAGCCAAGCTGTCCCAGTTATTTCTTCTGTCTTCTCATTCACTGAGGCCCTTGGAGGCTCCTGAAGTATGCAATTTAGCTTGTTTTCTTTGAATGTTTCCAGACACTAATGTTTCCTACATTCTGAAGTTACTCATGACTGTTAGTAAATTCAACAACCCTAGTTTCACAATAAAATATTTAATGGTGATTAGTGAAGATCCTCTAAAGCAATTGGATTGATTCATTTTGTGAAATTTCTTTAAAATAAATTTTTTGTGAATCACATTATTTAAGAAAGTAGCTGTAATCCCAGGACTTTGGGAGGCCAAAGCGGGCAGATCACGAGGTCAGGAGATCAAGACCATCCTGGCTAACACAGTGAAACTCCGTCTCTATTAAAAATACAAAAAAATTAGCCAGGCGTGGTGGTGGGCGCCTGTAGTCCCAGCTACTCGGGAGGCTGAGGCAGGAGAATGGTGTGAACCTGGAAGGCGGAGCTTGCAGTGAGCTAAGATGTGCCACTGCACTCCAGCCTGGAAGACAGAGCGAGACTCTGTCTCAAAAAAAAAAAAAAAAAAAAAAAGACAGTAGCAGTTGCACTTTTCCCTCATACAAAATCTTATAAGGAACCCCAAAATGTTAACCTGACCAAAGCAATTAAGGGGTTAAATATTTCACTATTTGCAGAATCCCTGAAACACAGATTGAGCACTACTGATATAAAACACGGTGTTCATAAACACTATCAATTACTGAAATTAATGTTTTATTACAATTATTTTCAATAATAAATCTTCCCTTGTTCCATAGTATTTCAGAGGTTTCATTTCAGGCTGCTTTATTTTTCTTCGTACACACAGCGAGATTACAGAGAGATCTGCCCAGACTTTGGTGTCAAACAGACAAGCTGAGGGAAACTACCCATGATCACTTTTCTGCCCATCTGCTCCTATCTAGGCAAAGGTTGCTGACATACAAAGCACTCAGTCCTGTTCACCTATCCTTAACAGGCCTTTACCACCTGATTTTTAGCTCAATATTTTTCAGAGAGGGCATTTTTCAATACCCTTTATTGCCTACCTGTTTTTCTGGGAGAGGAAACCCATTTAAAAAACTGTAATTGCCATTGCTACCACACATAATCAACAGGGTTCTTTTTGTGTCAGAGTAGGATAAAATGGCAAAGTGAAACACTGATAAAATTTTAACTTCTGCAAATGCTTTGTGGTACCCACGTGTGATGGTTAATACTGAGTGTCAACTTGATTGGATTGTAGGATGCAAAGTATTGTTCCTGGGTGTGTCTGTGAGGGTGTTACCAAAGGAGATTAACATTTGAGTCAGTGGACCGGGAAAGACAGACAGACTCACCCTTAATTTGGGTGGCACCATCTAATCAGCTGCCAGCGAGGCTAGAACAAAGCAGGCAGAAGAACGTGGAAGGAGCAGGCTTGCTGAGTCATCCAGCCTTCATTTTTCTTGTGTGCTGGATACTTCCTACCCTCGAACATCAGACTCCAAGTTCTTCAGCTTTTGGACTCTTGGACCTATACCAGTGGTTTGCCATGGGCTCTCAAGCCTTCAGCGACAGACTGAAGGCTGCATTGTTGGCTTCCCTACTTTTGAGGTTTTGGGATCCAGACTTGTTAGTTCTGCCCCTCTAGAGAACCCTAATACAACATGACAAATTCCCCTTCTGCCTAGTAGCTTCCTGGAATTTGCTGGGAACACAGGAAATGAAAGAAATTCAGCAGTTTCTGCCTCACAGAGTAGTATCTGAGAATCTGAGAGGCGAAAAGGGATGTCTTTCCATTTTGCCGTTGGTAGAAGTTCTATGAAGGAATTGACTACAGGGGAAGAATAATGCCTCTTAGCTTGTATCTATCAGGTTGTTTATATCTTGAGGCAAGGGTGGGGTATGCAGGTGCTAAAGTAGAGAAATTCCTCTCAACCTAAGACCATATGCTTCTTAATTAAGGTACTTCCTCCTGCTTTCTGTGTTTTTGAAGTTTTTAAGTTTTGGTTTTGTGGTAAATTTTGATTTTATTCTACATCTTCATAGGAACTTAATGAAAAATGAGAAAATGGTACACTGGAGGCTGCTAGCTGCCATTTCTGAACCAGAAGGAGTCTTCACATAATTTTTTAAAAATTCATAATTTTACACAAATTTTAATGAGCAATTGTATGGCATGTTTACTTCTTCATTTATTTATTTATACCCTGCCTTATCTACAAACAAATTTTGAAAGTAAGATATTACAGAAAGCTGCAAACCTTGAGCTCAAACTTGTGACTATAGGCTGGGTCATGTTTCAAAAAACAGAGTAGAATAAAATGGCAAAGTGAAACACTGATAAAATTTTAACTTCAGTATAAGAAAAGACAAAATTAATGACAACCCACAGACTGGAAGAAGAAATCTGCAAATATAAGCAAATGGTTAATAGCTACAATTAATTCTACAAAACAAATTTTTTAAAAGAAAATTATCCAGCAGAAAAATGAACAAGGAGTATGGAAGTGCAGTTCCTAGAGGAGGAAAGCCAAATGGCCAACAATTATATAAAAAGTGTTCAACCTCACCAGAAATCAGGAAAATGAAAAATAAAACAAGGTTCCCGTTCACACTCATCACACTGGGAAAAATTAAAAAGTCTTACAATACCAACTATAAAAATGATCTGGAGCAACAAGAAGAATCTCAAAAACTGCTACGGGGAGGTATAACTAGGCACAATCATTTTGGAAAGCAATTTGATAATGTCTGATAAAATAAAATATGTCTATCCATGGATGTGCAGTTCTACTTCTAGGTTTGTATATGAATAAGGAAACATATCATATGGGAATGTTCATTTTAGCAACACTTTGCAATAATATAAAAAAACTGGAAACAACCCAAATGTGCATCAATTGATTTGATAAATATTTGTTCATTCATACAATGGAATACTATATAGCAATGAAAAGTAATAAAGCTGTATGTATCTAGAAAAAAATCAAAGTTATTTTAAGTAAAAAGGCTGCAGAAATATACACATTAAAGAATAACACAGCACAGTAAGATTTATAAAAAGTTTTAAAGCATGTAAAACAAAGTAATATTTTGTTTATTGATACATGCATGTGTAGCAAAAGCATAAGAACATGCACAGGAATGACAGACACCAAGTTTAGAATAGTAACCTCTAGGAAGAAACCAAAGGGGGCTTAAATTTTATCTGCATTTTTATTTTTAAAACAAAAAAGGAAAAATAGTAAAACATTAATATTTTCTAATACTAAGTGGTGAGAACACACAGATGTTCAGTATATTATTCTCTATATCGTAAATTTGAAATATTTTATTTAAAAAATTAAATTTTTTATTAGGAATCTGCAAACCACATATTTTCTATCCCATAAGTATTTGTGAATATGAAAAATATGAAACATTTATTTTGCTTTGAAGAGCACATAAAGTAGCATTCGATTTCCATTTAAGCCTTAGTTACTAAAAAGTATGATATATATTGGGGAGTGGGGAAGGAGCAGCAACAACACCTGGGTCAAAATGATAACCTGGGCAAGTAGTTCTCATTTATTGTGCATCTGAAATATCTGAAAGGTTTTTTTTAAAAGAATAGACGCTCAGGCCTCATCTTAAACCTGCTTGAATCAAAATGTCTGCATTGAGGACCATATACACAATAAGACTGAAAACCACTTGTCTATGAAAATGACACAAAAAGAAAAATGAGCAACGCTGATTGATTTAGAAAAAATATGTAGTTGGAATGGTGAAGGTACAGTTTTCCTAATGGCTATGTGGACAGTTCCATGTATTCTACCTATGCACTGTACAAGCAATAGAAAAATATAAAAAAATAAATTAAGAAGACACATTTAACAATACTACACAAGTTAATACCACAAGAAAAGAGGACAGTAGCTGCGTTTCATATGCAATGCATCAATCATACAATGTTCTTGGATGTTAGTAACTGAATTAGACTAGAAAAACATAGGTGCCTTTCAAGAAATAAAAACAGCACAAACAGGCATAAAACATTAACTGTAACTGAAACACTCTCTTGATATGATTACAGTGCTGGATATTCTTTGCTCCACATTCCAGAGTCTACTCTTTACCTTCTTAACTTTGCTCTAATTCCCAGGAGGCTGACTTTTGGACTGCTACATCAAGGCTCTCTTGCCTTTTGGCTTCCAATATTGTCTGCCAATGGAAAGCATCAGGTGGAGATCAAAGGACTGGAAAAGCGTGAGGCTGGGGTATATATATTCCCTCTGGTGCTCCCCTGTCAGATCATAGAAAGGCCAGAGTTCTTGTCAGGCAGGCTTTTCTTTTTTTTTTTTTTTTTTTTGAGATGGAGTCTAGCTCCGTCACCAGGCTGGAGTGCAGTGGCGCCATCTCAGCTCACTGCAACCTCTGACTCCCTGGTTCAAGCAATTCTCCTGCCTCAGCCTCCTGAGTAGCTGGGATTACAGGCACACACCACCATGCCCAGCTAATTTTTGTATTTTTAGTAGAGACGGGGTTTCACTATGTCAGTCAGGATGGTCTCAATCTCCTGACCTCATTATCCACCCACCTTGGCCTTCCAAAGTGCTGGGATTACAGGCGTGAGCCACCACGCCCAGCCCCAGGCAGCCTTTTCTACATAGTTTCCATGTGGGTTTCAGTAATGGTCCTTCTTTTGCCTCTTCAAGCCTAGGGATGATAATGACTCTCATTATTGCTAGTCTTGGGGTGCTTCACCATCCATTGTTGGTTTATTTTAACCTAGAGACACCTATTTAAATTAAACTCATCTCAGTTACCTCATCTGAGTATGTCATCTATTTTCTACCAGAACACTGACTAACATTACTAAGTTATGCTTTATACCAGAGTATCAGAGTAATAAATTTCTTCTGTAGATCTAACCTTATAAGCTGACATATACTGCTATTAACCACTGTTCTAGGTATTATGTATGACTCAGGAAAGAAATAAATACATATATATATATATATATATATATATATATATATATATATGGCATAATTTATGCCTTTGAAAAAAATCTAGATAGAGAACAAGTTCATGGCCAAAATAAGTAAAATAATTGAGAACACAGAAAATAACTAGCAATTAAGTAGTATCAGATAAACTAAGGGCAAGAAACAAGAATTAGGGAGTCAGGGAAAGCTTTGTGAAGAGAGTAGTCTTCCAGTTGGGTCTTAAAGTATAGAGGGGATTTAAATAGCATCAGCCAAGTAGAATGAAGAGATATGGACATCTAAAACAAGGAAAATAAATAAGCCAAAACACTAAGTCGGGAATGTGTAGGGTTGTTTGGCTAGCAGTAAGTATAATGTTTGACTTGAGCAGAGAAAGCTTTATTTCTGACTCTACAGCCTTAGTAGTTCTAAGTCAGACACGTGTAGCTATACAAATATCTATTATACACTTCACGTATCATCAGAAAACAGTCTGAGAATTAACAAATTCCACCTTGAAACCAGAGATCTGAGCAAAATTTGGCCAGAAAGATAGAAGTTCTCCTTATGCAGTTAATTTCTAACTCTATTAAACAAACTTTGAGTAGACAGCCCCCAATTTACCTATAATACCATTGGCCCACACGTCTATTCTCTTCATTCCTTGCTGCCCAAAATATGTGTCCATACTTCAATTTTGGCCTCTAGGATACATTTTTTCAACAGGTTTCTGAATAGGCTAGGCAATTCTCATTCAGAACAAGCCTCACTGTTTATTTCAGCAATTTTACCAAGGATGTTTTAAAGCTGCTTTTAAACAGCTGTGGTTGTTTCTAAGGTTTTCCAGATATCAAACCATCAGTGAACTAATCAGGTAAAGAGATTATAAAACATAAGGACAATTCAGTTACTAACAGAATGTTCTCCAGTATTTCTGCTTGCTATGGAAAAATTTATCAAGATTAAAAAACTCAGGAGTTTCAATTTCCTCAGCCAGCTTTTTTATGAAACTCAGCCGTCATTTCTCAAAAATTTTCTAAAAATCTAAGAAAGCAAGAAAACACCTTGTTAATAGTGATGTCATCAAGATGGCTGACTAGAAGTACCTGGCATTCCCCACAAAAAGGGATTTTTTCGAGAAGAGACTAAAAAGAACAATACAAAAGATAAGCACAACAGAGCTGGTTTTCTGGAAAGATAAACAAAATTAACAGAACCTTAAGAAAAAGAAGATAGGAGACTCAAATAAAATTAGAAATGAAAAAGGGGATATTACAAATGATACTACAGAAATACAAAGGAAAATATTATGAAAACTATATGCCAATAAATTGGAAAACTGAAAACAAACTGACAAATTCCTAGATATATACGACCTACCAAGATTGAACTATGAAGAAATAGAAAACCTTTACATTAAGACCAATAATAAATGAGGAGATTGACTCAGTAATAAAAAGTCTCACATCAAAGTAAAGGCCCAGGATTTGTGGGCTTCACTGCTGAATTCTATCAAACATTTCAAGACTAATACCAGTTCTTCTCAAAATCTTCCAGGATTTATAAAATCCTAAAGACTCCACCAAAAAACTGTTAGAACTAATTACCAAATTCAGTAAAGTTGTAAGATACAAAATCAATATATAAATTCAGTAGCATTTCTATGTGCCAATAGAGAATTATCTGAAAAAGAAACCAAGAATGCAATCTCATTTGCAATAACTACAAAAAATTAGATGCCTGGAAATAAATTTAACCAAGCATGTGAAAGATCTCTATTGTAAAAATTATAAAATATCGATAAAAGAAATTGAAGAGGATGCAAATATATAGAAAGATATTCTGTGTTCATGGATTAGATTGTTAAAGTGTCCACAGTACTCAAGGCAATCTACAGATTTAATGCAATCCCTATAAAAATACCAATGACATTTTTCAAAGCAATGAAAAAAAATCCTAAAATTCATACAGAACCACGAAAGACCCCAAATAGCCAAAGTAATCTTGAGCAAAAAGAATAAAGCTGGAGATCATATTATCTGGCTTCAAAATATACTACAAAACTATAGTAATCAAAATGGTATGGTACTGCTATAAAAATAGAAAAGCCAATGGAAGAGAATTGAGAATATAGAAATAAATCCACACACTTACAACCAACTGATTTTTGATAAAGGTATAATAAGCACATGTTAGGAAAAGGACTGTCTCTTAAATAAATGATACTGGAAAAACTGAATATCCACATGTAGAAGAACGAACTAAACCCCCGTCTTCTACCATATGAAAAAAAATCACCTCAAAATAGAAACGGATTGGCGAGGCACAGTGGCTCATGCCTGTAATCCCAGCTCTTTGGGAGTCCGAGGCGGGCATATCACCCGAAGTTGGGAGTTCAAGACCAGCCTGACCAACATGGAGAAACCCCATCTTTACTAAAAATACAAAATTAGCCGGGTGTGGTGGCACATGCCTGTAATCCCAGCTATTTGGAAGGCTGAGGCAGGAGAATCATTTGAACCCGGGAGGTGGAAGTTGCAGTGAGCCGAGATTGCACCACTGCACTCCAGCCTGGGGGACAGAGCGAGACTCCGTCTCAAAAAAAAAAAAAAAAAAAAAAAAAAGAACTGGATTAAAGACTTAAATGTAAAACCGGAACCTATCAAACTACCAGAAGAAAACATGAGGGAAATGCTTTATGACCTTGGTCTGAGCAATGATTTTTTGGATAAGACCTCAAAAACACAGGCAACAGAAACAAAAATAGACAAGCAGGATTATATTTATATTTAACTAAAAAGTTTCTGCACACCAAAGGACACAATCGATAAACAGAACCTATAGAATGGGAAAAATATTCGCAAACTATGCATCTGAGTTAATATCCAGAAGATATAAGGAACTTAACTCAACAGTAAAATAATAATAATCTGATCAAAAATGGGCAAAAGACCTGAATAGATGTCAAAAGAAGACATATAAATGGCCAACGGGTATATGATAAAATGCTCAACGATCACTAACTGTTTGGTAAATATAAATGTAAATTAAAATCACAATGAGACATAATCTCACCCCAATTAGAATGGCTGTTATCAAAAAGAAAAAAAAATAACAAATGCTGGAATGTATATGAAGAACGAGGAATTCTTACATACTGTTGGTGGGAATGTAAATTTGTCCAGCCATTATTGAAGACAGTATGGAGGTTCCTCAAAAAATTAATAGTGAACTTCAACATGATCCAGCTATCCCACTTCTGGGTATATATCCAAAGGAAATGAAATCAGTATGCTGAAGAGACATCAGCACTCCCATGTTTATTACAGTACTATTCACAATACCCAAGATATGGAATCAATCTAAGTGTCCATCAAAGAATGAATGGATAAAGAAAATGTGGTATATATACACAATGGAACACTATTCAGCCAAAAAAAGGGATGAAGTCCTGTCATTTGTGGCAACATGGATGAGTCTGGAGGACATTATATTAAGTGAAATAAACCAAGCACAGAAAGACAAAATCTGCAAAATCTCACTCATGTGCAACCTAAAACAGTTATGTCAGGCCAGGTGTGGTGGCTCACGCCTGTAATCCCAGCAATTCGGGAGGCCAAGGCAGGTGGATCACGAGGTCAGGTGTTTGAGAACAGCCTGACCAAGATGGTGAAACCCTGTCTCTACTAAAAATACAAACATTAGCTGGGTGTGGTGGTGCATGCCTATAATCCCAGCTACTCAGGAGGCTGAGGCAGGAGAATCACTTGAACCCGGGAGGCAGAGGTTGCAGTGAGCCGAGATCATGCCATTGCACTCAAGCCTGGGTGACAGAATGAGACTCCATCTCAAAAAAAAAAAAAAAAGTTGATGCTATAGAAGTAGGGAGGAAAACAGCAGTCACCAGAATCTGGGAAGTAGAAAAGGGGAGAGAGGGAAAAGGGAAAGGGGAAAGGGAAAGGAGGAGGGAGAGAGATTGGTCAATAGGTACGAACTTGCAGTTACGTACAAGGAATAAGTTTTGGTGATCTACTGCATAGCAAGATGACTATAGTTAACGACACTATATTGTATATATTTCAAAATACCAAGAAGAGAGAATTTTGAATGTTCTCACTATAAATGAAAAATCTTTGAGGTAATAAATACCTTGATTTAATCATCATACAACATATACATGTATCAGAACATCACACTGTACCCCCAAATATGTACAATATATGTCAAAAATGTGTCAATTATAAATAAAAGTACAGTGAAATTAAATGGCTATTTACAAAAATATGACAACAAAAATTGTATATACATTCAAGATACATTCAAGAAATATGTAAAATTATTCTCATTTAAATGTTATTGGGTGGTTTCTACTTTGGCTGGGAATTCAAGTAATTAAAATTTGTCTCTGTAAAAGAAAATAAAAACCTTAATTAAATGGTTAATATATACTGTATCAAGGATATTTGGTTTTGGTTAATATGATTCTATTTTTTGTACAGTTTGCTGTATACTAGGGACAAAAATCTAACAGGCAAGGATGGCAATTTGTCTGGATCTAAGAGTCATTACCAGGATAATTATTTAACATTTCCCAGTGGTTCCAAACCCAAATACTCTTTTATCCCAGGTCCCCTGAATTCTAAACAGTTGACAGTGGTAGAACTATGTTCAGCCTTTTTTAGCATTCCCACTGACCATGACAGTCAATATCTATTTGCTTTCACCTGGAATAATCAACAGTGTACCTGGACAGTCATGCCTCAGGGGTTCACTGAAGCCCCCTCCTACTTCTCTCAAGTGCTCCATCAAGACTTGAGCACACCCTCCAGTATCGAGGGTCAACTCTCCTGCAATACACGGAGGACCTCTTTGTTCGTGCACTGAGGAGGCATCCTAAGAGTATTTCATCTACATATTAACAGTTAACAGAGAAAGGACATAACGTCTCCATAGAAAAATTACATTTATCATCAGATACTATTTACTATTTAAGACATGATCTAAGTGCTGCAAGTATCCAAGTCTCCTAAAAAACTTAGGCTCATCCACGATTTTCCCAGGCCCAGAACTAAGAGACAACTTAATATGTTAGTAGAGTTAGTTGCATATTGCCATCTACAGGTTCCTAAATCTTTACTCTTAGCATCCCAACTTATTGAACTCACTAAAAATTCAGTTCCTAAACCCATTCCTTGTGGGGGGTGGGGGGAGACATGAGGCAGCCTTTGTAGAATGAAAAAGGGTAGTACAACAACCCCCAGCCCCCTGCTTTAGAATTGCCCAATGATTCAAAACCTGTAATCCTTTTTGTACATTAAAGCAGGCACTGGGGAGTACTCACACACATACCTGTGCCTGAATTTTACCTAAAAATCAGTCTGTCAGCATTTACGCTAACAGTCACTATGCATTTGAAGTGGTTTGTGATTTTGAAACACTTTGGAAGCAAAGATGTTTCCTCACTTTTTCAGGCATACCAATAAAAAGTGGCCCACAAGTTGATAAGCTCCTTGCTGGATACTGATGCCCAAAGACATTACTGTTATAAAAGAAGAAGCTCAAACAAAGAGAACTGAGGCTGAATAGCAGGTAAGTACTCCAACTGATTTTTGTGCCAAAGATGTTACCCAACTCTGTGAGGTCTTTTACCTAAATCCAACAGCTGGAAACAGTAAGACATGCTCCCTGCTACTTAACTTTGCTTCCTTATACCCAGATGCTGTTAGTTATTGGTGGGGGGGCGGGGTGGAGAAGGCCTCTAAAAATTAAAACAAATTTTAGGAATGAGAAGGATGTTCTTATAATTTCCTTTCCAAGTTCTGGGAAGGCCAAGACAGCCACTTGGTACTCCAAAGGTCACTTAAGGGATATTTGTTATGCTTCTTACATTCCCTTATCCATAATGGTACTGACAAGATAGATCAAATGATCAAAAAGTTGTGGTGGGAAAATTGTTATAAAGTTATAAAAGCTATTTAAAATCAATATTTAAGCTGGCAAACTCATAATCCAAGAAAGTTCCCCTGGAATGACCACCCCTCACTCCAACCATTAGGCCCATTTGAACATGTACAATGAGACTTCATCCACTCCCACCAAGCATGTACTTGCAATAGTCTGTATGTGCCTGTTATAGTCTATATGTTCTCTGGATGGGCTCAGGCCTTCCCATGTCAAAAGGCTGACAATGCCCTTACTGTAAAACAAAACTGCCAAAAGTAGTACTTCACACCTGCGGTATATACTGAATGCCATTTCAAGTAACTGAGCCACTCATTTTACTGGACAGTTAATTCATGCTCTACTTAAATTTTTACAAACAGTCTAGCATTATCATTGTCGTTATCCCCCTCAGTCCTCTGGTAAGGTCGATAAAATGAATGGGATACTTAACCTCAGAATTTCCAACTTTTCTGAAACCACTAGCCTTCTTTGGCCTAAAATTCTGTCTCTGGCTCTTATGACTCTTCAGAGCCACAGTGCTGGAAAACACAAGTTAACTTCTTATGAAATTACTGCTTGTTACTCTATATCGTTGACTATTACTCCAAATGTAGATCCCTAATAGACCTATGTTGAAATGACCCAATACTGTACATTCTTAATGCACTATGCCAAAAGTTATCACCAACAGGTAAAGGAAGACTTTCAAGACACAGAACCAAAAAGGCTTGTTGGAACCTGGTGACTGGGTGTTCTCGAAATGTCTTCAAAGAAAGACTGCTCTTGAATCCCACTGGAAAGGACCATACCAAGTGCTCCTGACTACAGGCATAGCAGCTAAACTCAAAGGTGTTGACCCCTGGATTCACATCTCCCTCATAAAAGACCACCTCCTGATGCCACCTGCTTCTCTTCTTAAGCCACAGACCTTAAAAAATCAGGTTAACCAGGATAAGAAGCTGATGACTTCACACTGTGGATGGCTTTTCCCAAGACATCAGAAAAAGATCCTCCATCATAATAAGATTCTTATCCCTCTTAATTTTTCCTTTCTTATGCCTTTTCCGCTAGGCAGGATAATACTGTCATAACCAGTTGCTTCTGTAGGTAACTTCACAGAGTGTTGGATCTGTCCTGCCAAACCCAAATCTTTACATAACTTAAAAGATCTTTTAATCTACTCAGTGGCTAACTTAAAAACACCCCGAACACAACTGCTTGTTTAAATTGTGCTACTGGTCCCTCTTATAGAGTCAGATTTCTAGACCCACTTGTTCTCTCTCCCTGTTTTAATTTAATCCAGTCATGGGATACAAGAACCAAGTCCAAATGAGTGTATCATAAGACAGGATTGTACCAAAAGCCTGAATAGAGTTTATTTCAAACTGACTTAGTGCAAACATATTAGTTTTTTAACCTTGGCTAGAAACTGCTAAATCCACCATTCCAAGCAATATATCCACAAACAACAGAACTGGGAAGCAGTCCTTATGTGCACCCACAGGGTGTATCATTATTTGTGGATAACTCTGTGGCCAACCTTATACACAGGCAACCTCATGCCTTGACAGGTAGAGGATGAAGGGTCAATGTGGGCTAAAAATCTAAATGGTAAGTTGTCACTCCATAATCCAGAAGTGGAATACTGGCTCACTCCTTACCTATGTCATAGATTAAAGAGAACACTGCCAAGAGGCATTAACCCTTTTGGATCGGCTTTGTTAGGTCCCTTTTCCTATGGCTTAGAGTAATACAAATGAAGTAATGATTAGAATTTATCCCGCGAAATAGCCTCTATAGAAGATTCTACTGCAATGCTATAGCTGCACAAGACTTCTTTGAATTCTCTTGTTAAAGTTATACTAGGTATTAACAGAATTGCTCTAGATTTCTACTGGTCAAAGAGCGAGGAGTCTTTGCAGTTGGTAACACTTATTGTTGCACATGGATAAATTCCGGTATTATAGAGACTCAGTTGCAAAAAAAATTAAACAGGCTACTTGGTTAAAATAAGTGGATTCTTTGTCTTTCTCGTTCTTTGATCTGTCCAATTTCAGTGGGTTTGGTTCATGGGAACTTTGATTAAGAATCACATTCCAAACTCTTGGTATTATCTTTCTGATAGTCATAATGGTAGTCTCCCTAGTGTGCTGCATTCTCTCAAAAGTTTTAAATGACTGCATGCAGCAATCTGCTGAATGTCAATGATCTCTCTCCAGCTGATATGATAAAAACTCAAAGAAACCTATGATAATGAGGACACCTAACCTATTAATGACATGTTGAGACTGGAAACCCAGAATGATAGTAACTGAGAGTAGCGTTAATGCCCTAAGTTTTGGTCACACTCTCACTTAGGTGAAAGCTTACTGAAAGGACAGAATTGTTAAATAATATTTACAACAGGACGTTGTTTTAGACGGAGCTCCTCCACTAGGCCCGAAGAGATCAAACCAAAAGGGAGTCACTCATGCTCAGTGCCACATAATCAGTCTGAAACTGTAAGGAACTAGTTCAAAGACCAAACTAGTTTTTCCTGAAAACAGGAGATTTGCTGCAACAGGAAAGGGCTTAGTAAACCTAAGCTGGCATAAGTAGCCCCTTCTGCTTTAACACTTAAAAGTAACCTTAAGTAATCTGATGTTAACCAACAGACTTTTAAAAATACTCTGTTTCCTTGTTTCCACCTTACAAAAACCAACTATTCTGCCATGCCTAGGGCATGGCATTCTATTTTATGGAATGAGATGCTACCCAATTTCAGAATTGCTAATAAAAGCCAATTTGATATTTAAACTAAATTTGTCGAAATTTTTTCTTTTGACATCGGTGTGGTCAGGAAAGTCTGTTGCACACACAACTTGTTAATAACTTTTTTTTTGGAAATAGCAATTTTATATTTTGAGGCTATATTGCCTTGGCTGTATTACACTCAAAACATACAATATGGAGCCACATTTTATTATTCAAAATTGTTACAAAGATTTAAATTTAAATTTATGTGACATTCAAACTTCTCTATGAAATACACTCCCAATCTAACATTGTTCCAGTATGATGTGATCTACTTAATGTACTCTATTTAATATGTAAGTAAAATATCTGATTTCTAAGAAATCAATGTGATGAAAAGAGATAATTGATAGGTTACAACAGAGATTACATGCAAATGTGCACATACACACAGAACTTCAGCCTACAAGTAAGCACTGTCCCCTTTGTAGTAGACTTCTGGGAAGGTTGCAAATTCTAACAATGTCTGTCATTATTTTAAACTATTTTTAAACTGCCCTTTTAAAACTGCCTTCGTAGCCATCAGGACAATCCTTTAAATATCCTTAATAGTGGTAAAATCTTGAAGGTAGAACTGAGTTTTACAACCATGTAGAAATCATTCTGCCAAATTTAGCAAAGAAAATAGGTACTCAAGCTGAATTAGTTTTTTGATTAAAAAATAGAAACAAAAACAAGTGTTTATGAATGTTATCATGAAATGTTTTTATTTTGCTTGTAAATTGACTAGAAATTTCAAAAAATACAAAATAATTATGAATGGCAGCAGCACTACTGGAATAAGTTTTTAGCCTCCTGAGGTGACTACTTGGAATGACCACTCTCTAAAAATATAAACGACAGCACGTTTAAGGAGGGAAAATGTTTCAAGACTCTGCAATCACATTTCAAAGTTACAAAGCTGCTTTCTTCCGTGGAGTTCAAACTACTTTCGAGATATTACTTCATTAATTCCCCAAATATCCCTATGAAGGAAAGGACACATCACCATTCTTTTTTCAGATGGCCAAATGGAGGTGGTATAAGGGAGAGAGAACTGTGTTTATTCCATGAAAGCAACAATTAAGTCTAAGCACACTGTCCCCTTGTACTATGTAGTTAGCAAAATTTAAGCGAAATTTTTAATCTTTATGCTCCTTAATGAAAAAGACATTGTAAGAGTAAAAAGCATTATCATTCAGGTAGCTATGTCATATTACAGAAATATATTAAAATGATTAATTTATTGCATTCTTGCCTGGAAGAATTCCTGCTTCATGTATGAGGTGCTTATTAAAGAGGCTGGTGTCGGTCCTCAGACACACTCAAAAAAGTGCTAATTAAGTCTATTTTATCAAGAAAGAAATCTTGTTGATTTTTTCAATATTATTTTTTGAATTTTCGAAGAAAAAATCTTCACTTTGAAAAACCAAACACACAAAAAATGAAAGAGAGGAAGAAAAATGGGGTAATAAAATACCATTGACAAAACTAAGAGCAAACCCTAGGGAAACTGGTAAATTGTTGATGGTTCCAGAGAGATAAAGTACAACATAACACGTACACAATTACGAGATAATTTTTCATTACAATAATTAAAATGACTATTCTCCTAAATTTTTGATTCTTTATGAGAAAAAACTTACTCAAATATTCCGGGAAACCTAACAGCTCGCCTCCTCGATTCTACTTATTAAATAAATATTTAGAGTTTCTGCCATTGTCACCAAAGTATCTTTGGGCTGCCAGTGGCACTACATTTATACAAGAGACGAAAGTCTGACAGATAAAAGACAACGGAATTTTACTTCTTTCTACGACTCAAATGATACCACTCATTTGAAACTGAAGTGTTTATGATCTTTCAAGTATCACTTTTAGGGGTACTATAACAGGAGTCTGAAAGGAATTGACTCTATTTTTTAAGAAAGGTTTTAACAATTAATGAGTATATAAAAATACAATGAGCATCAGACCGTCCATCTTTGAGAGCTAAATTTTGTTTGAGACTAAGAGACCAACTGGACCAAGGACAACTCTAGTCAGACAAGTTCTAATCACAGATTCCACAAGGATTGACTGCTTAGTTTTGATATAATCACTTTGCCTCTTGGGTGCCTCAGCTGTCTGGTCTATAAAATGGGATAATAGTAACCCGACCGCATAATGCTCCTTTGAAGTTAACTAATGAATGCTCTCACAGATACACTTACAACTGTTAGATGCTACGAAAATAATGAGCACTATCTCGAAAAAAAACAAGGTGGAATATATGTGTTAGTGTTCATAACAGCACTAGTAATTTCCCACCAAAGGACCATCTCCCCACCTCCGCCCGATGGATTTCAGAGCTTATGACCTCTGCCTAGCAGAAAGTCGTACACTCCGGACCCAAGGCTGCAACAAAAGCGACTGCGACGCCGATACTGAAATGGGCTAGACAAAGGAAAGTGGAACCGTGCAGAGGGAATCGGCCGTGGAAGGGGCTGTGTGGTCCCCACAAGCTCCGAAATTAAACAAGACGCAGTTCCCCACCTCAGACCTGGAGAGGGTTCAGTACTGGACCCCTGGCACCCACCCCACCTTCCCCGGCCTCCTCCGCCACACCTACAGCGCCTCGCCTCCAGGACTCAGCTTTTTCGACCCTGTGTAATTCCAACCTCCAGGTGGGCGCGCCCCGAGGCCGCTCCGAGAGCCTCAGGTGCGAAAGTTAAGCCGCGGCCGCGTCACCTGAGGCCCGCCGGGCGAGAGGCGGCCAGGCCAGCGGCAACCCTAGCCCAGCCCCTTGGCACGTCCCCGCCTGGGCCAACGTGGGGGCCCGGGCCACCGCGGCTGGGTAGGGCCCGGCCGAGGCCAGGTCCCTCCGAGAGGCGCCGCCGCCGCGCCCCGCCCGACTCCGACCCGCCGGCCTTTACCTGTATCCACGTCCCGGAGCCTCCGGCTTCGCGCCCCGTCCCGGCGCTCCCGGCCGCCAGCAGCCAGGCTCTGAGGACTCGCTGCGGCTCCGGCGGCGGCGATGCCGGTTCGGCGAGACGGGAAGCGACAGGAGCCAAACCCCGCGGAAAGCGCTCGAGCTGTGCCTGCAGCCCCGACCCCGCGGCCTCGGACGTGGCGCCCCGGCGCTCGCCCGCCACAGCCAGCGGCCCTGCTCGCCCCACGTCTGCGGGTTCCCACCCGAGCCGCGCGTGGGCGGCGCCGGGCTTTGACCCCGCGCAGGCAGACAAGCGCCGCGGGCCAGACGGAACCGTGGGAAAGTTTTTCTCCCTTGTCATCCCCTTACCAGAGCCACAGAAATTATCCCTGTGGTCTCCCTTGTCCTCACTCGGCCTTTTCTGGAGTTAAGAGATCCAAGCCAACTACTGGGTCTGTTCCCTGCTAAAATCTTAGGCCGGCGTCCCATCCACCCATCCCCATGCCTAGGACTTTTAAGCTGGCAACGCTACCTGGGTTTAGTTTTCCCTTCGTATATCACTATCTTCGTTGCTTACCTTCTTGTGCCTAAAGTTCCACCGATGTGCAAGGAGATTAACCACTAAAGTGCACCTGACACTACTCTTGACAAATTGCAGTTGGGAGGTGAGTTGATGACTGGCGGTAAATCAAAAGTGCTTATTTAGGGAGTGAGGGGGCCGCGTGCAGTAAATGTTGACTTGCAGGTGCCTCATAGATGATCAAACGACTATAAATAAGATTCGGAATATAAAAAGCAAGTTTTATTAGTTGGCTTGAGGAGAGGGAAGGGAGCTAGGAGGGAACCTCAAAAAAAATATACAGCTTTGTTTCTCTGCTAGATACAGAAATTTTTATTTGCCTGAAGTGGCTTACTTGGAAACTTGTCCTAAGATTAGGGCTGTATGCAGTGACTTCCCATCTGGAAATACAAGGAAATAAAGAACAAAATGAAAGACATCACGAGAAAACTACAGACCAATATACCTTATGCATAGTAACATAAAAATCCTCAACAAAATACTAGCAAGCCAAACCCAGCAACATTTTAAAAAATTATACAACATGACCAAGTAGGATTTATCTCAGGAATGCAAGTTTGGTGTGACATACAAAATTAATGTAACACACTACTTTAAATAGACTAAATGTAAAAACCACATGATCATCTCAAAAGATGAAGGAAAAGCAATTGACAAAATCTAACACCCTTTCTTGATATAAACACTTCAACTAGGAATAAAAGGAAACTTCTTCAACCTAATAAAGAGCCTCTGAAAAATCCATAATTAACATCATACTTAATCTTGAAAGAATGAACATTTTCACCTAAAATCAGGAATAAGACAAGGATGTCAATTGTTGCTACTTCTATTCAACATTATAGTGGAGGCACTAGCCAGGGCAGTTAGGCAAGGAAAGGTGGAATATCTAACAGCTAGTAGAACAAAGAGAAGAAAGATAATTACCAAAGAAAACGAGGACAACAGTTCTCAGAGCTAAAGGACAGAAGCACATGAGCTCTCAGTTTAATGGATAAAAATTTTCTATAACCAAGTTGTGAAATTTCAAACCACATGAGTCAGAGAGATCTTAACTTTCATGGAGGAAAAAATAGGAGGTGATTTATGAAGATTTAGAAATCAGAATGGCATTGGATTCTCAACAGAAACATAAATAAAAGATAAATTCTGAGAAAAAAATGATTTCCAATTTTGAAATTGATGAAGTATGAGGTTTAAAAAGACATTTTCAAATATACAAAGGTTTAAATAGTATTTTCATGCATTCTTTCTCAGGAAGCAATTGGAGGATGTATTCTATAACAAAGTGGTTAGACAGAGAATCTGATAGAAAAGAGAAGTGAAGGTGACACCCGCAACAACTGTGGTAGGCAGAATGGCTCCCCCAAAATGTCCACATTCTAATCTCTGGATCCTGCAAAGATGTTACAGTATATAGAAAAGGGACTTTACTGATGTCATAAAAGTGACTGACCCAAATAGGGAGACTATTTCGGATTACCTACGTAGGCCCAGCCTAATCACATGAATCTTTAAAAGCAGAAAACTTTCTCCACCTAGAATCAGAAAGATGAGATGGCAAGAAATGTCAGAGAGCTTTGAAGCCTGAGAGAGACTTGACCTTCCTTTCCGGGAGGGAACCACCCTGGAAACACCCAAGAGGGAGAATGTGGGTAACTTCTAGAGGAAAAGATTGGCCTCCTGGCTGAATTTGCAGTGCTTCCTTTTTAAAGAAATAAACTTTTGGAGGTACAAGATTTATTACAAACAGGACTGAAAGAAGAAAGACAAGATGAAAGTCTTGATGCTTTCTAATTCAGTAATGTAATATAATCTCTTATTTCTGATGAAATCACAGGGATGAACTCAGAGAAATGATAAGGTTGACAAGTTTCACAAATAAAAACACAGGATGCCCAGTTAAAATTGAATTTTGGATAAACAGTGAATTAATTCTTAGTATAAAACACACTAAAAATATTTGGTTACTAAAAGTTAAAATTTAACTGGGTGTCCCATATTTATTGAGCAACCTTAAAAAGTGTAACTTCTGAGCAATGATTCTCAACCTTGGAAGCACATTGGAATAACCTGGAGTGCTTGTGAAAATACCAATGCCCTGTTCTTACTGTGGTACAATTCAATCAGAATTTCTTGATGTGGGATATCAGATGATTCTAAAGAAAAGTCAAGTATGAGAACCCATGACTCTAGAGAGGAATTAATTTGCACAGGTGTGATAAACTAAAAACAACCTCTCCAGTCATTTTACAACCAGAAGTGAAGAAACACTTTTTCCTTTAATAAACATCTTAACAAATATTCATCATCTCAAAGGTACAAACGAAGAGTATGATTTTCAATATTTCAGGAAGATCATTTACATTTTAGTAAAAAGACAGACAAAAACTCAGCTTTATGATTATAAGATACAAAATAAGTACAGATTTATTTTAACTACTAGGTAATTAGTATCTAAATATTAACTAACATTATCTCTCATCACACCGGATATAATGGCTAGCTGAATCTTTAGTCCTCCCAAAGCACCTGTGTCAATAATCTCATTACCTAACGGTTGAATTTTATAACCTCTAGCATAAATTATAATTTCCAACAAGACTGAAATAATAAAAAAATTTAATTTCTTCCTACAAACCCAACATTGTGTGATGCAATTCATGCCATTTGAGGCCCTAGCAGGACATTGGGTGAATTGGAAACAGCAGGAAGTTCAAAATTAGAGGTTTGAGTTAATGCACAGAGGTATGTGAGATTACCAAGAAAAGAGCAGAGAATTATTAGGAAAACCTTAGATTTAGGAGGCAGAGCAGAAGAAAACCTAAAGAAGTTCCTAATAGAAGGACTGGAAACCTAAAGCTTTCTATGCAAGTTTGAAGAGCAAATGCATAGTCGAACTGGACAAAGAGGCTAAAGAGAATGAGAAAAGGCCACTGGATATGCTGACTCTTGAGGCAGTGTAGAATAGCACAGGTGTGGAACTCTTCCTCGGCTTGAGTCTCAAATCTTCCACTTACAAGTGTATAACCTGAGAACAAGTTTCTTAATCTCTCTGTGCCTCAGTTTTTTCATCTGTAAACAGGAGATAATAGTAATATCGTAGAGTTATTGTGAGGTTTTAATGATTTTACCCAAGCAAAGTGCTTAAAATGATACCTGGTATATAGTAAGCACTCAATAAATATCAGCTATTGTTGTTAGTATTAATGATCTTTAAGAAACAGTTTCTGGAGAGCAGTGCCTAATGCACTGCTCGGTCCATTCCATCCAGAAGTGCATTAGTTAGGACTCATTTCAGTGAAGTGACAGAAACCTAACTCAAGTTGGCCCAAGGCAAATATTCACTAGTTTGTATGGATAAGCCTATGATAGCTTCAGGCATGTGTGGATCTAAGTGTTCTTATTGTTAGAAACAAATATTCAATGCCACAAAGTGAAACTAGCACTCAGGCAAAAGTTTTCTCAGCAAGGAAATTTACTTCTACAGAAGGGCACCTCTTGCTTACAAGGCAGAGGAAAGGGAGAGCACACAAAACAAAGGAGAGCAGGCGTTTTTTTAATCCCTAACACAGACCCTGTTCCTGTGTTATCCTGCTGTGGACCGGGGTCAGACCACACAATCTAGGCTAATTCCGATTGTCTACTGTTGGCATCATCAAAGGAGGCAAGGGGTGTTTGACAGGAAGGACAGGTATGGTACATCTTGGGGTGTTTGGGCATAGCAGAGATAGGGAGGGCTGATAGATGAATGGTTACGATTACCTTTTAGAATAGAACACAGAACCAGGAACTGAAACCCTTTGAAGAGGAACTGTTTGTTCTTAACAGCAATTTCCCCCTCTTGAATTTATATATTTTGTTATTCAAACTTACCTAACATGACTCAGCTTTGTTGTTCTTCCAGGAGAAATAATCTATTAGTATAAGATTGGGAAGAACTAAGGAAGGTGCTGGTAACAGCTGTTTCTATAAGTCTTTGGACTAGTCCACGAATGCAGGGTATGATGCAGCATCCAACAGGAATAAACACAGCTATTGCGATTGCAAGAGAAGTAACAATAGAGGCCATGAGTCCTTTCCATTTACCAAACCATTTCCCTAACCATCCTGTGAAAGGGTCATTTATCCCAGAATTTGTGGCTAATTCATTTGATAAGGAGGTAAGACCTTGTAAAGCTTTTGTAATTTTTCCATCAGGGACTGTATTGTTGGGAATGTAGGTGCAGCATTGGGTTCCTATTATAACACAAACTCCACCTTTTTCTGTTAATATCATATCTAGGGCCCATTCTGTTTTCCCAAGCCATCTGGCTAGTAGGCCCTAATTGTTTGGCTAATTCTTTGACAGCATCCCTAGCGTAATTAATTAGTCACTGCTGGTTATAATAGATGTAATTTATCCAATCTACATTTTTATTAATAGTTAGCCATGGAAATAATGATTCAAATCCTGCAGCTATTTGGTCTTGGGCTTCGAATCTATCATGTATCCCCTGTGGGACTCCAATTGCATCTATATAAACATGAGAGTTGAAAGATCCATGAGGGGCCTCTCTCGTTTTATGGTGTTGTGGTTTCCCTTTTTCTGGTTGATGAAATGCCAGGGTGAAATGGATGGCCAATTGAGTTAAAGCCTAAGTGCCTCTCCGGTTACTTGGCAGAGTGTCCAGTAGAGGTCCACCAAAATATCACCATATATCAGCATGGGGATGAACAAGGGCGGACTGATTGGTAAGCTATTGGAAAGATTTAAACTCACTGCATCCCTTCAAGTCTCCAAGAAATGCCAAATGTTGTCCCTGTAGTGAGAGACAAGAAGTAAAATTGGTGTCTGGAGATGGAGGCTGGATGGCTCTCAGGGGCTGACCTGCACGATGTTGAACTTCAGGGAATAGCAGAAAGTTCGACAGAATTCATTACCCCAGGCTGTGGGGTCTTGGAAAAGTGCCACCTTACAGCTCATGCCCAGCTGGTCAGAAAACCATCCAAGTGGAAAGGGGATAACTTGGGCCTCTGGCCTACCATGCGCACAAGCGTAATAGTCACTTTTATTTAGAGTGCGAACAGAATATTCAATCCATTCCATCCAGGCATTTGCATCGTGGTATCCTTTTTCAATTGCCAGTGTTTGTTTTAAATTTTTAACCTCTACAATAGCTATGTTGGTTTTGTCATTAGGTGGAGAAGAGACAGTGGTCTGGTCAGCAGGTTTAGAAGAGGATAGAGGTGGAAATGTGAGGGATGAGGATGTAATGAGGTGCAACTCGAAGAAACCTATAGGGTCTTTTCCTGTTACATCTGCTCCCATACCATAAAAACAGTTTAGGGTAGGGGAGGAATCTTGGAGAGTTGGGATGGTGATGGAAATTTGCACAGGGTTACACTGGTTATGTTGACAGTTGGGAGGGGCACTTCCTTTAGTAAAATGGTTATAGGGCTTTAGAACTGCTAGCGGGAAATCCTCTGAGGGGACCCAGTCTTGACATTGAGTGGTCCAAATGACATATTCCCAAGTATGACAAAACAGGTACTTAAACAATTTAGAAGCATCTGCTGTGGATGGGGCAGAGATATTTCTCTGCTGCTGCAAGCTGTCTCTGGCTTTGGAGATCCCCACAAGAAATAACTAAACGAGCATCAAAGGTAATGGTTTGGGGTGAGTCTAATCTAGTTACATTAATAATGAGGTGGCTAGCAACAGAAAAAGGAAAGAAGAAGGAGTAATAGAATAAATGAAAGAGAGTTAAACTTTCCTTAGCTTTAGTTTGGTAGGATTTTCCCCTGGGACTATAGCCCATAGCCCTGGATTCGGGGGGGCACTTTCTTGACTCAGGTGTGATGGGTCCATCCTTTCTCAGTGGTTCAGACTGCAGTTTCAGTTGTTAGGAGCACTAGATATGGTCCCTCCCAGGACAGTTCAAGTTTCTCTTCTTTCCAGCTCTTAATGAGGACGTAGTCTCCGGGCCAGTGCTGATGGACTGGAAACTCAAGAGGTGGGGTTTGTGCTAAGAGACCTTTAGTCCTAAAGGAAGATAAAGTAGAAGATAGACCAAGTATATAGTTCCTAAGTAATTGATCTTTGGTCTCAAAAGTGGGAATATCACTACTGGAGCTTAAGTATGGTAACCCATAGAGCATTTCCTAAGGGGATAGGCCAACATCTTTTCGAGGGGCAGTTCCAATCCTGAGTAGAGCGATGGGGAGACACTTAGTCCAGGGTAATAGAGTTTCTAAAATTAACTTAGTTAGATGATTCTTAAAAGTCTGATTCATCCTGTCTGTTCTTCCTGACAAGGATGGATGCCAGGGGGTATGATACTCCCATTTGATTCCTAAAGCTTGAATAAGCCCTTTAATGATATTTGCAGTAAAATGAGTTGCATTGTCTGAGTCAATATTTTCTGGTAGCCTGAACCAAGGTATTATGTTCTCTAGTAATACTTAAACCACATTATTAGCTGTTGCACTGAGGAGAGGAATGGCTTCAACCCAATGAGTGAGGTGGTCTACTATTACTATTAGGTATTTAAGGTGACTTAGTGGGGGCATGTCAGCATAGTCAATTTGAATACTTTGAAATGGCCTTAATCTGGGGCTTCTGCCCCCAAAAGTTTGTTTCCTTAGGGCCTGTTTATTAGTTTTCTTACATATTAGGCAGCTGTCCACAACTTGGTTTACTAAGGTATAAATTCCTATACATCCATAGACTCTAAGAACTGCATCACACATAGCTTGAGGTCTCCAGTGAGTCCCTTGATGTAGTCGGGACAGGATTTCTCCCATAAGTGGTTTGGAAAGCATTTCCCTTTGGTCTGGTAACACCCACTACCCTTCTGAGTTTTCCTTAGCTACTAGTTTCTCTAACTTTTCCTTTTCAGCGGGAGAGAAGATAGGGATTGCAACTAGGGGAGAGAGACAGGGAGTCAGGTAGAAGATAGGTGCTTTTTGAAAGAGGGCAGCTTGTTTTGCAATTTGATCAGCAAGGTTATTTCCTCGGCTTTCAAAGGTAGAAATTTTCTGGTGCCTTGGGACATGCACAACAGCTATTTCTTCAGGTAATTGTAAGCTTTTTAAAACTTGAGTGATTAATCCTTTGTGGACAAGGTCCTGCCCTTTGCTGTTAATTAGACCCCGCTCAGTCCAAATTTTTCCGAAGGTGTGCACTACCCACAAAGGCGTACTTGGAGTAGGTATAGATGGTATCTTCTTGCTTTCATAAATATTTTAGAGCCTGATTTAACACAAACAATTTGCAAGTTTGAGCAGACCAATTATTTGGCAATCTTCCAGATTCTATTTCGGCAAGAACTCCATCTATGGCAAAGTATCCATTGTGTCTTTTTCCTTCAACCACCCGGGAGGAGCCATCTATAAAAAGATGACGTCCTGTTTCAAAAGGGGTTTCTCTTAAATCAGGTCTAACCTTAGTATGGTAGTCAATGAGATCTAAACAATCATGTTCAGGATCTTTGGGGTTTGGATTCCCAGTTAGGAAAGCAGCAGGGTTAAGGGCACTGTTAGTGGTGAGGGTGAGGTCACCTTTTTCTAATAGAATGGCTTCTTATTTTAAAATTCTTGAGTCTGTAAGCCATTTACCTGCCTTTGGGTTTAACATTGTTCTAACTTGATGAGGTGTGCTAACAATTCATTTTCCCCCAAAGGTTAGCTTTCTACTTTCCTCAATCAACAAAGTAGTGGCCGCTATAGATTGAATACATTTGGGCCATCCACAGGTTACTGGATCTAGAATTTTTGACAAAAAGGCCACGGGCTGCCAGTGGCCCCCATGTTCTTGGGTAAGCACTCCTAAAGCTACTCCCTTATTTACATTGACAAACAGGTGAAATGGTTGTTTGAGGGAAGGCAGAGCTAAAACAGGGGCAGTTATGGGTAAATGTTTCAATTCTTTAAAATCATTGACTTCCTCTGGGGCCCCACGGAGGGGGTGGGGTTTTTCTTGGTAAGCTTGGAGTCCAGAGACTTGACTTTTGGAGCATCTGAATCAATCCACAAGTGGCAATATCCAACTAGCCCTAAAAATTTTCTAAGCTCTTGTTTTGTACTAGGCAGGGGTAAGGACACAATTCCTTCAACTCTTTTGGGTCCTATTCTTCGCTTGCCTGCACTTATCAAGTGCCCTAAATACTTCAGGCTATACGAATTGGAGCTTCCCCTTTGATACCTGTAATCCCTCCCCTTCCAGGTGATTGAGAAGACTGATGAAGAAATCAGATCCTTGTTCTATGAGTTTCCCCAGACACAAGTATGTCATCTACATATTGGAGCATGTATATAGACTCTGGGACAGATATCTTCCCTAAAATTTGTTCAAGAATTTAGCCAAACAGGTTAGGAGAGTCTGTAAATCCTTGGAGCAGGACCATCCAGCAGTATTGTTGCTTCCGCCCTGAATGAGGATCTTCACATTCAAAAGCAAGTATGTCTTGGCTGTCTTCAGCTAAGGGACATGCCCAAAAGGCATCCTTTAAATCTATTACTGTAAACCACTGATGGTCATATGGAATGTTGCTGAGGATAGTATATGGATTGGGGACAATAGGGTGAGTGGTTTGGACTATTTGGTTCATGGCCCAGAGGTCTTTTACTAGTTGATATGACCCATCTGATTTCTTTACAGGTAATATAGGAGTATTATATGGAGACATACAGGGTTCAAGTAACTTATCCTGAACAAGACCTTCAATCACAGTTTTCAGGCCTATCCTGCCTTCTAGAGGAATTGGATATTGCCTTCTCCTTACTATTTCCCCAGGGGTTTTCAACTTTATATGAACTGGGGGAGATTCTTAGTTTCCCTTGGTTCCCTTCTTTTGACCACACATTGGGATGAATGTAACTTTTTTCTGTGGTGGTGAGCAGGTTCAATGAAGTGAAAAATCCTTCAGGGCAGGCATGCAGGCCTATGCCTAGTATTAACATCAGGTCTCTTCCTAACAGGTTTGTTCCTGCTTCAGGGATTAGCAGGAATTTAATACTGGCTGATTGATTTTTGTATTTAACTTTTGTTTCTTCTAAAACTTTGGCTTTAAATCCTTCCCCTTTCACCCCTGAGACAAGAAGTTCCCCTAATGAGCAGTTTATATTAGAGGGCCGATAGCAAACAGAGGAACCAGCAGCCCCTGAATCTATTAAAAAGGTGATAAGCTTATGTTTGGGTCCCACCTCTAAATTTATCAAGAGCTCTTGGTGGGACTTGAGATAGAAAAGACAGAGCCCCTGACCTCCTTATTCCTCCTTGAATGCCATGAGCAGAACAATTTCTTTTTCTTTTTCCCACTGGGGGCATTCTCTTTTGAAGTGGCCTGCTCTTCCACATTTGAAGCACCTATTCTATTCTTCCTCTCCCTCAGTTCCGGGATTCTTTGACGTTGCTCCTCCATACTCTTTAGAGGGCCTGGTAACTGAGGGTCCAGGTCCCCTAGTTGGAGGCTTGGGTCCTCCAAACAGGGGTTTGGACCCTTTATAATTCCTGCCCCACCCAGAGTCTCTGTTTAAAAACATATGGGCTTGAAGCCATCTGTTGGAAGGTGGATAGCATAAGTTTCATTTTTTGTTTTTGCTTTTCTTCATCTCTCCTCACACACTTTTTGGGCTTCTCCTAGGAGTTCCTCTATGGACTGATTTTTCCAGTTTTCTAGTTTCTGCAACTTCTTTGCTATGTCTGACCAGCTATTTATTGCAAAATGTAGCTTTAACATTCCTTGCCTGAGAGGGTCTTCTGGATCTAAATCTGCATATTTCCTTATTTGTTCCCTTAGTCTTTGTAGAAATTTCATGGGGCCTTCATCTTTTTCTTGTTGTATGTCAGGAAAGATTCAGAGTGAGGGGCACTGACTCTTGAGTTCCTTTAATTATCATTTCCCTGAGATCTTTCATGTTTTCCCAGTGTACTGCTTTGTTATTTTCCCATTCAGGATCTTGGGCCAGGAATTTCTGGTCTGCTGCAGGAACGTTTGGGCTGGGAGGGTGTTCATGTTCTCAAGCTGTCATAACAGCCCTGCGAACCATCGCCCTTTCTTTCCCTGAGAAGATACCCAGGATAGACATTAATTCAGCCCACGTATATAACTGGGGGCCTAGGAATTGATTAATTTGGTCTGCTACCCCATATGGGTCATCTAGCAATGGCTTAAATTCTTTCCTTAAACCTCTAACTTCTGAACTAGTCAAAGGAGCATTTACAAAGCCAATAGCTCCTCCTCCCTGGGGCACCTCTCTCAAAGGGAAGATAGTTGGAGCTGATTCCTTAGAGGTAGAGGGGAAAGGAAGATTTTGAATATCTTTTTTACATTGCTGTACTTCACGTTGTAGTCCCTTTAGGGAAGGATACTTAGGCTGACAAGGAGCAGACTCATGGGGTGGTGGTAATTCCCAAGAGTCAGATTTATAAGGGGGAGGAATAATAGGAGTAGGAGAAGGATCTGGGACTGGGTCTGGGGTGGCAGCAGCTGCCTGGGAAGGGGGCAGGTCAAGACGTGGGGAATTAAACAGGAGAAGGTGGTTTAAGAGGGTCCCAGGCATAGGGAGTCCTCTGCCTAGGGGTTGGTTTTACTATGCCTACTTTGGGGAGTGTGAAATCTGATGCTTCCCCTGCATTCTTTAGGGGAAAGAGGAGAACAGGTTCTTTTCTCCAGCAGAGAGCATAGTCTGTTTCTTCCTGCGCGACTGGAATTTTGTCATTCACATACTGAATTAAAAGTTGACAGACCCAAGCCTCAGCTGATCCATATTTTGGCTAGAAGATGGCAGATTTGAGGATGGGTTCCTTGGCCCAGATGAAACAACAATATTTTACCATCTGTTGCTTTTTCTTGTGCCTAGTCCTCTCCTTCTCCTCCCAATATTTTAGCATGAGACCTAAAGGACTGTTGGAGGTGATCTGACTATCCCCGTCCTTATCTTTCCCTGTTGTATTAGGAGTGTTTCCCATCTTGGAGGTTTTGGATGCTCCCTTGAGTGTGTGTGTGGTCCAACCTCTCTTACTAGAAATCTCTTGCCTTCCCTTTTCTCTAGAGGCTCACCCCCTTTACTGGAGGTTTCTTGCACTCCTTTCCATTCGCTTCGTCCTATCTGGCCACTTCCCTTGTGGGAAATTAGGTCCCTCTTAGTATTGGTGTGCTGGTATAAGCCCCATGGCAGGATCTGCCCTAAGCCATATGAGGTGACCACGGAACCGCAGATAGAACCCACTCACCCCACACAGCAGTAGTACTTATCACCATTCACACAAGCAGCACCACAAGCAGTGATCATTCACACACACTTTCAGCCTCCAAGATATCCCAACAACCAAGGAAATACTTTGCTGCCCCCTCTGCGGCTTTTCTTACCTTGGTCTGTGCACGAAGTTACCTGGTCACTGTGGTATTTGTAGGCAAGCCTTTCCTTCCCACATTGCTGAGAGTCTGGGTTTATTCATCACAGTGGGTGATGGCTGGATCTTTAGCCCCTGAGACCACTGCAGTGAGGCAGTGGGACGCATCTCCCCCTGGGAGATGACCAGAGACCCCTTCCTCAGAGGAAAATGGGAATCCTGGGCAGGCCCCCAAATTGTTAGAAACAAATATTTGGTGCCACAAAGTGAAACTAGCACTCAGGCAAAAGTTTTCTCAGCAAGGCAATTTACTTCTATAGAAGGGCGCCTCTTGCATGCAAGGCAGAGGCAAGGGAGAGCATGCAAAACAAAGGAGAGTAGGAGATTTTTATCTGTAATGCAGACCCTGTTCCTGTGTCCTCCCCTTGTGGGCTGGGGTCGGACCACACAATCTAGGCTAATTTCAATCTAGGGTAAACTAAGCTACTGTTGACATCATCAAAGGAGGCAAGGGTGGGCATTTGATGGGAAGGACAGGTATGGTACATCATGGGGTGTTTGGGCATAGCAGAGATAGGGAGGGCTGATAGATGAATGGGTACGATTACCTTTTAGAATAGAACAAAGAACCAGGAATTGAAACCCTTTGAAGAGGAACTATTTGTTTTTAACAACAAAATATGATGCCATCATCAATTTATTTTCACCATTTTCCCTCTATTTCTCTGTGCTGGCTTCCTTTTTAGGCAGAATCAGTTTATGTAGTGGCAAGATTGGCCACTAGTAGCTCCAGGCTTAAATTCATCCAGTTTAGCAACCACAATGCAAAAAGTAATATCTCTTTAATTCCAGCAAAGTTCTGGAACTGAGCTTCCAGTAGAGACTTGTACCACATGCTCATTCCCACAGAGAGAAGGAACTAGCAAGTTGGTCCTTTGCATATCATTTTCTCACCCATAAAACTGTATGTATGTGTAGAAGGGAATCAGTCCCCTACTCAGTCCACAAAGGTTGAAAGTGAGATAGGCATAGTTACCCAAATGAATATTGGGGTGCTGTTATCAAAACAAATGGAAATGGACATTTGACAGGCAAAAATAAAAAATGTTCAGTATAAGTGGTGAATGTGTAGTTAATTGAGTACAAAATAAAAGATTATAAAATGTCAGAGGGAGCCAGCTGAGGCTTGAATGATGGCAGAAATGGGTATGTAGGTTTTGAGATTTTCTTCAAAATGATCAGCAGCCCAAGAGGAGGAACAAAAACAGTAAATTGATGTGATTTACATGAAGTTCAGGACTGGAACAGTGAGCATGGTCACAGGACAAAAAGCAAAAGGAATAAAGGTGTCATGAAAGAAGAGCTGAAATGGCAGTCCGTGGGGCTCAGATTTGGCAGGGATGCAATAAGGCCACAGAAACATTGAAAAAGTAATCCCTGCATATTTGGATGTTCCTGCAGTAGAAAAGTCATGATGAGGGTGTCAGTCGAAGCAAATGATGGGAAAAGTCTCAATCATTTTTGGAGATTTATTCACCAAAGTTAAGGATGCTCACAGGAGATAGGTCTATGCCTTTCTCTGAAGATGATTTTGAGGGCTCCAAATTTAAAGGGGAAAGGGCGGGATATTGAGAAGCACACAGTTTTCACTTAAACAAAAGGGGCAAAGGAAAAATGTGGGGAATCTGCATCTTAACATAAGATAATACAGACAAAATGGGGTAGGGGGACAATCTGATACGCATTTGTGTCTGGCAGGCTGGGTGACTGCACCTGTCAAGATAAGCTATCAATTAGCATTGCCATGGTGAAGTTGTAACAGCTCACCAGGAATTTCCTTGCTGGCAAAACATGGGAAAAGTGGGTAGCTTTTCATCTTGTAGCCATTTTATTTAGGAATCAAAAGGTGGAGACAGGTTTGCATGACCCAGTTCCCAGCTTGACTTTTCCCTTTGGCTAAATGAGTTTGGGGTGTCAAAATTTAATTTCCTTTCACAGGCAGAAGATACTGGATAGGAGATAGTGCTAACATGTACCTCCTACTTGGATGGACAGTATGGCATGTGAAGATTCATACTGTGGACTTTTGCTCCAAGAACCACTGCAGGACCATACCAGGAAAACCTAAAGAATTCACAGATCTTTGAAAGAAGCACAAGTCACTGCAGATTGCATGAGACAGATGAACAACTATGAGTTTCCATAGTCTGAAAGGGGGAAAACCTGCCTTCAAACACGTATTCCCGCTGAGGAATCTGAAAATACAGATCACCAGAGAAGGATTTAACCTTATCTAGAGCTGGAATGGATTTAGGGAGCTGTGCAAAATATAAAAGTAAATGCAACAGTGGGAAGAGCCTTGTAGGCACTCCCATTCTTCACCTTGTGCGCAGGGAAGCCATTTCTGATTGTATTTCACAGAAGCCCTCAGGGAAGGCACTCAGCAGAATTAGGGAAGGGTCACAGGGTGTAAGAAGTTTCCAACTGAATTTTGCAATAATTTTAACTGGGCACTAACTTTTTTGACAGGATATGGGGGTGAATGGGAACTGCTGCAAATACAAGAGCTGGAGTCACAGCCAACTTTGTTGGCAGATGGGGAGGGGCAAGGCCTGAAAGCAGTGCTTGCTTGCTAAGTGGGGTAGTTTATGGCCTGAGGCAACGTCTGAGTTTCAGGAGAGCAAGCTGCCTGGATCTAAACTTGGCACTGTTAGTAGTGTGTCCAGAATTGGTGGGTTCTTTGTCTCACTGATTTCAAGAATGAAGCCGCAGGACCTCACGGTGAGTGTTACAGTTCCTAAAGGCAGCGTGTCCGGAGTTTGTTCCTTCTGATGTATGGATGTGTTCGGAGTTTCTTCCTTCTGGTGGGTTTGTGGTCTCGCTAGCTTCAGGAGTGAAGCTGAAGACCTTTGCGGTGAGTGTTACAGCTCATAAAGGCAGTGTGGACCCAAAGAGTGAGCAGCAGCAAGATTCATTGCAAAGAGTGAAAAAACAAAGCTTCCACAGTGTGGAAGGGGACCCAAGCAGGTTGCCACTGCTGGCTCAGGCAGCCTGCTTTTATTCTCTTATCTGGCCCTACCCACATCCTGCTGATTGGTCCATTTTACAGAGAGCCAATTGGTCTGTTTTACAGAGAGATGATTGGTCCGTTTTGACAGGGTGCTGATTGGTGTGTTTACAATCCCTGAGCTAGACACAAAAGTTCTCCACGTCCCCACTAGATTAGCTAGATACAGAGTGTCGATTGGTGTATTTACAAACCCTGAGCTAGATACAGAGTGCTGATTGGTGTATTCACAATCCCTTAGCTAGACATAAAGATTCTCCAAGTCCCCACCAGATTAGCTACATACAGAGTGCCGATTGGTGCATCCACAAACCCTGAGCTAGTCACAGGGTGCTGATTGGTGTGTTCACAAACCTTGAGCTAGACACAGAGTGCTGATTGGTGCACTCACAATCCCTTAGCTAGGCACAAAGGTTCTCCAAGTCCCCACTAGACTCAGGAGCCCAGCTGGCCTCACCCAGTGGATCTCGCACCAGGGCTGCAGGTGGAGCTGCCCACCAGTCCCATGATGCGCCCACACTCCTCAGCCCTTGGGCGGTTGATGGGACCAGGCGCCATGGAGCAGGGGGCAGCACTCATCAGGGAGGCTCAGGCCACACAGGAGCCCACGGCAGAGGGGCGGTGGGGGCCGGCTGCAGGTCCCGAGCCCTGCCCCGTAGGGAGGCAGCTAAGGCCCGGTGAGAAATCGAGCACAGTGCCGGTGGGCCAGCACTGCTGGGGGACCTGGCGCACCCTCCGCAGCTACTGGCCTGGGTGCTAAGCCCCTCACTGCCTGGGGCCGGCAGGGCTGGCCAGCTGCTCCAAGTGCAGGGCCGCCAAGCCCACGCCCACCCGGAACTCTAGCTGGCCCACAGGCACCATGCACAGTCCCGGTTCCCACCCGTGCCTCTCCCTCCACACCTCCCCGAAAGCCGAGGGAGCTGGCTCCCGCCTCGGCCAGCCCAGAGAAGGGCTCCCACGGTGCAGCGGCGGGCTGAAGGGCTCCTCAAGTGTGGCCAGAATGGGCGCCAAGGCTGAGGAGGCACCGAGAGTGAGAGAGGGCTGCGAGGGCTGCCAGCACGCTGTCACCTCTCAGTAGGACACTGTGAGAGCGAGACCAGCCTTGCCAACTGCGTGGGAGGTGGGTGCGACCTTTTGCTACTAGCTATTCCCCACTTACCTGGTGAACAATACTGCTAAGCAGAGGCAGCCATAGTCCTCTCTGGAACATAACCTCATTGGCCTGAGAACCACCCTCCCAATCCCCACAGTGGCATGGCAAGCCCACCAAAGGAGAGTCTGAGCTCAGACCCTCCTAACCCTGTCCCCATCTGATGGTATTTCTCTACCCATCCTGGTAGGTGAACACAAAAGACATACACTCATGGGAGCTTTATGATCCCATCCATTGCCTGAGTAACCAGAATACCTCCCCTGGCCAACTTAGGGGAGGCTTATATCCCACTGCTAATATCACAGCTGGTGCTGTCATGAAAGCACCACCTCCTGGCTGAAGTCCAACCAACTCAGGCCTTTACAGCAACTCATGACAGAATTACCCTGCTCCCAGGAAGGAGAAAACAACAGTTAATACCACCACCTGCAGTATTCTGGATAACCAGAGGCCCTGAGTCTGTCCACATGACAACATCACCACCAGCACAATCAGCATTCAAGAAAGCCAGCACACTAAGCCTATCTGCAACCAAAGACTCTCACAGAATCTTCTTCACTCTCCTGCCACCTCCACCAGAGAAGGTGCTGGTATTCACAGCTGGGAGACCTAAAGACGGACCACATCACAGGCTTTTTGCAGCCATTCCTTAGCACCAGCCTGGAGTCTGGTGGCCCTACTGAGTGGTTAGACCCAGAAGAGCAATAACGAGCACAGCAGTCCGGCTCTCAGGAAGCCCCATCCCTAGGGGAAGGGGAAGAGCAGCACGTCAAGGATCACCCCATGGAACAAAAGAATCTGAAAATCAGGCCTCAAGTTCCAGATCTTTCCACTAATGGTTAGTTTCTGACAGCAGAGACACAATTGCAGTGCCGGGTGTAGTAGGGAAAGTCTACATCTCTACCCCAACAGGCAGGCAGCCTCCGTGATGGTGAAAGGGCTTGGAGAAGGGGTCCTTTTTCCCCTCTGGCACTCCACCACAGACACAGCTGGGGCTTCCCTCACAGGAACACAGCATGCAGGCACCTATAGACAGTCTTTCTGGAAAAATCCAGAGTAAGTGCAACCCCACAGGAGGACCACACTCCAGATTCAGGCCTGCATGAGAGGCAGAGTCACAGTTCCTCCTACATCTGGTTTTCTTCTGCAGCAGCCTAGACCTAAGCACTTGCCATCTTTATTTTTCTTTAACAAAGTATGAGATGTGGCACTGCAATTGTGAAAAGAAACATGGCCCTCAGGGAAAGCTAATTATTAGCTTTCATATCTTTTCTGCCGTGGATTGTAATCCTCAAGAGGCTAGGGATTGTACTTTACTTATTTTTGTCGGCTTGGTGACACACTTGTTGGGACTGGCATAATTCTCCTGTCTTAATAGGGGTAGGTATATTTTGGCTCCCAGATTCTAGCTACAGTGATAAATAGACTTGTTATCTGAAAGGGAACCTCCCTGTGGACATCGCCAAAAGGTTTACCTGAGTTTGCTGAGATAATATGCCAAATTTTCTGGCACCTGATTAAGTTCCCTGACAACCTGAATGTTCATTCTGTGAGCCCCTAATGTGGGTCTCATTCTCCTGGACAAGCCTTGCCTTTCTCTCTCTTCCTATCTGTCTCCCTGCTCTTTGGCCAGGGTGCAGTCCTAACCAGCTCAGTTCTCTGGCCTCACCTCCTTCAGCTCAGACTCCCTGGTGAAAAGCTGTTCTGCCTAATTTTCCATTAGTTGCGCCTCTGAATTGCTGACCCAGCATGATGGCCGGTTGCTGGGCTGATGAAGCTTTGCTGCCGCCTTCTGGCCTGAATGTTTACCACGTTTGTTTAATGAATTTTGGAAATAGAATTGCATGCCTTTCCAGTTGCTAGTGTGTAATGAAAAGCTGCATTTAAAAAATTAAGTACCATTTATTGAGAAGATCCTTTGTGGAAGAAATACGAGGCACTGCAGATACAGCGGTGAGTGAAACAGACAGAAATCTGTGCCCTCATTGAACAGTCGGGAGGAGACATACAAGACATACATAACAGGAAAAGGTAAATCCAAGATTACACAAGCAATATAGCTTGGAATGGAGATATGGAGTGGGGGAAGGGGCATTTAAATTTTAGATAAGGCCAGGGAAGACCTCCCTGAGATGTAAAGCACATGAAGGAAGTGGCAAAGAGAACAGTAAACACTGAGGCAACAGCCTGTTGGAATGTTTGAGGAACATCAAGGAGGCCGTGTGGCTGCCGCACTGCAGCAGAGTGACTGAGAGGGAGAGTAGGGCATAGGCCAGAAAGGTGAGTGTGGACAGGAGGGGGCAGAGCACACAGGGCCAGATGGGCAATTTTATACATAGGTATACATGTGTACATACATATACCCATACATATATGTATGTATACACAGACACAGGGATACACAGAGATACACATAGAGACATACACATAGAGACACACACATACATGCAGAGTCACATAAAGACACACAGATACATAAACAGAGACACACACAGAGACAAATGCAGAGAATAGAGACAGACACACACAGATACATATGTACAGTCATAGACACAGACACAGACAGAGACACACACACACACACAGACATATACAGAGAATAGAGACACACAAATACAGAGACATATGTACAGAGTCACAGAGACAGGGGCAAACACACAGACATACAGAGACAAATATATCTGAATCAGACTGGAAACTATTGGAGACTTTTGAATAGAGGGGAGATGTGGCAATGCATATTTACATTGATCACTCTGAAGATTGCATGAATAATAAACTATAGTTGTGGCAAGGGATGAGCAGAGAGACATATTAGGAGGCAAGGAGTAACAATGACTTGGACCAGCATGGTAAAATGGAAGTGGTGAGATATGGTCCAGTTCTGGGTACATTTTGAAGATAGAAGATTTGCTGATGGATTGAATGAGGGGTATAAAAGAGAGCACTGAAGGGTAACTGGGTAGCTGAGAAATTTAATAGCTGAAGTCATTTACTGAGATGGAGAAGTCTGTGGGAAGGGCAGGCTGGATGAGTGAAGGTAGAGAGAACAAGAGTTATTATTTGGAAATGTTTACTTTGAGATGCCTGTTGCACATATACCAAAGAGGAGATCAGAGGAGAAAACTAGGGCGGTGATACAATGTTTGGCGACACACCCTATAGATGGTACTTAGAGTCATGAAATTGGATGAGGTCAGATTAAGAACATCAATTCAATGTGGCAGAAGTTCTTATCACTTGCAACCTGAACATGGTTCTGACTTCAGTGCAGCTTAGAGATTTAAATGCCCATTTTGCCATGTGATGACTTTATTGTCCTATTACTTTTCTCTATTTGAACTGTTGTAAAACATATGGCTCAAGCTGTATTTATCTGTTTTTCATGTGGCATGACTGTATCTGTTATGAATTAAATTTACCTGTTTTTTTCTCCTTATTTCATCACAATTATAATAGCTGCTAGCAGCAACAATAGTGAGCACAATTGCAAATAAGCACAGTTGCAAATACTGGCAGTGTTATGGTGTGCTTGTTATGTCTTCCCAAATCCTCTTGTTAAACTAAAAATATTTCTACATACCCTTTAATACTCAATTTAAATATCATTCCCTCTGCGAAGCCCTTATCTCTGGGCAGTGCCTACTCCTCCCTTTCCTGTATTTTCATCACGCCTTGTTTATACCTTTCTTATAGCCTTTGTCATGAAACTGATTATTAGCTTTCTGAAAAGATAATAAAAGAAAGATAATAAGAAAAGACAATAAAAGAAAAGATAATAAAAAGATTATTATCTTTTCTGCCATGGATTGTAATCCTCAAGAGGGCAGGGATTGTACTTTACTTCTTTTCGTCTGCTTGGTGACACAGTTACTATAACAGCATGTGCTTGATAAATAAATACCACTTATGCTAAATACAATAATGGACTTTTCATTTGGGTCACTTTTATGTTGAATAAATTAAAACTGTATGATTTATAAGTGTCTTAATTTGTAGATACTTCCAAATAAAGCAAGAAAAGGGTTCTCTATTCCTCTCTGGGCTATATAAATGGCTGCCTAGGTTTTTATTTTGTTTGACATTAATTTAGTTGGCCAAAGAAGATTCTGAGCTGTCGGACTTCATTCCTCACTGCTGCTCTTTGGCAAGCCTCACATCAAAGGGCTGTTTGGAAGTTTATTCGTATTGAGGCTTTCTGGCTTCTTGTACTAGTTTGGAATGAAAATCTATTCGGGAGATTTACTGTGTCATTCTGGTATGGGTCAAATCTTTTTATCAAGAATTATTCCAGTGATTTTCCTTGGCTTAACCCCAGGCCTATATCTAAGCAAACGTTTGCCCAGGAATTTTGGTCCTTTATGTGTTTTGTTCCAATCCAGTTTAAATGTCATTTTCATTAGCTATTACTTTATAAATCTTTATTTAGCTGTTAAATAATTTTCCATATAGGGAAGTGTTGTGGAGCCTCCCTGTTCCAAGAAGTTCAGATAGAAAATGACAGCCATTCAAACTTCTACTTAGGCAAAAGATCTTTAAAGAAGTGTCTACTAAATATTTCCTATGTGCCAATTGTTTTGAGTGCTAGAGACAAAGTAGTGTGTCCAATAAAGTTCTTGTCTCATGGAGCATACTCTTTAGTGAAGAGATGACAGGTAATAAACTTTAAACAAACAAAAAAGAATGGTAATTTCATATAATGATATGCTATGAAGTAAATACAACTGGATGTGAGAAAAAAAGGAATGAAAGGGTGACTCACAACTGAGTGTATGGGTGCCAAAGCATAGTGCCTACTTAATGTGTCAGCACAGGCATATGCTACAATGTGGATGAATCTCCCTGTTCCAGCTACTGGATTCTTCTCTGAGGTCCCAGTGTTTTGGTTCTTCTCAATTTGCCACCACACTCTCCTGAATTTATTCTCTGAAATGTTTCTGTGTTCTATGTTGGGTTCTGTACCCTGAAAGGCTGATGTCTACAGACCATTAACTGGGTTCTCTGTCCTATGGCTTCTAGTTGGATTCTGCAAGCATTGGCTGGTGATCAGAGGGTGGAAGGAAAAAGAGGTTGAGATCTTTTCTCCTCTCTCTCCCTCCATGACTAAAGCATAGTGTGGCAGTCCTGCATTACTTGACAGCCACAGCTCCTGGCAGATGGCACATCTTCTTTGCTGCTTCAGGACTAAGGGTGATAATAGCGTGGAGCTATAATAATCACACTACTCACACCTCTATAAATAGGACCTTCATTTAAGTTTCTTCCCCAAAGCCCTTTTGGGTGTGGCTTCTGTTTCCTTCCAGGAACATGAATGATACAGCAGGAATGTTAAAGAATAATCACCCATGTAGATAGGTCCTCCTTCAGTCCATTTCCAGTTCTCAGATATTCTAGCCCTGTCTCTTTCACATTAGAGGTATTTATATATATTTTGTTATTCATGATGAAAATCTTGGAAAAATCTATTCTGGGGGCTCCAGAGCCTCCGAAAAATGCTATCACACAGACTCAATCCCTTCTTTAAGCTTGTTTTTACCTATAATTTGGTTTCATGAGCCCACACTATTATTGCTGTGCATAGCAGTGTTTTCAGGTGATACTGTAAAAACTAAATCAAAAGGTTTATACTTCAAGGTATTGGAAAATATCTTCATATTAAATGGAGAAGTAATATTTTTTGGTGAAATAAAGGCTTAATGATTTAAACAATGTGACTCTTACTATAACTCTTAATAGTGAAAGTGTATTTGCTGCATTATTTACTCAGTGGGGTAAGAGTGCATCTAATTTATTTTATCTCCAAGTATGTTGAACTCTGGCTCACCTCTATGGTTATCGAAAATCATGTCTTCTTCCATCCAAGAAGTTAAAAGTAATCTAATACAATATTCTGAATAATAAAAGATTACTCTCTACCATAAAATCCTCAATAAATGGCTTTCCAGTTTTTGCTATAATATTTTCAGTTTGTGAGATCTCATCATGCCATCTTAAAAGGTCATCCATTCCATTTACATGCCCTTTAAGTATTAGAAAGTATTATTGATCTCAAATCAACCTTTCCATAACTTCCTGTTTCTCCCAATTTTTCTTATTGTGATAAAATACACATAACATAAAATTTACCATCTTAACCATTTTAAGTGTACAGGGCAGTAGTATTAAGTATGTTCATATTGTTGGGCAGTCATCACCAGCATCTATCTCCAGAACTCTTTTTAACTTGCAAAACTGAAACTACATACCCATTAAACAATAACTCCTGTTTTTCTCCTACTCCAAGGCCCTGGAAACCATCATTCTACTTTCTGGTTTTTTTAATGATTTTGACTATTCAAAATACCTCAGATAAGTAGAATCATATAATATTTGTGTTTTAGTAACTGGCATATTTTATTTAGCATAATGTCCTCAAGGTTCATCCACATTGTAGCATATGCCAGAATTTCCTTCCTTTTTAAGGTTGAAATATTTGTGTGTGTGGTGTGTATAATGTGTGTGTGTGGTGTGTATAATGTGTGTGTGTATTATACTTGGGTTGCTTCCATTGTTAAAAGAAAAACTTCAGCTGAATTAAATTTAAAGAAGTTTAATTGAGCAATGAATGATTCACAAATTGGGCAGTCCCCAGAATCACAGCAGATTCAGAGAGACCCCAGGGTTGCCTTGTGGTCAGAACAAATTTATAGACAAAAAAAGAGAAGTGATGTACAGAAATCAGAGGTGAGGTACAGAAACAGCTGGATTGGTTACAGATTGCCATTTACCTCATTTGAACACAATTTGAACACTCAGCAGTGTATTACTGGTTGAAGTATGGCTGTTAGGATTGGCCAAGACTCAACCACTGTTATGGGTGCATACTCCTAAGTCAGGGTTTCAATCTTGTCTACCCGCTAAGTTAGGTTGCAGTTCGTCCACAAGGACTCAAATATAGAAGTACAAAGTCCTTCTCAGGCCATATTTAGTTTGCTTTAACACCATATTTTAGCTATTGTGAATAATGCTATGTGCATGGATATACAAATACCCTTTTGAAACCTTGTTTTCAATTATTTTAAGTACATATTCAGAACTGGAATTGCTGGATCATATGGTAAATCTATTTTTAATTTTTTGAGAAATTGCTTTACTGTTTCCCACAGTGGCTGTACTAGTTTATGTTCCCACTAACAGTACACAAGTGTTCCAATTTCTCCACATCTTTACCAACACTTATTTTTTTTTTCCTGTTAGCAGCCATCCTAATGGGTGTGAGGTAGTATCTTATTGTAGTTTTGATTTGAATTTTCCTAGTGATATTGAGCATCTTTTCATGTGCTTATTGGCTATTTGTATGTCTTCTTTGGAGAAATGTCTATTGAAGTCCTGTGCCCATTTTTGAATCAGATAGTTTTCTGTTGTTAAATTTAAGAAATTCTCTATGTATTCTGGATACTAATCCCTTAAAAGATATGCAATTTGCAAATGTCTTCTTGCAAATATTTTCTCCCATTCTGTAGGTTGACACTCTATTTTATTGATAATGTCTTTTGGTGTACAAACATTTTTAAATTTATGATGTCCAATTTTTTTTCTTTTGTTACCTGTGCCTTTGGTGTCATATCTAAGAAATAATTGTCAAATTCAACGTCATGAAGCATTTGCCCTGTGTTTTGTTCTAAGGGTTTTAGTTCTCACATTTAGATCATTGATATGATTTGGCTGTGTACCCACCCAAATCTCATCTTGAATTGTAATCCCCATAATCTCTATGTGTTGCGAGAGGAAACTGGTGAGACAAAATTGAATCATGTGGGCAGTTTCCCCCATGCTGCTCTGGTGATAGTGAGTTCTCACGAGATCTCATGGTTTTATAAGCATCTGGCGTTTCCCCTGCTGCACTCATTTTCTCTCCTGCCACCTTGTGAAGAGGTGCCTTCTGCCATGTTTGTAAGTTTCCTGAGGCCTTCCCAGCCATGCAGAACTGTGAGTCAATTAAACCTCTTTTTGTTATAAATTACCCAGTCTCAGGTATTTCCTTATAGTAATGTGGGAACAGGCTAATATAGTCATTGATGCATTTTTAGTTTTTTTTAATATATGGTGTTAGGTAAGGGTCCAACTTCATTTTTTGGCATGAGGATATCTAGTTTAGCCAACACCATTTGTTGAAAAAATGGACTTTTCTCCATTAAGTGGTCTTGACATTTCTGTCGAAAATAATTTGAGTATACATGTAAAGGTTTGTTATCTAGACTCTGTATTCTATTCCAATAGTCTATGTCTGTCTTTATGCCAGGTCTACACTGCTTTGATTGCTGTAGCATTGTAATAAATTTTGAAATGAGGAGGTGTGATTCCTCTAGCTTTGTTCTTCTTTTCCTGGAGTGTTTTGGCTATTTGGGGTCCTTTCAGATACTAACTCATATAGTTATGAGTTTTAGGATGGGTTTTCTTATTTCTGTAAAAAAGGTCATTGGGATTTTGATAGTGATTGAATTAAATATGTAGATTGCTTTGGGTAGTATTGAGATCTTAACAATACTAAGCCTTCCAGTCCATGAACAAAAGATGTCTTTCCATTTATTTTTGTCTTCTTTATTTCAGAATTTTTAAAAAGAGTTTTCACTGTACAAGTCTTACGTCTCATTGGTTAATTCCCAAGTATTTTATTATTTATAATGCTGCTGTGGTCTGAATGTGTCTCCCCCATACACACATATTCATGTTGAAACTTTCTTGCCAATGTGATAGTATTAAGAGGTGGGGTCCTTAGGAGATGATTAGGTCATGAGTGCCATCCTCATGACTTAGCACTCTTATAAAAGAGGTGTGAGGGAGCTGTTTGCCCCTTCTGCCATGTGAAGATGTAGCAAAAGGCACCATCCTGGAAGTAGATAGCTGCCCTCACTAGACATTGAATTTTCTGGTGTTTTGATCTAGGACTTCTCAGGCTGCAGAAATATGAGAAAATGAATGCATGTTATTTATAAATTACCCAGTCTCAGGTATTTTGTTATAGCAGCAGGAATACACTAAGACAGATATTATTTTAAATTGAATTGTTTCTTAATTTTCTTTTCCGATTGTTCATCATCAGTGTATAGAAATGTGATTGATTTTAGTGTGTTTATATCCTGAGTAGCTGAGATTACCGGCATGTGCCACCATGCTCAGCTAATTTTTGTTTTTTTAGTAGAGATAGGGTTTCACCATGTTGAGCAGGCTGTTCTTGAACTCCTGAGCTCAAATGATCTGCCTGCCTTGGCCTCCCAAGGTGGTGGGATTACAAGCATGAGCCACCTGCACCCAACCTGTTTTCATTAATCTTTAAGTATTTTCTAATTTTCCTTGTGATTTCTTTTTCATTGATTGGTTAAGAGTATGTTAATTTCTAAAAATTTATACATTTTTCAGTTTTCTTCTGTTATTGATTTCCAATTTCATCCTGTCATGGTCAGAGAAGATGCTTTATATGATATCTATCTTTTAAAATCTATTGAGACTTAATTTGTGACCTAACATATAGTCGATTTTGGAAAATCTATTATGTGCACTTAAGAAGAATGTATATTCTGTTATTGTTGAGAAGAATGTTCTGTATATGTCTGTTAGATTTAGTTGGTTTATTGCGTCATTCAATTTTTCTATTTCCTTGTCTCCTGTCTGGTTTTTCTATTATTGAGAGTGGGATATTTAAATCTCCAACTATTTATTGTAGACTGTCAATTAATCTCTTCAGTTTTGTTAATTTTTTCTTCATATAATGTATGGTCTGTTATTAGGCGTATAAATGCTAATTATTTCATCTTGCTATTTTGAATCTTTTATGAATATATAATGTCCTTCTTTGTCTTTTGTAATACTTTGAACATAAAGTTTATTTTGTCTGGCACTGGTATAGGCACATCTCCTTTGTTCTGATTGCTATTTGCATGGAATATTGTTTTCTATACTTTAACTTTCAACCTATTTGTATCTTTAGATAAAAAGTGAGTCTACTGTACACAGCATATAGTTGAATCACATTTAAAAAATATATTACTTCAATCTCTGTCTTTTGATTGGGGAGTTCAATCCAGTAATATTTAAGTAAGAAGGAACTTACTTCTGTCATTTTGGTATTTGTTTTCTTGTCCCTCATTTTCTGCATTACTATCTTTATTGTTTAGCTGATGTTTTTTGTAGTGAGATATTTAAAATAATTTCTCATTTTCTTTTTTATATATTCGATAGCATTTTCTTTGTGGTTGTCATGAGGATTGTACTTAAGATCCTAATTTTATGACCCCCTACTTTGAATTTATCCCAGCTTAACTTCAATGCCTTACAAAAACTGCTTATTTAAGAGCTGTCTCCACCCTTCTGAGTTGTTAATGTGACAGAATTGCACCTTTCTCTATATGTGCTCCCAAATATAAGCTAATAATTCTATTAAATGTTTTAGTCTCTTAAATTATGTACAAAACAAAATGTGGGATTACAAACCAAAGTAATAATAGTACTAATTTTTAGGCTAATAATTATTTTTTTAAATGTCTCTTAAATCATGTAGAAAACAAATAATTATGCACTATTGTTATAATACTAGTTTTTATAATTGCCAGTGTATTTACATTTACTGAGATCTTTCTTCATAAAGCTTTGAGTTCTGTCTACTATCCTTTTATTTAAAGCTGCAGGACTCCTATTAGCATTTTTTGAAGGGCTGGGCTAGTGATAATAAACTCCCTCAGCTTTTGTTTATCTGAGAATATCTTCATTTCTCTTTCATTTTGAAATACAGTTTTGCCAGATATAATATTTTTGGTTGATGGTTTTTGTTTTTTTTTCTAGCACTTTGAATGTATCAGTCTGCTGCCTTCTGGCCACCAAAGTGTATGATGAGAAATTTGCTGATAATTTTATTGAGGATCCCTTGTATATGGTGAGTCACTTCTCTTGTTGGTTTAAAAATCCTGTCTTTGTCCTTGGCCTTCAACAGTTTGAGTATGTACCTCAGTGTGGGTCTCTTTGAGTTAACTCTGCTTAGAGTTCATCAAGCCTCTTGTGTGTTTATATTCATGACTTTCATCATGTTTGGAAAGTTTTGGTCAAATTTTATTCAAATATTCTCTCTGCCTCTTTTTCTCTTTCTTCTTCTCCAGTTCCCCAGTGCAAATAGTGGTCCACTTCATGGTGTTCCACATGTTCCTTAGGCTCTGTTCACTTTTCTTCAACCTTTCCTCTTCATGCTGCTCAGGCTTGATCATTTCCATTGTCCTATCTTCAAGTACATTGATTCTTTCTTCTACCTGCTCAAATCTACCTTTAAATACCTCTAATAATTTAATAATTTCATTTGTTGTATTTTTCAAGTATTTTCTTTTTGGTTTCTTTTTAGGTGTTTGTCTCTCTATTTATATTTAAATTATGTTCATACATAATTTTCTTGACTTTCTCCATATCTTCCTTTAGTTCTTTGAGCCTTTTTAAAAGACAGTTATTTTAAAGTTTTTATTTTGTAGATCTACCATCAGGTCTTTTTTTCAGGGAAAGTTTCTGTTGGAATAATTTTTTTCCTTTAAATTGGCTATACTTTAATGTATCTCTGTATGCCTTTTGATTTTTTTGAAAACTGGAGATTTGAATCTAAAAGTGTGATAACTCTAGAAATCAGAATCTACCCCCTTCCCAGAGTTTGCTGTGTTTTTTTTTTTTTTTTTTTTTTTTTTTTTATTATTTAGGATATCTTTGTGCCAAGGATCAGCCTGAGTGTAAATTTAAGGTCTTCTCAGGCATTTTCTGAGCCTGTGCCTTCCCCTGGGTGTTTATGGTGATTTCTAATTTCCCTCATATATGTGGTTGCTTTTGAATGTCCTACTTGTCAATGTATGGCTCTCAAAAAATAAAAAAAAAGAGAAAATGAAAGGAGGGAGAGGAAGACACCACCTTTTAAATTTCCTGAAAGTCACTTTAGCTAGAGGAGGAGGGGCTTGCAACAATGTGGGTAGGTGCAAGAATAATAGCTGCTACCTCTTTGTCCACACCTCTGTGGTCAAAAGTAGAAATCAGTGATAAGAGCACAGATCACTGATATTTGCAGAACAGGATCCTTTTTGCCTACCCTGGCTCCCTTAACCTGTGTGAAAGCTGCATGAGAAACACATACACAGCTGCCTGCCATGAGGATGAAGGGTGGGGGATGGTAGCTGCTACTGTATTAAGGGCTGAAATTGACCAAAAGTAATCACATTTTACCATCTAAGTATTCCCCTGAAAGTTGCAAGCTTTCACTAGACTCCAGTTCCAAAACAGTTACATCAGACAGATCCTGCCAATGTAATTGTTGTTTAGCTGGGGAGACAGATTCCTACTATGCCATCTTCTCAGAATGCTCTCTGTAACTACCTTTTATTGATTCTAGTGTGAATTGCTCAAGGATGTGGTAAAAAAAAAATCCACCTGAAAGAATTAGAGGTAACAGTGCCAGGCACTCACACAGGGCCAGGAGTAGTTTGTATTACCACCAGCCAGAGTCGAAAACCTCCAACTTTAGAAGACAATAGGTAGAGTATACAGATGAATTTTGCTTCAGTGGTGGGGAATAATTAACTCTACACTAAATACTGCTCCATTTCACCTAATAAATCTTAAAGTAAGATCTGAATGAATCAAATTGTTTCCAAGTACCTTAACTGAATCATAGGAAAAAATCCTCAAGAACATTTGTATAAAAACAAAACTATCAGCTGGGCGTGGTGGCTCACGCCTGTAATCCCAGCACTTTGGGAGGCCGAGGCTGGCAGATCACGAGGTCAGGAGATTGAGACCTTCCTGGCTAACACGGTGAAACCCCGTCTCTACTAAAAATACAATAAGAAATTAGCCGGGCATGGTGGTGGGCGCCTGTAGTCCCAGCTACTAGGGAAGTGGACCCGGGTGGTGGAGCTTGCACTGAGCCAAGATCACGCCACTGCACTCCAGCCTGGGCGATACAGCAAGACTCTGTCTCAAAATACACACACACACACAAACAAACAAACAAAAACAATAACAACAAAAAACAAAAATATCAAAAGTACCCAACAAAAAAAATTCACAATGTTTGGGATTCAGGCAAAAATTACCTAGTATGTAAAAAAGTAGAAAAATACAACACATAATGGAGATATAAATCAATCAACAGGGACTAAAAAAATTGTTAGCAAACAATAATTAGCAAACAAGGACACTAAAATAGTTATTATAACTGGATTGAAAAGTTAAGTACAAAGATGGAACATTTTCAAAAGACCAAAATCTAACTTCTAGAGATGTAAACTACAGTGTTTGAAATAATATATATATATATTTATTTATTTCACTGTAGTGTTTGAAATACACACACACACACACACACACACACACACACATACACACACACTGGATTGGATGACAGTAGATTATTCATTGCAGGAAGACTTATATACTGAAGATTACAAATCATTGCTGAGAAAAATTTAAGAAGACTTGAATAAATAAATATTCATGAAGCAGAAATCTCAAAATTGTTAACACTCATTTCTCCCAAAATTAATTGATCTACAGTTTTAGTGCAATCTCAGTCACACTTTTTTAAAAAAGAAATTTACATACAGATTCTAAAATTCACATGAAAATGAAAAGTTCCTAGAATAGCTAAATCAACTTTGAAAACTGAACAAATTGGAGGACTAATACCACCTTGTTTCAAGACTTATTTTAAAATTACAGTAATTAAGACAATGTAATAACACTGTAAAGACAGGAAGATAGATCACTGAGGTAGAATAGAGAGTTTAGAGATAGACCTACACTGGAATGGGAAACTCATTTTAAACAAAGGTGCAAAGACAATTTAATGGAGAATGGATAGTTATTTTTAAACAAATGGTGCTAGAACAATTGGATAGCAATGTATTAAAAAATAAGCTTTGATGTTTACCTAGGATGATGGAAATATGGTGATGGCTAATTTTATGTGTCAACTTGACTAGGCTAAAGGATGACCAGATAGTTAGTAAAACATTATTTCTGGGTGTGTCTGTGAGGGTATTTCTGAAAGAAGTTGGCATTTGAATTGGTAGACTGAATGAAGATCACCCTCACTAATTTGAGTGAGCATTAGCCAATCTGTTGTGGACTTGAATAGAACAAAAAGACAGAGGAAAGGTACATTTACTCTCTTCTCTTTGAGTTGAGCATTCATCTTTTTCTGCTTTCAAACATGGGGCTTCTCATTCTTGAGCCTTTGAACTAGGACCAGGACTTACACCATCACCCTCCCCACCATCCCCAACCACCAAACCTTCAAACTCAAGTTGAATCACACCACTGGCTTCCTGGTTCTCTCTCGCTCTTTCTCTCTCTATATATACATATAGATATATAGGTGTGTGTGTATATATATAATTGTATATGTATATGTGTGTAGGTATATGTATACATATATGTATATATACATAGAATTGCATATCAATTATATGTATACAAGATTATTGTATATGTATAGGTACAATTATATGTATATATACAAATAATATCTATAATTGGTTCTGTTTCTTTGGAGAACCCCTAACTAGTGCAGATTTATATCCTAAAATTCTGAAACTTATAGAGTATTTTAACCTGGGTTAGGCAAAGATTTCTTAGACACAACATGAAAAGATCAATCAATATAAGAATGCATTGATAAATAGAACTTCAAAGTTAAGGGAGGAGCCAAGATGGCCGAATAGTAACAACTCCGGTCTACAGCTCCCAGCCTGAGCGACGCAGAAGACGGGTGATTTCTGCATTTCCATCTGAGGTACCGGGTTCATCTCACTAGGGAGTGCCAGACAGTGGGCGCAGGTCAGTGGGTGCGCGCACCGTGCGCGAGCCGAAGCAGGGCGAGGCATTGCCTCACTTGGGAAGCGCAAGGGGTCAGGGAGTTCCCTTTCTGAGTCAAAGAAAGGGGTGACAGACAGCACCTGGAAAATCGGGTCACTCCCACCCGAATACTGCGCTTTTCCGACGGGCTTAAAAAAAGGGCGCACCACAAGATTATATCCCGCACCTGGCTCTGGGGGTCCTATGCCCACGGAGTCTCCCTGATTGCTAGCACAGCAGTCTGAGATCAAACTGCAAGGTGGCAGCGAGGCTGGGGGAGGGGCACCCGCCATTGCCCAGCCTTGATTAGGTAAACAAAGCAGCCAGGAAGCTCAAACTGGGTGGAGCCCACCACAGCTCAAGGAGGCCTGCCTGCCTCTGTAGGCTCCACCTCTGGGGGCAGGGCACAGACAAACAAAAAGACAGCAGTAACCTCTGCAGACTTAAATGTCCCTGTCTGACAGCTTTGAAGAGAACAGTGGTTCTCCCAGCACGCAGCTGGAGATCTGAGACCGGGCAGACTGCCTCCTCAAGTGGGTCCCTGACCCCTGACCCCCGAGCAGCCTAACTGGGTGTCACGCCCGAGCAGGGGCACACTGACACCTCACACGGCAGGGTACTCCAACAGACCTGCAGCTGAGGGTCCTCTCTGTTAGAAGGAAAACTAACAAACAGAAAGGACATCCACACCAAAAACCCATCTGTACATCACCATCATCAAAGACCAAAAGTAGATAAAAGCACAAAGATGGGAAAAAAACAGAACAGAAAAACTGGAAACTCTAAAAAGCAGAGCGCCTCTGCTCCTCCAAAGGAACGCAGTTCCTCACCAGCAATGGAACAAAGTTGGATGGAGAATGACTTTGACGAGCTGAGAGAAGAAGGCTTCAGACGATCAAATTACTCTGAGCTACGGGAGGACATTCAGAGCAAAGGCAAAGAAGTTGAAAACTTTGAAAAAAATTTAGAAGAATGTATAACTAGAATAACCAATACAGAGAAGTGCTTAAAGGAGCTGATGGAGCTGAAAACCAAGGCTCGAGAACTATATGAAGAATGCAGAAGCCTCAGCAGCTGATGCGATCAACTGGAAGAAAGGGTATCAGCGATGGAAGATGAAATGAACGAAATGGAGCGAGAAGGGAAGTTTAGAGAAAAAAGAATAAAAAGAAATGAGCAAAGCCTCCAAGAAATATAGGACTATGTGAAAAGACCCAATCTACGTCTGATTGGTGTACCTGAAAGTGATGGGGAGAATGGAACCAAGTTGGAAAACACTCTGCAGGATATTATCCAGGAGAACTTCCCCAATCTAGCAAGGCAGGCCAACGTTCAGATTCAGGAAACACAGAGAACGCCACAAAGATACTCCTTGAGAGGAACAACTCCAAGACACATAATTGTCAGATTCACCAAAGTTGAAATGAAGGAAAAAATGTTAAGGGCAGCCAGAGAGAAAGGTCGGGTTACCCTCAAAGGGAAGCCCATCAGACTAACAGCGGATCTCTTGGCAGAAACCCTACAAGCCAGAAGAGAGTGGGGGCCAATATTCAACATTCTTAAAGAAAAGAATTTTCAACCCAGAATTTCATATCCAGCCAAACTAAGCTTCATAAGTGAAGGAGATATAAAATCCTTTACAGACAAGCAAATGCTGAGAGATTTTGTCACCACCAGGCCTGCCCTAAAACAGCTCCTGAAGGAAGCACTAAACATGGAAAGGAACAACCAGTACCAGCTGCTGCAAAATCATGCCAAAATGTAAAGACCATCGAGGCTAGGAAGAAACTGCATCAACTAACGAGCAAAATAACCAGCTAACATCATAATGACAGGATCAAATTCAGACATAACAATATTAACTTTAAATGTCAATGGACTAAATGCTCCAATTAAAACACACAGACTCGCAAATTGGATAAAGAGTCAAGACCCATCAGTGTGCTGTATTCAGCAAACCCATCTCACGTGCAGAGACACACATAGCCTCAAAATAAAAGGATGGAGGAAGATCTACCTAGCAAATGGAAAACAAAAAAAAGGCAGGGGTTGCAATCCTAGTCTCTGATAAAACAGACTTTAAACCAACAAAGATCAAAAGAGACAAAGAAGGCCATTACATAATGGTAAAGGGATCAATTCAACAAGAAGAGCTAACTATCCTAAATATATATGCACCCAATACAGGAGCACCAAGATTCATAAAGCAAGTCCTGAGTGACCTACAAAGAGACTTAGATTCCCACACATTAATAATGGGAGACTTTAACACCCCACTGTCAACATTAGACAGATCAACGAGACAGAAAGTCAACAAGGATACCCAGGAATTGAACTCAGCTCTGCACCAAGTGGACCTAATAGACATCTACAGAACTCTCCACCCCAAATCAACAGAATATACATTTTTTTCAGCACCACACCACACCTATTCCAAAATTGACCACATGCTGGGAAGTAAAGCTCTCCTCAGCAAATGTAAAAGAACAGAAATTATAACAAACTATCTCTCAGACCACAGTGCAATCAAACTAGAACTCAGGATTAAGAATCTCACTCAAAACCGCTCAACTACATGGAAACTGAACAACCTGCTCCTGAATGACTACTAGGTACATAACGAAATGAAGGCAGAAATAAAGATGTTCTTTGAAACCAACGAGAACAAAGACACAACATACCAGAATCTCTGGGACGCATTCAAAGCAGTGTGTAGAGGGAAATTTATAGCACTAAATGCCCACAAGAGAAAGCAGGAAAGATCCAAAATTGACACCCTAACATCACAATTAAAAGAACTAGAAAAGCAAGAGCAAACACATTCAAAAGCTAGCAGAAGGCAAGAAATAACTAAAATCAGAGCAGAACTGAAGGAAATAGAGACACAAAAAACCCTTCAAAAAATTAATGAATCCATGAGCTGGTTTTTTGAAAGGATCAACAAAATTGATAGACTACTAGCAAGACTAATAAAGAAAAAAAGAGAGAAGAATCAAATAGACGCAATAAAAAATGATAAAGGGGATATCACCACCAATCCCACAGAAATACAAACTACCATCAGAGAATACTACAAACACCTCTACGCAAATAAACTAGAAAATCTAGAAGAAATGGATAAATTCCTAGACACATACGCTCTCCCAAGACTAAACCAGGAAGAAGTTGAATCTCTGAATAGACCAATAACAGGAGCTGAAATTGTGGCAATAATCAATAGCTTACCAACAAAAAAGAGTCCAGGACCAGTCGGATTCACAGCCGAATTCTACCAGAGGTACAAGGAGGAACTGGTACCATTCCTTCTGAAACTATTCCAATCAATAGAAAAAGAGAGAATCCTCCCTAACTCATTTTATGAGGCCAGCATCATTGTGATACCAAAGCCAGGCAGAGACACAACCAAAAAAGAGAATTTTAGACCAATATCCTTGATGAACATTGATGCAAAAATCCTCAATAAAATACTGGCAAACCGAATCCAGCAGCACATCAAAAAGCTTATCCACCATGATCAAGTGGGCTTCATCCCTGGGATGCAAGGCTGGTTCAATATATGCAAATCAGTAAATGTAATCCAGCATATAAACAGAACCAAAGACAAAAACCACATGATTATCTCAATAGATGCAGAAAAAGCCTTTGACAAAATTCAACAACCCTTCATGCTAAAAACTCTCAATAAATTAGGCATTGATGGGACGTATTTCAAAATAATAAGAGCTATCTGTGACAAACCCACAGCCAATATCATACTGAATGGGCAAAAACTGGAAGCATTCCCTTTGAAAACTGGCACAAGACAGGGATGCCCTCTCTCACCACTCCTATTCAACATAGTGTTGGAAGTTCTGGCCAGGGCAATTAGGCAGGAGAAGGAAATAAAGGGTATTCAATTAGGAAAAGAGGAAGTCAAATTGTCCCTGTTTGCAGACGACATGATTGTATATCTAGAAAACCCCATCATCTCAGCCCAAAATCTCCTTAAGCTGATAAGCAACTTCAGCAAAGTCTCAGGATACAAAATCAATGTACAAAAATCACAAGCATTCTTATACACCAACAACAGACAAACAGAGAGCCAAATCATGAGTGAACTCCCATTCACAATTGCTTCAAAGAGAATAAAATACCTAGGAATCCAACTTACAAGGGATATGAAGGACCTCTTCAAGGAGAACTACAAACCACTGCTCAAGGAAATAAAAGAGGATACAAACAAATGGAAGAACATTGCATTCTCATGGGTAGGAAGAATCAATATCATGAAAATGGCCATACTGCCCAAGGTAATTTACAGATTCAATGCCATCTCCATCAAGCTACCAATGACTTTCTTCGCAGAATTGGAAAAAACTACTTTAAAGTTCATATGGAACCAAAAAAGAGCCCGCATCACCAAGTCAATCCTAAGCCAAAAGAGCAAAGCTGGAGGCATCACACTACCTGACTTCAAACTATACTACAAGGCTACAGTAACCAAAACAGCATGGTACTGGTACCAAAACAGAGATATAGATCAATGCAACAGAACAGAGCCCTCAGAAATAATGCCACATATCTACAACTATCTGATCTTTGACAAACCTGAGAAAAACAAGCAATGGGGAAAGGATTCCCTATTTAATAAATGGTGCTGGGAAAACTGGCTAGCCATATGTAGAAAGCTGAAACTGGATCCCTTCCTTACACCTTATACAAAAATTCATTCAAGATGGATTAAGGACTTAAATGTTAGACCTAAAACCATAAAAACCCTAGAAGAAAACCTAGGGATTACCATTCAGGACATAGGCATGGGCAAGGACTTCATGTCTAAAACACCAAAAGCAATGGCAACAAAAGACAAAATTGACAAATGGGATCTAATTAAACTAAAGAGCTTCTGCACAGCAAAAGAAACTACCATCAGAGTAAACAGGCAACCTACAAAATGGGAGAAAATTTTTGCAACCTACTCATCTGACAAAGGGCTAATATCCAGAATCTACAATGAACTCAAACAAATTTACAAGAAAAAAACAAACAACCCCATCAAAAAGTGGGCAAAGGACATGAACAGACACTTCTCAAAAGAAGACATTTATGCAGCCAAAAAACACATGAAAAAATGCTCATCATCACTGGCCATCAGAGAAATGCAAATTAAAACCACAGTGAGATACCATCTGACACCAGTTAGAATGGCAATCATTAAAAAGTCAGGAAACAACAGGTGCTGGAGAGGATGTGGAGAAATAGGAACACTTTTACACTGTTGGTGGGACTGTAAACTAGTTCAACCATTGTGGAAGTCAGTGTGGCGATTCCTCAGGGATCTAGAACTGGAAATACCATTTGACCCAGCCATCCCATTACTGGGTATATACCCAGAGGACTATAAATCATGCTTCTATAAAGACACATGCACACGTATGTTTATTGCGGCATTATTCACAATAGCAAAGACTTGGAACCAACCCAAATGTCCAACAATGATAGACTGGATTCAGAAAATGTGGCACATATACACCATGGAATACTATGCAGCCATAAAAAATGATGAGTTCATGTCCTTTGTAGGGATATGGATAAAATTGGAAATCATCATTCTCAGTAAACTATCGGAAGAACAAAAAACCAAACACTGCATATTCTCACTCATAGGTTGGAATTGAACAATGAGATCACAGGGACACAGGAAGGGGAATATTACACTCTGGGGACTGTTGTGGGGTGGGGGGAGGGGGGAGGGATAGCATCGGGAGATATACCTAATGCTAGATGACGAGTTAGTGGGTGCAGCGCACCAGCATGGCACATGTATACATATGTAACTAACCTGCACAATGTGCACATGTACCCTAAAACTTAAAGTATAAAAAAAAAAAAAAAAACTTCAAAGTTAAAAACTTCTGCTCTGTTAAGAGAATAAAGAGAATAAAAAGCATGGTTAAACTCATCGTTAAGAGAATAAAAGGACAAGCCACAGACTGGGAGAAAATATTTGCAAATCTTACAAAGGATTTTTACACAGAATATATAAAGAACTCTCAAAATTCAAAAATAAGAAAACAAACCCCTACAAAAAACTGGGCAAATTATTTGAAGACACTTCACCGAAAAAGATACACAAATGACAAATAAGCACATAAGAAGATGTTCAACATCATTAGTCACTGGGGAAATGCAATTATAACCACTATACACCTATTGGAATGGTTAAAAGTGAAAAGACTGACCATACCAAATGTTGGTGAGAATGTGGAGAAACTGCAACGCTGATACATCTAGTTTTAGTGTAAAATAATATAACCAATTGGGAAAACAAATTGACAGTTTTATGAAAAGTTAAACACGTATGAGCCATATGATTCAGCCATTCTACATTTTGATATTCAATCAATAGAAATGAAAATGTATCAATACAAAAACTTGAAATAAATGTTCATATCACCTTTATTTGTAATAGCCCCAAACTAGAAGCAGCCAAAGTATCTGTCTATGAACAAGTGAATGAATAAACAAGCCATGGTATATCCGTATACTGGACTACTATCCTGCAATTTAAAACAATGAACCATTGACACACACAACATTAGTGGATCTCAAAATAATTATGCTGAGTGAAATAATCCAGATATAAAAGAATACTCGCCGGGCGTGGTGGCTCACGCCTGTGATCCCGGTGCTTTGGGAGGCTGTGGCTGGCAGATCACGAGGTCAGGAGTTTGAGACCAGCCTGACCAACATGGTGAAACATTTTCTCTACTAAAAATACAAAAATTAGTTGGGCGTAGTGGCAGGTACCTGTAATCCCAGCTACTCAGGAGGCTGAAGCAGGAGAATCACTTGAACCCAAGAGGTTGCAATGAGCTGAGGTTGCGCCATTGCACTCCAGCCCAGGTGACAGAGTGAGACTCCGTCTCAAAAAAAAAAAAAAAAAAAAAAAAAAAGAATAATACTATATGACTCAATTTGTATAAAATTCTATTAAATTCATACTAATATTTGTGACAGAAAAGCACATCAGTATTTGTCAGAATGCGGAAGGGTGTCAGGAGGAGTGGAAGAGAAGAATCACAAAGGAGTATGAGGAGTTTGGAACTATTGGACGTGTTCATTTATCTAGGTTGCGGTGATAGTTGCATGGGTGTACATATGTCAAAACTTATCAAATTGTATGCTTTATATATGTGCAGTCTATTGTATGTCAATAACATCTCAATAAAGTTGTTAAAAATAGTTAAAAAACTAAAGAGATGGTACAAATCCATTTTCTACAGTTTGTTTCTTCTAACTTTAGAGAAATAAAAGAATTAGCAAAACAAGGTTCAGAACGGTTAAAGATAGCTTTTTTTTTAAACAAAATTCGCTTACGTCACTCATTTAACAAGTATTTATTGTTATACTCAGGCACTGTACAGAAATAAAACTTTGAAGGAATTTCCAGATAAGTGCAACTGTTTATTATTTTATCTTCTCTTTATATCATTTTTAGAAACTGTCTTCAGGAAGTACCATTCATTTTCATACCAACTGGGTGGTGTATAATAAATTACCACAGTGTTTGGCTTATATTTATTTATTCTTTTGTCCCTACAAAAGTATATTATATGTCTCTACTTTTAAGTTTATTGATTTTCTTTCAAGTTTTTGTTATTTTGATGCATAATGCCTCTTAACCTCCTTTCTAATAAGATCATTTCTTTTAAACAATGTGTATAATATTCTAGACATGAGTTTATTCCCACAAATTATCAGTGATGATAAAAATTTATAATTATCTTTGTTTGGTAAAATCCCAACTTAACGTGAGCATTGGCCTAACTTCTATGGACCAAAACCATTTTAAAAGGCTCCAATGAAGTCCACTATACAAATAAAATGACCTAGTAGTTCAAATAGAGATAAGTGATAGTAGAAGTGAATTATTATATACTACATGTTTGTGTAGTCATGACACTCAGTATTTTTTTAAATTGCCATTCTAGACTTTCTCCTAGTGTTTTCAAATTCCAACAGATATTTATCTTCAGGATTTGAGAAAAAGATTTCAGAATTCCTAGGAATTTTTGCAATTGGAAGTTATTATTAAAGATTAACATTCTTCGCACTGCTTACTCATTATTGGTATCAAAAATATGGTTAATAAATAAGAAACATTGAAATTATAGCATTTATGAAGAACTACAGTCTATTGTGAATATTCATACTCTCAGGGATATGCAAGTAAATAGGAGCATTTTGAACAATTAAAGTAGCAATTGAATAGCATTTCAACAATTAAAATTTTGGATCTTCTAGTTCTATACAGAACTGCATGCCAAAATTGCCAATTTACAGACTTATTTGCTTCCAAACCTGTTATTTCCTGGAACAGTATGCATATAATTTATGTAATGTACATATGCTTATATAGTATGAATATTTATTTTATTTGCAAGAATGACTCACCATTAGCTGCATACAGAATGATGAACATACACTTCTAACATGGTGATAGCTACAAAAAAATGATGGATTGTGATTGCTTTTTCTTTAGTGCTCCTAATTCAGCTTCTGGATATGTCAACCTTACCTTTGGACTCTGCATGTCAGCATTTCCTGCTCCTGCTTTAGATTTTACTTTAGTGGATTGCTTCTAATCAATAATGCTTCTATGTTGAATCCTAAGGTTTAATTCTTGCAAGAGACTATCATACTTTTTTCCATTTTTTCAATCTAGAAGTTTTTGAAATTCAAAAAATTCTAGGAAGGGCTTTCTTTATGGAAAAGCTGCTTTCCCCACTAGGTGCAGAGTATTCCAATATTGAATCATCTAGATAGTTTCTAGTTTTATAATGGTAAACTTTTCTCTTTTCAATTTTGAGTTTAATACCATTTTGATCAGATCTACAAATCATTTGGCAAACACATTCTTGGAGTACTCATCTCTTTCTAACAACTCTTTCAACAGTGTTTCTAACACTAAAGAAACTTTAACTGTTTTCTAGAAATCAAATCTCATTATTTGATATCAGTTATGTATGTAGCCATTAAATTCACCATGGATTTTCTCTACTAAAATCCCAAACTTTGTTTGGAAGGCTAGATTAAAGTCCATCAATGTCTCAAGTCTTAGATTTCCTTCCAGGACTTTATAATCACTGGAGACAATTTCCAGTTCCTTTCTGTGGGTGTCATATATCCCCACAGGAATCTGCAGGAAGAATGAGACTTAGCATACTTTCAATGATTTCCCAGCAACTCTGAGCTTCATTGACCTCATACTCTTTTTCTCAAACGACTGTTGCAGATTAAATGTGCATGTGTATGCACATAGCTGTGTAGATAGAAGATACCAATAAATGGTCACTATTTGTTAGTAACAAGAGTCCTCATATCTGTTGTTTTTCAAACATTACTATTATTTGGGCACAAGATAATACTTCTCTTCCAGAAAATCCATATTTACTACCTACTAAAAGAGCCAAAGCTGATATCTGATAAAATTCTGATTACTCACTTTCTTCTTTTTTCTCCCTTCTCTGTAACATTTCTTTTCAATTGTCATTGTCTTCATCATTTTCCAAGTGTATCCTTGGGCAAGTGATTGAATCTGTTGGTGTCTCAGTTTCTGCATCTGAAAAATGGGAATAACAATAGCACTTATGTTTGTGTTGAGGCTTATAGGGGATCTAAGTAAAGTATTTAAAACAGTGTTTGGCACATGGTAAGTGCTCAAAAAATGTTAGCTGCTTATTATTAACACTGATTTTTAATATTTGGCATTCTCAAAATCCTTAAATTGTTGTATTACTCCTGAGAGTGAGTCCTAACTTCTGTCTTGACACTGTTTATCATTCTTGATAAGGCAAAATACAGAAAGGCATTCAAGTCCTCTTACCTTTAATTCATCCTGGCAGATGTATAATTAGGACACAGTGGGTATTTGTGATAGGAGGACAAACACTTCTATCTCTACATCTGTTCTCAGAAATAACTGCTGCCCTCTGTGCTCTTCCTTGCCAGAGGACCCATGTCCTAGGTTAAGAAAAAAGACAATCTCTCTTATTTTGCCAAGGTTAAGGATGGAAATAAAAAAAGACAACCTGTCTTTTGTCTGTCTTGGCTTTGAACAACATGCTTTCCTTTCCATCTAGAATTTTCTCTTTTTACTGCTCTTAATGTAACCCAAACAAAGAGAGGACTTGAAAGATGGTCAGTTGTTACTTGGGCTGGTGTGCTTTACATTGTTCCAGTGTTGTGTTTCTTCTAAATGAAATAGCACCAAATGACAGTAAGTGTAAAAATCAGAGCAATGTTTGAGAATTTATTAATGTATGCAATGTACTAAATGAGTACTGAAGGATGAAGGTTAAGGAAGGCCATTCGAAAATGAAAAGCTTAGTAACAGTGCATTATTTTAGTATTGTGGGACATAAATGACATTATCTAATTGCCATCAATAAAATACTAGTGAAATGACAGCAAGTCTTTAGTAGGCAAATAAAAATACAGTTCCTCATATTGGATCATTAAAAGGTAAATTGGAATGATTTGTCTTTTTGTAGGCTGATCTATCTTTTAATATCATTTTGTGAACCACAAAGAAAATTATGTTCAGATAGGTACCTGAAGAGTTTCCTCCATTCAGATGATTAGAAAACAATTCTTTAGAAATGCTTGACTATTTAGCACCCCCAAAAGAGCAATAGGAAGGTCATAAGCAAGCAACACAAAAGCAATTTGAGATAACAAACGCCAAATAACATTTAATAACCATAAAGGCATTGTTAGGCCCTTGGTCTCAGTGCTACCATTAATAATTGACTATCTTACCTCATTGCTGAACATGTTAAAGTAATGAATGTGCAGTTGGGCTTCATTGTCCTTGGGTTTACCATACTCTGTTAACACCTCCTAGGCAGCTATCAATTCCCTTAGTGTTATACTCTTTGTTGTTTATTATTTTTATTAATAGCATCAATATATCCTTTGCAGTTTTGACTTAAAGGTGAAACTTTGGCTGTAAGTTGAGGTATCAAATCTACAGGTATATTGCTATGCACAGTCTTTATTAAAGTTGCTTTTATAATAAGGGATACCTAATTTTAAAAAATATTCTTGATTTTCTTGAATGGAATTAGTTTCAAATATGCTCTTCCAGAAATACATCACATGTACTACTCTTGGGTACAGAAAATATAATGGTGGTTTTATGTCACTAAATTTGGAGTGGTTGGTTACACTGCAATAGTAATGGAAATATTGTTTTATTTGTTTGGGAACAAACAAACCTTTCTTTGACTTTTCCTCCCAATATAACCGGAAAGTTACCAGGCAAGGCACTTCCCCTTTGGACATTTTAATTGGCATAATAATGGGATGTGGCCTAGGTTGGACTTATAATATTATGTTACTTTTGCTAAAGTGATTGGGCCAAGAGATGGTACATGACCCTGCCAGGGCCAGTCTAGGTCCAGTATGGTGAAAGCCTTCCTGCAGTATAACTGGATGAAGGTACACAAAGAAGAACTCAGAAAAAAGAGGAAGGAAGAGAAAACAAGCTGTGCTTGGGCCTCTGGTGACAGTCACTAAGTTCTTCTGAGTTTCCCTGATCCTGCAGCTTTTCCTTCATTTCTGAGAAGTATCCTGGTGTCCTTCCAACAAATTATTCTATTTTATGTAACCAAGTTTGAGGTAGGATTCTGTCACTTTGTAATCTGTAAAAACCTCCACAAAGAGCTGGAATTTCATCCTCATCATCAGGTATCTTCAAGAGTACGTAATTGTGAAAAAGGTGGCCATTTGTGGGCCAAAGGGAACATAAGAAGTGCACTTTGAGAGAAAGCCTTTGAAAAGAGCAAAGAATTCTTATTAAATAGAGGGGTCAAATTAAAGACAGGTACATGACAGATAGAAGAGAGCAATTAATTAACAAGTCTTTTTCATTGCCAGAAAAGTAGACCCCCCTGAAGTTGTGAATTAGTCCTAATTTCAATGCCATATTTCTTAGAGTCGCTGCTGTCCATCTTTTGTATCCCCAACCCTGCCCCCAACCCATTATTAATTTCTCCTAATTTTAGGGTTATGACAAAGTTAATAGCACTTGTTTAGAATCTAGCTGTCAATTTAATATGAACAACAAAGACAGTTATTTAGAGGGCATTAATCGAAAAGAGAATCAATACCTACAGGGAAAATATCAGATACTATTTAATTCCCAATATCTAATCAGTAAAAAATAAAAATATAACAATCTGGTGGTCTTAAAGGATTAATCGAAAAAGCATGGCATTTGGTCAAAAAAAGAAAATTGGAACTATGTAAAATCTTATTAAAACATTTTTTGATGTTTCATTTGGAAAGAAAATGGTCCCTCATGAATATTACATAGATTCTGGACACTATTTACTATTTGGATGGTTCTTTAAAATTTGTCTCACCATGGGAATCTTAGCTAATAAGATGGCATTTCTGGCAAAGAAGTATAGTTTGAGATGTTTGGTAAAGAGAAAATAACACCTGGGTTATGTTTCAGATAAAAACACCCATTTAGAAAGATGCTTTAAAAAATCAGTTGTCAAAGAACTAAAAATATAATTAGCATTTAACCCAGCAATTCCATTACTGGGTATATATCCAAAAGAAAATAAATCATTCTACCAAAAAGACACCTAAACTTGTATGTTTATTGCAGCACTATTCATGACAGCAACGACATGGAATAAGCCCAGGTGCCCATCAATGGTGAACTGAATAAAGAAAATGTGGTACATATACACCATGGAATACTGTGCAGCTATAAGAAAACAAAAACAAAAACGAAATCATGTTGTTTTCAGCAACGTGGATGCAGCTGGTGGCCATTATCCTAAGCGAATTAATGCAGAAACAGAAAAGTGGGAGCTAAACATTGGGAATAACTGACAAAGATGGGAACGATAGACACTGGGGATTCCAAAACAGGGGAGGGAAGGAGACAGGCAAGTGTTGGAAAACTACCTATGGGGTACTATGCTCACTACTTGGATGACAGGATCATTACAACTCCAAACTTCAGCATCATGCCATATACCCATGTAACAAACTTGCACATGTACGGCCCAAATCTAAAATTTTTTAAAAATTGAGTTGTTAGATGTTTAAAAGTTCAGGAATTTTAGCAAACTGCATAATTTCTTCTTGTTGATATTTTATTGATAACCATCTTTCATAGGTATATGTGATTAACTTGATGATTCAGCCTCTTTTTGTTAGAATTCTTGGTTTAACTCTTATTTCCCAAAAGTCTCAGTCTGTTTTCTTCTTCTCATTTTTACCCACATGTATACTTATGGAATAACAAGTAACTTAATAAAAAAAACCTTAGCAAAATATAAATAAGAAGCTAAATCATAGGATTGTAAACCTTTAGAACTGGAAGGAACTATAGTGCTCATTTCACTTGATGATCTTGTTTTACAGGTAAGAAAATGAGATTTAAGGAGATTAGTTAATTTGCAGCCTAAAGTTATGTTTACTGCTAAGAAAAAAAATGCTCTTAGGTTTTCCATTGTTTTGGCATTTCTGTGCCTCAGTTTTTCTTTCTTATTCTTTTTAGAGTTAAATCTCTTTGAATGGCTTTATATTTCAGTTATCAAGTTATAACATTTAGTGCAGTGATTATCAAAGTGTAGTCTTTGGACTAGGAGCTTTAGTATTACCTGGAAACTTGTTAAAAATGTAAATTCTTGGGCCCTGTCCCAAACACAGTGAATCAGAAACTCCAGTAGTGAGGTCCAGCAATCTGCATTTAACAATCCCTAGGTTATTCTGATGTACTGAGTTTGGTGAATGACATTTGGTCTGAGTGTTAGAAAAATGAGATCTTAGTCCAAATACTGTTAACCACCCGGTGACTATGGGAAAATCGCTCAAAGCAAATCTAATATTCTTTTGCCCTTTCCTCAAACCCTCTAAAGTTCTTCCATAGACTTTTAGCTCTATGTAAGTAGCCCTCTACTTCTACAACTTTATCTCCCTTCAACCTCTCCTGCTAGTTTTGGCTCCGACAGTACTAATTTCTCTGTTCCACTGGCTCTATTGTTCCCTTGCCAGGAATGCTGTTCCTTCCCTCTTCACCTTACTCAGCTCCAGTATGAATCAGACTAGAGGCCCAGGACTTTTAGAAAGTCTTTGATTTCCATCTGGAATGGGTTGTGTGCCTCCTCTATTGTTTTCATAATATTTTATGCATATGACATCACTGAGAGCTGAAAATATGTAGATATTAACTAGCTGAAGGTGGGCAAATTAGCTTCCTAGGAGAGGAGAATGGTCTGTGCAAAGGTCCTGTGCTGGGAGTGAGCATGACATGAACATGGGGTTCAAAGAGGGGCAGTGTGGCTGGATAAGAGAGAGTGAGAGGAGGCAAAATGATGCAAAGTGAGGCTGGAGATGTAGATTGGGGCCAGATCACTCAAGGAGTCATAGGCAATTTGTCTTTATGCTAAAAACAACAGGAAAATATTGATATATTTTAAGAAAAAAGTGAATGTAATAAGATGAGCATTTTAAGATGAGCACTTGGCTGCTGTTAGATGGTAGTAAGAACCACTTATAGGCAACCAGTCAGGAAACCATTGCAGTAATGCAGGTTAAAGACGATGGTAGCCAGGATTTCTCTTGTTAGTGATAGTGGAAATGGAAAGAAGGAATGGATTCATGAGATTTTTAGGACTTGGTGATGGCTGCATAGGAGGGGTGAGGGAGGGTGAAGTGTAGGTTTTAAGTCAGTCAGTATCTAGTTACTGAAGATACTGGTTACACCTTATATTGGTTACACCTGCCAGATTTGCACTACTAAGTAAGGGGAACATTCCCATTTAAGTGTTCTGAACAAATGTAACATGTATCTCAGTCTCTGTGTATCCCCAAAGCATGAGTAGTTTATTATGGGCAATGACTTTGAAACTACCTTTAAAATTATGGTAAATAAAACCACATTTACCTGTAATCTCCTTCAGCTACCACTATCATTCACTCATAGCAATGGAGAGCAATCATTCAGTTAATTTTCCTGGATGGTTTCTGTAACATTAATAATTTTAGACATCATCCTCATCATCTTCTGTTCCCATCAATGCTCTTTGTTCTGCTTATAAATATTTCATACCATATCTTTTGTTTCATGTTGAGGTTTAATAATCCGATTTCTCATTTGCTGTCCTTTTGATATATTATTCTCATTAGAGTGGAAGGGCAAGAGTTGAATGGATTTTGTGGAACCAAGTCTAAGAATCTTAAAACTTCTAAAAGTATCTGCTCTATCAGAATCTGTGATTTAAAAAATACAGCTAGGAGGCTAGAGAGATGTGTTTAAGAGACATTGATTCAAGGTCAATAATTTTTTGGGGGGGTAGCACAGAAAAAGAAAACATTTTAAATTTGAAAAATTATTTGGTTCTGCGTGAAAGTTAACTAAAATGGCTCTCCAATTTAAACAATTTTAAAAGACTGACAAAAAATAAGGCAAACATAGTCTCATGAAAGCAAGCCATTGGATGAAACATAATGGATCTATAATACATTAGACAGATAAATAGATAAAAAAATAGACTTACTGTTAAGGATTACTGGATACATTTATGCTGATTCTCTGAACACACTAAAGTAGATACTGTAGTTGAAGCTCATCAAGAAAGTGAATCAGCTAGTAGAACCATTTTCTCTTTTCAAAGTACTTGGCAGTGCTTCCTAGCAGGGATTCCACTTGCATCAGTAGGATGTTTCCAGTGGAAGAACACCGTGGCATTATCCTTGAGTTATGTGCTGTGAGATTGCTTTATAGGTAAGAGCCTGTTATTATTGTGGTAGTTTTGATTTGTCAAGAATCAAGCACTCTTTGGATGGGGTATAAGACGGACTAGCTTCTTAATGAAAATGACTCAGTAGCAGATAGTTTTGCAGAGAGGTTTCGCTCTATTTGCATTTGACAGATGAACATATTAGTTGCTAGAGTTTCTTGGTGAAATAAAACCAAATTGTTAGCAGAATGCAGGCCAGGTTACATCTAATCAAGGTTTGGGATCTGTTTTAAATATCTCTTCTGGCCTTCAGAAAAGGATGAAACCTGTAATCCCAGCGCTTTGGGAGGCTGAGTCAGGTGGATCACTTGAAGTCAGGAGTTTGAGACTAGCCTGCCAACATGGTGAAACCTCGTCTGTACTCAAAATACAAAAATTAGCCAGGAGTGGTGGTGTGTGTCTGTAGTCCCAGCTACTTGGGAGGCTGAGGCAGGAGGATCGCTTGAACCTGGGAGGCAGAGGTTGCAGTGCAGAGATTGCACCACTGCACTCCAGCCTGAGCGACAGAGAGAGACTCTGTGTAAAAACAAACAAACAAACAAACAAAGAATAAAACCATCCATAGTTGGATTGTTTCCACTATCCTTCAGATAGCTTATTTAAAGGTGTAACAATATGTGCTCTGAATCTATCACATTATGTTCCAAAGCTGTCTTCTGAATTCTGTCCTCTGGCAAAGGACCAACTGCCCATAATTTTTTCTTTTTACTCACGGATGTTAAAAATCCTTATTGCCATCCCTTTTCTCAGTGGAACGATGGAAATTTCTGTGACCTTTTCACACGGGGCTTGATTTTCTCACCTGGTGTCCCCCTGAAACTCTTTCCAGGTTCTTCTGGTCATGGGATTTAACAACTTAAGGAGGTGGTCCTGATACCACAGAAGGCTTGGCTCTTTAGTCCCCAAGGCTTAGGCCACCCCCTTGGCTCTTTAGTCCCCAAGGCTTAGGCCAATCCTTATCCTGCAGCCTCCCACTACTCACCTTCCTAATACTGCTGTTCTTGGAACTCCATTCTCACCTGTTACTCGAGAGCAATGCACATAACAATTCCCCACAGGGCTGCCTTATGCATGGGGCAGAGATGTGATTCCAGGGTTAAGAAAAAGGCCCTCCATCTCCCACCTCCTCCCTGGAGTCTGCTCTTCCTTCCATAGGAAGCAAAGCCTTAAATACACAATTAGATAAAGCTTGTAATGCAAATACACTCCAAGAGAGATAATATGGCAAGTAGCTTTATTTGTATAATTTTATAAATGCCTAATTTAAGACCCAGAAATCATGCTGTATGAGAGTTGGAAGGAGAGGGAGTGCAAAGACACTGAGGTAGTACAAGAGGGCTAGAAAAAGTGGCAAATCTTGATGTAGTTCAAGAGTGCTAGAAAAAGTGTCAAATTTGACTTTGCTTACTCCATCCCACTATCCCTTTTTATCAGAAGAGGACCCTGAAACTACGGGGTAGTAAAGGATGCTGTATTAGTCTGTTCTCACACTGCTAATAAAGACATACCCAAGACTGGGTAATTTATAAAGGAAACAGGTTGAATTGACTCACAGTTCCACATTGCTGGGGAGGGCTCACAATCACAGCAGAAGGCGAATGAGGAGCAAAGTCATGTCTTATATGGTGGCAGGCAAGAGAACTTTTGCAGGAAAACTCCCAGTTATAAAACCATCAGATCTTGTGAGACTTATTCACTACCATGAGAACAGTATGGGGGAAACTGACCCCATAATTCGATTATCTCCACCTAGCTATGCCCTTGACACATGGGGCTTATTACAACTGAAGGTGAGATTTGAGTGGGAACACAGTCAAACCATATCAGATGCCTTCTTGGGCTTTCAGCAAGAGTTGAACTGTCCATTGCTTAAGTCTAGTCCTGAGTGTATCACTTCTGCACTTACCTTCAAAGCTCCCTGGTTCTTTACTTGGCCATGTCCAGTCTACTGGTGATTCCATCAAAGGCATTCTTCATTCTATTACAATGTCATTGATTTCTAGCATTTCCCTTTGATTATTTCTTAGAGTTGCCATCTCTCTGCTTACGTTAAGCATCTGTTTTCACATATTATCTACTTTTTTCAGTAGAGCTTTTAACGTATTAATCACAGTTATCACTCTAAATTCCATTTCTGATTATTTCAACATATGTCATTTCTGAATTTTGTTTTGATGCTTGCTTTGTCTTTTCAGATTGTGTCTTTTTTTCTTGCTTTTGGCATGCCATGTGACTTTTCTTTGAAAGCCTGACATGTTTGTATCAGGAATAGGAACTGAGGTAAACAGGCCTTTAGTGTGAGGACTTATGATAATCTAGCTAGGAATTGGGCTGTGCTTGCTGTTTGCCATCACTACGGGTTTCAGGGCCTTCAAATTCCTCTAGTGTCCTTGTTTTGTCTCCTCTCTTGACTTTGAGCTTTCCCGTGCACACCTCATCAGAGAGAGTTTGGTCTCCACAGCTCTTTAGCTATAATCCACTATTGTTATTCTGGAGCCGTGCTGGTGTGGTGCTAAGGTATAGGGGAGAGAAAAGAATTCTGTAATATAATTAGTGGCCTTATGTCTCTTATCTGTGATTTTAACAATTATGTTGCCATTGTATAGCCTTTATTTTCCCCTTAGATGAGAAAGAAAGGCTAGAGTGTGCAGAAAGGTAAGGAATGCCCTTCCCATCCTTCCCCCAGCTGGGATAAGGCTCTGGTAGTCTTTTCCCTCATTGAGTAGGCCTTCGTTAAGGAGAAGACTCTGGGCCTTTTTCACATTGGTTATTATTTCCCTCCCCCTGACAGAGCCATCAGCATGTCTTTTTTAGATCTTCACTGTGAGAACCTGGTGAGGTTCTGAAGGTAAATCCAAGAAAGTATGGGTCTGCCCTAAGACTGTAGTCTCCAGGAGTTTCTTACTCTTATGCCAATCTACCATCGGTCGCCAGTAAATCATCACTATTACCATTTAAGATTGTCTGCCAGTTTATGGATCCAGTAGCTTCTGCTCCAGGTAAGCAGATCCTGGCTGTCACTTTCTGGATTCATCTCTCTCTTTTCAGATTTTGGATGGTGGCTTGCCTGTAACCTCAGTTCCTGATGGGTCTAAGAAAAATCATTGATTTTTTAGTTCTTTCAACTTTTTCTTTTAAGGACAGGAGTAACGACTTTCAAGCTCTTTATATGTCAGAGCTGAAACCAGAAGTCTATATTACTTGTTTATGCAACATCCCTTTGGTGTTTCTACTGGCATAGATCTAAGTCTATGAGGAACATGACATATTTCTCTCAGTGCATTACTCTTGGGGATAAAGGACATTTTAAAAAGAATTTGAAGTGGCTGTAGTTTATTCACAGTTACACATAAATCGGGTCTGATAATAGAGGGTTGAGAGTAAAACAATGACTTTGAAAAGTAAAGCAATTAAATGGATTCTAAACTCTTATGGGACCCTCAGAATATAGAAATATTCTTCCCCACCAAAATTACCCCTTCCCTGTGAAATGCCATGTCAAACTCTCTTGATATGGGGCACAAGTTCATATAAACTAAATATTTGAAAACAATTTTGAGTTCTATAAAACATCTCTCATTTTTCCAACTCTGATTCTTTGATCTGCCTCTGTAATTATTTTTAATAATACTACACATATAATCAGTTTGCAAAAATTCTACTCATCCTGTAAGGGTCAGACCATATACTACTTCTGTTCACTTAGATTGAAACTTCTCCCACCTTATCTTTAATTATGGCAATGGTATGCTGGAGACAGTTCATACTGGCTGAGAAGAGCTGAACGTGTGGATATATCTCCTCAATTCCACGTTCAGTGACATCACATTGGTACATGAAATCAGCTATGATGAGAGTATTTACACCATGGAGATTGGATAACAGTATAAATCAGAACTTATTTTCCCCTGCAGAGCCAGCTAAACATTTAATATGCACCACTGTGTGTGTCTGTGAATGTAGACAGATATAGATAAATAGAGAAGCAGAGAGACAGAGGCAAAGAGATACATTATAGTTGTTTACATACTTATATCTTACTCTATTCTGTAGCTCCTTGTGTATAGTTGTAGTGGGAAGGTATTATTTTTTTCCTCTCAGGTATCCATTCCCTCTTTTTAATTGAGGAAGCATTGGTCCACTATTTCATTGCTGGCCATTTGGATGAGGCTTACTTCTCTCTTGGCTCCAGGGGCAGACATGAACTTGATAAAGTAGTATATTGGTTCCTTTCAGTCATAGTAATTGGTTTAAGAATAGTCACATAACGTAAAATGAATCAATTACAGCCAATGGACAAAAGCACTGGGGCTTAAGCTGGGACTCTTGGAAAAGCGCTGACTTTTCACTGAGGTCCTAAGTTGGAACTGGTGGTGGCCATTTAGCCAACACAATGGTAGAATCAGTCTAAGAATAAAGTCAGTGAGGAGACAGAGGAAATTTCTGATAATTTTGATAGATCTATTCTTAAGTTACATTCTTATTCAAGTATGTGAGCCAATATATACATTTTTTAATATCGATAGTTTGAATTGGGTTTCTGTCACTGGCAAGCAAAAGAGCCCTGACTAATGTAGTGAATAAAATATATCATAGTTAAAAAAAATAATGATAGCCCCACAGCAGCATAATGCCCTGTCTATGCAGAGGTCAACAATTATTTGTTTAATGAAAGAATGAATCTAATGTAAAATACAGATGCAAAGCTTGCTGTCAATGTGGTGTATATTTATTTCTTCTCCAGAACCTTATTAAGTATTTGAATGGCTTGTTCATATCAGATTGCATTCATTTCTAAAGAGGAAGAAATTGTGTCTTATTATATGAGCTTTACTCCCTCTGTGCTGTTTGACTTTTATTTGTTATTTAAATAAATAATTTCTTCAGATAAGTGAGATATAATAAGTACTACTGTCTTGGGTCTTTGAAGGCTAAGAATTCCATTCTTTAAAACATGAAATGATTTATAAAAATTAATCATTATTCCATGAATAAGCTATTTGGAAGTAATGTTTAGACATAAAAGAGGACATTAATCTAGGATGATAAAATGTAAAATAATCCACAATAAAGCACAGATTTTCAAAAGGTGACAAATACTATAACTACCAAAAAACACAGAGGAAAAGAGAATGATTTTTTAAAATTAAGTAACTGCCTAAAGGTCTGTACAATAGTTTCCTTCTCTGTTTGCATACTCTTTGGTTGCCACTACATATAACAATTTTGTGATATCTTTTTCTCTAGAGAAAAATAGAAAGATAATCCAGTCTTTCCTCTAGAAAAATAATTCTTTTTGAGGTCATCATCAATGGTTTTTCATTCATTAAACCAAACAAAACCCATGCCTTTTGTTGGCTGGTATTGGCCTCTTCTGTGCCCTATCATTTTTTGGCTACATGTGCTTAGCTTTTAAACATGTTGAGGAAGAAACTGTTTCATGTTTTGTCCATAAGTGTTCAGCTCAGGGAGAGGCAAAGGTCCTTTTTCTTTCCTCGGTATCTAATGGAAATTCATTATTAAAAAAACAGAAGTGGCAGTGCATTTATTTCATTTTAGAAGTTTTTTGTACAATAAGGTGGGGATGCTGAGGGCAATTTTCTTTTCATTACTTTATATCAAGTGGATTCAGTCTGCTCTTCTGTATGCTTTCCGGTTTTAGTTACTTCACTGGCTAATTGGGTGGAAAGCTTTCTCCTTAACCATTTTATTTTCTCTTTTCAGTGATCAATTGCTGATACAGAAAACAACAGAAGACCCTATTGGAGGACATGCCACCCAGAGCTAGTCTACATGTTGCGCCTCAGTGTCATTTCATGACCAGAGTATCAGTTCCAAGGACAGCCATGGAAACTGAGCCAGGTATTGGACTCAACATTGTATTATGTACTGCAATATTTTACCCCACAGCTAAATCAAGGGACAATGGAAGAGACTCTCCTTGGTTTTTTTTAACATGAGTGGATGTTGAATTCTATTGAAAGCCTTTTCTGCATCTATTGAGATAATCATGTGTTTTTTGTCTTTAGTTTTGTTTATTTGATGAGTCACATTTATTGATTTGCATATGTTAAACCAATCTTGCATCCCAGGGATAAAGCCTACTTGATTGTGGTGAATTGTTAGCTTTTTGGTATGCTGTTGGATTCAGTTTGCTAATATTTTCTTGAGGATTTTTGCATCTGTGTTCATCAAGGATATTGGTCTAAAGTGGTTTTGTGTGTGTGTGTGTGTTTGTGTGTGTGTGTGTGTGTGTGTGTCTGCCAGGTTTTGGTATCAGGATGATGCTGGTCTCATAGAATGAGTTGGGGAGAAGTTTCTCCTTGTCAATTTTTTGGAACAGTTTTGGTAGGAATGGTGCTAGCTCTTCTTTGTACATCTGCTAGAATTCAGCTATGAATCTGGCTGGTCAAGGGATTTTTTTGTTGTTGTTGGTAGGCTATTTATTACTGATTCAACTTTAGAGCTTGTTATTGACTGTTCATGGATTCAGTTTCTTCTTGATTCAGTCTTGGGAGGATGTATGTGTCCAGAAATGTATCCATTTCTTGTAGATTTTCTAGTTTGTATGCATAGAGATGTTCATAGTAGTCTCTGATGGTTATTTGTATTTCTGTGGGGCCAGTGGTAATGTCCCCTTTGTCATTCCTAATTATGCTTACTTGGATGTTCTCTCTTTTCTTCTTTATTATTCTAGCTGTGGTCTATTTACCTTATTAATTTTTTCAAAGAATCAATTCTTGTCTTTGTTGATTTTTGGAATGGTTTTTGGCATCTCAATTTCCTTCAGTTCAGCTCTGGTTTAGGTTATTTCTTGTCTTCTACTAGCTTTTGGGTTGGTTTGCTCTTGTTTATCTAGTTCTAATTGTGATGTTGTTCTAGTTGTGATGTAGTTCTAGTTGTGATGTTGTTAATAGAAAGGTTGTTAATCTTTCTTTCTTATGTGGGTATTTAGTGCTGTAAATTTCCCTCTTAACACTGCCTTAGCTGTGTTCCAGAGATTCTGGTATGTTGTATCTCTGTTCTCATTTTCAAAATCAAGAAGTTTCAAGTAACTTTGTGATTTCTTTCTTAATTTGATTATTTGCCCAAAAGTCATTCAGGAGCAGGTTGTTTAATTACCATGTAAACGTATGGTTTTCAGCGATTTTCTTTGTATTTAATTCCATCTTTAGTGCACTGTGGTCTGAGAGTGTGGTTGGTATAATTTCGATTTTCATGAATTTACTGAGGAATGTTTTATATCTGATTGTGTGGTCGATTTTGGAGTATGTGCCATGAGAAGAATGTATATTCTGTTGTTTTGGGGTGGAGAGTTCTGGAGATGTTTATTAGGTCCATTTGGTCAAGTGCTGAGTTCAGGTCCTTAATAACTTTGTTCATTTTCTGCCTCAATGATCTGTTTAATACTCTCAATGGGGTATTGAAGTCTCCCACTATTTTTGTGTGAGAGTTTAAGTCTCTTCATAGGTCTCTAAAAACTTGCTTTATGAATGTGGGTCCTCCTGTGTTGGGTATATATATATATATATTTACACATTTTGATGTGGAATGATGAAGGAATGTTAAGGTCAAGTTGCAGAAAAGCATGTGAGGTGAGATATTTTGGTGACCATCTTTGGAAAATACAACCTGTTATGAATAGTAATCAGGCTCATGAGTAACACCAAATTCAGAAAAATTATTTGTACTTAAGATAAAAGATAAAGGCACTTTGAGAAGGTAAGCTTCTACAGGAAAGATTCCTTATTTAGTATGGTATCTGTCTACAACCTCATTTAAAGCCTATCTCCTTTTCTCCACTAAAAACAGAAACTTTTTTACCAAGAGAAGAAACAAGAAAAAGTGTAAACTCACATTACTTTCCAAAACTAAGACCAATATAATATCAAGAATTCTTTTCATGGCATATCTGGACTCTGAGTCATGAAATAGAGTAGATCTAAAAACATAAGTAGGAAGACAAAAATGAATAAAATACTCAGCTAAAAGATGGGAAATAATTGGTGGCATAAAGGGACTAATGGCCTTGGGCAATTCTAAACATTTCAGTATTTTATTACTAAATCAAACACATCAGCAATGGTGTACAGATTTAAGGACACAAAAACACCCCATCATAATGTTTTGGTTGATCAGCTTCAGCTGGTTCAGCCTTTAACATTTTAGGGTGAATGTTTTGGCAAAAATTGAAGGAAAGAATAATAAAAGATGAAAACAGTTGGAAATAGTCTAGAGAATGCAATGTTAAACATTAATTGAATAACTACAGACGTGTTTGCAGTGGGGACAGGCAGATTTTCAATATACTTAGAAAATCTGGCCTAGGAGGAAGTAGGGTAGTCTCACAGTGGCAAGAGAAAGAAAAGACAGCCTCTGTCTTTAGGAACTGAAGACCCAGAGGTAGCAGTGCTAATAGTTGGCTGGTGCCTTGGGGGAGGCAGAGAGGCTCCAGCCAGCTGCGGAATGCTGGAGCTTTAGAACTTGGGGAGCAGGAAGAGAACAAAAAATAGTGACAGAGAAAAAGAAAATAACTTATTAGTGGGGTAGTAGGGGTTGGGATTTCAGCAATAAACATACCTTAGGAATGGGATTAAGTTCAGTCATGGCTGTAGGCATGAGGGCAATTCATATTCTAAAATTTACTGGAAAATATTTTGGTGGAGGTAATCACATGGCATAAAGGAAATGTCTGTCCACAGGTCCTTTGAAAGGGCGCCTGTTTTGCTGAGCAGAAACAGATAACTCATTCTCAGAAGCATGTGTGCTCGGTATTCATATGCATCAGAAACATTTTTTTCCTGTGACACTTCTAATGTCTTGCTTACTGACACAACATTTTCATTCCTGGCTCTTTTCTTGACCAGAAGCATTGATGTAATTTGAAAAGAAGATAACTTTAGCTTCAGAGAACTTAGCCAAATTCCATAAATCTAAAAATTTTTTTGTGGTTTTTCATTTCCAATATTTAGGTAATTCTGCCTCTATTTACCTTTATCTATCTGCTCTTCTGAACTCTAATAGGCTAATTCAGAGGTACATTCCCACATTATTTTTATTAATTTGTGTAATGGAAATACATCTACCTTCCTCTTATGTCTTCTTGAGTATGTTTAGGAATGTGCTTCCAAACTAAAATACTTGAAGTGGCCCCTAATGGTGAGTGGTGGCCCAGTGACAGAGCTTCTCCTTTGAGCTCAGTGTAAGAGGGAAGGCTACTCTAATCTATCTGTACCAGCTGCAAGTGTGTAAAAACTCCTTGTTATAACCCATGCATCACTTCTGGACCTAATTTTAGCGACTAGTTTGAAGTATACTTTCCTTTTATCATAAGTTTTACAGAAATATTGAAGTTAGCACAAGTTTCAGGGTATAAATTTCTGAAGTGAATGGAATCAATGGGATCAGCTTCAGATCCCATGAAGTGTAATGGGGTCACCTAGTGTTCTTAATGGGTCACAGTTTCTTTAAAAAATCTTACAGGAACTATGGGCCATATTCTGTAAGCGAAAGCAAATAGACATCAATTTTGTATACAGTTTTAGAAAGTTCAGAAATGTCTCTGCCCAGCCATGAAATAGCTTCAAATCTAGATCAATTCATTATTTTGTATTTAGAAAACAGTTAAGTATATGGATAAAGGTTTATTTGTGGAGAATTTCTTAATAATTATGTTGAAATAAGTTTAATATCTGTTTCCATTGAATCGAAGTACTTTTTTCTCTCATCCAGATGACTTTTGACACATTTAGATGATTGCTTAGATTTAGTTGTATTTTATCTTGGCCAGTATGTGTTTGACTAAAATTGGATGAGGAGTTTGTGCAGATGAGAGGGTTTCAACATCCATTTATGCTGCATCATCCAAGCATCCATACTTATATTTCCAAATAGGTCTTGAAGTCACACTCAACTTATTTAAATATTCATTTAACAGGAAATAAGTGCTGCTTGTGAATCATTGTGTTAAAAAATCATACTTACTGATTCAGAACAGCTTCCTTTAATAACCTCTAACCCTAATCTTGCACCAGTACTTATTTATCATGCTTTATATCTTTGTTCCTTTTGTTTAGGTAAGCATTTATATTTAAAATTTTTGTCATATTTTGTGGTTGTACACTCAATCCTGATTTTTTAATCTTAACATGATAGGTCAACCACACTGCTCCGATATTGTTATTGCATAGTATCAACTTTTTCCTCATTTGCAGTAATTGCTCTTTAACAAGTCTCTGATCACTAGCCAATCTGTTCTGCTACGTCCCTTTCTCTGGTTGCCATGGCAACCGATAAGCTGGTCAAAATTTCATATCCAGTTTCCTTATGAGCCTGACAGAGGCCTTTCAGAAATACTAGTATATCTTAAAAAGTTACTTAAAAAACAGCAACGGCAACAACACATGATTTTCAGCTAGAATGTTTATAGAATGTACCATAGACTTTGAGATGGAAAGGACCTTAGATTTCATCTGCTCCTCCTTTCTGCCCAGTTCAAAAAATCCCCTGTATTAGATCACTGGCAAGTATTCATCTAACTTTGGAAACTGTGATAGGACATCCTCACTTTTTGGTGCAGTCTGTTCATTGTCGATGACTGTAATAATTATATAGTTATATCTTGTATTTATTAGGAATATGCTTCCCAGTAACTTCTTTTTTTTTTATTATTATACTTTAAGTTTTAGGGTACAAGTCCACAACATGCAGGTTTGTTGCATATGTATACATGTGCCATGTGGGTGTGCTGCACCCATTAACTCGTCATTTAACATTAGGTATATCTCCAAATGCTATCCCTCCCCCGTCACCCCACCCCACAACAGGCCCCAGAGTGTGATGTTCCCCTTCCTGTGTCCAAGTGTTCTCATTGTTGAATTCCCACCTATGAGTGGGAACATGCGGTGTTTGGTTTGTTCCTTGCGATAGTTTGCTGAGAATGATGGTTTCCAGCTTCATCCATGTCCCTACAAAGGACATGTACTCATCATTTTTTAAGGCTGCATAGTATTCCATGGTGTATATGTGCCACATTTTCTTAATCCAGTCTATCATTGTTGGACATTTGGGTTGGTTCCAAGTCTTTACTATTGTGAATAGTGCCACAATAAACATACATGCGCATGTGTCTTTATATCAGCATGATTTATAATCCTTTGGGTATATACCCTGTAATGGGATGGCTGGGTCAAATGGTATTTCTAGTTCCAGTTCCTTGAGGAATAGCCACACTGTCTTCCACAGTGGTTGAACCAGTTTGTAAACTGTAGTCCCACCAATAAAAAGTGTTCCTATTTCTCCACATCCTCTCCAGCACCTGTTGTTTCCTGACTTTTTAATGATTGCCATTCTAACTGGTATGAGATGGTATCTCATGGTGGTTTTGATTTGCATTTCTCTGATGGCCAGTGATGATGAGCATTTTTTCAGTGTCTGTTGGCTGCATAAATGTCTTCTTTTGAGAAGTGTCTGTTCATGTCCTTTGCCCACTTTTTGATGGGGTTGTTTGTTTTTTTCTTGTAAATTTGTTTGAGTTCATTGTAGATTCTGGATATTAGCCCTTTGTCAGATGAGTAGATTGCAAAAATGTTCTCCCATTCTGTAGGTTGCCTGTTCACTCTGATAGTAGTTTCTTTTGCTGTGCAGAAGCTCTTTAGTTTAATTAGATCCTATTTGTGAATTTTGGCTTTTGTTGCCATTGCCTTTGGTGTTTTAAACATGAAGTCCTTGCCCATGCCTGTGTCCTGAATTGTATTGCCTAGGTTTTCTTCCAGGGATTTTATATTTTTAGGTCTAACATTTAAGTCTTTAATCCATCTTGAATTAATTTTTGTATAAGGTGTAAGGAAGGGATCCAGTTTCAGCTTTCTACATATGGCTAGCCAGTTTTCCCAGCACTATTTATTAATAGCCTACCAACCAAAAAAAGTCCAGGACCGGACAGATTCACAGGTGAATTCTACCAGAGGTACAAGGAGGAGCTGGTACCATTCCTTCTGAAACTATTCTAATCAATAGAGAAAGAGGGATTGCTCCCTAACTCATTTTATGAAGCCAGCATCATCCTGATACCAAAGCCTGGCAGAGACACAACAAAAAAAGAGAATTTTAGACCAATATCCCTGATGAACATTAATGCAAAAATCCTCAATAAAATACAGGCAAACCGACTCCAGCAGCACATCAAAAAGCTTATCCACCATGATCAAGTGGGCTTCATCCCTGGAATGCAAGGCTGGTTCAACATACACAAATCAATAAACATAATCCAGCATATAAACAGAACCAATGACAAAAACCATATGATTATCTCAATAGGTGCAGAAAAGGCCTTTGACAAAATTCAACACTTCATGTTAAAAACTCTCAATAAATTAGGTATTGATGGGACATATCTCAAAATAATAAGAGCTGTCTATGACAAACCCACAGCCAATATCATACTGAATGGGAAAAACTGGAAGCATTCCCTTTGAAAACTGGCACAAGACAGGGACGCCCTCTCTCACCACTCCTATTCAACACAGTGTTGGAAGTTCTGGCCAGGGCAATCAGGCAGGAGAAAGAAATAAAGGGTATTCAGTTAGGAAAACATGAAGTCAAATTGTCCCTGTTTGCAGATGACGTGACTGTATATTTAGAAAACCCCATCGTCTCAGCCCAAAATCTCCTTAAGCTATAAGCAACTTCAGCAAAGTCTGAGGATACAAAATCAGTGTGCAAAAATCATAAGCATTCTTATATACCAATATCACACAAACAGAGACCCAAATCAGGAGTGAACTCACATTCACAATTGCTTCAAAGAGAATAAAATACCTAGAAATCCAACTTACAAGGGATGTGAAGGACCTTTTCAAGTTGAACTACAAACCACTGCTCAACGAAATAAAAGAGGACACAAACAAATGGAAGAACATTCCATGCCCATGGATAGGAAGAATCAATATCATGAAAATGGCCATACTGCCCAAGGTAATTTATAGATTCAATGGCATCCCCATTAAGCTACCAATGACTTTCTTTACAGAGTTGGAAAAAACTACTTTAAAGTTCATATGGAACCAAAAAAGGGCCCGCATTTCCAAGACAATCCTAAGCCAAAAGAACAAAGCTGGAGGCATCACGCTACCTGACTTCAAACTATACTACAAGGCTACAGTAACCAAAACAGCATGGTACTGGTGCCAAAACAGAGATATAGACCAGTGGAACAGAACAGAGCCCTCAGAAATAATACCACACATCTACAACCATCTGATCTTTGACAAACCTGACAAAAACAAGAAATGGGGAAAAGATTCTCTATTTAATAAATGGTGCTTCCCAGTAACTTCTATACACTAATTCTTGTTATTTTGTGTGAGATTTCACAAAATAAAAGGGGTTTATTTTTCATTTGTCAAACATTCAAATATTTGAAGACAGGTATTATGGAAGTTGTCATCTCAATTTTGCCTTCCCAGGATCCATTTCCCTTTCTTTCTATTGTAAGTCAATTTCCCAATGGGACATTATCTTCATCTCATTTCACAAAGGAGGAAACTGAGTCACAAAGAAGTGAAATGGCTTGCTTAGGGCCATGCATCTGGCAGATGGAGGTAATGAGATTCAGATCTATCTTTACGTAACCCCTACTAATGGTACCACCACACGTGAATAACAGTACAATCCCAGGAAATGGTCATGATTATAATTCAGAAATATAGCCAGTACCTAAAATACTCTCTCTCATACACATATCTATCTTCATTATGGCTTTTAATGTCGTACATTTTAGTATGTTTTAGTTCTTTGGAGATTGGTTAACAAGCCAAGGTATACGTGGCAGCATTTATTTGTCAGTGTTTAGTGAACTACAATACGGAATAGGGTCATCAAGATAGTTAACAGAGCTATTATACATGGAAAAGTGTATTTTAACATTTTATTGTCTATTTAATATTTTCATAAATTTTTTTTATTTAATAAAATTTTTTTTATTATTATTATACTTTAAGTTTTAGGGTACATGTGCACAATGTGCAGGTTAGTTACATACGTATACATGTGCCATGCTGGTGTGCTGCACCCAGTAACTTGTCATTTAGCATTAGATATGTCTCCTAATGCTATCCCTCCCCGCTCCCCCCACCCCACAACAGGCCCCAGAGTGTGATGTTCCCCTTCCTGTGTCCATGTGTTCTCATGTTCAATTCCCACCTATGAGTGAGAACATGCGGTGTTTGGTTTTTTGTCCTTGTGACAGTTTACTGAGAATGATGATTTCCAGTTTCATCCATGTCCCTACAAAGGACATGAACTCATCATTTTTTGTGGCTGCATAGTATTCCATGGTTTATATGTGCCACGTTTTCTTAATCCAGTCTATCATTGTTGGACATTTGGGTTGGTTCCAAGTCTTTGCTATTGTGAATAATACCGCAATAAACATACATGTGCATGTGTCTTTATAGCAGCATGATTTATAATCCTTTGGGTATATACCCAGTAATGGGAAGGCTGGGTCAAATGGTATTTCTAGTTCAAGATCCCTGAGGAATTGCCACACTGACTTCCACAATGGTTGACCTAGTTGACAGTCCCACCAACAGTGTAAAAGTGTTCCTATTTCTCCACATCCTCTCCAGCACCTGTTGTTTCCTGACTTTTTAATGATCGCCATTCTAACTGGTGTGAGATGGTATCTCATTGTGGTTTTGATTTGCATTTCTCTGATGGCCAGTGATGATGAGCATTTTTTCATGTGTCTGTTGGCTGCATAAATGTCTTCTTTTGAGAAGTGTCTGTTCATATCCTTTGCCCACTTTTTGATGGGGTTGTTTGTTTTTTTCTTGTAAATTTGTTTGAATTCATTGTGCATTCTGGATATTAGCCCTTTGTCAGATGAGTAGGTTGTGAAAATGTTCTCCCATTCTGTAGGTTGCCTGTTCACTCTGATGGTAGTTTCTTTTGCTGTGCAGAAGCTCTTTAGTTTAATTAGATCCCATTTGTCAATTTTGTCTTTTGTTGCCATTGCTTTTGGTGTTTTAGACATGAAGTCCTTGCCCATGCCTGTGTCCTGAATGCTAATGCCTAGGTTTTCTTCTAGAGTTTTTATGGTTTTAGGTCTAACATTTAAGTCTTTAATCTATCTTGAATTAATTTTTGTATAAGGTGTAAGGAAGGGATCCAGTTTCAGCTTTCTACATACTGCTAGCCAGTTTTCCCAGCACCATTTATTAAATAGGGAATCCTTTCCCCATTGCTTTTCTCAGGTTTGTCAAAGATCAGATAGTTGTAGATATGCGGCGTTATTTCTGAGGGCTCTGTTCTGTTCCATTGATCTATATCTCTGTTTTGGTACCAGTACCATGCTGTTTTGGTTACTGTAGCCTTGTAGTATAGTTTGAAGTCAGGTAGCGTGATGCCTCCACCTTTGTTCTTTTGGCTTAGGATTGACTTTGTGATGCGGGCTCTTTTTTGGTTCCATATGAACTTTAAAGTAGTTTTATCCAATTCTGTGAAGAAAGTCATTGGTAGCTTGATGGGGATGGCATTGAATCTATAAATTACCTTGGGCAGTATGGCCATTTTCACGATATTGATTCTTCCTACCCATGAGCATGGAATGTTCTTCCATTTGTTTGTATCCTCTTTTATTTCATTGAGCAGTGGTTTGTAGTTCTCCTTGAACAGGTCCTTCACGTCCCTTGTAGGTTGGATTCCTAGGTATTTTATTCTCTTTGGAGCAATTGTGAATGGGAGTTCACTCATGATTTGGCTCTCTGTTTGTCTGTTGTTGGTATATAAGAATGCTTGTGATTTTTGTACATTGATTTTGTATCCTGAGACTTTGCTGAAGTTGCTTATCAGTTTAAGGAGATTTTGGGCTGAGACAATGGGGTTTTCTAGATATACAATCATGTCGTCTGCAAACAGGGACAATTTGACTTCCTCTTTTCCTACTTGAATACCCTTTATTTCCTTCTCCTGCCTAATTGCTCTGGCCAGAACTTCCAACACTATGTTGAATAGGAGTGGTGAGAGAGGGCATTCCTGTGTTGTGCCAGTTTTCAAAGGGAATGCTTCCAGTTTTTGCCCATTCAGTATGATATTGGCTGTGGGTTTGTCATAGATAGCTCTTATTATTTTGAGATACATCCCATCAATACCTAATTTATTGAGAGTTTTTAGCATGAAGGGTTGTTGAATTTTGTCAAAGGCCTTTTCTGCATCTATTGAGATAATCATGTGGTTTTTGTCTTTGGTTCTGTTTATATGCTGGATTACATTTATTGATTTGGGTATATTGAACTGGCCTTGCATTCCAGGGATGAAGCCCACTTGATCATGGTGGATAAGCTTTTTGATGTGCTGCTGGATTCAGTTTGCCAGTATTTTATTGAGGATTTTTGCATCAATGTTCATCAAGGATATTGGTCTAAAATTCTCTTTTTTGGTTGTGTCTCTGCCCAGCTTTGGTATCAGGATGATGCTGGCCTCATCAAATGAGTTAGGGAAGATTCCCTCTTTTTCTATTGATTGGAATAGTTTCAGAAAGAATGGTACCAGTTCCTCCTTGTACCTCTGGTAGAATTCGGCTGTGAATCCATCTGGTCCTGGACTCTTTTTGGTTGGTAAGCTATTGATTATTGCCACAATTTCAGATCCTGTTATTGGTCTATTCAGAAATTCAACTTCTTCCTGGTTTAGTCTTGGGAGGGTGTATGTGTCGAAGAATTTGTCCATTTCTTCTAGATTTTCTAGTTTATTTGAGTAGAGGTGTTTGTAGTATTCTCTGATGGTGGTTTGTATTTCTGTGGGATCAGTGGTGATATCCCCTTTATCATTTTTTATGGCGTCTATTTGATTCTTCTCTCTTTTCTTCTTTATTAGTCTTGCTAGTGGTATATCAATTTTGTTGATCCTTTCAAAAAACCAGCTCCTGGATTCATTAATTTTTTGAAGGGTTTTTTTGGTATCTATTTCCTTCAGTTCTGCTCTGATTTTAGTTATTTCTTGCCTTCTGCTAGCTTTTGAATGTGTTTGCTCTTGCTTTTCTAGTTCTTTTAATTGTGATGTTAGGGTGTCAATTTTGGATCTTTCCTGCTTTCTCTTGTGGGCATTTAGTGCTATAAATTTCCCCCTACACACTGCTTTGAATGTGTCCCAGAGATTCTGGTATGTTGTGTCTTTGTTCTCATTGGTTTCAAAGAACATCTTTATTCCTGCCTTCATTTCGTTATGTACCCAGTAGTCATTCAGGAGCAGGTTGTTCAGTTTCCATGTAGTTGAGCGGTTTTGAGTGAGTTTCTGAATCCTGAGTTTTAGTTTGATTGCACTGTGGTCTGAGACAGTTTGTTATTATTTCTGTTCTTTTACATTTGCTGAGGAGAGCTTTACTTCCCAGTATGCGGTCAATTTTGGAATAGGTGTGGTGTGGTGCTGAAAAAAATGTATATTCTGTTGATTTGGGGTGGAGAGTTCTGTAGATGTCTATTAGATCCGCTTGGTATAGAGCTGAGTTCAATTCCTGGGTATGCTTGTTAACTTTCTGTCTCTTTGATCTGTCTAATGTTGACAGTGGGGTGTTAAAGTCTCCCAGTATTATCGTGTGGGAGTCTAAGTCTCTTTGTAGGTCACTCAGGACTTGCTTTATGAATCTTGGTGCTCCTGTATTGGGTGCATATATATTTAGGATAGTTAGCTCTTCTTGTTGAATTGATCCCTTTACCATTATGTAATGGCCTTCTTTGTCTCTTTTGATGTTTGTTGGTTTAAAGTCTGTTTTATCAGAGACTAGGACTGCAACCCCTGCCTTTTTTTGTCTTCCATTTGCTTGGTAGATCTTCCTCCATCCTTTTATTTTGAGGCTATGTGTGTCTCTGCACGTGAGATGGGTTTCCTGAATACAGCACACTGATGGGTCTTGACTCTTTATCCAAGTTGCCAGTCTGTGTCTTTTAATTGGAGCATTTAGTCCATTTACATTTAAAGTTAACATTGTTATGTGTGAATTTGATCCTGTCATTATGATGTTAGCTGGTTATTTTGCTCGTTAGTTGATGCAGTTTCTTCCTAGTCTCGATGGTCTTTACATTTTGGCATGATTTTGCAGTGGCTGGTACCGGTTGTTCCTTTCCATGTTTAGTGCTTCCTTCAGGAGCTGTTTTAGGGCAGGCCTGGTGATGACAAAATCTCTCAGTATTTGCTTGTTTGTAAAGTATTTTATTTCTCCTTCACTATTTAGAGTAGATATATCTGCAAATATTTGCAACAACTTTTGCAGAGTTTCATGATGTGTTGGAGTCAGAACAAAATAGTAATGGATGGCAACTGTAAACAAAGGAATTGGTATTATGCTAATTAAACTCAATATCTAAACATTCTGTCATAATTCTGCCCTATGTGTTATAAACAAGTAATGTTTCAATGATTAATCATTAAGTGACTAAAAATCCCAGCTTACTGAAATGTTCTTTATTTGATGTTAAGGATAATTTTCAACGTATTTTGGGCCCTTTGGCTCTGTTTTGATGACTTTTCTGTGCTTGGCCTCTCATTGAACTTATTTTATCTCTTGATCATTAGCTTGTTCTCTAAGACTTGGCTGGGAGACTTGCATCCCCGGGCAGAAAGAAGAATCAGCACTTTGTCAACTCCCCAGGTCTACCTGGCCATGAATTTGAGCAAATCTAGGGCAGCTTGGCAGAAGGGTTAGGCATAGCTCTTTGGCTGTCATTTCTATTTCTCTGTCACATTGTGTTAGGCCTGTTGCACCAGCAGGTGTCATACTGGTCTGCACTTTTCCACAGAAATACATCAGGTAAAAGTTCAGAATCAATTTCTGTTCCATATGCTCTGAAAAACAGAACACTAGCTTCAAGCAATCTACCATACAGAGTGGTAAGTTGCTCTATGTTAATTAGTGTATCAAATATGAAGACCTTTTGCCTCTCCTATATCTCTGATGGAAAGTGCACCAGTATTAGGGGTATCAATGTAGGAAGCTAGTCTGCCTTCTTCACATGGGTCAAAGGCTTTGCCGTGCTAAGGTTGAGGCTGTATTTCCAGAGAGACATGCATTTCACTCAGTACTTTTCAGACTACATCACAATCACTTGGAGGCCTGCTTGCAACAAGGATTGCTGGGATGTACCCCCAGAGTTTCCAAATCTGTGTTTTCTACAAGTTCCAAGATACTACTGATTCTGGGACCAGGTTTTTAGAGCCCCAGCTTTAACTTAAGGCTTTGTTTGCACTTGGCAGACTTATTCAGTTGGATAAATTAGGGTCGTTTTGTTTTCTTCTTCACTGTTTAATAGAATAGCCCAGAACTTGAAGATCTGGGGAGTAGCTCACATTACAAAGCCTTCTTAAAAATAAGGGCATGAGATAAAACCACACTTTAGGTATTCTGTTACATTGTAAGGTTTCTGGATGCAAGTTACAAAAATTATTTTAGCTAACTTAGGTACGCTATAATGAACACTGTAGGATTACCACCCTGGTCTCCTTTTCCAGCCACTGCACCCATTCCCTAAGAACTGAAAATGCTTGGATAATGGCTTACAGCTGTGACCTTCTTCAGCGAATTACCATTGACTGGCGAGAGGTGCCTCTCCCAGAGATGTCTAGGAATTTTCACACCCACTTTCCTTTGCTGGAGTGGTCACTGACTGATTGATATAAAGGTACTAAAGTCTAAATTTGCTCTTTCAGTCCACTTGAATTAAAATGGGACATTCTGTGGTGCAACTTACAGTCTGCAACAGTAATGTCCAATATAGAGCTAACCATATGTGGCTACTGAGACTTTGGAACCTGGCTAGTCTGAACTGAGATATGTCAGAACTGTAAAATACACAGTGATTTTGAAGATTTACAAAGAAGGAAAGAATGCAAAATGTTTTATGAATAATTTGTTATATTGATTACATGTAAAAATGACAATATTTTGCATATTTTGGGTTAAAGTGTATTAAAAATAATTTACCTATTTATTTGTACATATGTGGCTCACACAGTATTTCTGTTGGGCAGCACTGGTCTAGAGCCTCCATAGCCACAGGGGTCAGGTCAAAGTTCAACTTTATTTGAGACCATATATATCTCCAGAAAAAAAGTCAAGATTGGATAAGCAGAGGGCTGAGGTCAGCCTCCCAGCGGAAAGTCAGAATGCCTTAGCAGTTTCTACATCTGAACCGATTACTCTACTCAGAATTCATCAACTAAAGGAGAGTCTGGGTCCCCACAAGGAAAGACCTTCCAACACTATGGCAAAGATATACAGTAATGTGTGCATTTGATCACCCCATTCCTTCCCCCAAAGACACTTGTAGCTGTTTACTAGGTTAAAAATCAACTAGGGAAAAGAGAATACCCACACCTGTTGAGGGCTACTGGATACAGGCTTTGAATTGACATTGACACCAGGGAACTCAGACCATAATCACTGACCCCCTGTTAGAATAAGGACATATCAATTCTAGTCATAAATGGAGTTCTATTCCACATTCGTCTCATGGTGGGTCCATTAGGTCCATGGTGATCCATTAGGTGGCAGTTTTTTTAGTTCCTAAATGTATATTCATAATGGAACACTCACATTTGTTCTTTGACCTGTAAATCCAATTATTTTAGCAAGAAAAGCCAAGTAGAATCCTTGAAGTTGTTCTCTCCCTATCCCTGCCAATACAGTAAGTCAAATTATAATGCATCCCAAGGAAAATGACAGAGATTAGTGCCATATTCAAAGACCAAAATAATGCAGACATGGTGGTCTCAATCATAACTTCATTTAATTTACTAGTATAAAACTTGCAATAACTTGATGAATTGTGACATATCAAAGTGGATTACCAGGCACTTAACTAAGTACTAGCCCTAAATGAAGTCTCTATGACACAGTTTGCAGCTATCAATCTTGTGAATACATTCTTTCCATACCACCAGGGAAGAATAAATGATTCACCTTCATATTGAATAGTCAAAGTGCCTATCACAGTCTGTCTCCAGGTCAATGTTAACTCTTCCATCTGCTGCACAACATAATCTTAAATGGAACTTGCCAGGCTGGACATTCTTCTGAACATTACTTTCATTCAATATATCTATGGCAATGTGTTTAATAGACCTGAAGAGCAAGAAGCTCTCAGCCTTCAGACTACCTTAGTAAACTCATGTACACCAGAAGGTGAGAGATAAATACCACAAAAATTCAGAGGGCTGCCACATTGGTGAAGAGGTTAGGGGTGCAGAAAGCTGAAGCACGCTGACATTCTCTCCAAAGCAAAGGATATGATGCTGTATCCTGTACCTCCTACCATAAAGAGAGAAGCAAAATGCTTGGCATTCCTTTTTGTTGTTTTTGAGGTAGCACTTGAGAATACTGCTAGTTTTGAGTGGGATATAGAGCAAGAAAAGACTGTGTAGCACATCAAGAATGCAGTATAAACATGTCTGCCATTTAGGTCATATAAACCATGGTATCAGAGATAACTGTGGTAGAAAAAGATGACACTAGAAAAGTCCCAGTTGAAGAGTGGCAGAGAAGAACCCTAGAATTCTGAAACAGGCTATTCAATCTTCTGCAAAGAGCTGTACACCATTTATAAAACACTCTTAGGATGCCCCTGGGACTTCAGAGAGACTGAGCATCTAAGCATGGAACATGAAGTGACCATATAGCCAGAGTTGCCCATCATGAGTTGGGAGAGTATCAAATCCTCTCATTCACAAAGTTAGGAGGGCCCAGCAGCAACCTACTGTAAGTAAGATGGTAGGATCCATTGTAAGAGGAAAATAATACTTTTGAGAGTTTTGAGCAAGGCTAGAGGCATAGTCAAGCTGCAGAAAGAGGTAGTGCACACTCCCCTATTACGTAAGTTGCTCAGATACTTATACCTTAGCTTGGAACAGATGACTTTGATGGGCATTCCATCCATCCAGTGGACAGAAGTTTTGAAAGAAAACATAAACAGGGCTTGGTTTATGGATTGGCTGACTTGCTATGTTGGTGCAAACACAAAATTGACTGATTTTGAACTATAGCTGCACTCAGAGATGTCTCAGAAAGACTGTGGTATGGGGGAAATCCTCCTAAAGGCAGAGCTTTGGATAGTGAACCTCATCAATTCTGGATTTAAGAGAAGAAACCTCTGGCACAAGACACATGGCTGTGGCAAATGACTTAGCTGGTTGGTCAGAGGCCTGGGCAAGGAGCAAGATTAGGTTAAGAAGGATTAGGAAGATTAGAGTCAAAGAAATAAAGTCTTTTCCATATGGATAGACATATGGGAGGGGGCACAATATGTAAGGATTTTTGCATGTACATGAGATAGTATCCATTCCAGAAGAGGCACTAAAATTGTACATAAGCAGGATAGTTTTGAAAACATGAGTTTATTTGAAAACTAAAGGAACTGCACAGGCAATACCTAAATAATTTTGATAGCTTTTCTGATTTAGGGATGTAGTGGGGGAAAAGAAAATACAGGTGCAGTGTTTAGAATGTAGAGACTAGAAAACACATTTTCAGACTTCTCAATATTGTGAAATTAAGCACTGTTTTATTATTTTGGATACCAAATTAGCCTATGACTTTGAAAATTTTTCCATCTTGCAGACAGAAGACTTTTAGAAGTGTTTAGGATATGTTTTCTGGCTTCCAAGGTCTTAGGATGCTTTAAAAATATTATAGCATTACTAGAATATTATTTTTGTTATTTAAATCATGTTGAAAGGAGATTCTTGTAAGTTTTGTGCCTGAGAGGAAACCTCTGAGACCTAAATTAGCCTTCACTGAATATAGTAGGCATAATAATGGCACCTCCAAAAATGTTTATGCCCTAATACCCAGAACCTGTGACTGTGTTGTCTTACATGGCAAAAGGGACTTTGGAGGCATGATTAAGTTTACAGACCTTGAGATGGAGAGAGCAGCCTGTATTATCCAGGTGGGCACAATTTAATAACATAGGCCCTTAAAAGCAGAGAATGCTTCCCAACTTGGTTAGAGAGATGAGACAGTAGAAGAAGGAGGAGGGATTTAAAATGTGAAAGGACAAGTCTTTCATTGCTTTGAAGGTGGAGGAAAGGGACTATGAGTCAAGCAATGCAGCTGGCCTCTAGAAGACAGGAATGGGCCTCAGCTGACAGCCGTCAAGAAAATGGGGGTCTTGGTCTTTAAAGGACCTGAATTCTACCAACAACCTAGATAAGCAAGAAAATGGATTTTTGCCTTTGATCTTTCAGAAAGAAATGCAGCCCGGCTAACACTTTGCTTTTAGCCTGGTGAGGCCAGGTTGGATTTGTGACCTACAGAAATGTAAAATAAATTTAAATTGTTTAGACCACAATATTGTGGTAATTTGTTGCTGTAGCTCACAGATAAATAGGGCACTGGAATTTCTTGGCCTTTGTCTTCTCATTTGCAAATAGAGATAGGATTATCTCCTTCTCCCACTGAAAACAACATGAGATGTTACATACGACAGTGCCTGGAAAACTTTAAAATGGTGTACAAACAAAAAGATATTATTAGATTTAGAATCAACTGATGGAGTACTCTCAAGGAAGGTGTTTTTGGTGCAAATAGCCAATTACACCGATTGTTTCCAATTCTTGGAAATGCAATAAAGTAGAGGAAATAAATTATTTCAAATTCTGTTTTGGTACATTAACATTTGACAATATTTAGGTCTAATGAGATCACAAGAGTAAACATAGAAATTCCTGTTAGAGAAGATTATATACTTGTTACAACAGGAATAAAAGACAGGAGAGCAAAACCACTGTCATTTTAATATAACTGTTGGTTAATAGAAAGGAAAAGTTAATTAACATGTCTCTAGCAAGAACCAAAAGCAGATCCATCTCCATTTTATTTCACTGAGTTTGATTTGAATATGCCAATTCTCAAGCACCAATAGCTACTTGGTATTAACAGTTCCTTTGTCCTGATTTCTTAATCAGTGAAACAATGTAAAATAGCTGCTTATTTCTTGCACATGGTCAATTATGTTGGATCATTTATTTTGTAAGGGACCATGGAGCTCACTTAGGTAGGTGGATGGGCTACCTCTTTGCTTTTGGAGATAATCACTTCCAAAGAAACTTTTAAAATGTATGCCAGTTTGTACTGATTTTTTTCAAAGGACAATCAGAACTAGGTGCTTAAGCATCTTAGGGAATATTTATTGCAAGGAAGCCATGCAAGCTAGTTCCAGTGAAGGGAGATTAATTTTAAGAATTCAACAGGCAGGCTTAAGTGTATAAAAACTGAAATACAAGTAGGCTTGTGAAATCAGGAACTGGAAAACCAGAGATCAAGACTTCCTCAATCCACCTTTTATTTGTGTCTAAGTACCTGCTCCATCTTCTGCTTCTGACTACATCCCACCTGCTTAGTTGTTGGCATACATATAGCTAAAAATGACTACGTCAGGTTGCCTCTATCGAATTCAATCACATATCTCATTTCCACACCCTACAACTTGTGCCTCTTAGTGTAAGTATAGACAATATGATTGATCACCAGCTGGTTAAAGCACTGGATACTTTCAGTCCAATGCATACCCCGAATTCAATGAGCTGTTGTGTTGAGACCACATGGCACAAATTTGACTGAAGGCACCTGCAATTTTAACAGGCAGCTGCTAGAGAAGAGAGTTATGGGGAGGCAGACACCTCAAGACATGTTTCTTTTATTTAGTCACACTTAATCCTTTAATGTCTTACACCTGAAGAGTGAGTCAATTTTTTATTAGGTTTATGACCTAGACCAAGGGTTTTCACTATTTAACTTTTAAGTATTTCATACCTCCTCTTTTTGCATAAAGCTAATGATTAAAGTAAATAAGCACAATAGCTTATCTGCAATATACATCATATACTGTTCAAAGTCATACAATTTTTGTTCTTTGTCAGTTTATAATCATGATTTTTCTACAGTTATTCCATCAAGGCTAGGAATATTATGTATTCATAGTTTGGATTATACCGAGGTTGTTTATTTTGATTTCTTTAAGAAAGGTTTGATATAATTTGCATTATCTTGTGCTATCTTGAAGATTATATGGAAGTTTTTTTCTGCTTCTTGAGGGTAGCTTCTGGGACATATAATATCTCCTTCAAATATATATTAATTTATAAATAATGAATCAAGGGAAGGACCTGCAATTTAACAAGAGAAATCTGAATTCATGGAGTCTAAAAATGTAATGCTGAAATAAAAATCTGAATTTCCCATTATAGGGGAAACTTTGTCCTATTTTACCTGTGATGTTTCGTTAAAAAAATCACTGAATGGTATTGCGAGCAGTGAAACTAGAAATTTTTCCAAGCCTAGTAATATTATGGAAAGTATCTCTAAGCCTAAGTTCTAGAATTCTAATTAATTTGCAGTTTTTGGAGAAATTACAAAATAATTTAATATGTAATTTTGAGCCTAGATGTATTAGACAAGACTACAAAGGACTGATCCAGTAAAAGAGGCTGACAACAATGACAACACATGGCCTGAAGTTGCTTTCACTATGATTTATTTTTGGACTAGGGAACAGAACAAGTGGCAAGGATACAAATGAGTGAATTGATATAGCTTCTCATGATATCTCTCTAGTTTTTCATGGAAATGACTCTGATGTTCAGTGCTCATAGTAGAATGCATAAAGTGAACACTCCACAAGGTCACAAAAACAAAAAAACTATTTATTGTTATTTTTTCCTTTCTTTTTATCTGGAGAAGGAAGTATTAGACGTTATTGCAGCTATTGCCATGGTTATATAATCCCATGTTCTTCACCTATCCATGGCCTACCACATTAAAGTAAAATTTTAAAATTTTTTTTATTATACTTTAAGTTTTAGGGTAGATGTGCACAATGTGCAGGTTAGTTACATATGTATACATGTGCCATGTTGGTGTGCTGCACCCAGTAACTCGTCATTTAACATTAGGTATATCTCCAAATGCTATCCTTCCCCGCTCCCCCCACCCCACAAAGACCCCAGTGTGTGATGTTCCCCTTCCTGTATCCATGTGTTCTCATTTTTCGATTCCCACCTATGAATGAGAACATGTGGTGTTTGGTTTTTTGTCCTTGCAATAGTTTGCTGAGAATGATGGTTTCCAGCTTCATCCATGTTCTTACAAAGGACATGAACTCATCATTTTTTATGGCTGCATAGTATTCCATGGTGTATATGTGCCACATTTTCTTAATCCAGTCTATCATTGTTGGACATTTGGGTTGGTTCCAAGTCTTTGCTATTGTGAAGAGTGCCACAATAAACATCCATGTGCATGTGTCTTTATAGCCGCATGATTTTTAATCCTTTGGTTATATACCTAGTAATGGGATGGCTGGGTCAAATGGTATTTCTAGTTCTAGATCCCTGAGGAATCGCCACACTGACTTCCACAATGGTTGAACTAGTTTACAGTCCCACCAACAGTGTAAAGTGTTCCTATTTCTCCACATCCTCTCCAGCACCTGTTGTTTCCTGACTTTTTAACGATTGCCATTCTAACTGGTGTGAGATGGTATCTCATTGTGGTTTTGATTTGCATTTCTCTGATGGCCAGTGATGATGAGCATTTTTTCATGTGTCTTTTGGCTGCATAAATGTCTTCTTTTGAGATGCATCTGTTCATATCCTTTGCCCACTTTTTGATGGGGTTGTTTGTTTTTTTCTTGTAAATTTGTTTGAGTTCATTGTAGATTCTGGATATTAGCCCTTTGTCAGATGAGTAGATTGCAAAAATATTCTCCCATTCTGTAGGCTGCCTGTTCACTCTGATGGTAGTTTCTTTTGCTGTGCAGAAGCTCTTTAGTTTAATTAGATCCCATTTGTCAATTTTGGCTTTTGTTGCCATTGTTTTTGGTGTTTTAGACATGAAGTCCTTGCCCATGCCTGTGTCCTGAATGGTAATGCCTAGGTTTCTTTTAGGGTTTTTATGGTTTTAGGTCTAATATTTAAGTCTTTAATCCATCTTGAATTAATTTTTGTATAAGGTATAAGTAAGGGATCCACTTTCAGCTTTCTATATATGGCTAGCCAGTTTTCCCAGCACCATTTATTAAATAGGGAATCCTTTCCCCATTTCTTGTTTTTGTCAGATTTGTCAAAGATCAGATGGTTGTAGATATGTGGCGTTATTTCTGAGGGCTCTGTTCTCTTCCATTGGTCTATATCTCTGTTTTGGTACCAGTACCATGCTGTTTTGATTACGGTAGCCTTGTAGTATAGTTTGAAGTGAGGTAGCGTGATGCCTCCAGCTTTGTTCTTTTGGCTTAGGATTGACTTGGCGATGCGGGATCTTTTTTCGTTCCATATGAACTTTAAAGTAGTTTTATCCAATTCTGTGAAGAAAGTCATTAGTAGCTTGATGGGGATGGCATTGAATCTATAAATTACCTTGGGCAGTATGGCCATTTTCATGATATTGATTCTTCCTACCCATGAGCATGGAATATTCTTCCATTTGTTTGTTTCCCCTTTTATTTCATTGAGCAGTGGTTTGTAGTTCTCCTTGAAGAGGTCCTTCATGTCCCTTGTAAGCTGGACTCCTAGGTATTTTATTCTCTTTGAAGCAATTGTGAGTGGGAGTTCACTCCTGATTTGGCTCTCTGTTTGTCTGTTATTGGAGTATAAGAATGCTTGTGAGTTTTGCACATTGATTTTGTATTCTGAGACTTTGCTGAAGTTGCCTATCAGCTTAAGGAGATTTTGGGCTGAGATGATGGGGTTTTCTGCATATACAATCATGTCATCTGCAAACAGGGACAATTTGACTTCCTCTTTTCCTAATTGAATACCCTTTATTTCTTTCTCCAGCCTGATTGCCCTGGCCAGAACTTCCAATACTATGTTGAATAGGAGTGGTGAGAGAGGGCATCCCTGTCTTGTGCCAGTTTTCAAAGGGAATGCTTCCAGTTTTTCCCATTCAGTATGATATTGGCTGTGGGTTTGTCATAGATAGCTCTTATTATTTTGAGATATGTCCCATCAATACCTAATTTATTGAGTGTTTTTAGCATGAAGGGCTGCTGAATTTTGTCAAAGGCCTTTTCTGCATCTATTGAGATAATCATGTGGTTTTTGTCATTGGTTCTGTTTATATGCTGGATTATGTTTATTGATTTGTGTATGTTGAACCAACCTTGCATTCCAGGGATGAAGCCCACTTGATCATGGTGGATAAGCTTTTGGTATGCTGCTGGATTTGGTTTGCCAGTATTTTATTGAGGATTTTTGCATCGATGTTCATCAGGGATATTGGTGTAAAATTCTCTTATTTTGTTGTGTCCCTGCCAGGCTTTGGTATCAGGATGATGCTGGCCTCATTAAATGAGTTAGGGAGGGATTCCTCTTTCTCTATTGATTGGAATAGTTTCAGAAGGAATGGTACTAGCTCCTCCTTGTACCTCTGGTAGAATTCAGCTGTGAATCCATCTGGTCCTGGACTTTTTTTGGTTGGTAAGCTATTAATTATTGCCTCAATTTCAGAGCCTGTTGTTGGTCTATTCAGAGATTCAACTTCTTCCTGGTTTAGTCTTGGGAGGGTGTATGTGTCGACGAATGTATCCATTTCTTCCAGATTTTCTAGTTTATTTGCATACAGATGTTTATACTATTCTCTGATGGTAGCTTGTATTTCTGTGGGATCGGTGGTGATATCCCCTTTATCATTTTTTATTACATCTATTTGATTCTTCTCTCTTTTCTTCTTTATTAGTCTTGCTAGCGGTCTATCAATTTTATTGATCTTTTCAAAATACCAGCTCCTGGATTCATTAATTTTTTGAAGGGTTTTTTTGGTCTCTATTTCCTTCACTTCTGCTCTGATCTTAGTTATTTCTTGCCTTCTGATAGCTTTTGAATGTGTTTGCTCTTGCTTCTCTAGTTCTTTTAATTGTGATGTTAGGGTGTCAATTTTAGATCTTTCCTGCTTTCTCTTGTGGGCATTTAGTGCTATAAATTTCCCCCTACACACTGCTTTGAATGTGTCCCAGACATTCTGGTATGTTGTGTCTTTGTTCTCGTTGGTTTCAAAGAACATCTTTATTTCTGCCTTCATTTCGTTATGTACCCAGTAGTCATTCAGGAGCAGGTTGTTCAGTTTCCATGTAGTTGAACGGTTTTGAGTGAGTTTCTTAATCCTGAGTTCTAGTTTGATTGCACTGTGGTCTGAGAGACAGTTTGTTATAATTTCTTTTCTTTTACACTTGCTGAGTAGTGCTTTACTTGCAACTATGTGGTCAATTTTGGAATAAGTGCAGTGTGGTGCTGAGAAGAATGTACATTCTGTTGATTTGGGGTGGAGAGTTCTGTAGATGTCTATTAGGTCCACTTGGTGCGGAGCTGAGTTCAATTCCTGGATATCCTTGTTAACTTTCTGTCTTGTTGATCTGTCTAATATTGACAGTGAGGTGTTAAAATCTCCCATTATTATTGCATGGGAGTCTAAGTCTCTTTGTAGGTCTCTAAGGACTTGCTTTATGAATCTGGGTGCTCCTGTATTGGGTGCATATATATTTAGGATAGTTAGCTCTTTTTGTTGAATTGGTCCCTTTACCATTATGTAATGGCCTTCTTTGTCTGTTTTGATGTTTGTTGGTTTAAAGTCTGTTTTATAAGAGACTAGGATTGCAACCCCTGCCTTTTTTTTGTTTTCCATTTGCTTGGTAGATCTTCCTCCATCCCTTTATTTTGAGCCTATGTATGTCTCTTCATGTGAGATGGGCTTCCTGAATACAGCACACTGATGGGTCTTGACTCTTTATCCAGTTTTCCAGTCTCTGTCTTTTAATTGGAGCATTTAGCCCATTTACATTTAAGGTTAATATTATTATGTGTGAATTTGATCCTGTCCTTATGATATTAGCTGGTTATCTTACTCGTTAGTTGATGCAGTTTCTTCCTAGCCTTGATGGTCTTTACAATTTGCCATGTTTTTGCAGTGGATAGTACTGGTTTTTCCTTTCCATGTTTAGTGCTTCCTTCAGGAGCTGTTTTAGGGCAGGCCTGGTGGTGACAAAATCTCTCAGCATTTGCTTGTCTGTAAAGGATTTTATTTCTCCTTCACGTATGAAGCTTAGTTTGGCTGGATATGAAATTCTGGGTTGAAAATTCTTTTCTTTAAGAATGTTGAATATTGGTCCCCACTCTCTTCTGGCTTGTAGAGTTTCTGCCGAGAGATCAGCTGTTAGTCTGATGGGCTTCCCTTTGTGGGTAACCCGACCTTTCTCTCTGGCTGCCCTTAACGTTTTTTCCTTCATTTCAACTTTGGTGAATCTGACAATTATGTGTCTTGGAGTTGCTCTTCTCGAGGAGTAGCTTTGTGTTGTTCTCTGTATTTCCTGAATCTGAATGTTGGCCTCCCTTGCTAGATTGGGGAAGTTCTCCTGGACAATATCCTGCAGAGTGTTTTTTAACTTGGTTCCATTCTCCCCGTCACTTTCAGGTACACCAATCAGATGTAGATTTGGTCTTTTCACATAGTCCCATATTTCTTGAAGACTTTGTTCATTTATTTTTATTCTTTTTAAACTTCCCTTCTCACTTCCTTTCATTCATTTGATCTTCCATCACTGATATCCTTTCTTCCAGTTGGTCAAATCGGCTACTGAGGCTTGTGCATTCATTACGTACTTCTCGTGCCTTGGTTTTCAGCTCCATCAGGTCCTTTAAGGACTTCTCTGCATTGGTTATTCTAGTTAGCCTTTCATCTAATTTTTTTTCAAGGTTTTTAACTTTTTTGCCATGGGTTCAATCTTCCTCCTTTAGCTTGGAGTAGTTTGATCATCTGAAGCATTCTTCTCTCAACTAGTCAAAGTCATTCTCTGTCCAGCTTTGTTCCATTGCTGGTGAGGAGCTGCATTGCTTTGGAGGAGGAGAGGCACTCTGATTTTTAGAGTTTCCAGTTTTTCTGCTCTGTTTTTTCCTCATCCTTGTGGTTTTATCTATCTTTGGTCTTTGATGATGGTGACGTACAGATGGGGTTTTGGTGTGGATGTCCTTTCTGTTTGTTAGTTTTCCTTCTAACAGTCAGGACCCTTCAGCTGAAGGTCTAGTGGAGTTTGCTGGAGGTTCACTCCAGATGCTGTTTGCCTGGGTATCAGCAGTGGAGGCTGCAGAACTGCGGATATTGATGAACAGCAAATGTTGCTGCCTGATTGTTCCTCTGGAAGTTTTGTCTCAGAGGAGTATCCGGCCATGTGAGGTGTCAGTCTGCCCCTACTGGGGGGTGCCTCCCAGTTAGGCTACTCGGGGGTCAGGGACCCACTTGAGGAGGCAGTCTGTCCATTCTCAGATGTCCAGCTGCGTGCTGGGAGAACCACTACTCTCTTCAAAGCTGTCAGACAGGGACATTTAAGTCTGCAGAGGATTCTGCTGCCTTTCGTTTGGCAATGCCCTGCCCCCAGAGGTGGAGCCTACAGAGGCAGGCAGGCCTCCTTGAGCTGTGGTGGGCTCCACCCAGTTCGATCTTCCTGGCTGCTTTGTTTAACTACTCAAGCCTCTGCAATGGCAGGGGCCCCTCCCCCAGCCTTGCTGCTGCCTTGCAGTTTGATCTCAGACTGCTGTGCTAGTAATGAGTGAGGCTCTGTGGGCATAGGACCCTCTGAGCCATGTGCAGTATATAATCTCCTGGTGTGCCGTTTGCTAAGACCATTGGAAAAGCACAGTATTAGGGTGGGAGTGAACCAATTTTCCAGGTGCCGTCTATCACCCCTTTCTTTGACTAGGAAAGGGAATTCCCTGATCCCTTGTGCTTCCTGGGTGAGGCAATGCCTTGCCCTGCTTTGGCTCATGCTTGGTGCACTGCACCCACTGTCCTTCACCCACTTTCCGACACTCCCCAGTGAGATGAACCTGGTACATCAGTTGGAAATGCAGAAATCACCCATCTTCTGTGTCGCTCATGCTGGGAGCTGTAGACTGGAGCTGTTCCTATTCGGCCATCTTGGCTCCACCCCCTCAATTTTTTTTTTTTTCACTTTAACTTCATAAAATTGAGGTGATAAAAAAGAATCCCAAAACTCTATGGTCAGTCTCTCCATTAGACCACACATTTTGGAGCCAGATTGAATGAATTTATATCCTGACTTTGCCAAGTTGTAAGAGCTTTGGTAAATTACTAAACCTCTCTTTGTCTCAGTTTCTTCAATTATAAAATCTAAATAAAAGAACTTTTGATTCCAAATATGACCAAATAGTGGGTATCAGACTACCTTCCCACAATAGACAACTATAATACTGGAAAATGTACGAAGCATCTGTTTTGGCATTAGACAATAACTCCCTCAGTTTAGAAGGAATCAGTGCAAGAACTCTGGCAATACAAAAAACAAGAGTGTTTTGTCCCTTCCAAAGCATTGTACTAGCTCCCTAGCAATGTATGCTAGCCAGATTGAAATATCTGAAATGACAGATATAGAATTCAGGATATGGGTGGCAAAGAAACTCAATAAAATCTGAGAAAAGTTAAAATTAATATCCAGTATAAAGAAAACAGAAATAATCCAGGATATAAAATACAACATAGCTATGTTAAGAAAAAAAATCAAACACTGGGAATTACAAATTTCACTAGAAAAATTAAAAAATACAATTAGAAGCCTTAATAATGGATTAGACCAAACAGAAGAAAGAATTTCAGAGTTTAAAGAGCAGTCTTTTGAATTAACCCAGTAAGACAAAAATTATAAAAACAATTTTAAAAAGGTAAATGAAGCCTTTGAGAAATGTAGGATTATGTAAAGCAACCAAACCTATTAATTATGGGCATTTCTGAGAGAGAAGAAAAAAAAAGTAAGGAACTTAGAAAATATATTTGAAGATATAATTCAGGAAAACTTCCCCAATCTTGCTAGAGGTTGACATGCAGATAAAACAAATGCAGATAATTCCTGCAAGATATTATACAAGATGACCATCTTCAAGACACATAGTCATCAGACTATCCAAGGTAAATGAGAAAAGAAAAATAATCTTAAAGACAGATAGAGAAAAGGGCCAAATTAACTATAAAAGGAATCCCATTAGACTAACAGCAGACTTCTTAGTGGAAACCTCACAAGCTAGAAGCTACAAGCTAGAAGTGATTGGTGACCTATTTTTAGCTTTCATAAAGAAAAAATATCAGCCAAGAATTTTATATCCTGCCAAACTAAGCTTCATAAACAAAGGAGAATAAAGTCTTTCCCAAACAAATGGTAAAGGTATTCATCACAAGACAAGCCCTATATGAAATGCTTAAAGAAATTCTAAACATGAAAGCAAAAGAATGATGCTTGCTAGCACAAAGCACACATAAGTACGAAGCTTACAGACCCCATAAGGCAACTGCACTACAAAACAACTAGCTAACAACACTATGACAAAAACAAAACTTCACATATCAATATTTACCTTGAACCTAAATGGCCTAAATGCTCCACTTAAAATATATAGAGTGGCAAATAGGACAAAAAATAAGACCTTCCCTTCTGCTGTCTTCAAGAGACCTATATCTCACATGTAATAACACCCATAGGCTCAAAGTAAATGGACAGAAAAACATCTATCATGCAAACAGAAAACAAAAAAGAGCAGGGGTTACTATTCTTGTATCACATAGAATAGGCTTTAAATGAACAACAGTTAAAAAGGACAAAGAAAGGAGAGAAGGTGGAGCAAGATGGCTGAACAGAAGCCTCCACTGATCATCCTCCCCACAGGAAAACAAATTTAACAACTATCTGCACAAAAAAGCACACTCATGAGAACCAAAAATTGGATGAGTAATCACAATACCTGGTTTTTAACTTCATATCACTGAAAGAGGCACTGAAGAGGGTAGGAATTATAGCCTTGGACTGCCAACACCACTCTTCCCGCATCCCCTGGCACTGGCTACATTGCATGGAGAGAGACTGTGAGCTTGGGAGAGGGAGAGTGCAGTGACTGTGGGACTCTACATTGGAACTAAGTGCTGCCAACACCAGGCAGAAATCAGCTGGTGACTACAGAGGGAGTATTTAGACCAGCCCTAGCCAAAGAGGAATTGCTCATTCCAGTGGTTGCAACTTGAGTTTCAGCAAGCCCCACCATCATGGGTTAAAGTGCTCTGGGGTCCTAGGTAAACTTGAAAGGCAGTCTATGCTACAAGGACTGCAACTCCTAGGCAAGTCCTAGTGCTGTGCTGGACTAAGAGTCACTGGACTTGGCGGGGGCACAAGATCTAGTAAGACAGCAGACAGGGTGGCTAAGGGACTCACTTATGTCATCTTTCACCAAACCCCAGGGATCACAGCTCACAGCTCCAAAAGAGAACCGTTCCTTCTTCTTGACGAGAAAGGGGAATAAAGAGGACTTTGTCTTGCATCTTGGATGCCAGCTTAGCTACAGTAAGATAGGACACAAGGCAGAGTCATGAGGCCCCCCATTCTAGCTAGGCCCTAGGACCTAGCTCCTGGATGACATTTCTAGACATACCCTGGGCCAGAAGGGAACCTGTTGCCTTGAAGGGAAGTACCCGGTCCTGGCAGGATTCATCACTTGCTTATGAAAGAGCTCTTGGACCTTGAATAATCAGCAGCAGTAACAAGGTGGTATGTGCTGTGGGCCTTGGGTGAGACTCAGACATGCTAGCTGCAAGTGTGACCCAGTGTATTCACAGCTGTGGTGGCTATGAGGAGATACTCCTTCTGCTTCAGAAAAAGAGAAGGAAGAATAAAGGGGACTTTTTCTTGTAGCTTAGGCACCAGCTTGGCCACAATGAGGAAGAACACTGGGTGAACTTTTGGGGTCCTCATTGTCAGGCTTTGACTCTTGGTTGGCATTTCTAGATCTACCCTTGGCCAGAGGGAAAGCCTACTGCCATTAAGGGTGAGTTTCAGGCCTGGCAGCATTTACCCCAAGCTGACTGAAGCACCTGTGGGCCTTAAGCGAACATTGGTGGTACCATGGCAGTGCTCCTTATGGGCCTATGGTGGTGGTGGATGTGGGGAAAGACTCCTCTGCCTGGAGAAATAGGAAGGAAGAGTAGGAAGAATGTTGTCTTGTGGTTTTGGTGCCAGCTTAGCCACAGTAGAATGGAGCACCAGGTAGTTCTAAGGTTTCTGATTCCAGGTCCTGGCTCCTGGACAGCATTTCTGAACCTGTCCCAGGCATGGCGAAACTTGCCACCCTGAAGGGAAGGACACAAGACTGGATGGCTTTGCACCTGCTGATTCTAGAACCCAGGGCCTTGAGCGAATATAGGGTGTAGCCAGGTAGTGGATATAGTGAGCCTTGGGTGAGACCCAGTGTTGTACTGGCTTCAAGTCTGACCCAGCACAATCCCAGTGGTGGTGGCCACATGAGTGGATGTTTCACTCTTTCCCCAGCTTCAGGCAGCTCAGCACACAGCAAGAGACAATTCATTTGTTTGGGAGAAGTAAAGGAAGGAGAGAACAAGAGGAAGGAGAGAACAAGAGTCTTTGCCCTGTAATACAGAGAATTCTCTGGATCTTGTTCAAGACCATCAAGGCAGTACCTCTATGTGTCTGCAAGAACCACAGTGCTACTGGTCTTGAGACTCACCTTAACACATACAGCACCCAAGTCTTTTCAAACATTTGGAGAGCCTTCACAGGAAGGATGGGTACAAAAAACCTGGACCATGCAGACTACAATAATTACCTAATGGTTTAATGTCCAGACACTAACAAATATCCACAAGCATCAAGATCATCCAGGAAAACATGACCTTACCAAATGAACAAAATAAAGCACCAGGGGCCAGTTGTGGAAAGACAGAGATACGTGGCAGACTGAAAATTCAAAATAGCTGTTTTGAGGAAACTCAAAGAAATTCAAGATAACAGAGAGAAGGAATTCAGAATCCTATCAGATAAATTTAACAAAGAAATTGAAATAATTAAAAAGAATTAAGCAGAAATTCTCAAGTTTGAAAAATTCAACAGGCATGCTAAATGTAATAGTCCATTCTCATGCTTCTATAAAGAACTGCCCAAGACTGAGGAATTTATAAAGGAAAAAAGGTTTAATTGACTCACAGTTTCACATAGCTGGGAGGCCTCAGCAAACTTACAATCATGGTGAAAGGGAAAGCAAACACATCCTTCTTCACATGGCAGCAGGAGAGAGAGGAGTTGAGCAAAGACCGGGAAAAGCCCCTTATAAAACCATCAGATTTCATAAGAACTCACTCAATATCATGAGAACAGCATGGAGGAATCTGCCCTCATGATTCAATTACCTCCTACTGGGTCCCTCCCACAACACATGGGGATTATGGGATTACAATTTAAGATGAGATTTGAGTGGGGACACAAAGCCAAACCATATCACTGAAGAATGCATGAGCATTTCATAATAGAAAAATTGATCAAGAAGAAGAAATAAGTAGTGAGCTTGAAGACAGGCTTTTTGAAAACACAGTCAGAGAAGAAGGAAAAAAGTAGTATACAAGAATGAAGATGCCTACAGGATCCATAAAATAGCCTCAAAAGGTCAACTCTGAGAATTATTGGCTTTAAAGAGGAGGTAAAGAGATAGGGGTAGAAGGCTCATTCAAAGGAATAATAATAGATAACTTCTAAAACCCAAAGAAAGACATTAATGTCCAAGTAAAGGAAGTTTATAGAACACCAAGCAGATTTAAACCAAAGAAGAGGCTTCAAAGTCATCTAATAAACTCCCAAAGGTCAAGTATAAAGGATCTTAAAATCAGCAAGATAAAACAAACAACTAATATACAATAGAGCTCCAATACATCTGGCAGCAGACTTTTCAGTGGAAACGTTACAGGTCAAGAGAATGTGGCATGATATATTTAAAGTGCTGAAAGAAGAAAGCTTACACCATAGAATAGAACATCTGCCAAAAATGTCCTTCAAACATAAAGGAGAAATAAAGACTTTCTCAACAAAAAGAAGCTGAGGGATTTTTGCAACACCAGACTTGTTTTACAAGAAATGCTAGAGGGAATAGAAGAATGGTTTCCAGAGGCTGAGAATGGTAGCAGGGGGATGTGGACAAGGTGAGGATAGTTAATGGGTACGAAAAACAGAAAGAATGATAAGACCTAGTATTTTCTAGTACAATAGAGTGATTAGAGTCAATAATAATTTAATTGTACATTTTAAAATAACAGGAGACTATAATTGGATTGTTTTTAACACAAAGGATAAATGCTTGAGGTGATGGATACCCCACATATACTGATTTCATTATTACTCATTGCATGCCCACAAATTTTTAAAAAAGAGAATGAAATTGGCTCCTGCCTCTCACCATATATAAAAATTAAGATGGATTAATGACTTATATGTAAAATCTCAAGCTGTGAAAATCTTAGAAGAAAACCTAGGAAAAACTTTTCTGGACATTGGCCTAGGCAAATTGACTAGGACCTCAAAAGCAAATGTAACAAAAACGAAAATTGACAATTGGGACCTAATTAAAGTAAAGAGCTTCTGCACAGTGAAATAAACTATCAGTAGAGTAAAGAGACAACCTATAGAATGGGAGAAAATATTTTCAACTATGCATCTGACAAAAGACTAATAGCTAGAATACATAAGAAACTTAAATTAAGAAGAGAAAAACAAAAAAAATCACATTAAAAAGTGGGCGAAGGACATGAACAAACACTTCTCAAAAGAAGACATACAAGTAGTGAACAAACATATGAAAAAATGCTCAACATCAGTAATCATCAGAGAAATGCAAAGTAAAACCACAATAAGATACTGTCTCACAGCAGTCTACAATGTAATAGCTTTAATAATATGGCTATTTTTTAAAAGTCAAGAAATAACAGATACTGACGAGGATGAGTTGTGAAGGGAATGCTTATACACAGTTGGTGGCAATTAGTTCAGCCCCTGTGCAAAGCAGTTTGGAGATCCCTCAAAGGACTAAAAATACCACTACAATTTGGCCCAGCAATCCCATTACTTGGTATCTACCCCAAGGAAAATAAATTGTTCTATCAAAAAGCCACCTGCACTCCAATATTGCATCACTATTCACAATAGCAAAGACATGGAGTCAACCCAGGTGCCCATCTGTGGTAGATTGGGTAAAGAAAACGTGGCATACAGACACCATGGAATACAATGCAGCCACAAAAAAGAATGAAATCAAGTCTCCTGCAGCAACATGGATGCAGCTGGAGGCCATTATCCTAAGTGGATTAACACAGAAACAGAAATTCAAATATCACATATTCTCACTTATAAGTGAGAGCTAGACAATGGCTACATATTTAAATAAGGATGGAAGCAATAGATACTAGGGACACCAAAAGGAGGATGGATGAAGGGAGGGAAAGCTTGAAAAACCACCTATTGGGTACTATGTTCGCTATTTGGGTGAGAGTTTCAATAGAAGCCCAAACCTCAGCATTATGCGATATATCCATGTAACAAACCTGCACATGTACTCTCTGAATCTAATAAATAAATAAATAAATAAATAAATAAATAAATAAATAGTTAGACAAAAAGATACCCGGGGGAGAACAACAGTACGAACAATCTCTACTTCTCATCAGAAATAATGCAAGCCAGATGAAAATGAAACTAGATTGTAAAGTTCTGAAAGAAAAATAAAATTAACACAGAATAAAGATAGACAAAAATGGAAGAGAATAGAAAACCCCTAAATAGACTCACACCACAGTTAAATTTCTAGTAAATTTTTGACAAAGGCATGAAAGCAATTTAATGGATGAAACCCCTTTTTTCCCTAAATGATGCTAGAACTGAATATCAATATGCAAAAAAAAGAACTTTGACAGCTACCTGAATACCATACATTAAAAAACATCAATTGAGTTGGATTATAAACCAAGACATAAAAGTTCAATCTATAAAGTTTCTAAAATAAAACATAACATAGGAGTATATCTTCATTACCTGGGTGTAGGAAAAATTTTTGGATACAGAACACTGAAAATATTCACCCTAAAAGAAAAAAGGGACAAATTTGGCCTCATGAAAATAAAACACTTCTGCTCATTCGAATACTCCACTAATGTAATGAATAGTTGAGCCACACACAGAAAGAAAATATGCACATTACATATCTCTGACAAAGGACTTGTATCTGCCATATACAAATAATCCTTAGCATTCAATAATAATAATACAAACAGCCTCAATAAAAAATAGGCAAAGGACTTTAACAGACCCTTCACAATGAAAGAATACCAATGGTCAGTAAGCAAATTAAAATATGATCAATATCACTAATCATAAAGAAAATATAAATTCAAAGAAAAATGAGATATTGCAACAAACCCTTAAGAATGAATACATTTAAAAAGGGTCACAATTCCAAGTATTGATGAAGATATGGAACAACTTGAATTCTCAAACATACTGGATGAAAATGTTAAATGATACAACTGTTTGGGGAAAATGTCTCACAATTTGATATGATACCAGATAAACACCTAAACTATGGCATAATAATTCTAATCCTAGTTCAAAAGAAATGAAATCATATGTCCAAAAAAGGATTTGTATCAGAGTATTGGCAGCAGTTTTATTCATAATAGCTAAAAACTGGAAATAACACAAATGTTCAATTGGAAAATGGGAAAATAAATTGTGGTGTATTCATAAAACAGTTTACTATTGATATATGCTCTAACATGGGTGAATCTTAAAAATATCAATTCATCTCTACTAAAAAATACAAAAATTAGCCGGGCATGGTGGTGTGCGCCTGTAGTCCCAGCTACTCGGGAGGCTGAGGCAGAGGAATCACTTGAACCCGGGAGGCGGAGGTTGCAGTGAGCCGAGATTGCGCCACTGCACTCCAGTCTGGGCAACAGAGTGAGACTCTTATCTCAAAAAAAAAAAAAAAAAAAAAAAAAAAATTCAGGCAAAAGAAGGCAGACAAAAAACAGTTCAAACTGTATCATTTCATTTACATGTACTTCTCTAACAGTAAACTAAAGTCCAGTGATAGAAATTAGAAAGATGGTTATCACTGGAGATGGTGATTCAGGGACGAGGCACGAAGTGATTTTTGGGATGATGAATTGTTTTATTCTATATCTTGTATTTGTCCAAACTCATTTTTCTGTGTGTACATCATATGTCAAATTTTAAAAAATGAAAGAAATTGAAGTAACAATAGAAATTGTTATTGTTATTATTTTTGAGACAGGGTCTCACTGTTGCCTAGGCTGGAGCGCACTGGTGCTATCATGGCTCATGGCAGACTCAACTTCCTGGGCTCCAGTGATCTTCCCACCTCAGGCTCCTTGGTAGCTGGGACTACAAGGTCATACTACCATGCCTGGCTAGTTTTTGTTTTTTTGGTAGAGATGGGGTTTTGCCATGTTGCCCAGGTTGGTTTCAAACTCTTGAGCTCAAGCGATCTGCCCACCTCAGCCTCGCAAAGTTCTGAGATTACAGGTGTGAGCCACTGCATCTGAGCATAAAATTATTTTGTAAGAGTAATGTGGGGCCGGGCACGGTGGCTCACGCCTGTAATCCCAGCACTTTGGGAGGCCAAGGCGGGCGGATCACAAGGTCAGAAATTCGAAACCAGCCTGGCCAATATGATGAAACCTGGTCTCTATTAAAAATACAAAAATTAGCTGGGAGTGGTGGCGCTCGAGCCTATAGTCCCAGCTACTCCGGAGGCTTGAGGTAGAAGAATCCCTTGAAGCCGGGAGGCGGAGGTTGCAGTGAGCCGAGGTCACGTCACTGCACTCCAGCCTGGGCGACAGAGCAAGACTACATCTCAAAAAAAAAAAAAAAAAAAAAAAAAGAAGAAAAAAACAACCAAACAAAAACAAAAAAAAAAAGAGTGTTTGTGGGAATTAAATGAACTAAAACATGTATATGTAAAACGCTCACAATAGTCCCTGACAAATAACATGTAACATGTAAGCTTTAGAAATTTCTTTTTTTTTTTTTTTTTTAGACGGAGTTTTGCTCTGTCGCCCAGGCTGGGGTGCAGTGGCGCGGTCTAGGCTCACTGCAAGCTCCGCCTCCCGGGTTCACGCCATTCTTCGGCCTTAGCCTCCCAAGTAGCTGGAACTGCAGGCGCCCGCCACTGCGCCCGGCTAATTTTTTTTTGTATTTTTAGTAGAGACGGGGGTTTCACCTTGTTAGCCAGGATGGTCTCTATCTCCTGACCTCGTGATCCGCCCGCCTCGGCCTCCCAAAGTGCTGGGATTACAGGCGTGAGCCAACTCGCCCGGCCAGAAATTACTATTATAATTTATGTTTTCCTTTCTAATGCTCCATTCATTTACTGTACTACTATGTGGTCCTGCACAAATATTCAAACCACAAGATCTATTTCAGAATGTTAGAAATAATGCCTCACATTGCATAACATGAAACTTTTCCGGGCATTATTCAGTTCTGATGTTAAAAAGGCACTGCAGCTGTTTCTACTCATGGAAACCTCTCCACACTCTGTAATTTCTCCATCGGTGGTTTCCCGACCAGCTGACTTCTAAATGGTTGCAAGTTTTCCTTTCCGTTCAATTATCTAGTATTTAAGATACAAGTAGTTAATCCCTCGATCAAATGATGTAGAATTAGACTACTCTGATTGTTACCTCCCCTCAAGGGATTATAAACTTCCACGGAATATAACATTTAAAGCACATTTAAACAGAACATAAGGTGGTTTAGAAAATGATTTTGTGGTAATATCCTCAAAATCCATAGTCCAAAGCACTCATCTGATGAAATTGAGGCAAAGAAATAATCTTTTGCCTGAATTCTGTAGGAACTTGCTTTATCTATACGGTGCGTAAGTGCGAATGCTTCAGCTAAATCGTAGGGTGAAAATACCAGGGAACTGCCTTCTTCAGGTGACAAATAGAAGCCAAACATTGTAGTTTTGGTGAGATTGAATATAAGGGGTAATTTATCTTTTAAAAGGAATTTCGTTTTTTACCCTTCTGGTTTGGAAAGAAAACATTCATTGACAGATGCCAAAGAGTGAAATGTAAATGGTAAAATCACAGGCTTTAAGATAACTTGTTTTAAACCTGTCTTTGACACTGAGAGTCAGCATGAACTTAACATCATTACTCAGGTCTTAACGGTTTTCATAGAGGCTTCAAAGTAGGAAACAGTATCTCCTGTACAAAGTGTGGGTACAATTTCTGAGACAGGGCTTACAATGTAGACAGTAGCTCAGAATAAAGATCACAGGAGACTAAAAGACCAAAATAACTTCTTAGATAAGAAAAAAAATAAAGCCATATTCAAACACTGATTTGCTTTGATATATTAATTCTACCTTCTTTGAAAACTAGATGTAATAAAATATGCCCCGGTTGGCTGGCAGCAGCCTCATTACCCCAATTTCACGTAATTGCTATGTTTGATCAAGCAAGGCTGAACAACGGCTGGCCCAGATATTAGTCTGTGCTCCCATTTCAGATAGAGAAGTTTGCAGGGTGCACAAGCAATGTTTTTCTCCACTGCCTGTAATATGGACATTCCATACTCTGTGTATGGTCAAAGAACTTTTAATGTTAGACACCATATCAGATAAGCCATGCTATGAAAGGCTGTCAAGAGACAAAGTTAGCAAGGTTTTCAACTGCTGTACCTTTTAGCGCTTGGCATTGCTCTTCTTATAAAAACAGTATTTAGTTTAAAAACTTATTTTTATTTTATTTTATTTTTTAAAATTTGAGACAGAGTTTTACACTGTCAGCCAGGCTGGAGCGCAGTAGCACGATCTCCACTCACTGCAACCTCCGCCTCCTGGTTCAAGCAATTCTCCTGCCTCAGCCTCCTGAGTAGCTGGGATTACAGGCACCTGCCACCATGCCCGGCTAATTTTTTTTGTATTTTCAGTAGAGACAGGGTTTTACTATGTTGGCCAGGCTGGCCTTGAACTCCTGACCTCAAGATCCGCCTGCCTCGGCCTCCCAAAAAAAAACTTATTTCTTAATAGACCCCAATGGTTGAATGAAATCCTCTGTCTTTTTACTTTTCCTAGGATTACATTTTCTGTGCAATCTCCTAATGAGAAGGCCTGAGGTCTATAAGATGAGAAAGAGCCAATTCTTAAGAAAATCAGGTTTAGAAGTATTAAACAGGAGATGATTATTGTGCCCTTAAAATAAAGGGGGACAGTAGAAAGTTAATCCATAAAATAAATTTGATTTTACAAAATGTATGTGTACATGTTTATATTCACTAAAAAGTCTTAGTTTTTTTTTTTTGTCTTTAGAATGCTTTTGCTGGTAGTTGCCTTTTCATACACAAAATAATTTCAGGCAATAATTTACTAGGCCTATTTATCATTAAATTAGGGTAGTTCCAGAAATCCTTCCCTCAAAATGTTACACAAAATTGGCACATTCAAAATATTACTTGTAAACCCAGAAACTGATTTCAGAAAAATATCAATCTATAAGCCCCTAAACACCCACCCATCCAACCAATCAACAAACCAATGAAATTATGTTTATAAATCAGCCCGTCAAACTCTTAGACAGCCAAGTGCAATTATATTTAACATGAAATTATATAGGAACTATTAGGCAAGGCAACAAACAACTAACAAAACAAAATTAAACAAAAAATCCCTCCTAAACATCCCTGTAGAAGTTTGTTGTTATAGATGCCATACATCTATGAACAATTCTAATCCCACAGATTGGAAACACCAGAATTTACCTTAAAAAATATATATATGTGTGTGTGTGTATATATATATATATTTGATAAGATATATATATTTGATAAGATATATATTTAATAAAATATTTATATTGATATATATATATTTGAGACAGGGTCTTGCTCTGTCGCCCAGGCTGGAGTGCAGTGGCATGATCTTGGCTCACTGCAACATCCACCTCCTGGGTTCAAGCAATTATCCTGCCTCAGCCTCCTGAATAGCTGGGATTTCAGGCATGCATCACCATGCTCAGCTAATTTTTTGTATTTTTAGTAGAGACAGGGTCTCACTATGTTGGCCAGGCTGGTCTCGAACTCCTGGCCTCAAGTGATCTGCCCGCCTCAGCTTCCCAAAGTGCTGGGATTACAGGCGTGAGCCACCAAGCCCAGCCAATACATATTTTATTTTAAAACTAATCTCTGGAAGTACAGTGTGTTTGGGGGTAACTGATTGCATTTGTATCCTCTTAATTTATACATATATTATTAATTATAAAAATGATGTAACCACATTTCCAAAATTTGAGATGAGGGAAACCAAAACACACTAATAATTGTTTCACTCAACTCAATCACTGTATCACATATTTCAAAGAAAAGGAAACCTCTTTTCTTAGGGATAGTGAGGAAGGTCATATTTCCTGGAGCGTACTTGGAGGTATGCTTAGGAGGTACCACCATTGCTGATCTGTTAACATCTCATTCCTGTATGTTGGTGATGACAACAAGTCACTGTTGTGATTGCCGTCCTCTTTTGTAATATCCCCACCTGCTGGTACTTTAGGAGATTGCCCCCAAAAGCCTTTGAAAGCAGGAAACACCATATCAGGTTTATTATTGTTGTTGTTATTGTTATTATTATTATTTTGAGACAGGGTCTTACTCTGTCACCCAGGGTCACTGCAGCCTTGACCTCCTGGGCTCAAGCAGTCCTCCCATCTCAGCCTCCTAAGTATGTGGGACCATAGGCACACACCACCAAGCTCAGCTATATATATATATATATATATATATATATATATATATATATATATATATATATTTTTTTTTTTTTTTTTGTAGAGATGAGATCTATGTTGCCAAGGCAGTTCTCACACTCCTGGGCTCAAGAGATCCTCCTACTTAGGCCTCTCAAACAGCTGGGATTATAGGCGTGAGCCACTGCACCTGGCATGTGTTTTTATTATTAGTTTGAATTGTAGACTATTCCTACTTGATTTCGGATAACACACACCAGACATTTATAGAACCTGATAGCCTTCATTTCATTTTAGGCACTGTTTAGTATCTTATAACCTTCCCTGTACAATTTGGAGACCTGCTTCTGTCACTTTTGGGTGTGGAACATTTTGTCTTTTTTCCTTCCTTGGAATTCAAATTCTTTGAAAGGAAAGTATATACTTCAAAAAATATACTTAATACATAACCTTGACTGACTCATTGGTCCATACAATAATATTTTTACAACATAAAGGAAGCACATATTTAAAAGACAAAAAATTAACAGATGTTGGCAAGGATGCAGAGAAAAGGGAATGCTTACACACTGTTGGTGGGAATGTCAACTAGTACAACCTCTATGGAAAACAGTAGGGGGGTTTCTCAAAGAACTAAAAATAGAACTAGCATTCTATCTAGCAATCCCACTACTGGGTATCTACCTAAAGGAAAAGAAACCATTATATCAAAAAGATACCTGTACTTGTATGTTTATTGCAGCACTATTCATAATAGCAAAGATATGCAATCAACTTGAGTGTCCATCAATGGATGATTGAATTTAAAATGTGGCAGATATCAACAATGGAATACTATTCAGTCATAAAAAAAGAATAAAATCATATCTTTTGCAGCAACGTACATGGAACTGGAGGCCATTATATTAAGTGAAACAACTCAGACACCGAAAGTTAAATACCACGTGTTCTCACTTATAAGTGGGAGCTAAATAATGTGTATACATGGACATAGACTGTGGAATAATACACATTGGACATGAAGGGAGGAAGGGTGGGAGGGGCCTGAGAGATGAGAAATTACTTAATGGCTACAATATGAATTATTCAGGTGATGGTTACACTAAAAGCCCAGACTTTACCCCATGTAATATATCCACGTAACAAAATGGCACCTGTACTCCTTAAATTTATAAAAATACAATAACATGAAATGCAAAAAAGTATAAAGGAAGTACTAAAATTTCAATGCAACATGATAACTGATATACCTCTTTAGAGATAAACATTTGCTATCATTTCTCTGTAACTTGGTTTCCCCCCATGTAAAGGGAGCCACCAAACTTGATCTACCAGCAATCTACAAACTTACTTAGCCTCTTGCAATCAGAACCTAGCTGCTTTTCCTCTTTGCTAAAACTGAAGCTTCTGTTTCTTGGTTTCCCCTCCTTTTCACTATTCAGCCCACAACAATCTGATTTCTATTCCTACTACTCCATTAAAACTGCTCTTGCTAGGGTGACTAGCCAACATTTTCTTGCTAAATCCAATAAACATGCTCAATTCTTATTTAATGGACCTTTTGAAAACAATCTATACTGTGGACCATTCACTTTTTCCTGGAACATTGTGTCTCCAGTTTTCAAGTGCAATATCTTTCTGGGTTTCCTCTTTTCTCTCCGGCACTCTCTTCTTCATGTCTTTTAAGTCTCCTTCTCTGCCAGATGTTCGATTGTTTTTCAGGGATGTCTGACCTCATCCTCCAGCCCTCATACTTTATACATCTTTCCTGGAAATGGCTTCAGTATTCATCCTGATGCCCTAGCCAAAAAGCTGACCTTCATCCTTCCCTTTTCCACACTCTCCCATTCAATTATCAAACCAATTCTATTTTCCAACCCTATTTTCATCTACTCAGTATTTTCTGTCCTTGCTGTTACTTCCTAGTTCCAGCACCAACCTTTTTTGCCTGGATTACTTTTCTCAGGTTTGTTCCCTCTGCCACCCTCAGGATAAAGTCTAAAATCTTTAACACAGTTTACAAAGTTGCAATTAATTTTCAGCCTTAACTCACTATGTCTTCCAGCACACTCTGTGTTCTCACCACTGTGAAATGACATTCCTGTAGTGGGCTATGCACTGTAACCTCTAGTAGCTAAACTATCATTTAGTAGTTGCACATGTTGACCCCTGCACTTAGAATACACTTCCCTTCAATGCGTCCCCATTCACTTGCTTGTCTCTATTTTTTTTTTTTTTTTTTGAGTTTCAGCCTAGATGTTACTTTCTTTAGAGGAAATCTTCCCTAAAAATTTTCACTTCAACCCTCTGCTGTGGCCATTCTCCCATCTCCTACTATTCTTATCCCTGCCATAGCACTGTGTTCTCCACTAGGTTGTAAGCATCCTAAATCAATGAATCTATCTTGTTTATTCTTATATCCTAAGCCTCAATCACAGTGCCTAGCAGTAGAGGGAGGGTACACATTAAATAGTTCTATCCAGTTAAGCTAAACTAGAATACAGTCTTTAAGATAATTTTAAATAGTAACATTATATGATGCTGAACTTATAGAATCATTGTTTTGGGAATATGTTTCTTGAAGATCTTTTCTTTTTCTTATATGAGCTGAAAATGAAGTTAGAACTGTCTTATATAGAGTTTCTAATAAGAATTTTCAAAGCAAGCCACTGAGAATCTTTGTTTCTAGAAACAACTTATATTCCTTGAATGTAAAGAAAATCCATTGATTATGCTTCTCATATGCATTGAAATATGCTGGTAGTTAAGAAACAGATTTACCCATTGTATTCATTTCTTAGGGCTACCATAACAATACCACAAACCAGGTGGCTTAAAATAACAGAAATTTATTCTTTCACAATTCTGGATGCTGGACATTCAAAATCAAGGTGTCAGCAGGGTTAATTTTTCCTGAGGGTTCTAAGAGGGAGAATCTATGTTCCATGGCTTCTGGTGATGGCTAGCAATCCTTGGTGTTGCTTGACTCATAGGAACACCAGTTGACATCATTCCAGTCTCTGCCTCCATCTCCACATGCCATTCTTTCAGTTTTCCTTTCTTTCTTTACACGGCTATCTTCCAATAAAGGCACTAGTGATATTGGATTAGGGGCCCACCCTTCTCCAATATGACCTCATCTTAATTATGCTTGCAATGACCCAATTTCTAAATAAAGACACATGCTGAGGTACTGCGGGTTAGGACTTCAACATATATTTTTGGAGGGACATAATTCAACCTGTAAAACCAATTTTAGGGTACAAATGTTGGGTGAAAAAAATCTGTTTAGCTCTTTCTGTAGGAAAAACTAAAATTATTATTTGACAAAACTTCATTACTTTGGTGACATGGGCAGTCAAACCACAATTAATTTTTAAATCCCAAAAGTAATACATGTCCATTGAAGAAAGTAAGGGGCCAAAGATGAATACACAAAATAACTTTTCTGCCTTGTATCCTATCTCTAGCTCCACTCCTTTGAAATCTTTGCTGTAAACAATATGATTTGTGTCCTTCCCCATCATTCATCATGTCTGGACAAATACACCAAACACATATACAATTGTGGGATGAGTTTCCTTCCTTTTTTTAAACCATAATGGGAATAGTTTATATATCTTACTCTGAAACCTGACTTTTTTTTCAATCTCATGCACTTTTTAGCTGTTGCATGATAATTTATAATATGGAGGTAATGACATTTATTTTACAATGTGCCTGTTAACATTCACATTGTTTTCAGTTTTTGCCACTATGAGCAACCTTGGAATTTCTATGTGTTATCTTCTAACATATTCTTCTATACTGATGTTTTAACTGTTAGAGGTTTTCAAAAGTGAGCATGCTTGCTCAAAGAGTATATATATATATATATGTATAGTTTTAATAGGTTTTTCTATATTGCTTCCCAAAAAGAAAATACATGGCTCTTTAGCCCCATGAGCTATATTGAGAATGTCTGCTGCCTCACCAACATGAAATGATTTTGCATACTTTAATCAAGACTAATCTGCAGGGTAGAAAATACATCTCATTTATTTACCTTTCATCTCCCTGACATCTAGTTTTCAGCTGATGTTTCCTTCTACATGTATTTATTGGCCATTTGAATTTCTTCTTACATGAGTTGTCTGTTTTTAATTCCTTGCTTATTTTTATATGTTGTTGTTTGTGATTTTCTTAAAATTTTGCAGGAGCTTTGGATACTTTAGAAATACTAACCCTGTGTTTCTCACATGTGTTATTTTTTTCAAATCTATTGATCATCTTTAGAGTTTGTCTATGGCCTCTTTTTCCATATAGATTTTCCATTTTCATGGATTCAAATTGTGTAATGCTTACATATCCTTTTCTGCTTAGGAAGCATTTCCCACTCTAAAATTATTTATTTTCTAAATTTTCTTCATGTTTATTTTTTGCATTTAAATTTCAAATCTATTAGTAATTTATTTTTATATGTTATGTAAAATGGGTGTTTAACTTTGTTTTCCTCCAGAGCGGCCAATTATGCCAGCACCATTTATGTATTAAACAAAACATCTTTCCCCTCTAAGCTGACATATAATATCTAATTTGATTCCCATATATACTTGTATCTATTTCAAGACTGCTACTCTGTTCTACCCAGCTATTTCTCTGTTGCTATGCTAATACTGTGCTATATTTATTACAGTAGAATGGCAGACTTCAAGTTGCCTAGCCAATGTCTTGTATTCCTTTCTTCCTTACCAACAGAACCTTAATTTTGCCTGGGGTAGCAGTGAGGCCAGCTATAATAGAAAATTACATTTTTTTCCCTTGCTTTCAGATATGTATGGCCAAGTGACTCAGATCTAGTCAGTGAAATGCAAATAGAATTGTTGGGTGGGACTTTTACAGATTTCTTTTAAAGTGGGGACAGATAGCTGAGGGAGGTGCCTTTTGTCCTGTACTCCCATCAGGATGTCACAGAGCTACCATATTGGCTTTGTATCATCTACTCTGCAAATCTCCTAGATGAGAGAGCAGATCTATCTCTAAATCAACACTCAAATTGGCTAACACAATCACTAAGAGATATATGTGATATTGTGCTAAAAACCATATCCAGTAATCTCTTGGTCAGTTGTTTGTTTAATCAGGCTGTCTGACCTCCCAGCCTGTCATGGCTGCTGGGAACACAGCTTCCAAGCTTTCCCTGGGGTCCCCTTGGCCAAGAGAGGATCTGTTCACTTGGTTGGGGATGTAGGATCTTGTTTTTTATTTCTTACTTATATGAATTGATTATTTCAACTCTGGTCTCAGTGCTTTAGCTTAAAACTTCTAAAACCACATTAAAAAATAATGGCAATAAGGTTGTTTCTGATTTATTCTTGATTTTAACATTTTGTTTTTAGTGTAATGTTGGCTCTTGTTTTTTTGGTAAATATATAATTTTTTAAACTTCTTGATTTTTTACCAAATACCCAGACTTCAAGGAGATAAAACTTCTCTTTTGGAGGAGCAAACAGCTTTCTAAAATAGTACGTTTAGTTTTTCTATATCCATTTAACCTTTGAATGTTATCAAATAACGTTTTCAATATACAATCATATAGGATTTGTCTTTTCTTTGGTGCCATGAATTATGTTACTGGATTTCCTGCTGTTGATTCAGCCTTACATTACTGGAATAAACTCTGTGAGTGGTCATTTTTCTTTAAATACACAGTTACATGTTGATGTAACAAATTATACTGATGGATATAATAAACACTTTTTCATGGTATATTATTCTTTTTATATACTCGTGGATTTAATTTGTTAATATTTTATTTAGAATTTTTGCATCAATGTTTATAAGTAAAATTAGTATCACTTTGTATACTGAAGAAATATAGGGAATAATTATATAACAACTATGTAGCTCCCACCTAGCTTAAACTTTGGGAGGCTGAGGCAGGCAGATCATGAGATCAGGAGTTCAAGAACAGGCCGGCCAAAATAGTGAAACCCTGTCTCTACTAAAAATACAAAAAATTAGCCGGGTGTGGTGGTGTGTGCCTGTAATTCCAGCTACTTGGGAGGCTGAGGCAGGAGAATCACATGAACCTGGGAGGCAGAGGTTGCAGTGAGCTGAGATCGCGCCATTGCACTCCAGCCTGGGTGACAGTGTAAGACTCCATCTCAAAAAAAAAAAAAAAAAAAAATTCAATACATCTTTCATTGAAGTCCTTTATGTAGTATGAGTCACATTCTCCTACCTCTTCCAGACGTAACCACCACCCTGAGTTCATGTTTTTAATTCCTTTGCATGCATTTATATAATAAAAATATAGAATTGCTTTGGATGTTTTAAAATGTTATGCACATGGTCTTGTACTGTTCATTTTGCCCACTGCCTAGACAGAGCAGATTTATCTGGGGAACTGCAATAGAGAAAGAGTAATTCACACAGAACCAGCTGTGTGGGAGACCGGAGTTTTGTTATTAGTCAGATAACTCTCCCTGAGCACTTGGGATCAGAACTTTTAAGGATAATTTGCTGGGTAAGGACCAATGAGTTGGGAGTGCTGATTGGTTGGGTTGGAGATAAAATCATAGGGAGTAAAAGCTGCCCTCTTGCACTGAGTCAGTTCCTAAGAGGAGGCCACAAGATCAGTTGAGCCAGTTTATTGATCTAGGTGGTGCCAGCTGATCCATCAAGTGTGGAGTCTGCAAAATATCTCAAGCACTGATCTTAGGTTTTACAATAATGATGTTATCCCCAGGAGCAATTTGAGGAGGGTCAAAATCTTGTAGTCTCTAGTTGCGTGACTCCTATATCATAATTTCTAATCTTTTGGCTAATTTATTAGTCCTCCAAGGTAGACTATTCTCCAGGCAATAAGGGGATTTGTTTTGGGAAAGGGCCATTATCATTTTTGCTTCAAAATATAAATTAAGGTCCTCCCAAAGTTGGTTCAGCCTACACCCAGGAATGAGCAAGAACAGCTTGGAGATTAGAAGCAAGATGGAGTTGGTTAGGTCAAATCTATTTCATTTTCTCAGTTATAATTTTGCAATGGCTGTTTCATTATTCTGCTGCTATTTTAGTTTAACACTGTAGCTTTTAGATTTATTTATATTGGCAGATGTAGCTCAGTTCATTCATTTTTACTGTTGTGCAGTATTCCATCATGTGAATAGTCAGGGTTTCTCAGACAGACAAAACAAATGAGGATACGCGTGCGCGCGCACACACACACACACACACACACACACACACACATATATATATATAGACATATGAGGAAGAGATTTATTATGGGAACTGGCTTGCATGAGAAGTCCCAGGATATGCTGTCTGCAAGCTAGAGAATCAGGAAAGCTGGTGGTGTAATTCAGTCTATGTCCAAAGACCCAAGAAACAGAGGAACCATTGTTATAACCAGGAGTTCTGATGTCTGAGGACAAGAGAAGATTGATATCAATTGCTCAGGACGATGGAGTTTACCCTTCCTCCACCTCTTTTGTTCTATTTGGGTGGGTCTGCAATGGATGGGTGAGGGTAGATCTTCTTTACTTAGTATATTGATTTAAATGGTAATTTCTTCTAGAAATACCCTCTCAGACACACCCCGCATGCATCCCTTAGCCCAGGCAAATTGACACATAAAATTAACCATCACAGACATTGAAAAGGTGAGGGACAACTGAGGGATTCTTCCCAGGGCCTCTGCCTTGCAGTGACCCTCCTAACCTCCTCTGTGGTCCTCCAGCCAGAGAGAGGATTTCTCTTGGCGCTTTTTCTGCTCATACCCTCTGTGCAGTTCCAGGATTCTGGCTGCTCTGGAGCCTAATCCCAGAGGCATGAGAGAAGAAAACAGCCCTGAAGAAAATCTCTGCCATATTGCTTATTCTTTGTGCTTTATATTTCTCTTCAATCTGCTTGCTTTTATTTACTTTTCAGAGTCCTCAGTTAGTCTATTTATGCATCCTGTCTAGGATTTTTAGTTATAATCAGTGAGAGAGAGAGAGAGAGAGGATGTGATGTTGCTTACTCTGTCCTAACTGGAAGTAGAAAATCCACATTGAGCTGCCTCTTCACAACTGGGAGAAGGACAGCACGGCCTCAGTCACTAAGCCCTCTCAGGCTCAAGAATGTTTGGACACCAAGAGGCTGCTGCTTAAAGAATTTTTATCTATTTATTTGTTTTATTATTGCTTCCCTGTTTATTCTCCTTTCTCTTCTGGATCTGTCCTTACTATTGAAATAGGATAGTTCCCTGCCCCCTTTGCAGGACTCACAAAGGGGTTGGCTCATTTACTCAGCTCACAGCTCTCAACCCCTTGTGGAAGGGGAAGCACTCATGTGAGTGGGTACAGAGACCAGGACAAGTGCTTCTGGGCAACCAGCAGGAGCAGAACTGTGTGTGGGACTGTGGCAGTGTCTAGGGCATGTGCGACAGTGTGCTCTTTTAGCTTTGCCATCTGTGGACAGCTTAAGTGTTAACCAGCTCAGTGGAGGGTCAAGGTGACAACTTCTTGTACCTGCACTCAGGTCCTTGTCTAGTGTCCAGGAAGAATCAGGTTGCACAAACGAATTGAATGGTGGTGAATGTGGAGGATTTTATTGAGTGGTGGAAGTGGCTCTCAGCAGGATGGGGAGCTGGAAAGGGGATGGAGTGGTAAGGTGGTCCTCGCCTGGAATTCAGCTGCCCCTGTCTGAACTCTTCTCCAAGGTCCTGCCATCAAACCATCCTTCTGAAGTCAAATTGCTTCTCTCCAACATCTGGCTGCTGCTTCTCTTCTTTCCTCTCCTTCTCTGCTGCTCTGCTACTGTGCTGCTCCACTGGTGGGGCCTGGGGTTTTTATGGTTACAGGATGGGGGGCAGGGTGGGCCAGGATGGTTTTGGAAAAGGCCACATTTGGGTGGGAAAACAGGAATGCATGTTCTCACTTTGGACCATGGGTCCAGGCTTGAGGGGACCGCCCTCTTGTACCCAATATTTCCCTGCTTCCAGTCCATATCACTATTCCATCTGCCCTTCCAGTGTCTTGCATTTTCCTTCATAATTAAAATATCTTTGTGTTTATATATTAGGAACTATTTCTTTTCTTTTTGTCTTCCCAGAGTACAAATTTGATTCTCATCAGTGAATGCCATTTTGTTTTTTTACTTTTAAAGTTAAAATGTCATAATTTTAACACTTAGAAAATCTTCTTTGTGTTCTAAATTATCTTCTTGAGGCTTCTCATATATCTTTTCCATCAGTTTTTCTTTAGTGGAATTCACCTCTTCTAGATGTTAGCTTGGGATTTTTCCGTCAGCTTTTGGATTTCCTGCAGTGAATTTTAATTTTCATTAACTGTTCATAATTTTCTGAAAGTAGTTTAGGCTAGTAGTGTCTCTAGAGCTAGGAGAGTAACAACCTAGTGAGGAGTGTGAGCAGTGTGAGGGCAACCTTAAGGCCTCTCCACAGCACTGAGCCTGAGATGAGTTCCACTTACCATGGCAGGTATCCTTCAGGTCCACTGGGCTTAGCTTCCCAGACAATACACAAGAGGCAGCAATTGAAGGTGCAGCATCTTCCTCTAGGGAATTGTAGGCTTCTATTAACTGGCCCAAAGGAACCACAGAACCCATTTTTTCCCTTTGTTTCCACTCTTCTTTTTCTCCTCTCTCTCTCTCCATCTCTTTCTCTCTCCAGTTCCCATGCCTGCTTTCCCCTAGACATTATGGGAGACTACCTTAATCTAAAGTGACCTCTTTATCTGCGCCCCTCCCCCACTGCTGGCTTTATTTTTCTGGTTTTGTATTACACCCTAAAGAGAGTTGGGAGGGAGAGAGTTAGCGATACCCACCAAGGACACTTTCTCAAATGAATCATGATTGCATTCTCATTCCTCAACCCCAGTTGAAAACCATCAAATATCTAGTGAACTATGTTCCACTGATTGAAAGTTAACAAACTTGATTTACTTAATTTTGCCTATGATTATTTTATCTCTATTACTTTCTTGATTTATGTCACAATCTTCTACTAAAAAGTAATAAATCACTCAATAGAGTGAAAATGCAACTTACAGAATGTGAGAAAGTATTTACAAACTATGCATCTGAAAAGGGATTAATATCTAAAATATATAAGGAACTCACAAAAATTAATAGCATTATACACACACACAAACATATATATATATATATTTAAAATGCTGTTGAGATGTGTGAGCTCCTATATGTGTGTGTGATATAAAATACTATTGAGTTCTGTGAGTTCCTTGCATATTTTAGATATTAATTTTTTCAAAGACAATATACAAATGGCGAATGGGTATATGAAAAAATGCTCAGGATCACTAATCAGGGAAATGCAAATTAAAAGCACAGTAAGACATAATTTCACACCTGTTAGGGTGGCTACTGCCAAAAAGACAAAATGTAACAAGTGTTGGTGAGGATGTGGAAAACCTGGAACTCTTGTATACTGTTTATGGAATGTAAATTGGTGTAGCTGCTATTAAAAACAGTATAAAATTACTCAAAAATTAAAAATATAACTACCATAAGATCTAGCAATCTCACTTCTGGATATTTACCCAAAAGAATTAAAATCAATATCTCAAAGAGATATGAGCACTATTCACAATAGCCAAGAAGTTAAAATAACCTAAATGTCCATCAATGGATGAATGAATTTTTAAAAATGTGCTGTATACATATAATGGAATATTCAGCCTTAAAAAAAGGAGATTCTGCAATATGTGATAGCATGGGTGAACTTTGATGACATTATGTTAAATGAAATAAGCCAGTCATAGAAGATATGCTACATGATTCCACTTATATGACGTAAGTAAAACAGTCAAACTCATAGAGGAAACATACTCTATGGTGTTGTTATTTTACTAACAACAACAATAACCAAAACAAAATACATTAAAAGACAGTAAAAGTAAGAAGAGGGAATGAAGAGTTCTTAAACTCTCTTCATTATCAAATCATATCCTAAGGAGTGGATCTAATACCAAGCATTACTTTTGTGAACTTAAGCTAAAATGTTGCTGTTCTTAAGGATATTTTTCTGAGAAGCTTTATGCTTAATTGTGGAAGAAAGGGCTTGTTTCTACTGATGGAAGTTATGACAGAAGCCAATAAGTTGAACATTTATTTTGGGAATACCTCATGGGTTGATTACAGACAATCTCTGACTTATGGATGGTTCAACTTAATGCATTTTTGACTTTAGGATGCTGTGAAAGGGATACACATTCAGTAGAAAGTTTACTTCAAGTACCCATACAACCATTCTGTTTTTCACTTTCAGTATAGTATTCAAAAAATTGCACAAGATATTCAATACTTTGTTGTAAAATAGGCTTCATGTTAGATAATTTTGTCTAACTGTAGGCTAATGGAGATGTTCTGGGCACCTTTGAGGTAGGCTAGGCTAAGTATTGTGTTCAGTAGATTAGGTGTATTAGATGCATTTTCAACTTACAGTATTTTCAAACTACGATAGGTTTATCAGGATGTAACTCTACTGAGGAGCTTCTTTCTATTCTGCCCTACTTCTACTAAGAGGGGGAAAGGTAATTTGTAATAAATGGTAACATTGCATTTGTACTTAAGTGTAGAATCTTTGTAGCCTCTTGCTATGATGACTAAACTAGCTGTAGGTGAACCCATAGCCCTCAACAGACATTACGTAACTCATTAGATATATAAGTAAATTATAAAGTCATATATATGCATGTTTTCTGCTAATGTGTTTGCCTTTAGCATGAAAATAAAATGCTTATAAGAATAGCTGTTGAAAGTCTATTTTCATGATAATTGCATAGTCTTATTTTACTGAGAGGTGCCATAACTATCTTTGCCAATCGTTGTATTTTATAGCCAACTTAATGCTTGAAATCACTGTAAAGATAATTTTTCTGCCTGGAATTGCTCATAAAGAATGATAACCCTGGTGCCTGGAGCTTGTTGGGATCTTATGAGATTTGGTCTAGCTAGGTGGTTTGTATTTTATGCCAGTCATAATTCAAGGGTTGTAGGGTATAGTTTTATTTTGACCTGATCGGGCAATCATTTCTGTTCTTGCACAGGTATTCTTCTTGATAATGGCTCCATTTAGTGGTTTAAATCAGACATAAACTTATTGACATCGCTGGATGGTTTAAAAAAATTTTACTTTCTGATATCTTTGAAGAAGAGGAAAGAGATCAGTGATCCTTTTTCAAGGAGGCATTCAGAGTTCTTGAAACCATTATATCTAGGTGGTTTCACACCAAGTTGCAAGTGCTTCCTTTGTGGCCTTTCCAGCTGTAGCTGGCTATGCTATTTATTCATTCACTCACAAAAAGTTATTGAATGCATGCCATGTGCCAGGCTCTGTTCTAGCTCTTGAGGCTATAGTGGTGAACAAAACAGTTGAAAAAAGTCCCTACCTTTAAGAAACTTATTTGTTAGCAGGGATAGAAATTATGGGCAAGGTAAATAACATATTAGATACTGACCAAGAGTTAGAAGAAAAATAAAGCTGGGAAGCACTGGGAAAAGGTTTGTAGTTTACATAATATGATCAGGGAACGCCAACTGGAGAAGGTGACTTTTGCACAAAGACTTGATGTGAGAAATAAGGTACATGGATAGTTCATGGAGGGTTATTCCTGGCAGAGGGAATAGCAAGTAACAAAGCTCTGAGGCAGGAGCAGTACTGGTATGTTTGAGGAACAGTGAAGATGAGGCCAGGGGTGCTGGAACTGAACGTATAAACAAAAGTAGGAGCTGAGGTAATGACAGGGGCTGGGAACAGATTAGGTAGAGCCTTATAGGCCATGTTTAAATCTCCCTTTTCAACTCAAGAGAAAAATTATCGAGGGCCAACAAGAAGTTCAATTTCTACTTTGCAAAATATTACTGATGCCAGGCATGTTTTCTGAGTACCAAAACATACTTCTTCCCATTAGCACTGTGGAATACCTCGATTTTCTTTTATTAATGAAAATAAAGACTAATGTTTGTTTGGTGTTGTGTCTACATTTCCTAATTAAAATTAATTTTCGAGCAGTTACAATTTTCTTGGTTCTTTGCTATTTCCTTCATGTTCTCAAAGCAGAAAGGCTTTCCTTCTGCCTCCTGGGAAGTATTACACAAGCAGTTATTCCTATATTATGTTGTTGAAACTTGAAATGTCAAATAACTGACTCAGAGCCAGGGATTATGACCTTGATCAGTTTAATCTCAGTTTTGTATTTGAGATTATTCAAATACTGAGCACTCAATAAATTACATGGCATTGAATGGAATTAATTCAATCCTAAGTATAGATGGCCTAATTCTCCTTGAACTAGTACTTCATTTAACTTGGAGATCAAATATATAAGCAGTTCCTATAATGTGTGAATGCATGAGGAAGATATTTCTGAAATGAAAAGCTGGAAATGGTGGAGAAAGTCTACTTGCTAAAGCTCTCTCTTTTAAAGACATCCACCTACCTCTCCTGATATCTTCCTACTATTGCTTAATTACTGTATACGTTAGGGATGCACTTTTTTCTACTGAAATATAAGCACCACAAAGAAAGAAACTGTGACTGATTTATAATCAATCATGCTATCCTTGAGCTTCATATGGTGCCAGGTCCATTGTAGGCACTTGTATTAGTCTGTTCTCATGCTGCTATGAAGAAATACCTGAGACTGGGTAATTTAGAGTGAAGAGGTTTAATTGACTCACAGTTAAGCATGGCTGGGGAGGCCTCAGGAAACTTACAATCCTGGCAAAAGGCACCTTTTCACAGGGCAGCAGGAGAGAGAATGAGAGACAAGCAAAGGGGGAAAAGCCCCATTCTAAAACTGTCACCCCCATGATTCAATTACCTCCCACTGGGTCCCTCCCATGACACATGGAGATTATGGGAACAACAGTTCAAGATGAAATTTGGGTGGGGACACAGCCAAACCATATCATTCCCCCCCGGCCCCTCCCAGATCTCATGTCCTCACATTTCAAAACACAATCATGCCTTTCCTACAGTCCCTCAAAGTCTTAGCTCATTCCAGCATTAACCCAAAAGTACAAGTCTGAAGTCTCATTTGAGACAAGGCAAGTCCCTTCTGCCTATGAGGCTGTGGAAATGAAAGCAAGTTAGTTACTTCTTAAATACAATGGGGATACAGGCATTGGGTAAATACACCCATTCCAAATGGGAGAAATTGGCCAAAATGAAGGGGCTACAGGCCCCATGTAAGTCTGAAATCCAGCAGGGCAGTCAAATCTTAAAGCTCTGAAATGATCTCCTTTGACTGCATGTCTCACATCCAGGTCACACTGATGCAAGAGGTAGGCTCCCATGTCCTTGGACAGCTCCACCCCTGTGGCTGTGCAGGGTAAAGCACCCCTCCTGGCTGCTTTCACAGGCTGGCATTAAGTGTCTGCAGATTTTCCAGGTACATAGTGCAAGCTGTTGGTGGATCTACCATTCTGCATTCTGGAGGATGGTGGCCCTCTTCTTACAGCTTCACTAGGCAGTATCCAATAGGGACTCTGTGTGGGGCACTGACCCCACATTTCTCTTCCACACTGCCTAGCAGAAGTTCTCTGTGAGGGCTCCATCCCCACAGAAAACTTCTGCCTGGAACATCCAGGCATTTTCATACATCCTCTGAAATCTAGATGGTTTCCAAACCTTGATTTTGACTTCTGTGTACCCACAGACCCAACACCACATGGAAGCTGCCAAGGCTTAGGGCTTGCACCCTCTGAAGTAATGGCCTGAGTTCTACATTGGCCACTTTTAGCCAAGGCTGGGAGGCAGGGCACCAAGTCCTGAGACTACACAAAGCAGCAAGGCCCTGGGCTTGGCCCACAAAACCTTTTTTTCTCCTAGGCCTCTGGGCCTGTGATGAGAGGGGCTTCCATGAAGACCTCTGACATGCCATGGGGCCTTTTTTCCCGTTGTCTTGGTGATTAACATTTGGCTCCTCGTTACTTATGCAAATTTCTGCAGCTGGCTTGAATTTCTCCTCAGAAAATGTTTTTTTTTCTATTGCATCATCAGGCTGCAAATTTTCCAAATTTTTATATTCTGCTTCCCTTTAAACATAAGTTCCAATTCCAAACCATATATTTATGAATACATAAAACTGAATGCTTTTAACAGTGACCAAGTCACACCTTGAAGGCTTTGCTGCTTGGAAATTTATTCTGCCAGATACCCTAAATAATCTCTCTCAAGTTCAAAGTTTCACAGATCTCTAGGTCAGGGGCAAAATGCCTCCAGTCTCTTTGCTAAAACATAGCAATGTCACCTTTATTCCAGTTCCCAACAAGTTCCTCATCTCCATGTGAGACCACCTCAGCCTAGACTTCATTGTCCATATCACTATTAGCATTTTGGTCAAAGCGATTCAACAAGTCTCTAGGAAGTTCTAAACTTTCCCACATCTTCCTGTCTTCTTCTGAGCCCTCCAAACTGTTCCAACCTCTGCCTGTTACCTGGTTCCAAAGTCACTTTCACAGTTTTGGGTATCTTTACAGCAGCACCCCACTTCTAGTACCAATTTACTGTATTAGTTCATTCTCACGGTGCTATGAAGAAATGCCTGAGACTGGGTAATTTATAAAGAAAAGAGGTTTAATTGACTCACAGTTCCACATGGCTGGGGAGGCCTCAGGAAACTTACAATCATGGCAGAAGGCACCTCTTCACGAGGTGGCAGGAGAGAGAATGAGTGACAAGCAAAGGGGAAAAACCCCTTATAAAACCATCATCCCCATGATTCAATTATCTCCCACTAAGTTTCTCCCATGACACATGGGGCTTATGGAAACTACAATTCAAGATGAGATTTGGGTGGGGTCACAGCCAAATCATATCAGCACTCAAAATAGTTAATGAATGAATTCATGAATTTAAATATAAGGCATTCTCTTTTTATTCTTCTGACTTCCCTCAAAAATTTTTACCCTGGGAACCTAATACAGAATTTTCTGCTTCTTTTTTTAAATGTAATTTTTCTTAAAGTTTTTTGTAAGTATGGAGTCTTGCTATGTTCCTCAGCCTGGTCTCAAACTCTTGGACTTTAGTGATCCTCCCACCTAAGCCTCCCAAAGTGCTAGGATTATAGGTGTGAGTCACTGTGCTTGGCTTTAAGGCAATTAAATAATTATTAAAACAACATAAACCTGGGATAAGTAAGAAATTGGCAAGCAGTAATGCTATCAACATATAGACTTTGGGTTGTGATTTCTTGAAAAATCCCATGGAGGAAGTTGATTTGAGGAAGTTCATTCATTCAACTTAGACCAATCTTCTACATGTGGCTTGGGGAAAAAAAATCAACAGCAACATTAAAAAAAAACCAGCAAGCATTTGTGGCTTAGAATATTACGTTGTTTTCTTTAATGCCTAAATCGCTTTTTCAATTCATTTTTCTCACAGTGGAGGCCTCACTCTACCCATTTGCCCTTCACTACTTAGTACAAGTGTGGTACAGATGCATAGATTCAGTGCAAGTAGACCTGGAAGTAAATTCATGTCTCACCAACAAAGCCTCAGTTTAAAAAGTGAGGTCAGGAGTTTCTAACTCATAGGCATGTTAAGATTAATTGAAATAAGATATGTAAAGTGCTAGCTTAGAGCTTGGAATGTGGAAGCCCACTGAAAGCCTTGCTTCCTCCTCCCTTCAAATGGTGGCTCAGCAGACCTGAATGACCTTTGTTCCTTCTTTTCTACTATTCCCTGGGTCATGTGAACCTACTGGACATTTAGGATTAAAAGGCATAGAGTTATATATAGAAGTAAGGTGGAACAATGGGAGTAGGGAGGAAATTAAGGAAAAGGGATAGAGTAAGGGAGAGAGAGGCAAAGAACAAAAAATAAAGGACAGGGTTCTTAGGGAAGCCATGGTTCAGGCATGATGGGATTATTTAAATAACTTTCTAATATGATTCCTTGCCTCTAATCATCTATCTTTTTAATGCAATCTTTACACTGCAACCATAGTTATTTTCTTCATTCGTTCATGCCATTTCTTATTCCATTACCTCCATCCCAAATCCACATTTACAGCCCTCTAAACAATTCCTATGCAGATTGTTTATGATTTTCTAAAAATAACATGACCTCTTCTGCCTTTATTAATTTGAGAATGCTCGTGTTTTGTTGAAATACTACTCAATTTGTCATTTTTAGCTCATGGACACTGGCTTCCTCATAAAATAGGCTCAATTCTTCCAGGTAGAACAAATGGCTTTTTATTGCTTACTCCTATAGAACTTGGTACATACTTTGATTATTATACTTATTTTGTCTGCCTTTATTAATATGAAAAGCATGATTATTAATCATCTTAGTCTCTGAAGTCATGAGTCTATAAGGGGAAACAAAAATTATAAAACATGAATAGAGTCAATAATTAGCTGACAGTTTATAATATTAACCCCAACTCTTCTAAAACTTCTCTTCATTTATCATAAATAATATCTACCTATCACCATAATATCTTTGACATTTCCCCTCTGGTTGTTGGTTGCTATAAACATTCCATAATATAATTTAGATATGATGTTAATGAACTGCTGTGAAATTTCATGAACCCCAAAATATAGGAAATCATGAAGTCCAGATAAACGCTGAAATAAACACGAAACTATTCATAAGATGAAAGCCAAGAGAAAATTAACAAGGATGATGACAAGAGCATCAAAGGAGAATAATTTGTATACCCAGGCATTAAAAAATTGGTGAAGCTGGCCAACATTCTTACAAATGAGATCATCTTTGCAAAAATGTTATAAAAATTCAAATGGGATATGAAGGTTGCCATACTACACATTTTGTAGAAAAAAAATTTCCCATAAAAATCCAACACAAAATTTATCCTTTGTTGCAATCATAACCTACATTTTGTTAAACATGAGATAAAATAACATTTTATCATGACTCTGAGTTTCCTTTTTTAAAGATCAAATCCAGGCCAAAACTTTTTTTTGACTGTATTTATTCTATGAATTTTTGTTTCCTCCGTTTGGAGGACTCTTTCCAGGTAACAATTGTCCTGGGAAAACAAACTCTTCCTGTAGTTAGTTATTTGCAGACCATTGGAAGCCATTAGAATGTCAGCTCCATGAAAACAACTACCATCTGTTCACCAGCCAACATAATGCCTGACACATAAACACTAAAATTCCATTTTGTGTGAGCCAGACACTATCTCAGCACTTTACAAAGATGAGCTCACTAAATCATCAATATAATTATTGGAGGTAGGTATTATTATTACCTTTATTTTACTAAGGCACAGAGAGATTAAGTAACTTGTCCAAGATCACACGGCTTGTAAGTGGTAGAGCTTAAAATTAAACCCGAGCAGTTTGGTTCCAAAATCTATTCTCCTAGCCATTACACTATGTTGTCTCTGCTGCCTATAGATGTTTGTAGAATAAGTTAAGCTTTGAATGTGTAATAGTCTTTCTGAGTATAATAATGAAGTTTTCAGGTCAGACTCAAATGAGCTCTGAGGAGGAGGGAGATCCATTAAGGAGGCTTATGATAGTTTATAAGAAACTCTAGAAGAAAAATGCAAACACAAAACCAAAAACCTCCAAAACTTCTCCAATGAATCTAAGACCCTCTGGCCCCTTTCAACATATTATTTTATTCCATTTGTATCCTCATTATTTTTTAAAAACATTGATAACAATATTTATTTTCTTAAATAGAGATAGGGTCTCACTATGTTCCCCAGGCTGGCCTTAAACTCCTGGGCTCAAGTGACCCTCCTGCCTCAGCCTCCCAAAGTGCTGGGATTACAGTCATGAGCCACCATACCTGGACTTCATTTTTTTAAATTATAAAATAGAATGTATAAAATGTAAATATTACTGAAATACCTTATGCATATTTCACCAACTATGTTTTCTACTACCTATAGATACATCTTGCATTATAGCCTGAATTGCTTTGCCATAAGTCCTCTATTGACAGTACTATTTGGTTTCACAGTGGGAATGGTACAGGCTAAAAAAAGATCAAGACTTATTTACTTTCTCTGTACGGCACTTGGCCTGGGGACCAGCAGCAGGCCAATGCTGGAATCCCCTTTCCATTTTCATACTCCATCTAGGGTGCACTTGAGGTTTTTTTTGCTCCCACATTTTTCTCCAGCAGCCTCATCCTTACCTCACTTTACAGCAACCTATTCTTTTCTAGAACTTTGTTTAGTTTTTACTTCTGTGCCTCAATCTTTTAGGAACCTGCTCTCTACCGGCTGACAGACAGATGCCTAATTTGATGGTCTACCCAGGACTCCCGGGTTTCCTGAGTTGTCTCAGCAGTTAGAGGTAGGATGATTTGTGGGTAGGACTAGAGCTGGAGAAAGTAGGCAGGCTCCAGGTCCACCATATTTCCACCAAGGAGAATACCTCACTGTTTATCTTTCCATATGTACTATGATGAAGATGGTATTCTCAACAGATTACAGTGGAATTCCTCTTAGAGAAGGAAGTATAAAGAAGCTGCCTATGTTGGGAAAACACCTTGATATATTCCACAGAGACAGAAAGTTAGGGATGGCAGAGCCTGAACAACAATACTAGATGGTTAAACTGCTTTGCATGAGAAAGTAAACAATTTTTGTTTATTATTATTTTGTTCTAAAAAGCAGGGGAGAAAAAAGAAAGAAGAGAAAAGAGTGGGGGTTCTATTAGGCTTCTCCAAAGAAACATAACCAATAGGATATCTATTTATCTCTCTCTCTCTCTCTAGATATATATATATATCCTAGATATATATATCCTATATATATATAAATTTATATATAGATTTATAAATCTATATATAGGCATAAAATACCTATATATATATATATCTATCTAGGATATATATATGTATTTATTATAAGAAATTGGTTCATTTGTTTGAGTCCCAAGATCTGCATTTCAGACGACTTAGAAACACAACTGATGGTATAAGTTCCAGTCTGAGTCAAAAGGCAGGAGAAGATCAGTGTTCCAGTTTGAAGAACATTAGGCAGAGAGAGAGAAAATTTTCTTTTACTCAAATTTCTGTCACATTCAGGTCCCCAGTGGATTGAGTGAGGCCCACCCACATTAGGGAGAGCAACCTACTTTTCTCAGCCTGGCAATTAAAATGTTAATCTCATCTGGAAATACCCTCTTGAGAGACATACCCAGAATAATGTTTAACCAAATATCTGGGCGCTCCGTGGCCTGGTCAAGTTGACACATAAAATGAACTAGCATAGGGGGTAAAGAAAGGTGCCAGCAAAATAGTATGAGGTAGGAGACTGTTGTGGTGAAAGAATAGTGGAAAGTTCCCTGTGGAGGGGCAGAAGAAAGAACTTTCTAGAAGGAATAATTTTTGAAGCCAACTTTTATGTTCCCTCAATAATTTGAGAAAATTTAACCCCAAATGATTTGTGTGAGTATGGTGAGTGCTGAAAATCATGAGAGGAATGTTTTCACATCAGCACAACACAGAACATAAGCAGCATGTATGCCGGAGGTGTCTGTCTCCAAGCAAAGTATACCATACCCCACCCAGTCCCAAGAAGTCACAGATATCTTTGCACTGCCACAGAGTGGGGAATTCAGGGGTTCAAAGCAAACTTATATATCTTGCAAAAATATTGAAGAGGCTGGTTTATATGTATATTTTGTTTGAAAAAAGAGTTCCTCTGATTAAAAGTGATTTTGTGTATGTGTGTGTTTGTGTGTGTGTCTGTGTGTGTGTCTGTCTAAAACCACAGAACCCTAATCGACACTACTCAAAAAAGTTCATTTGCTCAAATTATTTTCCAGCCAGGAGCATACTTAGGGATGATAAAGAAACTTTGTGATGATGAACTCAGACAAATAGCGGAAGCTCTAGAGGACAAAGGCTGTGTCTCAGCACCAAGCATATGCCTGGAAAATAGTAGAGGTGCCAATTAATAGTCATTGGATAGAATCCAGCATTTAAGACAGTCACTTTCCTGGCTAGTATGGTCTTGCTCTTGGTAAAGTCTCCTTCTGGCACAAATTAAGTCTGCCTTTAATACCAACCTCAGTGGAAAATTAAATATTTGCTGCTGATCTCTCCTTACTGGCTCATGAAGAAGCTTCCCTCCTGCTGATTTTAATGATGTTTATGTGTGCAACATTAATACTGTGGTAATTAGTGCTATAAAACTCTATAGGAAATGTTTCAATTTTGCTGCTCTCAAGTATTGGGATCTCCCCTGATGAGATTTATTGTAGAGCTTTTATCTGTTTTTGTTCAATGATTCATTTTTGGGAAGAGTTTCCCTCATATACATTTAAAAGCATATAGTTGAGAAAGAAAAGGAGACAAAGCTCCCCCTCTTTCTCTTTGCCTCTGCCTGAAAATCATCCAGAACATTTATTAAATGTTGGGATGAAAGTATCAGAGAATGATGGACAGGGAAGAAAGATGCTGCCGCTCCAATGTTTCGGGTCTCACTGGGTTCCCTGCTCTCACTTTCCTCCTCTCCCCACAAATGTGCCCAATCTTTTCACCTGTAGGCTCGTTGCAGCCAGGGCCAACCTGGTCAGTCAGAGCTGGGTGGGGTATGGAGTAGTCCTTTAGATCAATACTTATTTTTTTTTTTCCTTTAAAAAACACCCTCCATGGCCGGGCAAAGTGGCTCACGCTTGTAATCCCAGCACTTTGAAAGGCTGAGGCGGGTGGATCATGAATTCAGGAGCTCAAGACTATCCTGGCTAACACAGTGAAACCCTGTTTCTACTAAAAATACAAAAAATTAGCCAGGTATGGTGGCATGAGCCTGTAGTCCCAGCTACTCAGGAGGCTGAGGCAGGAGAATCACTTGAATCTGGGAAGCAGAGGTTGCAGTGAGCTGAGATTGTGCCGCTGCCCTCCAGCCTGGGCGACACGGGGAGACTCCGTCTCAAAAACAAAACAAAACAAAACCAAAAAAACTCCAAAAAACAAACAAACAAACAAAAAAAAAACAGAAAAACACCCTCCACTTCTCTCTCTTATGACTACAAAGAGTAGATTTAGGTTTTTTGTAACTTGATGTGTTATAGTCACTACTTACAGATTCAGCCAGCTCTAAAAACACACCCCATGGCTTGTTCAGGGACCATGTTTCCTTGTATGGGAACCAAATCATTGTGTTATTTCTTGGGCTTGTCTTGTTAATTTTTATTGTACATCTAGTCATTCAGCTCTTCCTCTTTCTAACCTTTATTCCCCACTCTCAATTTGGCTAATCTACATTCCACTTCCCACACTTTACCTCAACAGGTGAGAGCTCCAGCGAACTATGTTTTGGGTGGGTTGAGTGAGCATGACAGGCCCACAGGTGCTCTGAAAAGTGATTTCTAGGAGCAAAACAGAAACTAAACCTAAGAATTCCAAAAGCATTTTCCCATTTTTTTTTCTATATAAACAGTTACATTGAATTAGAATCTAAAATCTTTTTTGATTAATAGTATTATGGAATGCTATCAAAAATGCAAATTTCACCAATTGTCCCCCAAGCTTAAAAATTATTCTTTTATTCCAGGGTCCACTTAAAAATTGCTCATTGTATTTAGTTTTTATATCTCTTTGGTTTCTTTTTTGTGAGATTTGTTTGTTTTTCATGATATTCACTTTCTACTGTCTTTGAAGTTCATTATCTCCAGAAAGCAGATTATATGTTGCTTGTCTGCTCCTGCTCCTTTTGTTTCTTATCTGTTCCTCCTCTGGAGTCTTCATCATTCATATCCCTCTAGACCAGTTCCAGTACCTGGTAATATAACTGTGCAGACTTCATACTATAACTGCCACTGTCTTCTGAAAACATGGGGTAGAGGAGAAGATTTGGGTGTAAACACACAAACACATAGATAAACACATAGACGCATGCATAAGACCCTTCTCTCCTCTGGGATTTCTCTTCTAGAGCTGTTCATTATCAGACCAGTAATGCAGAAATTTTTCAGTGCTGCTTTGCCAGCTGGACCACACTGTCCAGGGCCTCATGGTCCAGGGCTTTCAGCTGTCCAGAGCCTTACTCAGCTCTGAGATCACTGCTGGAGGTATCCCGCCCACTTGGCCTGGTGGGCTGCACTTGACTTGTGCTCCAGCCTGTGGCTGGAGTGGGCATGCCACAGCCGGCTTCCATCTTGGACACTGGAATCTGGATGAGGGGAATGCAGTAGCACCCAAAAAACTTGAAGACGTCAGGAAACCCGGAACTCCAAAGGGGGTGTTGTTCCCGCTGCCTGCACCTTGGTGAGTGGGGTCCTGTTGCATGGGGTGTCTGCCAGGTGCCAGCGGAATGCAGAGGGCTACAGTGTAACAGCCTTTTTCGTACCTGTGTTCAATGGGTTCTGAGCTCTTGTACCATGTCCAAGAAGAATGAGGTTATGCTGACAACTGGAGGTTGAGCAGGGCAGAGAGTTTTACTGAGTGACAGAACAGTTTTCAGTGGAAAGGGGACTTGAAGGGGATAGTCTCGTACCCAAAGTTGGGTAGCTCTCCCAAGTGTGGCTGAGTCCGGGGGTTTTATGGGCTCAGAATGGGGGACTGTGTGCTGATTGGTTTGTGAGTATACAAAAAGCATAAAAAAGGAACCACTCAAAGATGGGCATGACAGTGTAAAAAAACAATTAGGGAAGGGTAGGTATATGTAAAATAGGTGAAGGGTAGGGCTCAATCAGAAGAAAGCACGCTGATCAGGAAGAGCGGTTCTCAATCTGGTCTGTAGATTTATCCAAGACTTGTAGCTCAATTTTCAGGCTTTAACTTGTCTTTAGTTTGAAGGTTGTGTTTCACTGAGGATGCTCCCCTGTCTGCCTAGGGTTTGTCTGCCTCCTGCTGCTATCACCAGGAACCCAGGACAAGAGAAACTGAGAATCCTCTCTGGTTGCCAAAGGTTACACTTATATACCACTTGAAATGTTAAGTAATAACTGCAGCTTCTGGGTGATGGGCAGATGATGGCCTGGCAAATGTCTGTAAGACTTCAATTTGGCATCTTTCCAGAAGATAATCTTTAAATACAGTGATGGCTCAGAAAGGCTGAAGGCATTTTTATTGCAGAGAGAGATTTTTAACTTGTCAGGAAAATATTTCTTTTCAGGAGAAAGACAATAAATTCATGCATGATAAAAGCTTGTCAGAACTCTTCCCCAGAGCCTAAAAGAGACACTGTCAGGCCATATATTGATAGGGAAGCAAGGATCTGCAGTGAAAGCTATTCCAGGCTTGAGTCTAGGTTGGCTTTCAACAGACAGGGATTACCCACTGCTCTCTCCTGCCTTTGAAGTTGGCTCAGGTGCCTCAGGATGGCTGAAATAGCCTATGCCAGTCCTGTACTGGATGATGGGTTACTCCATAAGTGGTTTTAAGTTTTATCGTCTCTCTAGGTTTATCTTCTTTTTAGGGGTTTCCGCTCTGCCTCATTTCTTTTCCTCAACAGAGGAGTGCTGACTATGTCACAGGCATCATGTCGGGAAGGACACAGTCATTGTCTTTTGCCTCCCATCATTCAGTCAAGCAGTAGGGCAGGGCTGTGCCTTTTATAAATCTGCTCTAGTCTTAGCCAGAGCTCAGCAAGTCTTTCTTAATTCCCAAAGGGGATTGATCCTTTATCTCTCTTTCCAATTTGCATACATTGAACTCACTGAACTACTTGAGACCTCCAGGTGAGTATCTCTGAATTTTGAGAGTTTTTTAAATAAAATGCAGGTATACTCCTGTATTCCAAAATTCCCTGCCCTTTCTTTGAAAAGCAAGAGACTTTTCTATTTTTTATTTCTAATTTTTCTGGGTACATAGTAGGTGTGTATGTTTATGGGGTACATGAGATGTTTTGATACAGGCATGCAATGCAAAATAGCACATAATGGGGAATAAAGTATCCATCCCCTCAAGCATTTATCCTTTGAGTTAGAAATGATCTGATTATACCCTTAAAGTTATTTTAAAATGTACAATTGAGTTATTATTGACTATAGTCGCTCTATTTTGCTATCAAATAGTAGGTCTTACTCATTCTTTCTATTTTTTTGGTACCCGTTAACAAACCCCACTTCCCTGCCCAACCCCACTATCCTTCCCAGCTTCTGGTAGCCATCCTTCTATTCTTTATGTCCATGAGTTCAATTGTTTTGATATTTAGATCCCACAAATAAGTGAGAACGTGAATGTTTGTCTTTCTGTGCCTGGCTTATTTCACTTAACATAATAAATAATGATCTCCAGGTCCACCCATGTTGCTTGCAAATGACTGGATATCATTCTATTTTATGATTGAATAGTACTCCATTATGTATATGGACCACATTTTCTTTATTCATTCATCTGTTGATGGGCATTTAGGTTGCTTCCAAGTCTTAGCTATTATGAACAGTGCTGCAATAAACGTTGGAGTGCAGATATCTTTTTGATATACTAATTTCCTTTCTTTTGGGTATACCCAGCAATGGGATTAATGTGTCATATGGTAGCTCAATTTTTAGTTTTTTGAGGAACCTCCAAACTGTTCTCCATAGTGGCTGTACTAATTTGCATTCCCACCAACAGTGTACAAGGGTTTCCTTTTCTTACATTCCGCCAGAATTTGTTATTGCCTATCTTTTGTACCTGGACAGAATGAGGTCCAGCTGCTTGTTCTCATGGTCCAAGCAGACTGGGAAAGAAGGGAGTTTATTTCTGCAACTAGTTATAGGGAGAAGGTTGGAGTAACTTACCAGACCAACTCAAAGTTATAAATTTTTCTTCAGAGCTTATATATATTCTAAGCTCTATGCCTACGTCTGGGAGTGTACCTACAAGTGGGAGTGTCTCATGCAATCTATATCTAATCTTTAACTAGGGTCTAGGATCTGGAAAGCTTTCTCCAGAGTCTTGGAAAGTTTCTTAATCTTAAGTGGGCCCTGGTATGAAGTGTATGTGTAAGAAAGTTTTATTATTTGATCAGACTTTAGGGTCTGAGAAAACCCAGGCTGAGTTGTAATGAGTTTGTTTTCACATTCCAGCCCTTTTACTCAGGTATCAATTTCTCCAGTTCTTTAATGTTTAATTTGTACATTCACCAGCATTATAGTAAAGGGTTAGTGGAAATTGACTGTTCTGGTTGCTAATGGAAACCTGGCCTGCCACATCTTGGATATAAGCCCTTTTAATTGGGGTGAAATTATATCTCATTGCAGTTTTGATTTGCATTTCTCTGATGGTCAATGATGTTGGCACCTTTTAAAATGCCTGTTTGCCATTCGTATGTCTTTTGAAAAATGTCTGTTTAGATCTTTTGCCTATTTTTGATCAGATTATTAGGTTTTTTTCCTATAGAGTGGTTTGAGCTCCTTATATATTCTGATTATTAATCCCTTTTCAGATGGATAATTTGCAAATATTTTCTCCCATACTGTGGGTTTTCTCTTCACTTTGTTGATTATTTCTTTTGCTGTGCAGACTATTTTTAACTTGATGTGATCCCATTTGTTCATTTTTGCTTTGGTTGCCTGTGCTTGTGGGGTTTGCTCAAGATATTTTTTCCCAGACCAATGTCCTGAGATTTTTTTCCAATTTTTTTTGTAGTGGTTTCATAGTTTGAAGTCTTAAATTTAAGTCTTTAATATATCTTAATTTTATTTTTGTATATGGTGATAGATAGGGCTCAAGCTTAATTCTTCTACATATGGATATCTAGTTTTCCCAGTACCATTTATTGAAGAGACTGTCTTTCCCACAATGTATGTTCTTTAAAGCTTTGTCAAAAATAAGTTCACCATAGGTATATAGATTTGTTTCTGGGTTCTCTATTCTGTTACATTGACATACATGTTTGTGTTTATGCCAGAACCATGCTGTTTTGGTTTCTATAGCTCTGTAATATAATTTGAAGTCAAGTAATATGATTCCTCCAGTTTTGTTCTTTTTACTTAGGATAGCTTTGTCTATACTGGATTTTTAGTGGTTCCATAAAACTTTAGATTTGTTTTTTCTATTTATTTGAAGAATGTCATTGGTATTTTAATAGGAATTACATTGAATCTATAGATTGCTTTGGGTACTATAAACATTTTAACAATATTAATTCTTCCAATCCATGAACATGGAATATTTTTCCATTTTTTGGTGTCCTCTTCAATTTCTTTTATCAGTGATTTATAGTTTTCATTATAGAGATCTTTTACTTCTTTGGTTAATTCCTAGGTATTTAATTTTATGTGTGGCTATTGAAAATGGGATTACTTTTTAATTTATTTTTCACATTGTTCATTGTTGGCCTATAGAAATGCTACTGATTTTTTATGTTGATTTTGTGTCCTGGAACTTTACTGAATTTTATTTATCACTTCTAATAATTTTCTTGTGGAGTCTGTAGTTTTTTTCAAATATAAGACCATGTCATCTGCAAACGACGATAATTTGACTTCTTCCTTTTCAATTTGGAAGTCCTTTATATCTTTCTCTTGTCTGATTTCTCTAGCTAGGACTTCCCATACTATGCTGGATAACTGGTGAAAGTGGGCATCCTTTTGTGTACCAGATCTTATAGAAAAGGCTTTCAATTTTTCCCCATTCAGTGTAATACTAGTTATGGGTCTGATTTATATGGTTTTTATTATGTTGAGGTATATCCCTTCTATCCCTAGTTTTTTGAGAGTTTTTCTCATAAAGGGATGTTGAATTGTATCAAATGGTTTTTCAGCATCAACTGAAATATTTATATGGCATTTGTCCTTTATTCTGTTGATATGAGGTATCACATTGATTGATTTTTGAATGTTGAACCATCCTTGCATCCCAGAGATACATCCCACTTAGTCATGATGAATGATTTTTCTATGTACTGTTCAATTCAGTTTGCTAGTATTTTGTTGAGGATTTTTGCATCAATACTTATCAGAGATATTGGCCTGCAGTTTTTATTTTTGATGTCTGTCTGGTATTGATATCAGGGTAATACTGGCCCCATAGAATGAGTTTGGAAGTATTCCCTCCTCCTTTATTTTTTGGAATAGTTTTTTTATATTTATTTTTATTTTTTAAAATTTTTTAGATGGAGTTTCACTCTGTCACCCAGGCTGTAGTGCACTGCAACCACCACTTCCTGGGTTCAAGCAATTCTCCTTCCTCAGCCTCCCAAGTAGCTGGGATTTCAGGTGCCCTCCTGGGATTTCAGGTGCCCACCATGCCCAGCTAATTTTGTATTTTTAGTAGAAATGGGGTTTCACCATGTTTGCCAGGCTGGTTTCAAACTCCTGACCTCAAGTGATTTGCCCACCTCGGCCTCCCAAAGTGCTGGAATTATGGGCATGAGCCACCATGTCTGGCCTTTGGAATAGTTTGAGTAGGATTGTCAATAGTTCTGTTAAGTAGGATTGTTATTAGTCCTGGCCTTTTGTTTACTGGAGACTTTTATTACAGCTTTGATCTTCTTACTCATTATTGGTCTGTTCAGGTTTTGGATTTCTTCATGATTCAATCTTGGTAGGTTGTATAGGTCTAGGAATTTATTCATTTATTCTAGATTTTCCAATTTATTGTCATTTATTTGCTCATAATAGCCATAATGACCCTTTGAATTTCTGCAGTTGTAATGTCTCTTTTTTCATTTTGATTTTATTTATTTGGATCTTCTCTCTGTTTTTCTTAGTTAGTCTTACTTAAGGCTGGTCAATTTTGTTTAACTATTTAAAAAATCAACTTTTTCATGCATTGTTCTTTTGTGTTTTTTTAATTTCAATTTTGTTTGTATCTACTCCAATCATTATTTCTTTTCTTCTACTAAATTTGGGTTTGGTTTGCTCTTGCTTTTCTAATTCTTTAGAATGCATCATTAGATTGTTCATTTGAAGTTTTTCCTCTTTTTTGACGTAGGCACTTATAGCTATAAACTTCCCTCTGAGTACTGCTTTTGCTGTATCCCATAAGTTTGGTATGTTGTATTTCCATTATCATTTGTTTCAAAAAATTTTTAAATTTTCTTAATTGCTTTATTGATCCATTGGCATTCAGGAGCATACTATTTTCCGTGTATTTGTATGCTTTCCAAAATTGCTTTTTATTTATTTCTAGTTTTATTCCATTGTAATCAGAGAAGATGCTAGATATTATTTCAGTTTTTAAAAAATGTTTGAAGACTTGTTTTGTTACATAACGTATGGTCTATCTCTGAGAGTTATCTATGTACTGAGGAACAGAATGTGTATTCTGCAGCATTTGGATAAAATGTTCTGTAAATATTTATTAGATATATTTGGTTTATAGTGCAGATTAAGTTCAATGTTTCTTTGTTGATTTTCTGTCTGGAAGACCTGTCCAATGCTGAAAGTGGGGTGTAGAAGTTTCCAGCTATTATTGTATTGGGGCCTATGTCTCTCTTTAGCTCTAATAATATTTGCTTTCTATATCTGGGTGCTCCAGTGTTGGGCACATATATATTTACAATTGTTATATCCTCTTGCTGAATTGACCCCCTTATTATTATATAGTGACCTTCTTTGTCTCTTCTTATAGTTTTTGTCTTGAAATCTATTTTGTCTGATATAGGCATAATGACTCCTTCTCTTTTTTGGTTTCCATTGGCATGGAATATCTTTTTCCATCCTTTTATTTTCAGTCTATGTGTGTCTTTATAGGTGAAGTGTGTTTCTTGTAGGCAACAAATCAATAGGTCTTGTCTTTGCATCCATTCAGCCAGTCTATGTCTTGTGATTGGTGTGTTTAGTCTATTTACATTCAATGCTATTATTGATAATTAAGAACTTACTCCAGCCATTTTGTTGTTTTCTGGTTATTTTCTGGTCTTCTCTTCTGTCTTTCTTTCCTCCCTGTCTTCCTCTAGTAAAGATTATTTTCACTTCTGATGTGATTTAGTTTCTTGCTTTGTATTTTTTGTGTCTCCATTGTATGTTTTTTGGTTTGAGGTTACTATGAGGCTTGCAAATATTATCTCATAAACCATTATTTTAACCTGATAACAACTTAACACTATTTGTACAAACAAGAAAAAAGAAAACTAATAAAAAATCTATGCCTTATCTTCATCCCTCAACTTCTTAACTTTATGTTGTTTCTATTTATATCTTATTGTACCATATCTTGAAAAGTTGCTATAGTTATTTTTGATCTGTTCATCATCAATTCTTTCTACTTAGGATAAGAGTAGTTTATACAACACAGTTACAGTGTTATAATATTCAGTGTTTTTCTGTGTACTTACCATTACTAGTGAGTTTTGAAACTTCAAATGATTTCTTACTGCACATTAATGTCCTTATCTTTCTGATCGAACTGCTCCCTATAGTGTTTCTTATAGAACAGATCTGGTATTGAGATCCCTCAGCTTTTGTTTGTTGAGTAATTTTTTATTTCTCCTTCATATTTGAAGGATATTTTCACTGGATATACTATTTTAGGGTGAAGATTTTTTTCTTTCAGCTCTTTAAATATGTCATGCCACTCTCTCCTGGCTTGTAAGGTTTCCAGTGAAAAATCTGCTGCCAGACATATTGGAACTCTCCTGTATGTAATTTGTTTCTTTTCTGTTACTGCTTTTAGGATCCTTTGTTGCTGATCTTTGGGAGTCTGATTATTATATGCCTCAAAGTAGACTTCTTTGGGTTAAATCTGCTTGATGTTCTGTAACCCTTTCATATTTGGATATTGATGTCTTTATCTCAGTTTGGAAAGCTCCCTGTTATCCCTCTGAATAAACCTTCTACTCCTATCTCTTTCTCTAGGTCCTCTTTACAGCCAATACCGCTTAGATTTGTCCCTTTGAGGCTATTTTCTAGATCCTTTATGCATGCTTCGTTTTTTATTCCTTTTTCTTTTGTCTCTTATGATTGTGTATTTTCAAATAGCCTGTCCTCAAGCTCACCAATTCTTTCTTCTCCTTGATCAATTCTGCTATTAAAGGACTCTGATGCATTCTTCAGTATGCCTATTGCAGTTTTCAGCTCCAGAATTATTGCTTGGTTCTTTTTAAATATTTCAATCTCTTTGTTAAATTTATCTGATAGAATTCTGAATTCCTTCTCTGTGTTATCTTGAATTTATTTGAGTTTCCTCAACACAGCTATTTTGAATTCTCTGTCTGAAAGGTCACATGTCTCTCTTTCTCCAGGTTTTGACTTTGGTGCCTTTTTTAGTTCACTTGGTAAGGTCATGATTTCCTGGATGATGCTGATGCTAGTGGATGTTCTTCGGTGTCTGGGCATTAAAGAGTTAGGTATACATTGCAGTCTTCACTGTCTGGGCTTATTTGTAGTCATCTTTTTTGGGAAAGCTTTTCAGATGTTTGAAAGGAGTTGGATGTTATGATCTAAGCTGTATCTGCTTTAGGAGACATGCTAAGCCTAGTAACACTGTTGTTCTTGCAGACTCATAGGGGTACTGCCTTGATGGTCTTGGACCAGGTCAGGGAGAATTCTCTGGATTTTCAGGCAGAGACTCTTGTTCTCTTTTCTTACTTTCCCCCAAACATACAGAGACTCTGTCTGTTCTGAGCCACCTAAATCTGGGGGTGGAGAGATACAGCACCCCTGTGGCTATCACTACTATGACTGTTCTGGGTCAGCCCTGAAGCCAGAACAGCACTGGGTCTCACTCAAGGCCTGCTGTAACCACTCCCTGGCTATTGTCTATGTTTGCTCAAGTCCCTGGGACTCTTTAATTAGCAGGTGGAAAAGACATCCAGCCTGTTTTCTTCTCTTCAAGGCAGCAAGGTCACCCAGGCCTCAGATGGATCCAGAAGTGCCATCCAAGAGTCAGGGACTAAAGTCAAAAGCCTTAGAAGTCTACCTGGTGTTCTATTGTATTGTGGCTGAGCTTGCATTATGCCACAAGATGCAGTCCTTCCCACTCTTCTCTCCTTTTTCCAAAGGCAGAGGAGCCTCACCCCATAGCCATTGCCACCGCAGGCCATGAGGAGTAGTGCCAGACTGCCACCGATATTTCCTTAATGTCCAAGTGCTCTTAAGACAGCTTGTTGTGAATGCTGCCTGGCCTAGGACTCATGCTTCAAGGCAATGGGCTCCCATATGGCCCAGAGCAGGTCCAGAAATGCTATCCAGGAGTCATGTTCTGGAACTGAGGTTCCTAACAGCCTGCTTTGTGCTCCACCTCCCTGTGGCTGTGCTGGTACCTAAAATGTAAGACAAAGTCCCCTTTATATTTCCCTCAGCTTTTCTCAAACTAAAGGAGTTTTTTCCTGTAGCCACTACAGCTGGTAATGTGCTGAGCCTCACCTGAAGCCAGCAAGTCTCAGAGGCTTACCCAAGGCCCATGATGTATTACCTGGGTATTACTGCTGGTTATTCAGGGCCCAAGGGCTCTTCGATAAGCAGGCGATGAATGCTGGGAGGACTGGACCCTTTCCTTTAAGATAACAGGTTTGCTTTTGGCCCATGGTGTGTCTATAAATGTCATCTTAGAGGTAGGGCCTGGAATGAGGTCCTCATGACTCTCATGACTGACTGGTGCCCTATCCTGCTGTCACCAAGCTGGTATTCTAGATGCAAGACAAAGTCCTCCCCACTCTCCTATCTCCTCTTCTCAAGCAGAAGGAAGTGATCTTCTTTGGAGATACAAGCTGTGCAGCCTACAGTTAGGGGTGGGGTGATGCCAGTACTCCCTTGACTGACCTTGCTGGTGTCTCAGTAGGTTCTGTGTCCTCCAAGTCCACTGCGTCTGGGCCTAGTTCAGCCCTAGGAGTCACCTGACTGTTGTACTTATGGCTTAGACTGCCTTTCAAGTTTATTTGAAGACACAGAATGCTGTTTGCTGGCACTCAAGTTTGGGCCACAGGGATTGGTGATTCCTCCCTGGCTAGGGCTGCTTTAAATACTCCCTTCGTGGGTGGCTGTCAGCTAAATTTGGTCCAATATTCCTTTCTGCTCTAATAGAACGTCACTGAGTTCAATGCCTCACAGTTGATGTGTTCTTCCTCAGTGTCCAGAGACTTCACATCACACAGCTGATGCCAGGGGTAAGGGAGAGGTGGTGTCAGTGATTCAGGACTGCTTTTTCTGTCTCTTCCGTGACTCTTTCCATGATATGAAGTTAAAACCGGGTACTATGAGTGCTCACCTAATTTTTGGTTCTTAAAAAGGTTTTTTTTTTCTTTTGCGTGTGTGTGTGTGTGTGTGTGTGTGTGTGTGTAGATAGTTAACTTGGTGTCCTTGGAGAGGGGACAATTGGTAGAGCTTTCTATTCCACAATCTTGCTCCATCTCCTATCTTGAGGTTTCTTGGATAGAGGACAATGGATTATGTGTGGCTGTTAAATCTGATGTTGCTTTTAGTCAACCTCCTGGTTGTTAGAACACCAGTAGAGAGGCTGGGAATAAGGCTCTGGTAGAAAGTCAGTGTAGCAGGTTCTGTGAGAGCCTATGCTCTAGCAGTGAATTCAAATCATGGCTGTGCCATTTACTAGTTATAGAATATTGGGTAGGCTAAATTAGCCTCTCTTTATCAGTAGAAGGAGAACTGTATTAATAGTAATTACTTCAGAAGACTGTTATGGGGTTCAGCCACAATGCAGGTGAAGTGCTTAGCAGGTGGCCTGTTTCAGAGTAAGAGACCAAAAAAAAGGTAGCAATACTATGTTCATGGATTTTAGCAGCTACACAGACCCTACATCATAAGGTCTTCCATATAAGAAAATTAAAGCTTTGGCATCTCTTCACCATTCTTTCATTTTGTACCTCCAGCAATTATTTCTATAAAGATTTCCCTAAATTATTGGGGATAATAATCTTCTTTATTTCATTTCTCCAAGTAATTGGATAATCAAGAGCTCTAATATCTTATACTAAAGCAACAAGTATGTAATATTATACCTCATTACCTGATGCTGAGGATTTACGACATCTAGTGGAGAATGCTTATAATCTTTTTTTAAGATTAATAAAAATGAGGCCAGTCATGGTGGTGGCTCATGCCTGTAATTCCAGTGCCTTGGTAGGCCAAGCTGGGAAGATCACTTGAGGCCGGGAGTTACAGACCAGGCTGGGCAACATAGTGAGACCCCGTGTCTTAAAAAAAAAATTAGCCAGGTGTGGTGGCACACATTTATAGTCCCAGCTAACCAGGAGGCTGAGGTGGGAGGATCACTTGAGCACAGAATTTGAGGTTGCGGTGAGCTGTGATGTTGCCACTGCACCTAGCCTGGGTGACAAAGTGAGACCTTGTCTCTAAAAAAAAAAAAAAAAAAAAAAAGATAGATGCAGTAAAAATGGACAAAACACAAGAAAAAAAATATATAAGAAACCCCTTCTTATCTCTTAGTAAATGTCCTTAAAAGATATTTACAAGATTGTGGATGAAATTAAATTAGTCTGAAACTATGGATAATTTGCAAGATTTTCTTCAAAAAAAAACTGAGTTCTCCAATGCTGTCTGGCAACAAAAAGTTATGAGTATTTAAAAACCATGCTAGTTAGAGGTAGAAATCCCAGAAGCTTTCACTTTTTGCGTCTGGGTGGTGAATATGCTATTTAATCTTTGCCTTCTTTCAGATAAGTCTTATTTATTTAAACAAATGCATTTCCCTGCCTCTAGAAATAACTATTAAGCTAATAGTAGGCAAGACTGCTATTAGTTATCCTGTAACAAGAGTAACTCGTGTTAAAAAGGGGATTCCCACATGCTTCATGGAGTTATCTTGTCCCTGATATCGTCATAGCTTGATTTCTCAGAGTCAGATCTCTGCTCAATTGTCAAGCTCATCCAAGAGAACTTCCTTAAGAACTGAATCTTAAATAATATCTGTTTTAGTCCGTTTTTGCATTGCTCTCCAGAAAGACCTGAGAATGGGTGTTTTATATAAAAAAGAGGTTTAATTGGCTCAAAGTTCTGCAGGCTGTATAGGGAGCATAGTGGCTTTTACCTCTGGAGAGACCTCAGGAAACTTACAATCATGGTAGAAGTGAAGGGGGAGCCAGCACCTTATATGGCACGACCAGGAGGAAGAAAAGGAGAGAGGGGAGGTGCCACATACCTTTTAAACAACCAGATTTCATGAGAACTCACTCACTATACAGTACCAAGGGGGAATGGTACTAACCTATTCATGAGAAATCCACCCTCATGATCTAATTACCTCCAACCAGGCCTCTCTTCCAACATTAAGGATTACAATTTGAGATGAGATTTTGGTGGGGACACAGATCCAAACCATATCATTCCACCCCATCCCCTCCCAAATCTCATGTTCTTCTCACATTTCAAACTACAATCATGACTTCCCAACAGTCTCCCAAAGTCTTAACTTATTCCAGGATTAACTCAAAAGTCCAAAGTCCAAAGTCTCATCTGAGACAAGGTAAGTCCCTTCTGCCTATGATGCAATAAAAAAAAAGTTGCTTCCAAGATACAATGGGGGTATAGGCATTGTTCGCATTCCAAAAGGGATAAATCAGACAAAAGAAAGGGACTACAGATCTCAGGAAAGTCTGAAACCCAGCAAGTTTAAGGTAATAAGACCTTAAAGCTCCAAAATAATCTTTTTTGACTTCACATCCCACATCTAGGGTACACTGATGCAAGGGGTTGGCTCACAAGGCCTTGGGTAGTTTCACTTCAGTAACTTTGCAGGGGTCAGCCCCTGTGGCTGCTCTCTTGGGCTGGTGTTGGGTGCTTGTGGCTTTCAAGGTGCATGGTGAGAGCTGTCAGTGGTTCTAACATTCTGGGATCTGGAGGACGCTGGCCTTCTTCTCACAGATCCACTAGGCAGTGCCCAGTAGGGTCTCTGAGTGGGGACTTCACATCACATCCCCCTACCCCACACTGCCCTAATAGAGGCTTCTTATGAGGGCTCCACCCCTGCAGCAGGCTTCTGCCTGGACATCCAGGCTTTTCCATACATCCTCTGAAATCTAGTTGGAGGCTCCAAAGCCTCAACTCTTACAATCTGTGCACCCACAGGCTTAAGACCATGTGGAAACCTCCAAGGCTTACTGTTTGCATCCTCTGAAGCAGTGGCTCTTGCTGTCACTGGGACACTTTTAGCCTGGAGCTGAAGTGACTGGAATGCAGGGAGCAGTGTCCAGAGCCTGTGCAGGGTGGCAGCGCCCTGGGCCTGGCTTATGAGACCATTCTTCCCTCATAGGCCTCTGGGTCTGTGATTGGAAGGGCTGCCAGGATGGTCTCTTCAATGCGTTCAAGGCCTTTTCCTCATTGTCTTGGATATTAGCACTTGGCTCCTTTTTATTTCTTCAAATTTCTGCAGCCTGCTTGAATTCCTCCCCTGAAAACAGTCTTTTCTTTTCTACCACATGGCTGGGCTGTAAATTTCCTAAGCATTTACATTCTCCTTCCTCTTAAAATGTAAGTTCCAGTTTCAGGTCATTTCTTTGCTCATGCCTATAAGCATAGGTTTTTAGAAGGAGGCAGGTCAATTCTTGGATTCTTTGCTGCTTAGAAATTTCTTCCACCAGATATCCTAATCATCACTCTCTACTTCAAACTTCCACAGATCCGTAGGGCAGGGGCACAATGCCTCCAAGTTCTTTGCTAAAGCATAACAAAAGTGACCTTTGCTCCAGTTCCCAATCAGTTCCTCATTTCCATCTGAGAGCTCCTCAGCCTGGACTTCACTGTCCATATCACTATCAGCATTTTGGTCACAACCATTTAACAAACCTCTAGGAAGTTCTAAACTTTCCCTCATCTTCTTGTCTTCTTCTGAGCCAACCAAACTGTTCCAACTTCTGCCCATTACAGAGTTCCAGAGCTGCTTCCACATTTTCAGGTATCTTTATAGCAATGCCGCACTTCTCAGTATGAATTTCTGTATTAGTTTGCTCCTGTATTGCTATAAAGAAATACCTGGGACTGTATATTTTATAAAGAAAAGAAGTTTAATTGGCTTATGGTTCCACAGGATGTTCAGGAAGCATAGTGGCTTCTGCCTCTGGGGAGGCCTCAGGAAACTTATAATCATGGTGGAAGGCAAAGGCAGAGCTTGCACCTCAAGTGGCTGGAGCAGGAGAGAGAGAGGGAGAGGGGAGATGTGCCAGATCTCATGAGAACTCACTCACTGTACAGTACCAATGGGGATGCTCCTAAACCATTCATGAGAAATCCACCCCCATGATCCAATTACCTCCCATCAGGTCCCTTTTCCAACACTGGGATTACAATTCAATATGAGATGTGGGCAGGGACACAGATCCAGACCATATCAGCACCTCTCATCACTGTGTCTACTCTAATCCAGATTCATTTTCACAGTACTATCCTTTTCCTGAGATATTACAAATTATTTTTTAATTGTTATCTCTCTCTTCCTCAACTTCCTGCTGGTGATCACAAGATACGAGAGGGAAGGGATTTTTTGTTACCTTTACCAGTTGTGGAGCAGTATTTACAACAATTCCTGACACACAGTGATGTTCAATAAGTTATTCCTTAAACAAACAAATAAATAAATAAATTTACCACGAGGCACAGTACCATGGTAGAAAAAGTCTGAACTTAAAATTAAGGTACAGTTTTGACTCCTGGCTGTGTTTGTTCCAGAGCTGCTTGTCTATGAGTGAGCCAACTAATTTTTTGAGCTTTAGTTTTCTCACTTACAAAAAAATAAAAATAATACAATCTACCTTGTAGGGGTGTTATGACATTCAAATGAAAATGTATATATGAAAATACTTTACACATACCTTATAAACAATATTAATTTTAAAACATTTGCTGCTATTGCTCACAGACCAATAATTATGATTATTGAACTATTCTGTTTATATTCAGAAAAGATGACAACACTTTTTGCTTGGCAGTTAGCCAGTTTAACCATATCTCATCACAGATATTTTCTTTCCTCAGAAAACACAGGTGGCTGTGCTGCAGTCTGATTATTTTGAACATTTGGGTGTAACTCTTATTTTTAACCCAAGCATTCATGGAGTCTATTACCTAAAAAGTCCTTGCTAATGGAAGAAAGACCTTGTTCTTTAGATTTCTAGGTGAGAAAATTTCAAATAGATATCCAGAGTGGGTATCATTAGAACAACTTTACCCAAAAGCCTAGAAGTTAAATAAATATGTGGAGGGCCATTATTTTGAAGTTGCCAGTTTACAGGTAGATTTGAATTATTTATTATATAATATATTGTATTTATTATATTTATTTGTAATTGTTTATTTTCATAAATGATTACTTTGATCATTTATTGTAAGTTGGAATTTTAATTTAACATTGAATATTTTCTTTAGCTAAATGCTGTACAGCACAACTTTTGGTATCTAAAATATTCTATTTTTAACTTTTAATTTTGACAAAATGCATATAAATTTAGCAGAATTTGAGAAGCTATCGATATAGATATTAATTAAATATACATTTATTAAATTATCCATTTTGAAATTTGGCAATATATATCCAAGACTTTAAAAATGATTATACTCATTGATCTAATAATTTCACTTTCAGAGATTTGTCCCAAAGAATGAATCATGGTTACAGGCAAATCTTTACGTATAAAGTTGTTTATTATAGCATTTGTTTTAATAGGAAACTTAAGGGAAATAACCTAAATGTCCAATAATAAGGAATCAGTAAAATATATTACAGTGTATTTTTAAAAAGAAATATTGCAAAGCCAGAATATGGATGTGGATATTTAATGTTATGAGAATTATTCAAGATATAGTAGCAAATAAAAAAAATCAGTCCGAATACTATGTGTATGTGTGCATGTGAATATTCCTTGTTTAATGGAACAATCTGGGATTGGTGGGGTTCAGACAGAAAATGGCTTTATTTTTGACCAACCGCTACCTTCAGATCTCCTTTCCCTGCCCCTAATGATATCTTGGAAAGATGTCTTAGCCTTTCTGTTATTTCCTGTTGTGAGTATGGTTTCCATAATAACAGTTCATTTTCAGACATTAAAAGATCTTGTCCATTTTAAATGAAAATGTTAACCTCACACTCAATTCAAAGTTCTTCTTCCCTTCATGACTTTCACCCCTGACTGGGACTTGCCACAGGGAAGGAGGTGTGTGTGGCCTATTTTTTTGTTTTGTTTTGTTTTGTTTTTCACTCATCCTCCCATCCCTTCTTTGCTGCTTTGGCTCTTTTGAGGCTGGGAGGGAAAAGGAGTATTAGAGGAACAAGAGTAACGGTCTTACAGGTACTATCGTAATCTGCCTACATAACAGGCATCAAAAGCCTGGCTATTAAATTGGGTACAGACATGGATTCTATGGATATTCTGAAAAATTTCCATGGTAGATAGTTCTGTGATATAAGCAACGTATTCCAGTGAACTCTTACAACAACCCCTCTCATGAAATGCATTGTTGATGCATTGGATTCTCTGACATCTGTTGGCTTCCCTCTTGAGCAAAATAAATTCAAAATAGCTTGAGCCTAGCTACTCTCTATGGGCTATACTTGGATCACAGAAAACTCATACATTTTAGCTACACAGAATAATCACAGTGTAAGATTTCCCACTGCTGCCCTCTCTCTGTTTTTCCATTGAGAGGCCGCACTGGCCAACCTCCAGCCTCTAGCATTTTCCAGATGAGAAGCTGTTGTCAGTCTTTTTGTTCATGTATGACCCCAGATGCCAGAGAGATCTCAAGTTCTCCCAAGAACTCTCTTCCTTGGCAAAGCTGGGGTTCTACAATTTAGCACAGACAGACAAAGCCATTAGAAAGTAAAGACTAGGTCATAGATGAGTAAGATAGGACAGCATAGCAGGGATGGAATTCATAAGACAAGAACAAGTTTGTAGGTGAATAAAGGGGGCTTGCAGAGTCAGTTTGGTTCTGTTTCTAGGATAGGTTGATGAACTTGTAGCTTTATAAGGAAACAAAAACGTGTAGGGTTGGAATTAAGGGGGTCCATTATGAGATAGTTGCAGTATCCAGGTACTTTCAAGGTGAGAGAATTGAGGTTCAGCACCTTTTCTAATATTCTTAATCTGCCATGTAATAATTTATATCTGACTATCAAATTGGAGATACCTTGTTTTAAAGATAAAAAAGTATGTGTCAAAGCTCAACATAAACAAATATTAAAAATGTATTCATGGCTCTAAATAATTAATAATTTATAATTAATAATTTCCTTCTGACAGGAAGATAATATAATTTTAACAGGATATATTATTATTTTAGGATGTGCATGAGCAATTTGGCTTAGACCTAAAGTATTTGTTGCATTACTTTTAGTATGTATATTGAATTTCATTCTTTATACAACAATTTAGCAGCTTTTTGCTTATGGCACTTACGAATATTCAAAGAGACTATCTCCTCTGTTTTAACTTTACAGGGTATTTGCTTATTCCCTTGCTTCATTTTTAATTAAGATTTTTAAACAAACATGTGTACTAATGGAGAAAAATATGCAAGAGCAAAGTTAGAATCTCTAGGGAAAAGCCAGCTGGCTATTTTCCAGGTAGTATTCATCATTTTCATGGATTTACTAGTGGCCAAGTATCAGTCTTAGAGGCTCAGTTTCCAAAATTATGGGCACTGAAAACAAATTAATTTTTCAGGTATTGTTTCACATTAATCAAGCTTATAGAAATTAATGTATGAAACAGAAGGCCAATTTATTAGTTTTCCACCAGAAACATAATGGTTCATATCTAGTGGAAAATTTTAATTGCTAACTCAGCAACCAGGTACCTCCTCTTCCTAGTAATACCTTAAGTTTGGTTGGGAAGCCATACCCTTGCCTTTGGAGTCCAGAAGATCAGTTCTCGGTGTAGACCATGTTTGGCCTAACGAGAAAATAACATATTCCATTAAGGCATTTGAAAAGGGAGAGGCATTAATAACAATAATTTCAGGCCAATAGGAAATTGGAATGGTCTGAGGAATCAGAATATGTGATTCCCTTACCTAAGCAGTCCAGTTAGGAAGAATTTCTGAATCCTTCTTGGAATCTTATAAATATGTTCCCTTCCACTGAACATGTACAATGGAACACATAGCCCCAAATGTTACTCAGAATGAAACAGTCTTTGAAGAACGGAATATGAAGAAATGAAAAGAAAATGGGTCCTCAGTGACACATTAAGCTGTTGGGTCAGCCAAACTTGAAGCCCGCACTATGTTTGGATTTCCATTCACTTGAACCAATAACTCTATTTATTTATTTACCTATTGGGCCCAAATTTCTCTTTCAATTCAATTTTCCTATTGACATAGTATATAATAAATCAGTGGGAATAAATAAACATAGGTTTTGAATTAGTATTTCTTTTACTTTTTATTTTGAAATAATTATAGATTTATAGCAAGATACAAATAAATGAATAAAAATGCCCATGTGCCGTTCGCTCAGCCTCTCACAAAGTTAATGTTATTTTGCATAATTATTGTGTGATATTAAAACCAGGTAATTGACCTTGGTATAATCCATGAACGCATTCTGATTTTATGTTATACATACGTACATTACACATGTGTTTGCATGCATGTGTGAGTATGCAGTTTGATGAACTTCAATTACACAGGTAGCTTTATGTAACTACCACCAAAGTTAAGACACATAACTATACCATCCCTACCAGGCTCCTTTGTGTTACCTCTTGTAGCCAACCAGACTCCGATCCTTCATCCTCAGCTATTCACAACCACTAATCTATTCTCTATTACCACACTTTAATTTCAAGAGTATTATATAAATGGAATTATACAGTATACAACCAGTTGAGAATGCCTTTTTTTCATTCAGTATAGTTGTCTTAAAGCTCACCTAAATTGTTGAATGCATTAATAATTCATTCCTTATTAATTTTGAGTAGTATTCCATGTATGAACCCACCACAGTTTATGTAACCATTTACCCATTGAAGGGCATTTGAGTAGTTTCCAGTTTTGGGTTCTTACAAATAAGTTGACATAAATATTTGTGTACAAAGTTCTGTGTGAACATGTTTTCATTTCTCTAGAATAAATGCTTAATGATGTAGTTGCTGGGTAATATGGTAAGTCCACTTTTAGTTTTAAAAGAAACTTCCAATGGCTGTGCCATTTTACATTTCCACCAGGAATAGATTACTGATTTGGTTTCTCTGCATCCTTGCCAACATTTTGTGTTATTAAGATTTTTAATTTTAGCCATTTTGATATGTGTGTTCCCTTAGTCTTCAAACAACTTTGACTTGGGTTTTCTGTTGCTTTTGAAATGAGAAATTCTAATTGAGGTACCACAGGATAGGACAATTGAGACCCCTAGGCAGGATATAAAATATTGTTTGGTGAGAATGGAGCCAGAACAAGGGGGATTATTTACAGGATTTAAATATGAATGACATCACACTGTCACACTCAAATCATTAGGTTTTCAAAAGCAGTGATGTGTTCCAGGATCTAGAGAGGGCAGTCCTTGGGCCAAGGCTCCCTTCTTGGGCAGTTCTGGTAGCAGGCTTTTAGGCACCAGCCTTGGAGCATCTCCTTTTTAGATTCATATGTTTTCATGCCTGACTAGTCCTACTTTTTAAAGTCCTACTTTTGATAATCTTTACATTAAAAGGTAATCTTTTTTACATATATTAATATATTTAATGAGATTATAGTTATAAAACCTTCTTTTGGTCTCAGGTGGCTCATTCTATGCATATAGTCACCTTTACAAAAATCACCTTTGAAAATATTATTTCTTTTTCTGTATCTCTCACAGAACAGTAATAGGACACAATCCAAAACTCAGGAAAACATTTTTCAAAACTCATTCTCTTTCTTTTGCAGTTCTTTAGCATCTTTCAGTTTTCTCAGAGACTCTCATGTGAAATCCCTAAACTTTTGTCAAATCTGACATTTTGGCCCATCTGTAAGATCTTTACTTGACTGCTTCTCCTTCTGTTTTATCCAAAGGTTTTTCCAACATTTTAAGGCCATGTGCAAATTCTTCATATGAAAGGAAGAGTGGGAACTTGGGCATTCATCTAGCAAGCAAGGATCCTTCCATTTTACTCTTGGCCTTACTTTCCTGGTTTTTCGTTTGCATTCACCCTTTTCTGTAACACTGTAAGCCTAGAATAGGTCTGGCTAAGCCACTTAGAAGGTGAACTTTACTTATGGGGAACCTGAGCCAGAAAACTGAAAATTCTCTTGTGTGGAAGGTTGAAAACATTCCCTTCATCTTAGCACATAGTGAGATCCTGTAGATCCAAAGGCCATTCTATCTCAAAAGTAACTTGGCATCTCTCTGCTCAGTGCAACTGTGTGTTAATATTAGAGCTGAACTCTTAAAGGACCATGTTATTTCCCTGATTTCCAAGTCTTGGGGGTGGCAGTGGAATGGGGATAAGTTCAGGGGTGAAGAAACTGCTAGAATCTCACTGTAACCTCCATAAGCTCCATTTCTGGCTAGGGTGATTTGTTTTGTTTTATTTCTGCTATTGGTTATAGGCGGCCTGCAAATCCGTCAGTGACACTGGGGCAGCTGGCCTCAAGTGTGTGCCCTAATAATGCAGGGTCAGCAGCACAATATTTAAATATGAAAGAAAGCACATCCATTACCATATTTTTACATCTAAATTTAGGCTAAAAAGTACTCAGGGCAATTTGCATTCATTTTAGGATGGAAACATTATACTTGATAGGCATATCAGTTAGCGGGAGCTATGTATAGCATCTCTGTTCACCTTTACATGCTGCTGCACAGTTGTCTGCAGAGGGAGGGAACTCTCATTTTGTAAACACTTACCTGTCATGATCAGCATTTTTGCACACCTTGCCTGATAACCTGTATGTGGCTGTGGCTGAATCTCACATCTGACATCTTCACATTGTATGTAAGACTGATTTTTGTGTAACTGAAGACAAGGTTTTGAGAGGTCTGTTGCCATTTATAATCCTGTTTTAGGCTGGGAAAAGAATGAATGCATCCTTTTTTCACTTGGAAAGAGAAGCCTGGTAATTTCAGCTGCATAGGTCATACTCTGTTGAAAAGTACTGAATAAAATTTCGGTATTCTGGGGCCATATATCAATTTTTTAATATTCCACACAGATGTCGTTGGCCTGAGATGTTCTTCAACTCTTTGTGATGACCACACATCACTGGTTCCTGCTTTTCTGTCTGTTTTACCTCCATATCTATTCATATATCTGGCTTCTGTTGATGTCTTGCTAGTGTTTGACTCTTGTTGATTTCTTTAGCATAAAATTTATGTCAGATGTTCTTAGGTAGAGTGTGGGGTATCAGAATTACCTATGCTAGATCCTCCCCACATTCTCTTCTGTCCCCCAGGGATTCTGATACATCCTCAAACTCTTGATTCAGAACAACAAATTTTGATGTTTCTCTTCATAAATTTCATTAAGGCAGGAAGTAGTTTTGGAGAGTGTGAGGACCCTGGCAGGCAAATGCATTGGGAAGGGGGATTTGGTAAAGCTGACTGAGATGAGATGAAAGCCCCCTTGATGTAAGTCTGACAAGCAGATGGTATCTGGTACTGTTGCTCCCAGAAGCTAAGCTTCGGGTTGGCTGGATTGAGCCAGGAAGATGGAGGGCCAATTTCCAGACCTATTGCTCTTGTGGCTTGGAAAAGGCTCCTCCTTCCCATTCACATATCCAATCCTGCTTGTACATCAGGATCCTCCTTGGGTCTTATCTGTTCTTGAAGCCTTATAGTTAACCACAATTTATGCCTTCTTTGATTTGTCTTTTTTTTTATATAAGTACTGTTTTTTGAACAGTTAGTACTTATATTTCATATTTCATTATAAAATGCTTATAATCTTTGACTGTTCCCTGACTATATATCTCATCATTCCAACAAGGCTACAAGCTTCTCAAAGGCTATAACTTATACCACATTTCCAATTTTCCAGAAGAAAGAACTTTGAACAGAAAGTTCTTTCTGAGAGGAAGATAACTAAAATTTGTTTGGCATTACTATGTGCCAGGCATTGTGGGAAAGCCCTTGATATTTTACTTCAATTTATTTCTGCATGCTATTATCACTTTTTTTTTTTTACAGATTATTAAAGTGAAGTTTGGAGTTTTTAGTAACTAGCTGGAAAGCACATGAATCATAGCAGAGAATGTAAAGATTTGATTTAGGCTTATAAGACTGCATTTTCAGTTGCCACAAAGACTCCAATTTCAGTTGACGCAATAACAATTAAGTATTGGTCTTCCTATGTTTTAAAAGTGTGTCTATTATCTGTTTTATTTAGAGATTCTACTATCTTCTCTTTTTACTCTGAAATATAGGTAATTTTTATACCTTCCTGTAATTTTTCAATGCTAGCTTTCATTGTTACTATATTTTATAATTTCAAATTAAATGGTGGTTGTATAATGACACTATGACCAATCAATTGGCCAAAAGTCTTGATACAACTTCTTTTGGGAGCATGATGCTTTTAAATATATACATAATTATTGCTATCAAAATCATCTATTTTTCACCTATTTTAGAGACTTTATGAGACTTTAGAGTTTTTATTTAAATAAAGTCTCCATTTTAGAGACTTTAGAGACTTTATGAGATTAGACCTCTCATTTTATCTACAGGATGCTTTTAGTAGTGGAAATAGAAAAGTTTACCGTGAGGATGCTATTTGCATTAACACTGATATTTATTTATCATAGAAAATAATCTTCACATAGATTCAGGAAGTCACTGAACTGCAATTATGTTTGTACTATCTAATATTTCCCCAAAATTTCAGTTCTTTTTTCTAGGTATTTGAATATCAAGATATTTAATCTTTCAGTTTTCCTTTATTGATAATTTGAGCAAATCAGTAAACATGCTTACCAATTCTTCTGACTTTATAATGCTAGTCAGAAAATTTTATTAATTCTGACAGTTTCCAATATACCAGCTATTCTTTATTAGCTACTTCAAGTATTGAATTCTTGGAAGATTTTACAACCATTACCACTTTTCAGATACTTTTTTATTGCTTTCTGACTGCCAAAATCTTTTCTTTTCAGTAATAATTCAATTTTTGAGAACTGTGCTTAATAGCCTCTGACTTTAAAAATTATCTTTGTCTGTGTGTGTGTGTGTGTGTGTGTGTGTGTGTGTGTTTCCCAATGCCAACTTTCAGTTTTCTTAATCTCCCCAGGGAATATTTTAAAGTACCATCTCATTTGTTTTAATCCCCTTGCTAGCATTAACATCTTCAAGCTTATAAATACTTATATGACTCAATAAGTTTCAGGTTTTATCCATCGTATATCTGCAGCTTGCCACCCAGCTTTCTATTGAAGTCTCATGGTATGTTAAATATGCTTTTTGGTTATTTGCACCTGGGAGACTAAATCTCAGGTGAAGAAACTATTATAAGTGCATCTCATCCCTTGGTTTGCCTGATATTGTTTTTATACTTGTGGTGAAACAGGTGCAGAATTCTGCATCTGTCTCTGTTAATTAGGCAAATAGTGACACTAAGGTGTAGAGGAATTAAGTGCATATTCTAGAATCAGACAGCCATAGACTTGAAACTTGGCTCTGCTGTTTGCTAGTAACAACTTTGAGCAAATTATTTAACCCTACTGTGCTTTAATTTCCTCCTCATCAAAACAGATAATTGTAGTCACTACCTCATTCATGTAGGGAGGACTAAATGAGATAATATAAAATAGCGCATATACATATACTTATGTGTGTGTGCATGTGTGTATGTCTATAAATACTCTAAGGCTTTATATGGAATGCATTTGTCTTGATTTCATCGCCACACATATAGAAATAGCCCATGGCACTCCACCTTTCTTACTCATAGTATAATGTAGTAACTTTTGGTATCCCACAATGGCATTCTTTTGAACCAGAAAAAGACAAGTTGTATCTTTTTTTATTTTTTGAGTAGCATATGCTGATCTTTACACAAAATACTAGCACTCTTTTCAAATTATTGTCTGCCAAGAGATATTGGCAGCTCCATGTCTTGCCTGTGACTGTCACAAGAGAGAAAATCAATACAACAACCAACTGATGTGAAGCTGTCTAAGGCCATGGTTATCTCTGCTCTTTAAAAAAAAAATTAAGACGTTCACAAATGGCCTTGGTAAATTTTTTAGGTCCATGAAAAACCTGTAACTGTATTTACACATAAAAATAGACACATGAATTCAAATTTCCAAGAAAAGGGCTGGGGCTGAATTGGGGGGAAACATACTACTTTGTTATGTGCACTCACCTATGGTCTGCATGTGCTAAATAATTACTCATTCCTGATTCAATTTCTGTCTGTCCAAGCTCCATCTTTTCTTAAAGGTTTTTGAACTCAACTGTCCCTTTCTTCAGGAAATTTTTGAAAGCCTCCCTTAGAATGAAGTCAGCCATGCTCTTTATTTTCTTAACCTTGGTTATATCTCTTTCATGAGACTTCATATACTGCATCATAGACTTTATGAGATCAGACTCTCATTTTATTTATCTTGTGGTTAGTCTTATAAACCACCCACATTGCTTTACCTCTTGCCTAGTACACTAGGTAATGTGGGTCAGTTCTCAAAAAATTGTCCCTGAATGAAGGGATTTATGAATAATTAGAAATGGTATGGAACTTATAAATCATTTAGTTTAATTCCTTATTTTATCATGAGAAAAATTGAGGTCTAGAAAGGTATCTAATTTTGTCTAAGATCACATAGCAAGCACAGAAAAAGGAAAAAATAAGACCTTATTTATATTGGTGTACATTTTTAATTAAAATGATTGGAATCTTAAAGGTAATGGTGCTTGAGAATTATAAATCTCTAGAATATCTGAGACATTGTTTTGAAAGTAGTTGTGGCAAATCAGGTATTTATAAATATTGCTGATGAGATTCCTATTTATTCAAACTCGTTACTTGACAAACATCTTTATACAGAAACAAATACTGTATTGAATTGTACTCATCTTGAACAATGCAATACAGAATTGTGCAATACAGTATGTACAATATAGAATTACAGAGTGATCTTGCACCATACCTTATTCAATGTGTTGTAAATTGAGTTGGCCAATCAACTGTTCATAATTATTAGATTACGCTGGCAAAATAGACACCTGTGGCAACTAAAAAAAGATAGAAACTAAGTTTCCTACTCTACAACACTGCTATCACAAGAACTGTAAAAATGAAATATTTTGTGAACCAAATACTGCCACATAAATGCATTTTTTGTTAGCCAGCAGTCACAAAACATTGAAACACTCTTTTCCTATAAACCCAGTGAAAACCCTGCTTTTTAAAAAATCTTTTCAGGTGCTCTGACAAGGACCTTGCATGAATCATTCATCTGGAGAAAATGACAATATTCTGTCAGCAGCATTAGCTAACCCTGTTGGATCAGGAAACAGATTCCACCATTAAATGTATGGACACAGGATGAAACAGAGTTTGATATGGCTGTTACTTTGAAGGTATCCTACTGGGCTCACCAGAGTTATGTGTGTGTGTGTGTGTGTGTGTTTGTGTGTGTTTGGTATAAAAATCTTAAAAATTAAAGTAACAATAATATGCAATTTTCTTTTCAAATAAAATTGACCTTTTTTGTCTTCTTATTTTATTTTAGTTAGGGACAGGATATTCAAAAGTGCATTCCTAATATTTTAATAATAGCTTTTTTGAGATGTTATTAACATAGCTTCCGGTTCATAAAGTATATAATTCAATGGTTTTCAGTGTATTCACAGTTGCACAAACATCACCACAATCAATTTTAGAACTTTTTTTTATCATTTCCATCAAAAACGCTGTACCCATTAGCAGTCATCCTCCATTTTCCAACTCCTTTCTCCTCCCCACTGACCTCCCCACCAGCCTTAGGCAACCACTAACCTTCTTTCTCTATATATAGATTTTCCTGTGTGGGCACTACACCATAAATGGAGTCATACACTATGTGTTTTTTGTGGTCGACTTCTTTCACTGTTTGTGAAAGGTTGTGTTTTCAAGGTTCATTCATGTTATAGAATGTATACAAGTCCCTTATGAGATATATGATTTGAAAATATTTTCTGTCATTCTATAAGTTGTCTTTTCACTTTCCACATGGTGTCCTTTGAACACAAAAGTTTTAGGTTTTGATAAAATCCAAGACCATGAAAAATTATACCTATATTTTCTTCTAATAGTTTTATAGTTTTACCTCTTAAATTTAGGTCTTTAAACATTTTGAGTTCATTTTTGCTTGTGGTGTGAGGTAGTTGCTCAACTTCATTTTATTCCATATGGATATCTAGTTGTCCCAGCACTATTTGTTGTTAAGACTATTCTTTCCACCTCTATTGTCTTGATATCCATGTTGAAAATAAATTGCCTAAAAAAGTAACAGTTTCTTTCTAGACTCTCAATTATATTTGTTGATATATATCTATAATTATATCTATGCCAGTAGCACACTATTTTGATTGTTGTAGCTTTTTTTTTTTTTTTTTTTTTTTTTTTGAGACAGAGTCTCACTCTGTTGCCCAGGTGGGCGTGCAATGGCACTATCTTGGCTCACTGCAACCTCTGCCTCCCAGGTTGAAGCAATTCTCCTGCCTCAGCCTCCCGAATAGCTGGGATTACAGGAATGTGCCACCACGCCCAGCTAATTTTTTTTGTATTTTTAGTAGAGATGGGGTTTCACCATATTGACCAGGCTGGTCTCGAATTCCTGACCTTGTGATCCATCCACCTCGGCCTTCCAAAGTGCTGGATTACAGGCATGAGCCACCGTGCCTGGCTGATTGTTGTAGCTTTGTAGCAAGTTTTGAAATTGGGAAATGTGAGTTCTCCAACTTTGTTCTTTTTCAATATTATTTTGACTCTTTGGGTCCCTTGAATTTCTATATGAATTTTGGGATAAGCTTTTCAATTTCTTCAAAAAGCCAGCTTAGAATTTTGATAGGGATTGCCCTGAATTTGTAGATCAATTTGAGGAGTATTGCCATTTTAACAATATTAAGTCTTCTGATTTATGAGCATGAAATATCTTTCCATTTATTTAGGTATTCTTTAATTGATTTCAACAATGTTTTGTGGAGAAAACTACTCCAACCTCATCAGGTGATTCTCCCTGATGACAAACATATTCTTGTCCATTATTTGAAAGCAGAAAAGAAACATAAGATGATGTCCAATAATTTCACATCTATCCCTGACAAGGAAGAAAGAAGAATGGAGGTGCGGGTGCTCTGGAGTTTTCAGAGATATTAGGCTTCATGCTACAACTGTGAAGCTGTAAAGGGAAGCACTGAGTAGTTTTAAGGGTTTGAGCCCTTAGAAGTTAGTGACTCTAATGTGTGAAATCCCTCTAGCAGACATTAAACCTGGGCAGTTGAAAATAGAAAATACTGATTACCTACAGAAATAATTAGGAAGATCCAAACAAGGATATGGAGAGAAATAGCTCATATAGCTCAGAGTTTGACTTCATTCATGAAGGGCAGAGGTGCCTGTATAAAATTCCAAGCCAAACACGTATCTTGAACATCACTAATTTCAGCAGTGAAAATGTACTTGCAAGGTTCTTTGTAATACTATACAAACTCTCTAGTGCAGATTCAGATATTGATATTTGAAGGTCTTGTTGCAGCCCCAGTCCTGGAGGGTGAACTCCTGATTACTTCAAATGCTAACATTGTGTATTAGTCCATTGCGCACTGCTATAAAGGACTTCCGAGACTAGGTAATTTATAAAGGAAATAAGTTTAATTGACTTGCAGTTCAGCATGCCTGGGGAGGCCTCAGGAAACTTACAATCATGGCGGAATGTGAAAGGGAAGCAACGCACCTTCTTCACAAAGTGGCAGTCCTTCCTGTGAATGAAGGAAGAACTACCACAGACTTATAAAACCATCAGATCTCATGAGAACTCACTCACTATCATGAGAGCAGCATAAAGGAAACCGCTCCCATGATTCAATTACCTCCACCTGGTCTCTCCTTTGATAGGTGGGGATAATGGGGATTACAATTCAAGATGAGATTTTTGGTGGGGACAAAGCCAAACCATATCACAATGCCTTAGGTTGTAGTTTAGGTTTAATTCACACATTTTGTAACACTGTTTGTACAGAATTATTTCAAAGTAAATTACATATAATATTACAGCAGTATGCTCATCTTGGAGTCCTGAGCTCTCAAAAGTTCATTCATGTGGTCCTGGGAGCTCTTTCCTGTCCTTTTAAGAGCCTGATAGAAATAATCTATCCCTGATAGAAATAATTGTAAGAATTCCCAGGTTAACTAAAACCACATTTTTTTTTTGCTTTTGTATTATTCCAGTGTGTTAACACTAATTGCCTCATGCCTAATAGAAATTGTTATTGGCAGTCATACATGTTTTTGAAGTACTAATAGTAAGGAAAGCATATTTTTAGTAATTATAACTTGTTTGATGTACACGGTCATTATACATAGGGCACTTATAAGGTTAAACTATACTAAAAAGGCCTGGATAGTGATGTGAGTTAATTATGAGAATTAGAAGCAATGTTTTCAATGAGTTTCTGAATAGTTGCCTTGGAAATTAGAATTCTAGGTTGTCTGTATTAGAACTTGAATCTATCAGATCAATTTTAGGTGTCATGATTATACTAATAGAACATTGTATAGTAACAAATCAATACTTTGATATTCTCAGACTTACTATCTCTTAGGGATTCATATTTAGTTTTGATTTATTTTGGAAAAAATAATACAATCGGCTTGTTCAAAAACTGTCAGCTAAAGACACTCAGCTAATTGTGGGCACTTGAATTTCCAGAGGCTGTATTTTCATGAGCTATAGATGATTTCATGTGTGCCGAATCCAAGGGAGGGTATTAAAGGAAAGGGGCTCATCTATGTTAACCATCCTACCTTCTGCCTTACCAAGTCATCTCTTTTCTATTGCTATTAATAATATATGTGGCTGTACCACAAAATGCTATGAGATATGTTTAGATGACAGCCACCATTTCAGCCTGTGATTGGAAAACTTGCAACTGTTTCTTTTTTCACCCCAACTGTGCACTAACCCTTGTTCTCCAACTCAAACTGAACACAATGCATATCTTTGATGGCAATAACATTTTGCTGTCTTGATATACACTGGTCCTAAGCTTCTATTTTATTACAGCAATGCCTTTTATTTCTTGGCCTGTCAGTGCTCTTTGATTTAAAGTTCTGGATATTGTTGTGTCACTGAGAATCTACTGTATTAATCTGCTTGTACAATATGTCAAAATAGGTAGTTAGGCTATTGTTTGAATCAAAATACCTATGTAGTCACATAAAACAGACAACCTGGTACTGGCTTGAAAGAAGGCATAAGGGTTTATCCCTCACACTGGAAAAGAGAGAATAAAAGGTAGGTTCTGGAGGACTGTATTGAATACTCCAATGTGAGAAATCTGGAGGAAATAAGGGTTTTCTAGCAGAGATAGCCAGAGACTCTTTGTTCTATCTTGTGGGTAGTGGTAATCAGTTATGATTATATTTGTTGCTTAGTAATAGAAACGTGGAACACTAACAGCTTAAATAAGATAAAGTATATTTCTCTCTTTGATAAGCAAAGATAAATGATAAGCAGTAAAGAGCTTGTATGATGTCACAGTGAAAATTAAGAACTCAGGTCCTTCTATTTTGTTGTTATTTCACCTGCAACATGTGGCTTCCACCTTATGGTTCAAGATGGCTGCTTGAATTATAACCATAACTCCACAGTTTAGCAAGCAGGAAGTAGAAAGAGAAAGTGAAGGGTGAACCTCATCTCTTTAAGGATACTTACTGGATACCACATATGACATATCTGCCTATATGCTATTGGCCAGAACTTAGTCATGTGACTTTGCCTATCTATCTCTGAGGAATTTTGGAAAATGTAATCTTTATCCCATACTCAGACAGAACTCATCTTAGCTCTGTAACCAGCTAAGAGTCATAATTTATATTGCCAAGGAAGAAAAAGCAAATCAACATTAATAGAACCAGCTTCAGGGAGCTGAAGGTACTCAATAGTTGGGAATATTTAGAAGGGTGAAGGAGGTTGAAGGTATATCATTAATTAGTTTAGTTGTTAGAAATCCAAAACCTGAGGCTCTTTTCTACAATGGGCCATCCTAGATCCTCAAATAGTCTTTTGAAGTCACATGGTCAATGGAAATGAGACCACAATGGCTGCCCAGTAACAGGCCTTTCTGTCAACTTTCAGATGCACTTCTAAGGTATAGGTTGTCCTGTTGTGACTTTTCCTTGCTTTTGGAGGTTTCTGTATTTCTCTTTTAAAATCTCTTCTGCTGATCATCCAAATGTACCACGCTCTTGAGTCTGTGAATAGAAGCTGCTTAATGTTCATTCAAACATATATTACTTTCACATAAATATTATGGGATCAGTAAAACTGAACAGATGAATTAGAAACAAACATCAGGATATGTAAAAATTTAGATTATAAAAAGGTGTGTCATAAATTAATGAAAAAAGGATTTATTAAATAATTAATATTCAATATAAAATACACATATTAATAATATGAGAGATGAAATGAAAAAAACTAATCCCCTACCACATACTTGATACCTAAATAAATTCTAGGTGGATTAAAATGTTAACTGCTTAAAATCAAACCATAAGAAAACTAGAAGGAAATACAGGTAAATTTGGAAGGATTATTTTTAAAAATGATAACATTCAGAGGTGGTAAAGGTAGAGTAAAACAACTCATATATATATAGTAAGAGTGTAAATTGTCACACCTTTATAGAAGAAAATTTGGTAATGCATATGGAGTCAAAGTACTGAAATTCTTTGTCTCAGTAATTCTATGTTTAGAAATAAATCTTAAAGAAATAATCTGAGGCCAGAGGAGGTGGCTCATGCGTGTAATCCCAGCACTTTGGGAGGCCGAGGCAGGAGGATCACTTGAGGTCAGGAGCTCAAGACCAGCTGGCCAACATGGTGAATCGCTGTCTCTACTAAAAATACAAAAATTAGCCAGGCGTGGTGGTTCATGCTTGTAATCCCAGCTATTTGGGAGGCTGAGGCAGGAGGATCGCTTGAACCTGGGAGGCAGAGGTTGAAGTGAGCCGAGATCACGTCACTGCAGTCCAGCCTGGGTGACAGAATGAGACTCTGTCTCAAAAGAAAAAAAAAAACGGAATAATCTGAGATATGCATAAGAATTTCCGTGTAAGTGTGTTATATTAGTTATCTATTGCTGTATAACAACCACTAATTTAGCGGCTTAAAACAACACTCATTTCTCAGCTCAGTTATATAGGTGAGAAGCCAGCAACAAGATGACTGGATTCTCTGCTCAGGGTATTGCACAGCTGAAATCAAGGTATCAACCAGGATGAGTTCTGGTCTAGAGACTCTGGGGAAGAATCGGCTTCCAGGATCATTCAGTTTGTTGGCATAATTCAGTTCCTGTGGCTGCAGTTTGAGGTCCAAGTTTCTTTGCAGGCTGTCAGCCGCGGTGTGCTCTCAGCCCCTAGAGACCACCTACATTCTTTGCCATGTGGCATCTCCCACCTCCAGTGACAAAGAACTTCTTGTGTGTCAAATCCCTTTGTACTTTGAATTTCTGATTTCCCCTATCTTTGACCTCTAGACCCAGGATTAAAGGGCTAATGTTATTGTCAGGCCGATTAGGATAATCTCCCTATCTTACAGTCAACTGCTTTGAGACCTTAATTACATCTGCAAAATCCATTACAACAGCACCTAGATTAGTGTTTGACTGGATGACTGTGTGTACCCCAGGGACCGGGACTTTTGGAGACCATCTTTGACTTCTGCCTGCCATGGTTTATCCTTGTGTTAATTGTAAAATTAGGAAGAACCCAAATTTCCAAGAATAAAATATTGATTAAATTAGTTGTGGTAAATTTATGTAATAAAAGATAATAGTGCTATTCAAAACTCCTTATATAATGTCATAGGAAAATACTGAAGCTGATCATAAGTTAAAATAAAATATTAAACTATGCGTATGTATAGAAAAAGTCTAAAAAGAAATACATATAAACATTGACAATGGAAGATAGTGTAATAGGTAATTAAAATGTCTTTATATTTTTTCATATTTCTATATGTTTTATGATAACCATGTACTAATTTTGTAATAAGGAATAATAATTTATTTGAAAAACACTTTATTGTTTTCATGGATTTTCTCCTATTTCAGCCTTCTTCTCCTCAAACCATGACTGTAGCTTTTGTACAAACTTAGCAATTCTCTCACCTTGTCATCTTCAGTCAACCTGCAGGCCGGGAATATTGCTGCACCTTTTCTCCTTGGCTTGTGCTTAGCTCTAACAACACTGAGATTTATTGTTACCATTCTCTTCCTCCTGTGCCTTTGGCAGACAATATTAGCGGATCAAGGAACTCTTCTTCCTGATCCTGGACTCTGCTTTAGGTTACTCCGTTACTCCAGTTGGCTATGCTTCATCAGTTGGAATTGGCATGAAAGATGAAATCAGCAAAGCCTAAACTAATCTGGGGATTGAGTTGTCTGGCCATGCTTGGACAGCCTGTGAGGCAGGCCAGCTGGGTTTCTGCTCACATGGAGAGTAAACAGCTTATTGGAAAGAAGTTCTTCCTAAAGTATCAGGGGTCAATATACAAGAACATGGTTGCAGGGCAAGCAGTTGTTAAAGGAGAAAGGTGATTTTGAAAGCAGAGTGACATTTGCTAGTGTGATTTCTCTTTGTCACAGCCCCCTGGCTGAGTCCTGGAGAGCACAAAGCAACATTCCTTATGAACGGATTGAATTAATAGAGATGGCTCGTGGTGTTCCCACTTTAGCAAAGTGACATCATCCTAAGACATCACATTCAGGAACTGTAAAGAAGGAAATACACTGTAGGACGGTGCATGCCAGTCAGGCCCCTGGAATTTTCCAAACTAACGCAGTAATTTCAATTAGGTCAGAATTTCTAAAATTCTACAAATGGCATCAGAGACAAAGAGAATATGGTTCTGCTACCATTTTAGGTTTCCTACTGTAGTTCCAAATTTGTGTGGGACATGAATACATGGGTTATTCTCATAAATTATGTGATATAGGAAAGAGAGCTAATATGGTCTTCATTTTACAGATTAGTAAAAGCATGGAGAGGTTAAACCTGTTCACACAACAACTTAAGAAGGAATAGAAATTAGCTGTGTCTTCTTTTTCTAGCTAAACAGCATTGTGACAAGGCCATAGATACTTGCCAAGCAAACACTTTGAATAAAGCCCTGTAATCAGATGCTGAGGACTACCACACATATAATGAGAAGTGCAGATCCAATATAATTCACTAATGTCTGTAAATGTGATGTGATTTGTAGATTTCAACTGAGTGCATTTTGAATTCAAATTCTAAGAATCAGTATGTAGAAGGTTATATTTTCAGAAGATGGAAAATCTCACATGTTCTTCCAGTGTGATGTTGTCACTTTATTGAGAGACTGGGGGTCTTTGTCCCTTGCCTTCTACTTGGGCAGTTCCTTTTTACTACCTTGACAAATAGAATGTGGAGAAAGGTTTGCTACATGATTTCTGAGGTTTGTTTATAGCACATGGTATAACTTCCCCTGGCTTTCTTGGAGGATATAAACCTTTACATTCCTAGCTGCCATGTTACAATCCTGGCTACCTTGAAGCTGTCATCCTAGAGACACCATGAGAAGGGACTACAAAAAGACACAGAGAGAATATGAGAAGCCCCATTTCTTCCAGACTCTGCTCCACTGTTCTCAGCTCAGGCCCCAGCCATGACAATGAATACATCTTGGAGAACCCCAGTTGTGGCCACCATCTGACTGAAGCTTCACGAGTGATCCCAAGCCAGAACCATACCACCACACTGCTCCCAAATTACTGACATGCAGGACCTATGAAATAAATTAATATTGTTGTTTTAGTCTCCTAAGTTTAGGGGTGACTTTTAAGGCAGCAATAGTTATCTGATGAACAACAGGACAAACATATTGAAAAGTCTTAGCTGCAATTCCTGCTTTACTGAGCTGAGAAACCGACAATGTTTAATACAAGATAGTTCTTTAGAAAAATAAAACGGATGAATCCAGCCATTTCTCCTTTATTGCACAAGCATTTATCTTTGAGGGCCATTATTACTTCTGACATGCTTTTAACCACAGGTTTTTTTTTTTAATGAGAACCCATCTTTTATAGTTCTATAAAGGCTGCTGTAAAAATCTCAATTTATAGAATGATGACATTCCTCGATTCATTCTTTAGGATCACATGAAAATGGAGAGGGAGGTCAAGTCAATTGACATTTGCTCTTTACTTACTCCAGTTTCTGATATCCTGGAGCTTTCACCTTCTAAGCAGCACTGGTTCCATCCTGGGGTGAGCTGACTGAGGGTATAAGACAAACAACGAAAATAGAATCTGACAAGGCTTACCTCTTTTAAGGCCTAAATAACACTAAGTTAATTTAAATGAATTTACTAAAAGTTTTCATAAGGAAAACAATTTCAGATGATTCAAATTCTTTCTCACACTTTGGCATGGTAATATGTTGAGAGATTTTAGGAAGTATTATATGACATCAATAAGTTCACCAAAAGAGCCCTTGCTCTGCTTTCTTATCTCTCAACCTCCCCGTCTTCTGCTTTCTCTCGTCCCTTAAATAAAGCCTCTCTAATCTATATTTATCTTTTAAATCAATTACTTGGACATATAACTTAAACTTTCTAAATCTTTCTATTCAGCTGTAAAATGGGGTTCATAACAGTAATCAGTTTTATTTGTCTGATTAGTCTATCATTGGATCAATATATAATGTCCTACCTCGGTAACATTTATTTCTGCTATTGCAACAACCTATAGCTTTTGGATTTAAATAGGGAACTGCGAGTTGATGGGGGATGGCTACTCTACTAGACAGCTTTGGAATGACCTGGGCTCCAAGGTTGTGATCCTTTGAGCAGAACTCCTAGTCTCCCAAGTAGGGGTTACAGAAAGTTACTTAAGCCGCATGGAACAGCTGACTGGCCTTTTTCTTCAGGTTTCTTCCTAACTTTACAGAGTCCTCAGCATTTGGAAGGACACTCATTTTTGTTCTGCTTGGTGCATAAGAGAGAATTAGGCTCATTATTTTCAAGAATTCCAGGGAGGCCTTGCCTTTCAATGAAACACAGAGTGGTTTGGAGTCATTTAAAGCCAATATTTGTTTTCTTTTTTTGAAGGAATTAGATAGTGCAGCCCTAGGGGAAAACAAGATGGAATAAGTTTTTTTATAGGAAAATAACTGGAAGGCCAGAGAAGGAGGAGGCATGCACTATTAAATACACTTTACATTGTTCGGGGAAGCACAGCTTATTTACAGAATCCCCCTATGACAGTGAATTTAATAGTCTTTTTTTTATAGCATTAGATTTTAAAGTGTTTTGAAATGCTTCCAAATCTATTATTCTAATGAAAGCCCTTCTTTCCAGATAAGGAAACTGAGTTACAGATATGTTAAGTAATGTGCACTAGGACTAGGTCAGCCCAAGAGAGCTGCGTCCCATTTCTTCAGAGTTCTTTTGAGTGACTTTCTCTCCCATTTGGTAAACTCACTAAGCTAATCACAACAATGAAATGTGTCACCTCTCTTAGGCAGTCTGCTGGAGGTGCAGTGTAACTAACTGAAATGGGTCACTCTAGTGACAGGAATTTGAAGTACTGTGGATGGCTTGTGGGGAGGCAGATTTGGTTTCTTAGGGCTGTGAGGACAGTGTCATCTACTTCTTGTATACATAAGGGTGACTTAACCCTGTCCTCAGTGAGGTTATCCATTTAAACCAGTTATAAGATCTCTGTTGTGTCCCTGGCAATGGGAATTGAGCTGAACCCAGGATCACAAGACAGCCACACTCTATCAGAAACTTGCGATTAGCACTATTGGCCCATTTTACAAACAGCAGAAAGCTGTGGTGAGTACACCCTTTGTTCACATCTAGGCCATAAAGAAGATCAAAGTCAGAAATGATAGAAATGAGGGAATTCATGGCCATCTTTTCTACAAAATATCTCTAATAGGACTATAATTTGATAAGAAATTGTTTGCACCAATGTCAAATAAAGTATCATACAATCATTGAAAAACAAGAGTATTTGATTTGTTTTTTCATGCTTGAGTTCATAATGCCCCCTCAAAAACAACAATTTTTGCAATGCTATTTGGCAAATCATGATTGCTCTAGTCTGTTTTCACTGGAATTGTTTTATTGCCTGCTTTTCCTTTTCGTTACTAGTAGGAAATATGATATTGTTCGTGCTTTGCAAGGAAGTTAAGCCCTAAACCCTAAAGTAATATATTTGATTTTTCTGTGGAAACTGACAATACTAATGAGCCAGTTCCACCTGAAATCCAACTGCATTATTTCACATAGCACATTAAAGCCAGAATTTTGGTCCTTTTCCTACCTCCTATTGACTTTCCTCCAACAGCTTGCAAGTTACCAATCTTTTTATATTTGTCTTTATACTTCTACCCTCTTGTTGAAATGAGAACCTAAGATTTGCTTGTCACAAAAGCCTTCTTTCTCTAACCTAGAAGACTGAGGAAGTTTTTGTTTTCTATTATTTTCCTTATAGAAAATAACCTTCTTAAAGTTAGATGTCATGTTTTATACATTTCTGGGTGTCCTATCATACCTACAATGTCAGACATTTAGTAAGAGCTAGACATACACTGTGGTCTGAATATTTGTGTCTTCTCTAACTTATGTTGAAATCCTAACCCCCAGGATTATGGTATTTGCAAGTGCAGCCTTCAGGAGGTGATGAGGTTATGAGGATGGAGATTAGTGATCTTATAAAAAAGACCCTAGAGAGCTCTCTTGTCTTTCCACCACGTGAGGTTTCAATAAAAAGATGGGTGTCTATGAAGAAGGAAGAGGGCCCTCACCAGACACCAAATCTGCCAGCACTTTGATCTTGGACTTCCTAGCCTCCAGTACTGTGATGGATACATTTCTATGGTTTATAAGTCACTCAGCCTAGGTTAGTTTTATCAGCCCAAATGGACTAACACAACATATTTGTTGAATTAAGTTCCTTATTACAGTAGTCATTCAGAAAGAAAAATCAAAGTAGATAGAACAAAATTCAGGGTAAAGTCAGTTTCTTCTACTTGCACATACGCATACATACACGAACATACCCGCTACACATAACACTAAACATCTATAAGACCAGGATATGATACACATTCAGTATAGAGCCCATACTGCATTTAGATTCTCCTATGTGTGTGTATGTGTGTGTGTGTGTGTGTGTGTGTGTGTGTCTTGTGCGTGTGCCGACTCTGTTCTGCCAGCAGAGACTATTCTTACCATCCACATGGATGGCATAAATTTCTTACTGCCAGGGAGAGCATCTGGCTTTTTTTTTGGAGGACTTTATGTCACTGCAATTTGGGGAGTTGGGGAGGTCATGCTAAATCAAACTATTGTTAAGTCATTGGCAGGACTGTCCAAGGACATAATGAGAAAACAGAGAGAGATGCAGGCAGTCATAGGAATGCTGGTATGCTTGAAGATGAAAAAATCACCAATTGGTACTGCAGGCCCAGATAAGGGAAAGGGTCAGATGATTAGGAAAATAGAACAAGTAACAAGAGGATAAAATGGAATGCTGGATCTGGTCCCTATCCAAAAAAGGCAAAAGTGAAATAGAGGGTTGCCTTCACTTCATTTGAATAGTCTTGGAATTAATAGACTATTGAGGGGAAGAGGAAGGAGACTGAAAATGGAAATGAATAAAACACAAGTAAGAAACTACATGGCTTTAGGGGGTATGTGTACTTTGGGAGGAAATTGTCTTAGAAATGATAATTATACTGTTTGGAATTAAAGAATGGAGTTAGTGGTTAATGAAAACATTTTTGAGCTAAGGGGATTAACTCAGGTAGGTAGCCTAGGCACATGGAACATAACAGTGAATAAATTCTTCTTTAGTTCTTGAGCTATGTGTCTTCTATGATTGAGAAAATTAGAGGGCAAGGTTGGCTTTTCGGAAGCCAGGGGAACAGAGTGCTCAAGGGGGTTGACTCCTCCAAACACAGAGCTATAGGGGAAGTCACACTTGCCAACAGTGCCTTTTCACCTCCTTTTACTGTAGCCCTCTTCTCCTCCAGGGGTCTCCTCTGGAGACTTGTGCCTTTGTGATACTTCCTCAGGATACAGAGACTCCCAGTGAGGTTTCTCTGGAGGGTATGGTTGCAGCCTCTAAAATTTTTCATCTCTCATCCTTGTGTCCCTCAGTTTCTTCTCCTAATCTTGATGAAATACAAATGACAATTTGGTTGGAGACAGGGATGGCGGATTATTTTAGGGACTAATTTTTGCATAGAATATAGACAGTCATGACTACTGCTGTACCAGTTCTAACAGGCTATCATAGAAAGATGAATGGAGCAAAGCTTCACCTTTCCATCTTGATGATAGCTCACCATTCTGTGTAAGCAAATGTCAACAGGCTTCTGCATAAGCAAGGAAGACAAGTATCTGTGGGGAAGTTTCTAGGAGAGCCAGCTGAACTTTTTGCCCAAGTGTATTAATCCCATGAATCTGTCACAGCATTTGAAATTCCACCATTAAACTGTCTTCCTTTGAATTAAAGCCCTATAGCCTCAAGTATTGTTTTCCATTTTTAAAATAGTTTCAGTCTTGATTAAACAGGGTAAGCCATGCAAACAAAACAAACATTTTCATAAGACCAGCTTCAAGAAAAGCACAAGAGTATGAATGCATTTCTTGTGTTTGAATACATCCAAAACTCACAGTCACAGCTGCCATTCACATCCTCTCACGGTTGGGAGAGCCAGTCTTAAAGGACACTGCATCTAGGCCATGGACAATGGCGGCTGGAACCAACTGGCTAACAGCAAACAGAAAGAGAGAGTGAGAGGTACAGGTGCAGGCAGATAGGATGGAGGTGTCACATTCTTATGAAAGAAGTAGCTATTTTACTAAAACTGAACAGAGTGGGCCACCTTCCCTTTGGGAACTCGAGGCAACAATGGATGAGGTTAGTGCTGTATCAGGCTGCAGATTTATCTCTTGCTATGACCATTCAGACTTCTATTTCAAGATTTCTGGCCTGTATTGAAAGTTTGGTTCCCCTTAGATTCAGATGTTTAGCTCATACCCTGTTGAATCTAATTTTATTTCTTGCTAATGGATCTTTCCTTCCTGAAATTTCTCTCTCCATGCTTCTTTTTTTTTTAATTTAGTGACTTCAAATTTACCTTATCTTCTACAAATTTTGGAAACCCAAATTCTATTCTTGCTTATTATTCTATAATGAGGTTATTAAATAAGATTGCAGTGGTAGCACATTAGAATCCTCTTGGTAACTCAATGTATTTCCATTTTAGATTTTTTTCCTCAGTGCTTCAGGCTGTCTTTTTTATTCAGGATCTTGCTCACATCTGAACTAATTGGAATTAATGTGATCATTCAGTTACCATGAGCTTTGTGATATGTAATAGCCTAATTCCTCCATCCCATAAAGTGACAATGCCTCTGAAGCCTGGAGGAAGTGTTATTTAAAAGCAGTTGAAATTGCCTACAGAATCAAGGTGCCACAAAATGTTCACCTAAAGTCAGATTGCTCTGTTAAGTTGACTAATTGCTTGGGAGAAATTGTGGGTCTGGCCTAAGACTTAGTAACATTATCCCAGCCTATGACTTGGTGGAATTCATTTAAACTCTCCCTACTTGTGCCTTCTGTCATAATATGAGTAACATTTTCCATTTATTGTATATAAACTTTTGAGGAGTCATGTGATTATAGATTCATGGTATATATTATCTGTCAAATTGTATAGTATCTGTTACTGATAAACAATTCTTAATATTGTCTTTCATTAACTCCCTAATTTGGGAAGCTGGTTGACAGACATCTACTCTAATTCTTCTACTTGTTCTCTTGGCAGCCAACCTTGTTGCATAACCAAAGGGCACCATCCTATAGATGGTAATAATGCCCCTGCAGCTGTGCAATAAACAGTGCTGCTCTAAGTTTAATGAGTTGCTTACAATTCTTTTTCTCTATAATCATTTTGCTTTTCTTATCACTATATATGATATGACTGCCTTGGAAAATAATTTTATAGTCAGGGAAAAATCATGTGACATAGTTTTTTTCCCCCAACTTGTCCTTGTACACTTTTCCATCCTCCTTCATAATTTTATTTTTATGCTACATTCTACCATATAGTCTATATTACTATAGAACTTTTTCAAAATTTACTTTTCTTTTTACTAGAAGCAATAAGAAGCACAGATTACCTTTTATTTTCCTCACTTCTTTCCTGTTGATCAAGAAAGATTGACTACTAGTATTAATGAAATAACTGGACTGGTATTTTGGCTCTGTTTTCTTGGGCGACATGCACAGGTCCCCACACTCTATACATTTGACCTTTCTGCTTCTTCATTATGTGAACGTGACAGCTTCATACCATAGGCAATTTTGATAGTATGCAGAATGTTAATTCATTGCAGCCATTTGATGCCTTTTTACGTATGGGTTTATTCATTAGGTCTGTCTGTGGGTAAGAGCTAAAGTGTAGAAAACAAAAATGAATTTAAAGAAAAGGACTCTATCCATCACTATTCCAACTTCTCTAGGCCTTCTCTGCCTGGCACAATGGAGAGCTCACTTCCATGAACTGAGAGAAGAAGGCAGAAGGAAAAATACAACAAATCTCGGTAAACTATGCCAAACCTAAGTTAGCAGCCTGTATTGTCTGTTCTCATGCTGCCAATAAAGATATACTCGAGACTGGGTAGTTTATAAAGAAAAAGAGGTTTAATGGACTCACAGTTCCATGTGGCTGGGGAGGCCTCACAATCATGGCTGAAGGCAAAGGAGGAGCAAAGTCATGTCTTACATGGTGGCAGGCAAGAGAGGGAGCATGTACAGGGAAACTCCCCTTCACAAAACCATCAGATCTTGTGAGACTTATTCACTCTCATGAGAATAGCATGGGAAAAACCCACCCTCATGATTCAATTACCTCCCACTGGGTCCCTCCCATGACACATGGGAATTATGGGAGCTACAATTTGAGATTTGCGTGGGGACACAGCCAAGCCATATCACTGACCATACCTAAATGAGTGATGAGAGGAAAAATAAAATGGCTCAAGCTGATTTCTTCTTAATAAAATATGATTATGATATATAGTAATTGCAAGGGTATGCATTTCTTAAGAGCTGTGTGCCTCTAGATCACCTTTATGCTTTCTTTTTTCTCCCTAAATCATTGAGTAGTGTTGACTAGGAAAAAGAAAACTCTTTTACTGTAGGGAGGAAAATTATTAGATTTTGTCAGTGGAAACAGAATGTGAATTCAGGATGTGAATTCTGAATGTCAGTGAATTCAGGGGAATGTGTACATTTTAGTAAGATACTGAGGAAAGTACATTGTTAGCATTTGAAGGGTAGTGGCAAGAGCTGAAATGGAGATGTCAAAAGGTGAAATTACAATAAATTTAGTTTCAAGATATTATTGGCTTTTATTTGTGATTCTAGAATTAGATGATATCACATTCTATAAAATAGAATGCATGTTCTGGTGGGCATGACAGAATGGTTGGTTTTTGTAAGGTGGGAACAAGGAAACAGAATACTTTTTAAAATGCAGATTGGTTAACGTCAGGCTACTACAGGTCACTTTTTTTGTAACAGTTAAAGCAGAGGAGATTTCCTTATTGCACTGACTCAGATAGACTGGCTCTTTCTGATTGGTTGCTGTGAATCTCCTGTTTTCAGGATAAACTGGACTGCTTGGGGGTCTACTTGCTTCCTTAAAGTTTCAGTTTGATTATATGTCACTTAGCATAGAGTGACTCCATTTTTGGTTTGGTCTGGTTTGCTGGGGCCTAGTATAGGAGGTTAGTCCAAAACAATGGCCCCTCATAAGCTTTTAACAGAGGCTATTTGCCACTCTCCTCTTCTTATTGATACTTTGTCCCACATCTAGTGGTACCTCAAATGCATGTGGGTGGACATTCCAGCTCTCATTTAAGCTCTGGGCACACTGCCTCGCCAAAAGTGAATCATATGATTTAGAGATGTATGTATCAGCAGCATGGTCAGTCTGTGGATTCATAGGTCCTGGAAATGAGCTGAGGCATCTTGGCCAGTAATTCTGGCATCCTTGGTATCTGGAGAATTATCTAGAGGGCTCACACATTTAGCTTCACAGACTCCTTGACTGGTGGAGAGGACCATGACCAGAGGAGGGTCGTAATGGGAACGCTCTAAAGTATATGGGTTTATGGGAGGTATTGTTCAGTTTGTGAGACTCTAGGGAAAAAGGTCAGAGGACAAGGTATCCTCCTTCAATAGTGCTTGTACCATTTCTGGTTGCTTTGGTTATGAGGCCAGATGTCATATAAAGTAATATTCAAATAAACACAATCACATGCAAATAAGGCTAATTAGTAATCAGGAGCAGAGGGATTTATGATCAACCAATGTCATCTGGGGGAAAGACATGGGGAGTAGTTTGGGAGGGCTTTGAATCATGAATAAGGGGTAACATTCAAGACCACTGATTTTTTAAAAATCTTTCTCGGGTAAACTAAACTTGTGATCCCTTAGAACATGAATTAACAGGACAATCCTCTTAGCCTTTAGCTGTTACTGTTTTAGATTATTGACTAATTTTCCTGCTCATTCATTACATTTTCCTGATGGAACCAGGGCTATCACATACACTGTGTATACACTTAAAAACCTGTGGGCTGAGAGGGGAGAGGTTACTGGTCCCAGCTTCCGTGGTGGCTGCAGAATAGAAAAGTTGCAGCTCAGTGGTTGAGGGAAGAGTCATTCATAGTGGACACTTCAGAAATTATGGATGCAAACAGTTGTCAATTTTTACCAATAGTGAATTTCATTACGGGCATGTTAAGTTGTTTCATTTCTGTAAAGATGTTGTAGAAAAAAACAGGTTCTTGTCACACGAAAAAGAATAGTTAGGCGCCCAGACACTTTGAAGGATGAAGGGGAACGGAATGTATTGGGTGAAAAGGACAAAGGAAAAATAACTCTTAGCAAAGCAAGAGGGCATCCTGCTAGCAGGTTTCCCACACAGGAACAGGAGAGGCCAGACTCCTCCCTTCTGCAAATGGTGGGAACTTCCCATGGCTCCACCCCATCCTCCCAGTGCACAAACTGGTCCAAGATTCTCTGGGGACCCTCCCTCTAATCTTCCTGCTGCATCCATCAAAGAGATAGACAACATTGTCACTACTAAGTCATTACTCAGAAAATAACCCCTTTCAGGGCACTACTGAGAAAATACCCCACCTTATTCAGTGATATTTAGAATACCTGTAAACACTGAGGAAGCATGGGAGAGATAATTCCCCAGTAGATGTTTCTTAAGTGGGAGTGTTATAAATGTCTCATGTGTGTTTGTGTGTGTGTGTGAGTGTGTGTGTGTGTGTGTGTGTTATTGGGAGGCAGGAGAAAGAAGAAGGTCAGGAAGATACATTCTTATGGTTTGTCAAAAACCCTAGGAGGACTACCCTTTGTGGATTTATCCAACCATAGTCTGAAAGACTGAATTCAATGTAGTCAGAGACATTGCTGAGGCGTCTGAGCCATACTGACCATAAGCAACATTTCCTGGAGGATTTTAATATTAACTGAAAATGACAAATTATAAAAAGCCTGAGGGACTGATCCCCTCACTGTCTAGGAGAGGAGTAGGGCAATTTACCTAGGTGCAAATGCACCATAAATAACTGCATAGCTGCAATCCAGCTGAATTAATTTACATTTAAAAATCTGAGAGGTGGTCAAAACTGCCTCTGGGAAAACAGAATAGCAGTATTAAAACTTGTAGTGTGTTCTGTATTTTGGAAAGTAGGATATCCTTGAGCATGAAGATTATTGAAGAAAACAGGGCCAGTCATTGTTTACTTCAGAGAGAGGGCCAGTGCAATGGACTTGTGGTTCTTTTTGCTTATTAACAGAAAAGATACATTTTACAGAGTTTGGCTTTATGAGTGTATACGTGTGTGTGTGTGTGTGTGTGTAGAGAGAGAGAGAGAAAGAGAGAGGATATATATATATATATAGAGAGAGAGAGAGAGAGAGAAAGAGAAAGAGAGAGAAAGAGAATACATATGGAGAGAGAGAGTATATATGGACAGAGAGAGAGTATATATGGAGAGAGAGAATATATGAAGAGAGAGAGAGTGTGTATGGAGAGAGAGAGAGAGAGAGACAGAGAAAGTATATACGTAGAGAAAGAGAGAAGAGAGGCCAAACTCTGTAAAATGTTTAAAGAGGTTTATTCTGAGCAAATTATGAGTGATCATCACTGGGGTATAGTCTCAAGAAATCCTGAGAACATGTGGTTGGGTTACAACTTGGTTTTATACATTTTATGGAGACAGAGGTTACAGGCAAAGACATATATCAATACATGTAGGTATACATTGGTTTGGCCATAAAGGCTGGATATCTTGGGGGCAGGATGGAGGGGCTACAGTCAGGGGGATGTCACAGGTGGATTGGTAGATGTAAAGTTTAAAGATTTTCTGATGGTCAGTTGGTTGAAAGAGTTAAGCTTTGCCTAAAGTTAAAATCAATAGAAAGAAATGCTTGAGTTAAAATAAGGGGAGTTGTAGAAGCCAAGGTTCTTGTTATGTAGTTGAAGCCTCTAAATAGCAGGCTTCCGAGGGAATACTTGGTAAATGTATCTTACCTGACCTTAAAAGGTGTCAGACTCTTAGTTAAATTTCTCCTGGATCTGGAAAAGACCTAGAAAGGGAAGGAGATTCTCTACAGATCTACAGATACAAATTTCCCCCACAAGAGATGGTTTTTGCAGGGTCATTTCAAAAAATGCCAAAGACACATATTTTGGGGTAAAATACTTTCCTTAAGGGCCTGCTACCTGTCATATGATGTTATACCAGAGTCAGGTTGGAATTTGGTACCTTATTGACACAAAAAGTCTGTTTTGTCAGTCTTATAATCTCTATTTCAATGTTAATGCTCGTCAGTTTTGCCTAAACTCCAAAAGGGAGGGGGTATAATGAGGTGCCTCTGACCTCTCTTTCTGTCATGGTTGGAAAATCAGTTTCTCAGGTTTCCCTTGGCCCAGAAAAGGTCTCTTCAGTTGGTTGGGGGGGCTTTGGGTTTTATTTTTGCTTGATATTCGTGTGTGTGTGTGTGTATTTATATACACCAGAAGTCACCAGCTTTTACCATTTCTTCCTGAATGTCAACCCCAACCTCTCACCTTGTAGTCTGGTGTGTCATGGGAGCTGATGGAGTCAATAACTTGCTCTTATCTTCTGCCTGCATTCCTCTGTCTCTGTCTTCTCCACCTCCTTGAGGTTGAACCCTCTGATGGCTCTAACTTGCTGGTTCATGACAGTCCTAGTCCTTGGGTCAAAGCTGGCAGAAGGAGGATGTATCCTAATTGCCTGTGCCATCTTTTCTTCTGTCTGTTGAAAATATTTCTGGACAGAGTGGAGCTCCATCCTAGGAATTAGAAGAAGGATAATCTATCAGAATTCATGTTGAGGGGAAAACTCAGCCAGCGTAATGAATATGAACTATACAAATGAAGTGGGAAGAAGACAAGGGATGGTGGATCTCAGAGCTGACACGAGAACCAAGTTTATCCAGTCTGAAGGAAGACTAGGAGACAGAGGTAGGGAGATAGTTGCTTTGAAGCATATGTCAGCGACCAAGTGATGTCTTATGTCTGGAACTTGAGCCTTTCAAGGCATGACATTTAGAGATAAACCATACCATTTCCTCATTTTTTTGGATCCGTCTGACTCCCCCATCTAGTCCCATCCAATCTCGAATGTAGCTACTAATCTCCACCTGTGACCACTCATCTCTACCTGTGACCACTCTCCTAAACTTCTAATTCTAGTTGTGCACCCTCTAGGCCATGGTAGATACTGCCTTAATTTTAAGATAATGATATTTTTGCTTCCTGGACCATTGGCTTCCATTATATTTTACTATTTTGGTAGCCAGCCCTTCCATGCTGTGTTCTCTACCTGCTGTATAGTTAAATTTCCAAGTATTTTTGTGTTTCTTGAGTTTCTCATTTGGAGACTGGCCTTTAATAACTAATATTTCTTGGCACGGCTTACATGTTTGTACCTCCTTTATACACTTGTTCCTTTATATTCATGCTGATTCCTTGAACTGTAGGCTCTGCTTCACTTTTTATTCTTAAATGTAACACAGTTTTCTCCTTATAGTGATTGATCTCCTGGCTGTGGCCACATCCAGATTCTTAAAACCACTTTGGTTCCATCCTTGTTACTTAGCCCTGCTATTATACTATATCCCAGTTACAGATGACAGTTAGTTACTCTGCTTATCTGTACATTAAGTGGGGAGGTGATAGAAAGTACAGAGGAAACTCACAAAGTATCCATCTACCAGAAGTAGAACCAAGCCTCATGGAACCAAGAAAGTGAGAGGTACTATCTGTCTTTTATTGTGGCTCTATGGTCTATCATTTCTACTTCTCTCTGCATGCCTTCAGCATTTTTTTTCACACTAGCTTTTTTATAAGTCTGTGTTTCCTGTCATAACTTTAGTCTATCATAGAGTGGCCTGTTGTTTGTTTCCCACTGGAGGGATTGTCCACTCCTGATCCAACAAGAGATGGATGGCCAAAGAGAGATCTCTGTGGTAAAACATGGCTGCTCAAACCCTCCACTTCAGCAGAAGCCATGAGCAGAAGCCATGAGTAAGGCTGACTTCCAAAAAAACGCCAGGGATTGAGCATGTTCCCCAAGCATATCTAATATAACTAACTCTAAGAATTTGACTGAAAACCAATCAATTCAATGGCCATGCATGGATGGGTTGATAATATTTTTAAAAAGCCAACTAGGTACTGCAAAGTGACATAGGTGGTGTTAAATAATCAGAGACAAGCGATTGAAACAAATCAGATATGAGAAGTTGGCAGAGAAATATATGCTAAAGGGAGGTAAGACATTAATGGAATTTAAACAGAGTGGAAAATGTGAATAAACTTGATTTGATGACTCAATTAATACTAAAAATATCCTGCAGGAACATATAAGGACAAGCAAGCCATTTTGAGTTTATATGGAAAATTTTTTCTAACTATTGAAAAGTATGTCTACGGTTTTGTACTGTTCTATTAAAATTTCATTAAGAAACTAATTAGAGAATTATAATTACTATCGATTAATTCTCCTTTATTGAAAGAGCAGAAAAACATATTGGATATGATTATGTGGAGAAGATTAATAGAACCATATGTGGGTAAACAGATCTGGAGAAGGGAAGCCTGTACTAAAGCACTGATTCTCCCAACCTCCTGTGTCCTCCAAGGACAGTAGGTCCACATAAGGAGTAGTTAGTCCCGCATATTTCCAGTATCATTATCTCTGAGAATCTGGGAGCTTCTTTAAGCTGCTGTCAGTGACAGATTATGGGCAACCATGGAAAGAGCAAGTGAGGAGTGCCATGCAGGATTAGTGTCTGTCACCTGAAAGCCAGACCAGCCAGGAAGGCAGGAACATAATGGGAGTCTAAGTATGTTAGACTGTCAGGAGGCAATAAATTTAGTTGGGAAGAGCGTCGATGTCACACTAGGGTTTGAATTCTAGCCAGCACTTTTAGGGTGGACTTGGACATACTGCTTCATCTCTAACCTTCTGCTTCCTCAGCTATCAAATGTGGGACAGTAATTCTTACTTAATAGGATAGTTGTTGGGTTGTTGATAAGATATAGATAAAATGCCTAGCCCCGTGTCTGACAAGATGGGCTTATAATAAGCGGTAGGTATTATTACTTAACACAGATGAAAGAAACAGGCAGAAAATGGGATCTGGGGTGGAATATGGCACCCTGTTATTCATCTGAAAGGGATTCAGTATTTTCCTGGTACATGTTGATAAAGCATGGCAAAATGATTCAAGGAACTATAAGTATAAGGAGCCAGTTTACTGTAATGAAAAGAGAGCTAGGTCATTTGGGATGACTTCAAATTTTTGCAGTTGGCAAAAAAATTGCTGCACTATTTTCTCTATCCCTTCACTTAGCCATTGTCTAAAAAAATCTGAGGCCCCTTTGAGCCCTTTCTTTTCCTTTCAACATGAAGAAGCATCTCATAAATAGATTCTATTGTGACTTTCCCTAGACTGACCCCTTTCTCTCCAACCTTTTCCTTTTGTCATGAATCCAAAATGTTAGTGCAAAACTTTCTTCTTTAGATTATCTTTTAAATCCTTCATTTCAAATTTCTGCATCGATATTCTGTTGTTCTTGATATCAGATTCCAATTTCTTTCAAAGTATCAAGATGCCTGAGCTTTCGGCAATATTGCTATTTCAAAAGAAATTATAAGTAAGATCATTTGAATGTAAATCACAGACAACCTGACAGTTTAATCGCATCCCCCAATAATTAAGAATCTGTTATCTAAGAACAATATTATTTTACTTTACTATAATACCATTTTCCACTCAAGAAATTTAATATTAATACAATTATATTTTCTAATGTAAAGTTCATATTCAAATTTTCTTAATCACCCCTAGAGTATTCTTTATAGTTTTGTTTGTTTGCTTTCTATCCTGGATGCAATCAACAATCACTTATTGCATTTGGTTTTCCTGGCATTGGTACAGCACTTCTAAAAACCCATAGCATGACAATTGTTTTCTTCTCTTTCCTTCGTTTTAAAAGCCAGCAAGGTAGAAGCCTACTCTACTTGCTCACGATTGTGACCCTGAAATTCTTATTTTATAAATTCTATAAATATATAATAAGCAATGCTATACACTAAGTTTTTTAAAAATTAGAAATGCTTCTAAGGAGGTTGGGTCATTCTAGAAACCTCAAGGCCCAAGATTCCTTTGGAGGAGAATATTTCTAAATCATTGGATCTCCAAGAGACATTTCAATTGGGCTTGTAGGAAAAGGGTAAAGAGAGTTCTCACATCAGATAGAATGGTCTTTTCTTGAGAATTGTTTATTTTCCTAGGAGCCTGGATTGTTGAGGATTTAGCACCTGCTCAATATTCAGCAATTGCCAAATAGACCTCTAAGATAAGCTAATATTTTCAGTCAAAGATGGTGGCCTAACCAATAAAAGAACTAGACCTCACTAGTATTATCAGCAATGTTGTAATTATAAAATGATAAATGCCAACATATAATATGAAAAAAGTTATGATTAATAATTACAGGATTGTTGTGTATGTCCACATTGTAGTACCCTTTTTAGTCTTTCAAAGAGTGCTATCATTAATGAGACATTTTTTTCTTCTTGCCTGATTTAAGGTCTATGAGAGAAACTCTGGAGTGCTCAACATTGCTTTAGGATTTAATAAATATTAAAAGTCATTGCAAATGAGTTTAACATTGGACAGCAGAAAAGTTACATGAAGCTAGTATTTAAATACTTCATCAGTTAAAATTAGTAGACTGACAAATTGTTTCTTAAGTGATGCACTTTTAAGAACAGCTTCAAGAGCTATCAGTTTCTCTATAGCAGCCTCTGACATAAAGTGTGAAGCTTATGTAGGAAGTAGAAGAGTTACTATTTTTTTTTATCTTGACATGGCCTTCCCCCTAGGATTCATTATTTTTCTTTTTGTATTATAGGTTTTATCTCAGTTGCTTTCACTTCCAGGTTAGCATCCCTAGAATAAACAGAGGAATAAGGCAACGGTGGTTGATTTGACTTGATACTGAGAGCAAGCTTTGAACTTTTTGGTTGTTGGAGTAAGATTTTCATGAAATTGACAATACTGACCCCGTTCCCTTCCCTTCCCCTATGGTGGACAGGGAATATGAAAGAAACAAAGAATAAGAACGTGCTGTCACTCTCGTGCTTTGGATTCAGGTTATTTCAGTTTGATTCCAGAACATTTCAGAAAATGAAGTCTTTAGGCCCAAACTTGTAAGGTGAAATTGTGATTCTTTATGTGACATTGTTTACTATCTTCTCATTTTCTACATTGTCCCTCTCTCCCATTCAACTGTTGCCAAGGAATTTCAAATATTTTCTTTTGAGTAGAACACAGTGGTAAGATGGTATGCAAAGACTACAGGGCAAGTTTTTCTGGGGGATTCTATTGATTTTACTTGAAGATTTTGGGGACAAGTTAATAAATTAGTACTATTGTTTAAATTATTATGTAATATTACAACAAATAAATGTATGTTAATATGATGCAAAATTCACATGATTTTTAAGAATAAGAACAAGACTTTATACACTTTTTTTTTTGCTTTTGATAGAAATATGCTTTGGTATTTGGGTTGTAGGTAGCAGTTGTAAGAGCTTTAGATCCAAATCTAGATAAAATCCAGCTTTTAAATTGCCAAGGAAATTTTTTCATTAACATGTCTAACTTTTATCCATCTGTAATAAAGCTTCTTGTAACTTCCCATGTCACAATTTGGATTCCCCAGTAAGCAGATTCTAAGATGGAGTAGCTTTGTCTTGCTTCATTTAATTCCAGCCAGACTTTTGCATTTAAGATCTCTTGAGCCACTGACTTGTATAAGGACACACAGTAAATAAAGCTGCACTTCCACAGGCTGTAGATGACACAGGTTATCAGAGAAGGACTGTGGATGGAAAGGAAATAACTGACACCTTCAATGTAGGCAGCCTTGTGAAATTGGCATAGACTGTCCCAAAGTAACTGTTTTGGAGAAGAAAACATTCATTTAGATATAAAAGTTCAAACATGCTTATTAAAATTTAGTCTTACAACTTACATTTCCTTATATCTCTCTGGGATGACAGTGGAGTGGAGTAATACCTTTTTATGAAAGCAAGCAAAATCTCCTTTTCACTTTGAACCCCCAAATAGCTTTGTACTAACAGCACAAGTAAGGGCATACCTCAGTTAGGCTATGATTTTCCTTCTCAGTATGCTTGGAAAACTGTGAGTTGTGCCACATTATACATTGCAGGTTTGAAATGTTTTTTCCCCCCATTATGAATAGCCAAATAGCATCCAAATACTCATAAGTCAACATAAACTATGTAGCCTAATGTTCTATATTCTAGAATATGATTACAGAGTAAAATGTTTCCTTCTCCTCACCATTATATAACAAGCAAAATTAGAAAGTATAAGATGTACCTGAATGCACAAATGAGCCGTGTCTAGCTTAATGTGAGTCTTTGCTCTGGCTTAACCCCATCTCAGCTGTTTGTGTTGAGCATTCAGATGGTTGTGAATTATACTTTCTATTTTTTCAAATCAGGGACAGGGCACCTTTGTGTATTATGTTTCTTTTCCTCCCAGACTGAGACTGCAAGTCTCTATTCTTTCACAACTCTCTGGGCAACACTCCCATGTTTCCTTGAATAATACTGGTACAGAGTAACATGTCACATGGCTGGCTCTAGTTTTTCAGCTCATCACTATATTCTCTCCAGCAGGATGAGGCCTGCTTGCCAGTTTCATTACATTTAGCCTTGTATACCAGGGATTGGGCTAGTTGCTGTTCATACTTTCAGACAAACTCCTTTAGACAGTCTGACCCTCAAATGATTATCTTATTGTTTCCATTACCAAAGAGGTTCCATGACCCGCTTCTCCCATTTTGGACCACTTTATTTGATTTTCTGGCTTTCTGGAATGGAACTTGAATTGCCATAATCCTTTTGTGAATTGTTCATTATTTGTTAGCCACTATTGAAGTCAGTACTCTGCCTACTCCTGTTCCCCACCCCACATGTTTAGGTTAGCCTCCCTTTCACTCTCAGGCTGCTGTAAAGCACAAGCTATGTGACATTATATGTTTACTGTGGAAACTAACACTGTCATTAAATGAAACATTAACATGTTCCTTAAGATACTCAACAAAAATTAGAACTTGGAGCAGGATTTCTTCATAATGTAAAACTACATTGTATTTATTTGTTTCTGGTCTTGGTTTACATTAAGACCCTTAGCACAGAGACCAAGATATTCTCTCACTATCTCTCATTTTATCTGAAGTGGATATTGAATTTGACTTGGGAAACTTCCAGTCTTAGCTGGCTCAAGTAAGAACCTGGAAATCCAAACTCAGGTAACTAATTAATGATTCTCTGAGAATCCTGGAAATATTGGATTTTAGGTCATCCTCCTTCTCCTTCCCTCCCCAATGAGGTAAAGCCAGGAATAAACCAAAAAATATCAGAGCACTGTTTTTATCCATAAAGGGGTAATATGATCATTGGAAAAAATGTGAAAATGACATCCTCATAATAACAGAAGTAAAAACAATTATCAATTATTATTAATCAGTCCTGCAACCACCACTGTTACCATGTAATAAATCCCTACTCTATAGATGCTTTAAGCTCATCCCCTCATTTAACCTTGCAAAGAAGGGATTATTATCCTCATTTTACATGGAAAGTAAATTGAGATTTAGAGAGATGAAATAAATTGTCTAAGATCACATAGCTAAGTGGCTGAGCCAAAAACTAAAGCTAGATTGTTTGATTTTTTAAAAAATCTATGTTTTAGCGATTATACCAGGATGACTCTCATCAGCTATAAATTTGTTCAAAGATTGCATCTGCCAGGCTTTATATACAAAAGTAAAATAAAATGGAACAAATTTTCTGGTAAATTGGAAAGCTGATTTCAACCTAGGTCCTGATTTCCCTTATTAGTTCCATTTTTCCTTTTTCGCTTATACAGATGTTGGCAATTTTTGCATGTAGCTACCCAGATTGACCAGCAAATTTCTTCAGTGAATTGCATGCATTGCTCAGGCCAGCCATGACTGCTGTACTGGCTCTCTGTGGCCAAGTAGCTCTGAAGATTATGAGCTGTGTGGCTGACTGAGGGAACCATTCCAATCTGACAGATCTGTTTGCCTTTTGCTTTTAGACCTGATCCTTGTCTTAGTATGACTTTTAATGTCAAATTCCAAAGATCAAAAAAAAAAATTATCATTAGCTTAAACTTTTCAGACAGTAACAGCAATTGTCTTACTGTATTGAGTCACTTGGCTTACTTTCTAAGATGAAGTCAAGGGTGCAGAAAGTAAACCAACCAACAGGCCTACATCGCTCTGAGCCTTTTCATACTGAGAATGACATATTTACCTTTTCTTATTCAGAGTTCCGAGTTTTCGGGTTTTTTTTTCCAAGAAGCAAATAGATGAGTAGACCAAGTGTTGATGGTAAAGATGTTGTTTATTGCTTAAAACTAGTCTGTTTTCTTCTAAAACAGAAGAAGCATTAGAAGATCTCTATCTTTCCCTTTTTGTGTATGCAGGCTCAAACTTATTCTTTAACACATGCTATATTCTTGCCCTTTGTTCTCCTTGTTCTATATTCCAAACTCCTCCCTAAAGTCTTCCCCAGATCTTTCTTCAGAAATAGCTCACTAGGAATTACTCTTTGCTTCACTTTAATAAACTTTCTATTTTAAAATCAATTGTTATAAGGGGGAGATTCAAGTGCCAGGACAACTGTGAGTGGAATAAGTGTGGTGCTATTTAATCTCAGCTGTTAGCTCTGTTTGGTCTGATTTCCACTATGTTATTAGCTCTTTTTACTCTTGTGGTTAAAAGATTGCAAACCATTTCACTGTCCTACCTTTTTCTACTCTTGTTTGCCTCTCTTCCTTCTCAAGATCTAATGTTCCTGCACTCTGCTAAGTTTACAAATGTAATTTGTTTTCTGTAACACTAGTTCACTTTGATTCCTTTTCCTTCATTCTATGTCAGATTCTTCCTTGTATCGTTGTGCTCCACTCAAGAGAAACTGATTTCAAAGCTCAGTTTCTCAGTTCAGATCAGAAAAGGAGTTTAATTATCATTGACAAACTCTTCTGTGTGACACCTGTTAGGTAACTGGAGAAGATTCATCCCATGAATTTAGATTGGTCCAAATGCATAGATTCTCTATGTAATCTCTTCTTGTTTCCAGTAACTGAAAAACACAGAAATGCTTCTAGGTGGCTGAGTGGAAGTATACCTAAAATTTCTGCCTAATGATAAGGAGAGTGTTTTAGCATTGTATGAACTACTGTAATTTAGAAAATGATCAGAGGAAACTGAGGTGTGTCTGGATGAATTAACACTAAATTTGAATTAATAAATTGGTTTTGAGAAAGAATACTGCTAGTAAATTTATCGTGTTTTTTTTTTGTTTTGTTTTTGTTTTTGTTTTTTGAGATGGAGTCTCGCTCTGTCGCCCAGGATGGAGTGCAGTGGCATGATCTCGGCTCACTGCAAGCTCCACCTCCCGGGTTCACGCCATTCTCCTGCCTCAGCCTCTTGAGTAGCTGGAACCACAGGCGCCCACCACCACGCCCAGCTAATTTTTTTTTGTAATTTTTTTTTTAGTGGAGATGGGGTTTCACCTTGTTAGCCAGGATGGTCTCGATCTCCTGACCTTGTGATCTGCCCGCCTTGGCCTCCCAAAGTGCTGGGATTACAGGCGTGAGCCACTGTGCCTGGCCCTTAAGTTTATCTTCTAAGAAAAAAAATTAAGAAAAAAATGTGTCACATGTAATGGACTTCAGAGACCTATTTAGAATCAGAATCATGGAACCTAACAGCTGGAGAGCTGCTGAGGGAGCATCTATTTCAACTTTTCATTTTGTGGATTAGAATACTGATGTTAGACAGGTGAAATAATTTTTTTTTCAAGACTAGTTGACTGTTTGGTGTCAGAGTTCAGACTGATGTTTTCTGGGTATAATATTCACAGTCTATATATCTTACCAAGGCTAGATAATAAATATGCTTCCATATGAAGCCACTCAGCACCTTTTAAATGGCTGATAGCTTCCATGGATTTTGGAAACTTTCAAGTGAATTGAAGTCCCTGGAGCTAAATAGCCATAAATCTGGACAGTATAGACTGAGATCCCTTCCATAGACCTTGATATCCCAGAAGGTAAAAATTACTGTCTTTGGTCCTTGCTGTTGGATAACAGGCCTTAGAAAAGGAATATAGAATATAAATTTTTATGGGATTCATGAAGATATGTCTTAGGATGGGTTCTCCCATAAGCAGATCATGAGACAATGATATCAGTGAAAATAATTTATTTGAGAGATGATTCCAGGAAGTACTGGTTGGAAAAGGAGGATGTGAGCTTAGAAAGAATATCTAATCATTACAGGCAACTATGGCTCAGTGCTTGATGGGGACCTTTGAAAGGCAATGTAGAGTATGCATCAGAGTTGTTCCATCCAAGGGAATCTAGTCTATTTATTTATTAACTTCTGTGTGTGATTGAGGTTTTCTCCTGGGAGTGAGCTGTTTGAGTCTGTCCTGGGAAAGGGCTGCATTCTAGTTTCTATGGCCAAAGAAAGCCTTCAGTCATAGAATTGTGGACAATTACATTAAGAAACCATTGGCGTGCATTGGTATGGTGAGTATTGAGGGGATGTCGGTGGGTATGGATCAATATCCCTCTACACAGGGGAAATAAACAGTGGTGGGAATGGGGAATGAAACATATAAACTCAATGTATTGGATCAACCAAATGCATTTTGAATCTATTATATTTTCCTCATATTTTTAGTAGAGAGCATGGGTTTTTTAGTTAATTTATAAAACTGGCTTATCTTGATAATGGAGATTTTGTGAATTTTCTGTAGAATTTATTATAAGATATTGAAGCTGACTGTTACCCTCCCTGGGCATTATTGCAGGGTATCCCCAAATATTCATAGCAAATGTTTGATAAGGACTTGTGTAGACTTTCTTCTTTGAGAAACATTCCAGGTCTGAGGGGTAAAGGGTCAGAAGAAGTATGGTTGGGAACTGAAAAAGGGATACCTAGAGAGACTGACAACTGAAAATCACTGAGTATTTTGGTTATATTGAATTATATGTATTAATATTTGAGTTGAAGTTAACAAATAAATGTTAAGAGGCTGTACAATCTACTGCAAAATAATATTTTGAGAAATTCCTTGGCATGGTTAATATTTCAAAAACTTATTTTTTTCCATCAATATGGGGATTTGAAGACATCAAGAGCAGATGGGGAAGCAAAACAATGCAGGTTCTAAGGAACAATTTGAGAGCTAAGTAGACTTTTAAGTACTCAGAACAGTACATTAAATTACAGCAAATTATCTTTTTATTTGTTATTTTTCTTAAAGACATGGAATAAAAGAAAGATGTGGTATTCTCCATAGCACATTTTTGAAGTATTTTATCATAACTTTTTCCTGGGCTTTTGTAGTGTTAAATGACTGCATCATACCTGCTTGGAGTATGTTGAAATTCATGTTTGTTTAACTGTGTTGTCATATGTAATGTAAAGTAGACACCCAAGGCAACTAAATGTATAATTCAGATGTCACAGTCATTTATTTCATCAATGTGAAGATGGTAGAGAAAATGTGTACATGTAATTTAATATTAAAAATAGTTCTGGTCTATTAAAAAAGAATGCAAGGAGATAGCCAAGGAATGGTGGCTACCTAAATCTGAATGTTCCAACGTATCCTCTAAAAGCTATGCAAATCAACAAAAATAACAACTAAAGCCACACAAATCCTATTCTTCCACATGACAATAAACTAGAATACAATACACAGTTCAATCTCTTATAAGTAAAGAAATAAATACCAATTTTCAGTAGAGCTATTTCTTAACTTCCCACCCCAATATTTCCAGAGAGCAAAGTGCAGGAAAACTGAGCTTTAAGAGAGAACTTTAAGGCAATACTTATGGGGAGATGAGAGTAAAAGGCAAGGGAAAAGAGCTCTTTGGAAAATGCACAGTAAAAGGATAAAGAAGGATAAACTTAGAATACAGGGGTAAATAATAATTTTTTTTAAATGCAACCTTTCTCCAATTTATCCCTACACTAAAAAGCCATCTGCTTTGCTTCACTGACATAAGAGAATGATCTGCAACTAGGAATCTTGTAAGCCTCCCAAATTGTCGTTCCTGGCTACTAAATGCAGAGATGCAAGCATACTTTATCTGTACTAAGAAGAAAACAGAGAATTAGAATCAAAACATTTCATATGATGAGAATTATCTCTAAAAGAAAAATCAACCACAAAACAGAAAATTGTCGTGTAACTCTACAAACTAAATTAAATATTCTCAAATAAACATTTGGCAATATAAAAAATGTGCCTTAAATCAATTTTCTAAGAGCAGATGTGGGGAAAAATGGATGAAATGAAATGAGAATTTATTTATTCCACTCAGAAAAGAAATACAAAAAAAGAGACTAAATAATGTGTCAATGAAGATTAAATTAGGTAAAATGTAATAAGGGTTAATGCAGAACAGCAGATAAATAACCAAAAGTATGAAAGCACAATAAAAAATGAAAGAAAAAGGGTCATAAGAAAGTGTTTGAAATGAAAAATAGGCAAAGATCCAATATATGATTAACTGAAGTCTCAAAGGTGAAAAACAAAGGAATGAAACAGGACTAACATTTAAAGCAATAATCTAAGATAATATTTCAGTAATAAAAGAAAACATATTTACATATTGAAAGGGCCTACTTGGGAAAACTGACATGGAAAAAGTACTTGGAAAAATTGATATCAAATGATTTAATCTGAGGCATAGTCTAGTGAAATGTTTGGACTTTAAAGTCCCAGTATCCTCAGACAAAAAGATCTAATGACTTACGAAGTCTGGAGACTTAAAGAAAAGCAACAATGAAGCAGTAGTTTCAAGACACTTAATTAAGGAAAGTGTGAGCCAAGGATTTTATATCCAGCCAAGATAGCCTTCAAATATCAAGATGAAAAGAAAAAGCCATTTTAAACATGTAAGAACTCAAGGAATTCTTAGCAAATGCTGAGAAAATATACAGTAAATACTATATATAGTATTTAGAACATAAAGTAATATGACAGTGTTGAGACCAAATATATGTCATATCAATAAATATGAATGAGCTTAATTCATTTATTAAAATAAAAATTATTTTCAGCTTTGCTTGCAAAGCAAGATCCAACTAAATAATTTATAAAAGGGACACATGTAAACCGAAGTGATTCAGAAATGCTGAAATAAAGGGATGAGTGCACATGTAACAGGAGGCAGGAAACAATGAGAGAACAGGATACAAATGTTCCTGCAAGACCTCCATGTTTTCACAAGGAAACATCAGACAAACTCAAACTGAGAAAGATTTTACCAAATAATTGGCCTGTACTCTTCAAAATTTTCAAAAATGTCAAGGTAATGGTAAACAACAAAGACAGACTCAGGAATTGTCCGGATTAAAGAAAACTAAAGAGACTTGATAACTAAATGGAATGTGGGATCCTGGATTGGACTCAGTACCAGACAGTCCAATGTATACATAAATATAAATATATATATTTACTACAGAGGATATTATTGTGGTAATTGGCAAAGTATTAATAAGGCTTATAGATTAATAACATTGGATAAATACTAATTTCTTGATATTCATATTTTTAGTATGATTATGTAAGTGAAATGTCCTTGTTCTTAGAAAACGCACATTAAAGTATTTAGGGTTAAAAAGACATAATATCTGCAACTTACTGCCAAATGGCTCTGAAAAATTAAGTGTGTATATGTGTGTGTCTGTGTGCGTGTGTAGGTAAATGCCTAACAGTTTTTTGTACTCTTCTTGCAATATTTTGTAAATCTGAAATGATTTCAAAATAAAAAGTAACAACAGTAACATTCAAGAGAGGGCTACAAATTAATTATGTTAGGGATTTGTTGCCCCTGGAAGAATTTGAGAAAATTATCTGCAGGCTTTACTGGATTATAAACTTTATTGTTTCTGGGGGAATCCTATTTCAAGGGCTTGCTCTGTCATGGTTATTGGGGTGTGACTGGCTGCAAATGCCAAGTATAAAGTAGTGTTATTCTTAAAGAGAAAATGTACCTTCAAATTTCTTCTAAGTGACTTTGCCTTACCTGGAAAGAATCTTGGTTAAAGAGAAATAGGGAAAAAAGTTGAGAGAGTGAGGGCCTCTTTGGGCATGGACACTTCAGAGAGTTTTTTGAGAGGCTCATATTTTTATCTGCTAAATATAAGCATTTTTAAAAATCAGAGACATCCCGGGGTTTCTAAAATTAGCTAGTACATGTCTACTGCATCATAGAACTCAATCTTAATGGTAAATTAAACAAAAGCAGAGATAGTAGCTCTTGGAAGTAAAGTTTGTAAAGCAATGGTTCTCAGACTGTTTGCATATTTTGGTAAAAACAAATACTTTGTTTTTCATTGACTTTGGGAAGAATCAAGGCATTATATGATAGATGCAAATATATATGTTTATAAGCCTCCAGATCCAACATGAGATTAAGTTCAAACTATATTAACAGAGTTACTTCACTCATTCATGTCTGGGGGGAAAGAAGGATTGCAAAATAAGTAGACATTTCATTTTTGGCCTTTTATTTTTATTTAGCCTATAATTATCATCCTGTTTAAACTATTTGGCACTTTAAAACATTTTTTGGAAGCTGTAGAAATACAGAGAAGTACAGAAACTAGCTTAAGAGATATCCATGAATCCACCATCCAAAATAACAAATACTAACATTTTCTTGCTTTTGCTTCAGATATGTTCTTAATAGAAGAAACAGAATATTAAAAAGTTGATTACATTTATCCCCCTCAGTCCCATTTCCCTCCTCCCTTCCCGCAAAAGAACTATTAGCCTGAATTTGGTACATATTCCTTAAGTCCATGTCTATTATAGAAATATAATGTATTTACAATATGTCCATAATAGTGTATAGGTAAATAATAGTATATATTTTGGTTGTGTAAGTATTCAAAATTTCATAAGTTATACCACGGTAGTTATAATTTTTCACTAAGTTTTTGTTTGGAATATGTTTAATGTGACTATATTTCAATCTAGTTATTTTATTTTAATCATAATATAGTATCATTTGCAATTTATTTTTCATTATTCTTTATGAGTAAAGATTAATTCTTCCATTTTGTATTTTGGTATTACAATTAATGTTGTAACTAGCAATTTTGTACATGCCTCTGGGGGTACATGTGTAAGATTTTTCTCTGCAATTTATTCCTAGCAGCAAACTTGTCAAGTTTATTAGATGTTATTGCTCTTCAAAGCAGTTCAAAAACATAATGCTTCTTCAAACCAGTTATACAAATGTATACTCACCACTTATGATTTATGAGCCCATTTCCCTAGAAACTTGCCAATATTTGGTATTGTCAAAATTTACATTTTTGCCAATTATATGATTATCCCATATTGTCTCATTATTGCTTTATTTTTGCATTTTCTTGATCATTAAAGATATTGAGCATTTTTCATACATTAATTAGTCATTTATGCTTTATAATCTGGGCATTGCCTGTTCATATTCTTTTCCTATTTTCCAGGGATTACGAGTGTTGTTTTTCTTTCTTCTATTGATTTGCAAGATTTTTGTCACGTTTTGGACACTAAACTTGGCAGATATATATGTACCTCTCTATTTGTAGCTTGGCTTTACGTTTGGTGATGACTTTTGTTCTTTATGAATTTCAGTGTCAGTTTAGTTTTTGTCTAGGTTTGTTGAGATTTAAAAATTGATATTACACTAGATTTATAACTTGGAGATATGTTGACACCTTTAATATTATGGCTTTTCATCTAACATCATATGTATAATTTATATCTTTTACCTTTCATGTTTTTTTCATAATACTCTGAATTTGTTTTTCCTTATAATTTGTTAAAGTTTTTCCTAAATACAATATTTGCTACTATTATGAATATTTTCTCTTACATTTCTTAATTATGCTAGTGTATATGAATGCTCTTATTTTTTTCAGTATAAGTGTAAAATCATAACTCTTCTTAATCCTGTTATTAGTTTAATGGCTTATAGATGTTCTTATACAATTTCTGTGTAGATAATATTTTCTGCAAATAATTTCACTTTTGCCTTTAACTTTTCAATTATGCCTGTTTTTTAATTTTTCTTATTACATGCTTTGAGCCTTCAGTACAATATTTATTTTTTGAGAAAGCTCCTGTAGTTTCTCCAGTAGGAATTGTTATTGGTTACCACTATAAATTTTGTCTAGATTCATTTTATCAGGCAAAGGAAGTGCTTTCTATGACTAAAGCCCTAAGATTTTGTTTTATTACAAGTGAGTGTTGGATTTTTTCATAAGATTTTTTTCAGTGGATTGATTGAAAAGATCATATGCTGTTTTTCTTCCCAAGGGTGGGCAGATGACTAAAGCTGGCCCATTGGGCTAAAGGAAAGACTTTAGCACATACCTGAGGAAGAATTCTGTTTTGCATTTTTTTTGTTGTTTTTTGAAGCCAAATACAAAAAAGGAAGTATTTCCCTGGTTTCTGCAGGAAGCAATTCTGATGAATTAGCTAATACAAAGAAAACCCAAAAGTGAACCAAAAGTAAAAAAGTGGATCCTAAACCTTAACGTCCTGTACCTGGAGCCTACCCTACCTCCATCCTTTTTATTAGGATAATTGATAAATATTCCTAACTTTTAGTCTAGTTTTAGTGAAAGTTATCCATAACTTTCAGCCCAAAGCTGAAAGAAGGGTGGTAGATCTCAATACCACTACTAGTAACATTCAGAAAACAGAGATAGCAAGTTCAGCAGTCGATAAGGACGAAGAATGCCTATGAAATACAATGGTGAAATTCCACAGAACTAAGATTACGTTGTAAAAACTGAAAATGCTTTTTTCTTTTTCAAGTTATTTCTTCATATACAATACATGTTGAGGTAGATTAATTAATAGGTGATTTGTATATTATCCTCTGCCTAGGTAAGGCACATCGACTCGGGAACAACTACCACTGTGATTTTGAACAAGCCCCTTGACGTCGCTAAGCCTGTTTCTTCATCTCTAAAATCAAATAATGTGCAAAAAGTACTTAACAATGGCTGATATATAGTAAGCATTCAATAGATGTTAGTGGTTGCTGTTATTACTGGCAGGAAAAGAATTCTTTTTTGCTAGCCCTCCAGATACAGAGGTTTGAAATAGTGTATTTTTGATATAGCTGCTGACTGATTTTCTTTCTAAAGGAATTAAATTCCAGTTAGCACTGAAACTTTTCTAAATGTTGGAAAATCTTGAATAATTTGTTTACGTAAGTACAAAATGAAAATGTAAGTTTGAAGTAAAGACAGAAAGGAGGTAGAGTGGTTATCTTTAAAGTTAAAGCAGAAAATTTGAGAGTAATTTGACACTGTCCCTAGCTGTGATAAACTAGCTGTAACAGCCAAATGATGGTGGAAGAGAAATGAAATAATGCCTTAATGTCTGACCCTTCCAATTCAGTTAAAGACCATGAATCAGTGATTATGCTTTGTTCAAAATACCAGTGAAGTCTGGAAGGTTCCTGACTCAGTAGTAAAACGTTATTGCAGGTTGGTAAAATAGAGACCACAACAGAAAACTGTCAAGTTGCTTTGATCAGGAGGTAATGACTAGGTGAAGAAAGGTAGGAGGATTGCTACATGGACAGCTGAAACTATAGTTATGACCTGGTTCTTGAAAATAATTTAACCAGTACAATTTCCAGATGGATGGAAATTTCTTTCTGTGAGGAAGTATCTAGGGAAGTGAGTTTAGCCTAGTTACACGAAAGAAGATGAAGGGATGATTTAAATATGGAAGCTGCAATTAGGTAGATGTACCTTCTAGAGCAGGGGTGTCCAATCTTTTGGCTTCCCTGGGCCACAGTGGAAGAATTGTCTTGGATGATCAATAAAATACACTAATATTAATGAAAGCAGATGAGCTGAAAAAAAAAAGTCTGTGCATGAATCTCCTTATGTTTTAAGAAAGCTTACACATTTGTGTTGGGCTCGTTTCAAAGCCATCCTGTGCTGCATGCAGCCTGCAGGGCCGTGGGTTGGACAAGCTGGTTCTAGAGTGTCAGGGGTATGCTGACAAAAGGAATGGACCTCAGATGGAAACCTGAGAGCCAGCAGAGCACAGTGATCAATAGTTCATTCTCTGGAGCCAGGCTTCTTGGGGCTCAGGTCCTTGTTCTACTCCTTCTTATGTGACTGTCGTTGGCAACTTACGTAACTTACTACCTCAGCTTCCCTCTCTTTAAAATGGAAGTAAAATATTACCTACTTTATAAAGTTGTTGAAAGTAGAAAAAGAATTAACATGTGCAAAGACACTTAAGACAGTGCTTGGTGCATGGTATTTAGTATATATTAGTTACTCTTAAGATTATTAAAAACAAACAGGACTGTAATCTGATGTTTTAGATTTTTTCTTTACAGAAATGAGGGCTAGACTACGTGCCTCAAATAATTCAAATGGAGTCTGACCTCCAGGAAGCCAACTTCTGTGGAAATAGAACAGAGTAAAAGAAGCTCATGGGGATGGTGGTTGTTGGGGAGTGCCTGACTGTGAAGTTTGGTCTCTTGTTTTAGGTAGAATTTCTTGCTGTCTTGGGCACCAACTCCCTGACAGGAAGTTTGGTCTGAGGGGCAGAGCCCAAAAGGAAAATATCTGGACAATCAAGGTCATGCCCTTGATTCAAGGACTACTTTGGATTTGTGACAAAGAGAAAGAGAGAGAGAGAGAGAGCTCTTGTATATATGAAGTGGATATTATATATATTTTTCCTTTCCTCTTTTAGCAGCCCAAAATGAATCAGCCACAAAGCCGGAATAGTATTATATAGCACGCACAGGACAGCCACATTTCTGCCCTTACCATAGTTAGAGGGTTAGAAGACTTAGGTTTTGTTTGCTTATATGCATTTTTCTTTCTAGGCTACTAAGAAAAGATTAAATAATTTATGAATATATTTGGACCTTTAGGTTGTACCTTCTAAACCTGAGGGGCCAAGGAAGGCCTCCAGGAGGAAACAATACCCAAAATAAAAACTGAAGGCTGAGTTAGCTGCCAGGTGAGATGATGAGACAGAATATCTCAGGTAGGGGTGGAGGGAAATATTCTTGACCACAAGCATTGTACTTGGATACTGTCTCACTATACTACCATCATTTCTTTTGTGTTGCTTTTTATTTTTTCCCCAGAGACACTGCCTCCTTAGGCATATTTTCTTGGAATGCCATAAGCCAGGCAATCTAGCCCTCTAACTTTTGATATATGAACACTGCTAATTACCCAGAAAGTTTTCGGGGTCCCAAAAGCCTGGATGAGGGGCCCTTCCCATGTGCTCCCATAGCTGCCTGCACTGAGACATAGAGTAGTATTGATTGTACTCTATTATAAAAGTTCTCTCTCTCCCACTACCAAACACTGAGCTACTTGATGATAAGGACCATATTTGCCAGTGTGTGCTCAGCACATGGTAGAGTCCCTGGTGCATAATATGTTCTTCATTGCAGATGTTTTTTGAATGAACAAATCTCCAGGAATTACAGTTCTGTGATCTTTCCTGAAAGCTCACCAAGAATGGAGACAACTCCCTTGAGTCACTCTACTGCTTAAACTTCAATGGCCCTCCCTATGCCTTTAGGGTGAAAGATGTGTCTAGCCTTAGTTCCTCTGCTTCTTTCACATAAATGCCATGTTCAGCCATACTTTACTCAATACCACTTCCAGAATGTACCTTGCTCTTCTATATGAACACACATTTCTTTTATTGTTCTTTTGCTCACATAGAAGATTCATCCTCCGAGTGTCAGCTTACATTTTGATGAAGCTCTCCCAACTCTCCCTTTTCCAGTGTGCCTTTCCTTTCTCCAAACCTCCCCGCTACCAACTAAGTTTTTCTTCTCCTTTTCCTGCTAAAGCTGTCTGGATATGATTTCTGTAGCAGTTTTTATATTGAATGTTACTTTTTCTTTATGTTTCTCTCCCTTACAAGGCCACGAACTCTTAGAGGGCAGAGAGCAAGACTTATTCATCTTTCTGGCTTAGTAAGAGCCTGACATCATACCAGACACATGCAAAGCACCAACTAGCATCCCCTTGGCCTCCTCTCTGAGTTTAGCTTCATTAGGGAAAAGAAGCCTATACAGGCTTCAACTCCCTTCAGCTGACAGCCTCTTGCTTCCTGTCTTGGACTTCTCTGGGGTAGGTTAGGCACTGGAAATGGGATTTGGTGGGGTAGGTCCTGGCTTCCTTAGCCTACATACATTTGGAACTTAGTAGAGTGGAAGAAGTTAGCAGACACAGGTTAACTTTCCACCACTGGGTGACTGAAGCCCTCAGATAATTGCTCCTTCCTCCCAGCCTTTAGGGAGATAATTCCAGGGAAGAATCTGATGCTTCCCTCAGAGTCCCAGCAGCATTGACTCCCTTTTGTTCACAGTGATGTCCTCAATAGTATACTCTTATGTTCATTGGCTTTCTTTCATTCCTTTCATTCTGTCTCCAATCCCTCACTCCTGCTCCTTGAGATCACCTCTCAAAGACACTAATTGCATCCAATTCTTTGTCTTAGATTTTGCTTTTGAGAAAGCTAAGCAAAACCACTATGGTGTTTTAAAATATTTTTGGAATGAAAGAATGAATGATGTACAAACGAATGAGGTAATGAATGAAAGAATAAATGGTTATTGTGTATTTGACACTCCTATGATTTATTACACTTAGTGGCTTTTTCTTAACTCCAGTGGAGAAGTGGGTGTTGGAAATCCACAGCCTATTGTATGGCTTTACTAGAGAAGCAGGCTACTGGTATCTCCCCCTTTCTCTGCCTCGCAGAGAGGCCAGTGTGTGCTTCTAAGTGAACTTCCTGTGGCTCTCATTTCCTAAACTTGAAGCAGTTCGTTTCTGATAGGGATGTGAGAATTGAAGCCCCAGGATACGACCAAATTAGACTTTGGCCCACAATAGCAGACCAAAGTTAGTATATTTTTCACAGCTTGATTAGAAGAGCTTGCATCTAGGAAGGGCAGGATTATTACATCTGACTTCCAGGAGAGCAGCTGTGGTATTATTCTCCAGCAAGCTAACAACAGAGAATCTGCTCTGGTTGACAGCACATTTCTTTACTCCAGCCCAGATCTGGCAGCCTTGCCTGAGTACCTTTCTAATGCCAGAGCCCTCAGCTCTCCAGCTGTCTTCAGTTGCTGTCCTTTTCCTTCAGCTGTCATGACTCTGCTGTGATCTTTGAAATTTGCCTGCAAACATATATTTTCTTAATTCTATTTTCTCTCCAAAGTGGTCAAAGGGCCCTTGCATTTGTATGAGGATCAAAAAGGAACTTTTATATGTTACATACAAAAAAAGGGGCAGCTTTTCATAAACTCCTATTTTCCATTGGCTGGTGGGCCACTGGTCTCAGAATCATGTAGGAGGCTTGATAAATAGACACATCCTTGATCCACCCTAGAACTACTCACTCAAAGTCACTGGAAGTTGAGGCCTGGGAGTCTGCATTTTTACCAAGCTCATCAAGTGATTTTTATGCACAGTCAGGTTTGAAAGCCACATTAATTTGTTCCATTGTACAAGTTTTCTATAGTTTTCTCCTTTTTTCTCAATGAGAAGGTGGAAAGGACTCACTGAAATGTCTATTTCTATATGGATTTTGAGTGAAGCCAGGATCAAAGCAGATTTGCTATGCAGTGTTTCTCATTAAATACAAGGTCAAGGAGGAAATAACTCATTTACTTTACATGGTAGATGACCACAAAGACTTTCTTGTTTGTGGCATATTCTGTTGCAGTTGGTTGGTTAACTTTTCATTGCCTTTCAGAAGGGAAACTCATCCAACCCAAACAGCAAAGGTGAAGCTCAGCATTGTATTTGGAGCCAACTGTAAATAGGAGTTAGCACTAACCTAGTTTGGAAGTTCCTAAACATGTTTACTCATTAGAATTACCTGGAGAGCTTAGTAAATCCCTGGGCCATATTCTTTAGAAATTCTGATTCAGTTGGTATGGGGTAGTACTTGTCTATTTATTATTATTATTTTGAGATGGAGTTTTGCTTTTGTTGCCCAGGCTGGAGTGCAATGGCCCGATCTCAGCTCACCACAATCTCCGCTTCCCAGGTTCAAGCGAGTCTCCTGCCTCAGCCTCCCAAGTAGCTGGGATTACAGGCATGCACCACCACGCCTGGCTAATTTTTGTATTTTTAGTAGAGACAGGGTTTCTCCATGTTGGTCAGGCTGGTGTTGAACTCCCGACCTCAGGTGATCCGTCTGCCTCGGCCTCCCAAAGTGCTGGGATTACAGGCATGAGCCACTGCGCCTAGCCGTACTTGTCTATTTAGAAACTTCCTAGGGGAACTTCTAATGGGAGAACCACTGTGTAAGGAATTGGGTTTAGGCATTGCTTTCAGGTAGGATTTTCTTTGTTAGAAAAGATAGGGATACATATATCAGGCTAAGAGAACTATAAGCAATGACGTTAAGGCATGAATACGTGGTAAGGTCTAGAAAGTAAGTTTATTCAAATTTGGTAAGTTTTCATCACCAGAAAACAAAGTACATGGATGTATGTACCAGATAGTTTCTGATGAAAGGCCTTCACTGTGATAAAACTTTAGCTTTAATAAAATGACATTTGAAAAATATTTCTGAACTTATGCAAATGGCAGGAAATATGTAATTTACTAAATTACTTGGTAATGAGCCTTGCAATACATTTCTTCCATTTTTGGTATCAAGAAAAAGCCTATATCTCCTGCTGCAATTTCTTTTTTCCTTTATCTAGACAAAGAAAATTATATGGTCCATGGTGTTTTATTTTAGACTTTGGCCATTAGGAAACTCAATGTTAATTTTAGTGCTTGATTATAGAAACACACACGAGGATTCAGATAAAATTTTCTCTCTCCACTCTTCATATTATTTTCAATACTTCTTTTTAATCTGTATTCTGATAACCTGTTTGATGTGTGCTTTAACATAGAAATGTATTGAATTCTTTTTGGGAATTAGAGAAATATAACTTTTATGTCCTTCTACCTTTCACTCATGTATTCATCCACGCATCCCTAAGCAATGAGGTCCATATGACCTGGCTCCTGCTGACTCTCTGACCTCATTCTCTGCTAATTTCTCTGTTGTGCACTATACTCTTGCTCTTACCCAACATTCCAGTCTTGATCTTATTTGCTTTCTGTCTGCTTGAATTGTCTCTTCAACTAAAGCAGTGCTTTGCAATGCTTTTCATGTCATGGAACACACAGAAAACAGAAATGTTTGTACGACACACTAAGGTGAAGAGGGGAAGTTACTGATCACTAGAAGCTACTAGTATGGTGCTTTGACTACCCTAGGCTCTGCCCTGCTGGCTCAAAGTCTAAGATGATCACTGTGTCATTGCGGCATACCACCAATTAGATATTTGAATGGCTGTCTTCTTTATATGAGTTGGGTCTCAACTTAAATCTCTTTTCCCCAGAGAAGGTTCCCTTCACCACTTTCACAAGAGTAGACCCCTCCAGCCTCTCCATCATGTTTTCTCATTTCTATCTTCCTTACAGCATGATCAGCACCTGAACTTACCTCACTTATTTATTCATTGGTTTACTTATTTATAGTTTGTCTTAATCAATTTCAACATATGCTCCTTGAGTGCAGGGATACTTCTATGTTTTGTTCATGCACCAAAAGCCTGGAAAAAGTTATAAATACTTAATAAACATATCAGTTTGACGGAAACAGTGATTGACTGGGCAAGAATAATCCCCATTCCTGATGAAGCCTCCCCTAGTCTGGTTCTGGAACATACTTCAGTCAATGAGTTACGGCAGATACTTTGTCTTCCCATCTTTGTAGTCTTAATGGAGGGCATACTGCCTGGCTAATAGTACACATATAAGAAGTGCTTGTTGAATAAATGAGTGAAAGAAGGGGTGAAGGATGGAAATAAATAGATTCTTGAACACAATCTTGTAATTATTTGGTCTGTTTCAAGTTCTTTGAGTATTTTCAACTGGAGCTGGGCACTTTAATCTGAAACCTGGACAGTATTGCCAAGTGTCTTGATGCATTAGGCTAAAATGCAGTCAAGCTAATGTGAGACACACATTATGTGATCTAGGGCACATCATTTAACTGTGAGGATGCAGTTTTCTTTTGTGCAAGTTGAATATATTAGGTAGAGAAAAGTTCTGCAGCCCATTACTGTCTTTAAATATCTGCCGTTTCAACAGAAATTCAGAGAGGGAATGTTGAGGAAGTTGTGATGCAGGTAATCCAGGTTATTGCCAGGATCCAACTAGGGGACCAGGGGCTACTTTTTAAAAACATAATGACTAAAAATTATCCAGGTGGCCCTATGTGCATGTTTTTAGGAGTTGGAGTTTGTACTTTTGACATCTATATATAAAAGACATGAGCATCCTCAGATTCTAATCCTCTGCAAATCCAGTTCCCCAGGATATAGAAAGCCAGCTGGATTGCCCTCCCTCTCTGCTTGTCTACTGCTGAGCAACACCTTCTCATTAGCTGGTTGTGTTGAATGAATGAGCAACAGCTGCAATGTAGCTACATGTATGAAGTAGTTTTCCAGGGTTGAAAATTCTATTTTCTCAATGTATTCCAGCATTTAAGAAACAAACAAGCAAACGGCCTTTCCAAGCCTCTATTTATTAATTTGAAAACTTGAATATGCCTAAGCTGCTGTGAAGATTAAATATGATAATACACAGAAAGGGCTTTGCATAGTGCCAGGCATGTAAATAAACACTCAATCATGCTGGCTACAACTGTTATTACATTATGCAAGTCATGAGCCAGAAGCCAAAATATTTAATCCCCAAATGCTAGCATTTAATTCAAATTCTTTCTACTGAAGTTAGAGCGGTTGTCTATGATGTCCAAAGAATGAAATTCAGAACTTCACACAATGACAGTCATCTCCTTCAATTAGAAAACCTCAGAATATTAATAATCCCAGCTGTGTTTCCCAAACAATTTGAAAAAACTGCAAAATCTAAAATTAAGCCAAAACAAAGAGATAGTCTAGAGGCAAATTTCAATTTTAGATTTCTTATAGAAAAAGTTGACATCATTGTGTTTGGCATTAAAACTATATCAATACTGTATTTAGTGACAATCAGATACTCCGGCACAGTCATCTCACTTTCTTTGTGACAGGATGAACGCTTATATCTTTGGAAACTCATTGTTCTTGTTTTATTTCCCAGTAAGTGATGGGCCTGGAATAACAACTTCCCATTCACAGTAAAAAGTATTTAAAGGTGTGGTTCATGCTTAAAGATGCTATTTATTTGTTTTTAGTTTTCAAGGTGGCATTGGAAATTAAGAATAAAACAATTTTAGAAAATGGATATCATCAACTTTAAAAATGGATACAAACTGCAAGTGACAAGCTGCAAACAATTTTTCAAAATGTTAGTTATTGAATAATTTCCAATAAGAAATTATCTTTGATAAAATATTAACAGCAATTTTTGACTAATTTTAGTTCGAAGAGGTGCTTTTCTGTATAATTTCTAAGTCATTGATTATAAACTCAAATAATATGATTTATCATAATTTCCCTATATCACAGTTTTATCCTAAAAATGTTAATGTATATAAAACTGTTTGTATATCAAACAAAAAATTATAACTACTATGTATGCAGAAGAGTAGACATGTATTTTCTTCTTGGAGAACAAATATATTTCACATAAATGGAAATGATAAAGATAGCCCAATACAGAAAATATTGTGCAAATCTAATTAAGATTTTTATTTTACAAGTTTCCAGTTCCAAGATGGTCGAATAGGAACAGCTCCAGTCTGCAGCTCCCAGCATGATTGACACAGAAGACGGTGATTTCTGCATTTCCAACTGAGGTACCTGGTTCATCTCACTGGGACTGGTTGGACAGTGGGTACAGACCATGGAGGGCGAGCTGACCCAGGGCAGGCATCGTCTCACTTGGGAAGCACAAGGGGTCATGGGATTTCCCTTTCCTAGCCAAGGGAAGCCATGACAGACTATACTTGGAAAATCGGGACACTCCCACCCAAAAAACTGCGATTTTCCAATGGTCTTAGCAAACGGCACACCAGGAGATTATATCCCACACATGGCTCAGCAGGTCCCATGCCCATGGAGCCTTGCTCACTGCTAGTGCAGCACAAGATTGAACTGCAAGGCAGCAGCCTGGCAGGGGGAGGGGCGTCCACCATTGCTAAGGCTTGAGTAGGTAAAGTGGCCTGGGAAGCTCGAACTGGGCAGAACCCACTACAGCTCTGCGAGGCCTGCTGCCTCTGTAGACTCCACCTCTGGGGGCAGGGCATACCTGAATAAAAGGCAGCAGAAACTTCTGCAGACTTAAACGTCCCTGTCTGATAGCTCTGAAGAGAGCAGTGGTTCTCTCAGCATGGTGTTTGAGCGCTGAGAACGAACAGACTGCCTCCTTACATGGGTCCCTGACCCCCATGTAGCCTAAATGGGAGACACCTCCCAATAGGGGCTGACTGCCACCTCATAAAGGCGGGTGCCCCTCTGGGACAAAGCTTCCAGGGGAAGGATCAGGCAGCAATATTTGCTGTTCTGCAATATTTGCTGTTCTGCAGCCTCTGCTGGTGATACCCGGGCAAACAGGGTCTGGAGTGGACCTCCAACAAACTCCAACAGACCTGTAGCTGAGGGACCTGACTCTTAGAAGGAAAACTAACAAACAGAAAGGAATAGCATCAACGTCAACAAAAAGGACATCCAAACCAAAATGCCACCTGTAGGTCACCAGCATCAAAGATCAAAGGAAGATAAAACCACAAAGATGGGGAGAAACCAGAGCAGAAAAGCTGAAAATTCTAAAAAACAGAGCACCTCTTCTCCTCTAAAGGATTGCAGCTCCTCTCCAGCAATGGAACAAAGCTGGTTGGAGAATGACTTTGATGAGCTGACAGAAGTAGGCTTCAGAAGGTTGGTAATAACAAACTTCTTCGAGCTAAAGGAGGGTGTTTGACCCCATCGCAAGGAAGCTAAAAACCTTGAAAAAAGATTAGATGAATGGCTAATTAGAATAAACAGTGTAGAGAAGACCTTAAATGACCTGATAGAGCTGAAAACCATGGCACGAGAACTAGTGACACATGCACAAGCTTCAATAGCTGATTCAATGAAGTGGAAGAAAGGGTATCCGTGATTGAAGATCAAATTAATGAAATAAAGTGAGAGGAGAAGTTTAGAGAAAAAAGAGTACAAAGAAATGAACAAAGCCTCCAAGAAATATAGGACTATGTGAAAAGACCAAATCTGTGTTTGATTGGTGTACCTGAAAATGACAGGGAGAATGGAGCCAACTTGGAAAACACTCTTCAGGATATTATCCAGGAGAACTTCCCCAACCTAGCAAGGAAAGCCAACATTCAAATTCAGGAAATACAGAGAACACCATAAAGATACTCCTCAAGAAGAGCAACTGCAAGACACATAACTGCCAGATTCACCAAGGTTGAAATGAAGGAAAAAATGTTAAGGGCAGCCATAGAGAAAGGTCAGGTTACCCACAAAGGGAAGCCCATCAAACTGACAGCAGATCTCTTGTCAGAAACTCTACAAGCTAGAAGAGAGTGGGGGCCAATATTCAACATTCTTAAAGAAAAGAATTACCAACCCAGAATTTCATATCTAGCCAAACTAAGCTTCATAAGTAAAGGAGAAATAAAATCCTTGACAGACAAGCAAATGCTGAGAGATTTTGTCACCATCAGGCCTGCCTTACAAGGGCTCCTGAAGGAAGCACTAAACATGGAAAAGAACAACCGGTACCAGCCCCTGCAAAAACATGCCAAATTATAAAGACCATCGATGCTAGGAAGAAACTGAATCAACTAACAGGCAAAATAATCAGCTAACATCATAATGACAGGATCGAATTCACACATAACAATATTAACCTTAAATGTCAATGGGCTAAATGCCCCAACTAAGAGACACAGGCTGGCAAACTGGATAAAGAGTCAAGACCTGTCAGGATTCAGGAGACCCATCTCACATGTAGACACACATAGGCTCAAAATAAAGAGATGGAGGAAGATCTACCAAGCAAATGGAAAGCAAAAAATAAAGCAGGGGTTGCAATCCTAGTCTCTGATAAAACAGACTTTAAACCAACAAAGATCAAAAGAGACAAAGAAGGCCATTATGTAATGGTAAAGTGATCAATTCATCAAGAGGAGCTAACTGTCCTAAATATATCTGCACCCAATACAGGAGCATCCAGATTCATAAAGCAAGCTCTTAGAGACCTACAAAGAGACTTACACTCCCACACAATAATAATGGGAGACTTTATCACCCCATTGTCAATATTAGGCAGATCAAAGTGACAGAAGGTTAACAAGGATATCCAGGATTTGAACTCAGCTCTGCACCAAGCGGACCTAATAGACATCTACAGAACTCTCCACCCCAAATCAAAATAATATACATTCTTCTCAGCATCTCACTCATTGCACTTAATCCAAAATTGACCACATAATTGGAAGTAAAGCACTCCTTAGCAAATGTAAAAGAGCAGAAATCACAACAAACTGTCTCTCAGACCACAGTACAATCAAATTAGAACTCAGAATTAAGAAACTCACTCAAAATCTCACAACTACATGGAAACTGAACAACCTGCTCCTGAATGACTCCTGGCTAAATAACGAAATGAAGGCAGAAATAAAGATGTTCTTTGAACCAAGACACAACGTACCAGAATCTCTGGGACACATTTAAAGCAGTGTGTGGAGGGAAATTTACAGCACTAAATGCCCACAAGAGAAAGCACGAAAGATCTAAAATCAACACCCTAACATCACAATTAAAAGAACTAGAGAAGCAAAGGCAAACAAATTCAAAAGCTAGCAGAAGGCAAGAAATAACTAAGATCAGAGCAGAACTGAAGGAGATAGAGATACAAAATCCCTTCAGAAAATCAATAAATCCAGGAGCTGTTTTTTTTTAAAGATCAACAAATAGATAGACCACCAGCAAGACTAGTAAAGAAGAAAAGAGAGAAGAATCAAATAGATGCAATAAAAAATGATAAAGGGGATATCTCCACTGATCACACAGAAATACGAACTACCATCAGAGAATACTATAAATACCTCTACGCAAATAAACTAGAAAATCCAGAAGAAATGGATAAATTCCTGGACACATACACTCTCCCAAGTCTAAACTAGGAAGGTGAATCTCTGAATAGACCAACAACAGGTTCTGAAATTGAGGCAATAATTAATAGCCTACCAACCAAAAAAAGTCCAGGACCAGATGAATTCACAGCCGAATTCTACCAGAGGTACAAAGAGGAGCTGGTACCATTCCTTCTGAAACGATTCCAATCTATAGAAAAAGAGGGAATCCTCCCTAACTCATTTTGAGGCCAGCATCATCCTGATACCAAAGCCTGGCAGAGACACAACAACAAAAAAGATAATTTTAGACCAATATCCCTGATGAGCATTGAGGCAAAAATCCTCAATAAAATACTGGCAAACCGAATCCAGCAGCACATCAAAAAGCTTATCCACCACAATCAAGTGGGCTTCATCCTTGGGATGTAAGGCTGGTTCAACATACACAAATCAATAAATGTAATCCATCACATAAACAAAACCAATGACAAAAACCACATGATTATCTCAATAGATGCAGATACAATTCAACAGCACTTCATGCTAAAAACTCTCAGTAAACTAGGTATTGATGGAACATATCTCAAAATAATAAGAACTATTTATGACAAACCTACAGCAATATCATACTGAATGGGCAAAAACTGGAAGCATTCCTTTTGAAAACTGGAACAAGACAGGGATGCCCTCTCTCACCACTCCTATTCAATGTAGTGTTGGAAGTTCTGGCCAGGGTGATCTGGCAAGAGAAAGAAATAAAGGGTATTCAATTAGGAAAAAAGGAAGTCAAATTGTCCCTATTTGTAGATGACAGGATTGCATATTTAGAGAACCCCACCATCTCAGCCCAAAATCTCCTTAAGCTGGTAAGCAACTTCAGCAAAATCTCAGGATACAAAATCAAGGTGCAAAAATCACAAACATTGCTATACACCAATAACAGACAAACAGAGAGCCAAATCATGAGTAAACTCCCATTCACAATTGCTAGAAAGAGAATAAAATACCTAGAAATCCAACTTACAAGGGATGTGAAAAATTTCTTCAAGGGGAACTACAAACCACTGCTCAATAACATAAAAGAGGATACAAACAAATGGAAGAACATTCCATGCTCATGGATAGGAAGAATTAATATCATGAAATTGGCCATACTGCCCAAGGTAATTTATAGATTCAATGCCATCCCCATCAATCTACCAATGACTTTCTTCACAGAATTGGGAAAAACTACTTGAAAGTTCATATGGAACCAAAAAAGAGCCCACATTACCAAGACAACCCTAAGCCAAAAGAACAAAGCTGGAGGCATCACACTACCTGACTTTAAACTATACTACAAGGTTATAGTAACCAAAACAGCATGGTACTGGTACCAAAACAGATATATACACCAATGGAACAGAACAGAGGCCCCAGAAATAACACCACACATCTACAACCACCTGATCTTTGACAAACCTGAGAAAAACAAGCAATGGGGAAAGGATTCCCTATTTAATAAATGGCGCTGTGAAAACTGGCTAGCCATATGTAGAAAGCTGAAACTGGATCCCTTCCTTACACCTTATATAAAAATTAATTCAAGATGGATTAAAGACCTAAATCTTAGACCTAAAACCACAAAAACCCTAGAAGAAAACCTAGGCAATACAATTCAGGACATAGGCAAGGGCGAGGACTTCATGACCAAAACACCAAAAGCAATGGAAACAAAAGCCAAAATAGAAAAATGAGATCTAATTAAACTAAAGAGCTTCTGCACAGCAAAAGAAACTACTGTCAGACTGAACAGATCACCTACAGCATGGGAGAAAAATTTTGCAATCTACCCATCTGACACAGGGCTAATATCCAGAATCTACAAAGAACTTAAACAAATTTACAAGAAAAAAAATCAACTCCATCAAAAAGTGGGCAAAGGATATGAACAGACACTTCTCAAAAGAAGACATTTATGCAGCCAACAGACACATGAAAAAATGCTCATCATCACTGGTCATCAGAGAAATGCAAATCAAAACCACAATGAGATACCATCTCACACCGGTTAGAATGGCGATCATTAAAAAGTCAGGAAACAACAGATGCCGGAGAGGATGTGGAGAAATAGGAACACTTTTACACTGTTTGTGGGAGTGTAAACTAGTTCAGCCATTGTGGAGGACAGTGTGGTGATTCCTCAAGGATCTAGAGTTAGAAATACCATTGAGCCAGTTATCCCATTACTGGGTATATACCTAAAGGATTATAAATCATTCTACTATAAAGACAAACACATATGTATGTTTATTGCAGCACTACTCACAATAGCAAAAACTTGGAACCAACCCAAATGTCCATCAATAATAGACTGGATTAAGAAAATGTGGCACATATACACCATGGAATACTATGCAGCCATAAAAAATATGAGTTCATGTCCTCTGCAGGGACATGGATGAAGCTGGAAACATCATTCTGAGCAAACTACCACAATGACAGAAAACCAAACACTGCATGTTCCCAGTCATAGGTGGGAATTGAACAATGAGAACATTTGGACACAGGGCGGGGAACATCACACACGGGGGCCTGTCGTGGGGTGGTGAGCAGGGGGAGGGATAGCATTAGGAGAAATACCTAATGTAAATGATGAGTTAATGGGTCCAGCAAACCAATATGGCACATGTATACCTATGTAACAAACCTGCACATTGTGCACATGTACCCTAGAACTTAAAGCATAGTAATAAAAAAAAGATTTTTATTTTACTAACATTTGTTGAGTACATGATGCAAATAACTCTACTAAATTCTTTAGTTGACTTTTTTATTTAATCTTGATGCAACCTAATAAGGTAGAAATTTTTAAATCTTCTGCTTCTGATAAATATTGCAAACTCTCTGCTCTACACTTTTTCTCACTACAAAATGTCAAAAAATTAGGGATAAATTATCAGTAACAGGTATAGCTGAGCTTCCTAGAAGTTAAGGAAAATCTTTAGTAGTCTCAAAATGATGGAAACAAAAACCAGAGTAATAAGCCAGCACTGAAGCTTTAAATATCTTGGAGGACATTTGCTGTTCAGAGAGGCCTAAATGCTGAAGTTTTAATGCCTCTTCAATGAACCAGAACAAATCCTTGATCATATACGAGATGGGGATTGTAATGGAAGCAGCTACATAAAACGAGAACTGTGAAAGATCTTCAGTGAAGGGTAGGCCAGAAAAACAATGGGTCTCTCTGGCTTGAATCCTACACAGGGATAAAATCTCCTCTGATAATACCTAGTCAGAGAAGATACCTTTACACAGGTTAGTAGCATACTGTTTTATGTAACGTAAGGAAAAACAAATCTTCCTGGAAGAATTTTCTATTAAACCACATCCTCAGGATTTCCATAAACAGAGACTGGCCAAATATGAGCTAATGATATAAAATCACCACACACAATAGAAAGCAAGCTTCCAGGAGTGAGACTCAGCAGAAACAATCACCAGACAAATAGACATCCAGGGACACAAACATTGGAATAATTAGAGACTGAATATAAAATCAGCATGTTTAAAATATTAACAGAAATAATAGAATCATACACATGAGAAAGAAACAGAAGTCTACTACAGTAACTAGGTATATTTGAAAAAATAAATCAAATTTCTAAAAATAAAATAAATAGTTAAAATTGAAAACCTAGAGGATTCGTTAAATAGAAGATCAGCCATAATTGAAGACAGAATTAATAGATTGGAAGATAAATATGAAGGAATAAATCAGAATACAGTACAGAAAGAAAAATGGAAAATATGACAGAGATAGCTTGGACAACATAGCAACACTCTGTTTCTACTAAAAATAAAAAAAGTTATCAGCTTAAGGAAACTTTTGCCTAAGACAATGGAGTTTTCTAAATATAGGATCATTTCATCTGCAGAGACAATTTGACTTCCTCTGTTGCTATTTGAATACCCTGTATTTCTTTCTCCTGCCTGATTGCTCTGGCCAGAACTTCCAGTACTATGTTGAATAGGAGTGGTGAGACAGGGCTTCCTTGTCAGGTGCTAGTTTTTAAAGGAAATGCTTCCAGCTTTTGCCCATTCAGTGTGACACTGGCTGTGGGTTTGTCATAAATAGCTCTTATTATTTTGAGATATGTTCCAGAAATACCTAGTTTATTGAGAGTTTTTAACATGAAGGGATGCTGAATTTTATCAAAAGCCTTTTCTGTATCTATTGAGATAATCATATGGTTTTTGCTTTTGGTTGCGTTTATGTGATGGATTACACTTATTGATTTGCGTGTGTTGAACCAGCCTTGCATTCCAGGGATGAAGCTATCTTGATCATGACAGATAAGCTTTTGAATGTGCTGCTGGATTTGGTTTGCCAGTATTTTATTGAGGATTTTTGCATTGATGTTCATAAGGGATATTGGCCTGAAGTTTTCTTTTTTTGTTGTGTCTCTGCCAGGTTTTGGTATCAGGATAATGCTGGCCTCATAAAATGAGTTAGGGAGGAGTCTCTCCTTTTCAATTGTTTGGAATACTTTCAGAAGGAATGGTACCGGCTCCTCTTTGTACCTCTGGTAGAATGTGGCTGTGAATCCATCTGGTCCTCGGCTTTACTTGGTTGGTAAGCTATTTATTACTGTCTCAATTTCATAACTTGTTATTGGTCTATTCAGGGATTCAAATTCTTCCTAGTTTAGTCTTTGGAGGGTGTATGTGTCCAGGAATTTGTCCGTTTCTTCTAGATTTTCTAGTTTATTTGCATAGAGATGTTTATAGTATTCTCTGATGGTAGTTTGTATTTCTGTGGGGTCAGTGGTGATATCTCCTTTATCATTTTTAATTGTGTCTACTTGATTCTTCTCTCTTTTCTTCTTCATTAGTCTAACAAGTGGTCTATCTATTTTATTAATTTTTTCAAAAAACCAGCTCCTGGATTCTTTAATTTTTTGAAGGGTTTTTCGTGTCTCTACCTCCTTCAGTTCCACTCTGATCTTAATTACTTCTTGTCTTCTGCTAGATTTTGAATTTGTTTGCTCTTGCTTCTCTAGTTCTTTTAATTGCAATGTTAGGGTGTCGATTTGAGATCTTTCTAACTTTCTGATGTGGGCATTTTAGTGCTATAAATTTCCCTCTCAACACTGCTTTAGCTGCATCCCAGAGATTCTGGTATGGTGTCTCTTTGTTCTCATTGGTTTCAAAGAACTTGATTTCTGCCTTAATTTCATTATTTACCCAGGAGTCATTCAGGAGCAGGTTTTTCAATTTCCCTGTAGGTGTGTGATTTTGAGTGAGTTTCTTAATCCTGAGTTCTAATTTGATTGCACTGTGGTCTGAGAGACTGTTTGTTATAATTTCAGTTCTTTTTCATTTGCTGAGGAGTGTTTTACTTCCAAATTATGTGGTCAATTTTAGTGTAATTTAGTGCCATGTGGCACTGAGAAGAATGTATATTCTGTTGTTTTGGCATGTGGAGATCTGTAGATATCTATTAGGTCGACTTGATCCAGAGCTGAGTTCACGTCCTGAATATCCTTGTTAATTTTCTGTGTCATTGATCTGTCTAATATTGACAGTGGGGTGTTAAAGTCTCCTACTACTACTGTGTTAGAGTCTAAGTCTCTTTGTAGGTCTCTAAGAACTTGTTTTTTAAATCTGAGTGCTCCTGTATTGATTGCATATATATTTAGGATAGTTAGCTCTTTTTGTTGAATTGATCCCTTTACCATTCTGTAATGTTCTTCTTTGTCTTTTTTTATCTTTGTTGGTTTAAGGTCTGTTTTGTCAGAGACTGGGATTGCAACCCCTGCTTTTTTTCTGCTTTCCATTTGGTTGGTAAATTTTCCTGCATTTCTTTATTTTGAGCCTATATGTGTCTTTGCACATGAGATGGGTCTCTTTAATACAGCAGGACATAGGCATGGGCAAAATTTTTATGTTAAAATAACCAAAAGCAATTGCAACAAAAGCTAAAATTGACAAATGGAATCCAATTAAATAAAGAGCTCTGCACAGGAAAATAAACTATCATCAGAGTGATCAGGCAGTTTACGGAATGGGAGAAAAATTTTGCAATATACCCATCTGACAAAGGTCTAATATCCAGAATCTACAAGGAGCTTAAACAAATTTACAAGAAAAAAACAACCCCATCAAAATGTGGGCAAAGGATATGAACAGACACTTCTCAAAAGAAGAGATTTATGTAGCCAACAAACTTATAAAAAAAAAGCTCAACATCACTGATCATTAGAGAAATGCAAATCAAAACCACAATGAGATACTATCTCACACCAGTCAGAATGATGATTATTAAAAAGTCAAGAAACAATAGATGCTGGAGAGGCTGTGGAGAAATAGGAATGCTTTTTACATTGTTGGTAGGAATGTCAATTACTTCAACCATTGTGGAAGATAGTATGACAATTCCTCAAGGATCTAGAACCAGAAATACCATTTGACCCAGCAATCCCATTACTGGGGATACACCCAAAGAGATATAAATCATTATATTATAAAGATATATGCACACATATGCTTACTGCAGCACTATTCACAATGGCAAAGACATGGATCCAATCAAAGTGCACATCAATGATAGACTGGATAAAGAAAATGTGGTATATATACACCATGGAATACTATGCAGCCACAAAGAGTGATGAGATCATGTCCTTTGCAGGGACATGGATGAAGCTGGAAGCCATCATCCTTAGCAAACTAACACAGGAACAGAAAACCAAACACTGCATGTTCTCATTCATCAGTGGGAGTTGAACAATGAGAATACATGGACTTAGGGAGGGGAACAACACACACTGGGACCTGTGAGGGGTAGGGGCAAGGAGAGGGAGAGCATCAGGACAAATAGCTAATGAATGTGGGGTTTAAAACCTAGATGACAGATTGATAGGTGCAGCAAACCACCATGGCACACCTATACCTATGTAACAAACTTACATATTCTGCACATGTATCCCTCAACTTAAAGTAAAAAAAAAAAAAAAAAAATTGACAGGGCGTGCTGGCACACACCTGTAATCCTAGCACTTTGGAAGGCTGAGGCAGGCAGATTGCCTGAGCTCAGGAGTTTGAGAACGGCCTGGGCAACACGGTGAAACCCTGTCTCTACTAAAATACAGAAAATTAGCTGGGCATTGTTGTAGGTGCCTGTAGTCCCACCCACTCTGGAGGCGGAGGCAGGAGAATTGCTTGAACCTGGGAAGTGAAAGTTGCAGTCATCTGAGATTGCGCCACTGCACTCCAGCCTGGGCGACAGAGCAAGACTCGGTCTCAAAAAAAAAAAAAAAAAAAAAATTAGCTGGGCCTGGTGGCACATGCCTGTGGTCCCCAGCTACTTAGGAGGCTGAAGTGGGAGGATTGCTTGAGCCTGGCAGGTGGAGGCTGCAGTGAGCTGTGATCACACCACTGCACTCTAGCCTGGGTGATAGGATGAGATACTCTCTCAGAAAAAAAAAAAAAGAAAGAAAAATAAAACAAAATACGACAGAGAGATTAAGAGACATGGAGGACAGGAGAAGTTTTCTTTTTCTTAGTATATTTACAATTGCATAAGCAGAGAATAGAAGAATGAGGGAAAGGCAATATCTGTTGAATTAATTGCGAATGAGTGAATCAGTATTTATGAAAAGTGTAAATCCTCAGTTTCAACAAGTAAAATGAATCCCGGGAAAACTAAGAAAAAAAAATCCACATCTTGACATATTAAGGTGAAATTTCAGAACAAAATAAATACCAGAAAAGGTATTAAATGCGGCTGGAGTAAAAGGAAGATTTCTTATACATAACTGACAACTGAGAGTTGATTTTTTATCAATGACAACACAAAGTGAATAATATTTATATAATATTTTCCAGTTCTGAGAAGCATATATATAATATATATATATATACACTCACACACACACACAAGCTATCAATCTAAAATTGTGTAGTTAGTTAAATGAGGGGGAAATAAAATGTCAGTCAATAAAAAATAGAACTTATTAATATTTGTAACAGACCCTTATAAAAGAAATTCCAAAGGATATTCTTAAGGCAGAAAGAAAATAATTTCAGAAGAAATAGCTGAGCTACAAGAAGAAATGATAATCAAATAAATTAGTAAACATGTGGGCAAGTAAATGCAAATATTCATACTGAAATAAATAATGAAATAATCATATTTAATTAACGAAGTAAAAGTCAAAATCAAGGTAACTAATTATTTCACAATACCCTAGAAGATGGGGGTGATCTGAGTTAAAGTATTTAAAGGCATTTGTATAGCTTGAAAGTAGTGAAAAGTATAAATAATCTTTATACTTTAATTTGTTTATGTATGTTAAAATTATAAGATAATCCAGAAATAGGGTGTAGAATTTCTATAATAATGCAATAGAGGAAGAAAATGAATTTTAAAACTTATTGGGTAGAATAGAAGGAAAGAGTAAGTATAAGAGAAGCACCAAATACACAGTATGTTCATGTTTTTTAACATAAAATAACATGGTTAAAAGTATTTATTGAACTCCTGGACTCAAGGGATCTGCCCACCTTGGCTTCCCAAAGTGCTAGGATTACAGGTGTGAGTCACCGTGCCTGGCCTAAAAATAATTTCTAATACAAGAATAGTCATAATAAAATTAAAACTAAACTTACCAGTTAAAAACTAAGATTTTCAGATTTGAAAAGAAAGTAACTATCATATTTGTATTTGTATAAGAAATTAACCTAAAACTTGAAGATACTGAAAAGACAAAATTTAAAATATAGAAAAATATATAGTAGGCAAAAAATAACAAAAAATAATTAGTATAGACAAAGTAGACTTTAAGACAACAGATGTTATTAGGGATAAAGAGGATAACTATTTAAAGCAGCAGGGTGATAGACTAGTTCTAACATTGTATGTACCTACTATCATGTCCTCAAAGTATGTTAAACAAATATAGACAGAACTACAGGGAGAAGTTGTTAATATCCATAATAGATAATGGACTTCAGTAAGTTAAGACAAACAAAACAACAAACAACAAAAGAACCAATTTAAAAATAAGCAAAATATGTGATCAAAATATATGATCATATATTAGAATATATGATAGTCCACTGTGAAGAAACATGAAAAAACAGTCAACCCTGATGAAGCAATGGGAATGTAAACCATTTTTTAATGGTTGTATTAGTTTCCAAGGGCTAGGAACACAAGGAAGCACCACAAACCAGATGGCTTAAATCAACAGGAATGCATTGTTTTACATTTCTGGAAGTTGTAAATCTGACACGAAAGTGTTACAGCCCAAACTGACAACTCTAAGGGAGAATCCGCCGTATGCACCTGTCCTAGGTTCTGGTGGTTGCCAACAGTCCCTGGTCTTCGTTGGCTTGTGGTAGCATAACTCTAATCTTTGCCTCTGTTTTCACATGGCATTCCTTCTTTTGTGTCTGTGTGTCTCTGTGTCTTCACATGGTATTTCTTCTCTATGTTCAAATTTCCATCATTTTATAAGGACACCAACCATTGGATTAGAACACCCACTGATCCAGTATGACTTCATCTTAACTTGGCTACATCTGCCAAGACCCTATTTCTAAATAAGGTCATATTCACAGACAACGTGAATCCTTTATCCTCCTGGGGGACACAATTCAACCCACAGCAGTGGTTATGAAATTTTATATAACCAGTTTGGAGAAGAATTAGGTTTTATCTAGTCAAGCAGAATTTGGTCATACCTTAGGACTCGATATTCCACTTGGTATATTTAGATCCTTGCTACTCTAAATATAGTCTATAAAGCAGCAATATCAGTGTCATCTGGGAGCTTAGTAGAGATGCAGGGTCTTGGGTTGCACCCCAGACTTACTATGTGGAAATCTGCATTTCAAACAAGATCCCCATGTAATTTATTTGAAACATGCTAATCTAGTCTACTCTAAGATACATGGATGCAAAAAGACATACACGAGAATGTGCATAGAAGTGTTATTTATAAGAGCAGAATCTAACCAGAGAATGGATATGTAACTGTGGCACTATTCATACAATTTAAATCCACAGAACAGTGACAATAAATGATGTAGAATTATATGAAGTAGCTTGTATCAATACAGACAAATTTCACAAGGATAATGTTGAGCAAAAAAAAAAACGTTGCAAAAGACTGTATATAGAATGATACCATTTCTCAGTTGCTTAGGGAAACATACATATCGTATAAGAATACAAAGACATTCATGGGAATAATAAACACTAAATTCAAGAGTAAACAGGAACTTCAATTGAATCAATGCTATTTTTAAAAGCTTTTCTTAAGCACATAGGCATTTATTATATTATTCTTTATATTTTTAATAAATCCTATTTAATATATAATAAAATGTAAAAAAATTAAGGAAATAATTCAAGGCTAGTACGTTGCAGAGTAGTTATTTGAATATAGAACTGTGGCCCTGAGTGGCTATATTCAACCAACACATTACTGCTTCAATACACCAAATGACACAGTTTTAGACCAGTATTTTATAATCACAATTATTGCATTTGTATAATAGCATGTTGTATAGAAACATTAAAATACTGTATAATATTAAGCACTGATTTAAGTTTTACACAAAAATGTCACTTGCCAAAGAAAATAAAAATGTGGGCATTTCCACCTGTTAAGTTAAACAGAATAACTGCATTTTGCTTCAATAATTGTTAGATTGAATTTAATTTCCAATTATCTTTAGATTAATAGGAAATTTTGAACTAACATTCCAAGCATTTTTCTCACCCCGACTATGCTCTTACTCTTTCAAAAGTGAACAATAAAAATATTGACAGAAGGACAGCATTGTAAAAGTACATTTATTAATGCTTGTCACTATAAATCTGATAATTTCTCACAATAAAAATACTCTTTTTGGGTTTTTACTGAACTTTAAATATTTTATTAGGACTTACAAATTTCAAATACTTATTTTATGCTTTTGAACAAATGCATGAACTTCCAGGGAAAGAGTAGGGTCGTTTTCAATACTGATCATTGAACTTTCATTGGCATGTTCTTTTATTCCCTTCACTAACTTCTGATTATGTAAAGAAGTCTCAGAATGCAGCAATCACATCTTGTTTTCTACTTGTCTTTTACTCAGAATTTCCCAGAGAACTGGAAGCTTACCAAATACTTTAAAGAATGGGGAGAATGTAACATCCACATGCAAATCTCTTTCCTAATATATCCTCCCATGAAAGAGACTTTTTTTTCAGTCTTCACTCTCTAAGGCCATCCAGCTCTCTTTTTCCATACTTTAGAGCGATTATCAGTAGAGAGAGAATTAATATTTTTACTTTGCATCTGTATTATTACTATTATTGTTTAATCATTATTGTGTGTTTATTATGAGCCAGTGAAATGTGTTAAATGGTTTAATCTTCACAAGTCTATTATTACACTCGTTTTATTACTGAGGAAATAAGAGGGTTAATTAATTTGTTCAAGTCACACACATAGTGAACACATGTTATATTTTTCACTCTTTATGTACTGTGCTTTTAGTATGTGTACTCACTGCACTAAGTCAACCATACAATTCTCAAAAGCAGAGATTGAAGCTTCCAATGTTTGTGTTTTATCATTGAAAACCCAGTGCAATTCCAGGCCTGCAAGTGCCTGACAGGGATAAAAAGCAGTGAAGAAATGATATTATTAGAGAAGGTAAATGGTGAGGATTAGATAAGAAAAAAGCAAAACACAACAAAAAAGTCAAGAAAACAATACAAAAACAAACCGTGTTGTTTTAAAGAAAAATTATTTTCTTGGCATTTTGGTTGCATTTCTTGAATCTTTTCAGTGATAATCAGAAGACCACATTTCCCAAATTATGTAAGGAAAATTTCCTATAAGTTGTTTCTCCTAGTCATTTCCAATCAAAATTCATAGTTCTGAACAAAACACAATTGCCCTACTGCTACAGTATTTGGGGATTGGGAAGAATTAAATTTAGAATAATATTTTTAACCTAACAAAATAATTGATTCTAATTTCAATTACATGAAAAAAAAGTAAAAACTTTTTTTTCAGTAGGAGCTTTTAGAAACAACTTTTATAATCTCATAAGCAAATATTCAACTCTTTACTGTATAGATTCTTTCTTCAGTAATAAAAACAATTCAGCCGTAGTTTGGGGATAATGGACAAACATACCAATTACTGAGAAACTCCAACCATCAGCCTTCAGTAATGATAGGGCTTCAAGGTTCACAGCAAAACTTCAGCTTAAATCTTTTTAGTTTGTGTCCCTGGTCAAGGAATTACATTGAAATGCTGGGTGTGTATCAAATTTCCTGTGAAAATGTTAAAAATATTTATCTTTTTAAAACTATTTTAGAGAAATTTCACATGATGGATGATATATCATACCCTAAATTCATAACCTGACAAGTTTATGCTGGCATCTAGTAAATTCAAAAAGGAATAAAGGCAGAATGACTAGAATTTTTCTTTTCAAATGATATCATCAATAATATCCGTTATAAAGCTTGCTTTTCTTTAGGTTAACTTTAGAGGCCTTGAAGAATAAGAGCTCATCTCTTTATGCAGGAGCTTTGGTTTGCAGCATTTACTTAAGAAATATTTGGTATTCTGTATCTTTAAGAGTTAAACATAGAAGAATTGGCTAAGTGAAAATGAAGAAACGCAATATCATTCTGCATATATCATTTATTATATATCACAGTATTATTAGTTTTAAAAAGTTAAACATAAATATCTATTAGTCACTTGCAGACTATGGAACCATAGTCAGTGCTGCATACTTTCATACTTCTGTTTCCCTCCTAGTATTCATAAGTGTGCCTTTAAAAACTTTTAAATTGTAAGAAATAAAATGTTTGATATATTATGTATATTATTACTAAGAAAAAACTTGAATTACTTTGGATTTTTAAAAACTTTGATAAATTCTACATCATAGCATATTGAAGCAGAATAACAAATGCTATACCTCAGGAATATTAATTCCAGATTTTACAGCATTTTAACTTTCTTGATGAGAAAAAATAAATTTGTCAGTTATTAAACTATTTGGGATCCAACAGATGAAAGCAGAATTCTAACTAACATATTTATTGATTTATTTGTGATTTACATATTTACATGTGTTGTTTGACACAATTCTTAATTATGTTCTTGATATGCATATATTTGCTTCTTAAATTTTAAGTTTCCTTTATTTTACTTTGTTTATAGTCTCAACTATAATTTCAAAGTTTAATTTTAGATAATTCAGCTTTTAAATATTTTCCCATTATAATTTTTGGACCTCTAACTCTATTTTAACTGTAAATATAGTTCTGTATTTGTGAAGAGACTTTAGAAGTGGAAATAGATACCTTCACAAATCTTAAAAAGACTTCTTCAGAGTCTGTAAACAGCATTACCATGTATACTTATCTCTTTCTTTTCAATGCCATGAATCATCACAAATGGCAGGCTCATTGTGGTGGCATGCTGAAATGATTGAGTGGGAACTGTGCCCAGCACTGAACTATAAAAAAAAAAAACAAACAAAACCTTATCCAAACACACTGTCCTGTATTGTAATGCATTGGCCCAACTGGATTCTTTTTGATGCTTTGGTGATTGCTCTTTTGTTTGGGCTTGGAGAATTCAGAGCTATGAAATTCAGAGCTCAGATTTGAACACAATATTAAGATTATTGCAATCTGTAGTGAATCTGTTCATGTTATCCAGTGTCAACTGCTTTTGAGATTGCATTCCTTTCACCTCAGGCATGCAATCAGGATGTATAAGTGAAATGTTGTGTGGTATGTTTACTGTAGTTGCTTAGAAGTCCCATTCTTTACCAATGCTCAAATGTGATTAAATTTGTTTTTCTTGTTAAAGGAAACAGCTTAGAACAAACCCTTGTAAGTATCTTTATTTTCAGTGATTTAACATTTCCAAATGTTAAATCATTTGGAAAATGCAATACTATTCGTTTCTCCAACAAAAGGTAAATTTATGTCAGTTCCAAAGTTCAGGTTATGACAGCACAAAACCAACACAGGTGAAAGTGTTAGCCTAGCTTTATTAAAATGGCATTCCCAGTTAGAACTTGTGAATGACAGATACTTCAGGCTTTCGAAGGAAGCTAAAACATATAATAGGCCTGATATATAAGGTTCAGAGCAAAAGAGGGCACTAAAATAAATTTTTAAAGAAAATAGGAAGGAGACAAAACTCAATACTACCTTGTCTTTTAATAACTGTCTTCCTCTTTCTAAAAGTTGTTGTATTTCCTCAATACTTGCTTCATTTCTGCATAAGGGTTTCCAGATGGCACTCTAAAACATTTGCCAGAAGGTGGCGACATAAAACCTCATTGCTTAGAACTGTCCCAGGTGCTGAACCCAGTTTCTGAGATTAAGAGAGGCTAGCCGGCTAGCGAACCGGGATTCCACCAAGTTTCCCCCAGAGGTTTGCAGGCTCTGGTAAGAAGTGCAAAAGGCCATGTGAAATGCCAGGCTTCACTTAGAACACATATGCAAAATATTTCCATCCCTGAATTTACTAGCCACAAAGCTATGGGAAGTGGCAGTGTCACTGAAATTACAAGTGTAGTAGTGATGGAAAAGTGTGTGTGTGTTTAGAATATATATCACACTGAGTTTTGTTCTTCATTTCGAGATGCAGTTGTTTACCTCTCCTTGTCCTTTGACACGTCCTTTATAATTTCGTTCTCTCCCGGTTCCCCAACGTTAAAAAAAAAGTCACAGGCAATATTCTCCCTGAGGGAGTAAGGCTGGACTGTTAGATGATAACGGAGGTACCGTTTTGTTGTTGTTGTCGTCGTTGTTCGTTTGTTTTTGGAGACGGAGTCTCGCTCTGTCGCCCAGGCTGGAGTGCAATGGCGCGAGAACGGAGGTAGCTTTTTAAAAAGGAAGACACACTCGGTCTTCTTCCATCAATTAGCAATAATTGGGAGACTGACCCAGGACTGTTCACCTTCCCATTCAGGCTCCCTATGCTTCCTTTTCTCATCTCCTATTGCCACTCTGGGATGCTGACACGATTTAAGAATTTGGCAGATAATATGAGGCAAGGAGTAGTTGGAATTCCCTCCCCCAAGTTTTTCCAACCCCAGTTTTGCTGGGTTGGAGGCGGAGTTTATTTGTTACAACCTTGGTCTGACCGGCAGGGATCTGGTGTGTGTAAGTGAGTTCTGAGTCTCTGTTGACAAAAAGAGACTCGAATGCAAAGACGCTGAGCTAGAGGGAGAGGAGGGCGGGGACCCAGAGGAAAGAGGCACTCCTCGGGGTTGGGGAAGTATTAGGAGGGGAGGGTTAGAGTGGGAGGGAAGGAGCCTGGCTTTCGAAGCGACTCACAGAGGGATAAATAAAGGGAAGTGAGGAGGAAGAGGGAGACTGAAAGGGAAGGCAGGTGGGGAGAAGGGGGACGAAAGAGGCAGAAGAGAGAGAAGAGAGGAGGAGAGAGGGGGAGAGAGGGAAGGAAGGAAATAGGGAGAGGAGGGTCACAGAGTGACCGTGGAGGATGGGGCTTCTCGGTTCTAGATATTTCTGGGATTGGAGACTGTTTGCTAGTGGGGAGACTCCAGCTCCGGCAGCCAGTTCGGGAGCGGCAAAGTAAAATGGACAGCGACAGACAGACGTTCCAGCCACCTCTCCGCCGCCGGGAGATCCTGGAGCTGCTTTCAGGCCAACTCCAGTTTCCCAGCTGGAGCTTCTGAACGCGCTGGACTGCGAGAGCCCAGGGAGCGCCTGAAAGCTGCTCCTCGGAGATACCCTTCGCCGAAGCAGTAAGAACTTCCTGCTTGGGTCTCTGCATTCCCTTCCTCCGAAACTTCCCAGGAGAAGGGCGGAAGACCCCAGGGGAAGGGGCGAGGCGAATCTTCGCGCTGCTTTTTCTTCCCTCCCCCTTCCCGCGCCGGGCGCGCAGGCATGGATGTGCTCAGCCCTGGTCAGGGCAACAACACCACATCACCACCGGCTCCCTTTGAGACCGGCGGCAACACTACTGGTATCTCCGACGTGACCGTCAGCTACCAAGTGATCACCTCTCTGCTGCTGGGCACGCTCATCTTCTGCGCGGTGCTGGGCAATGCGTGCGTGGTGGCTGCCATCGCCTTGGAGCGCTCCCTGCAGAACGTGGCCAATTATCTTATTGGCTCTTTGGCGGTCACCGACCTCATGGTGTCGGTGTTGGTGCTGCCCATGGCCGCGCTGTATCAGGTGCTCAACAAGTGGACACTGGGCCAGGTAACCTGCGACCTGTTCATCGCCCTCGACGTGCTGTGCTGCACCTCATCCATCTTGCACCTGTGCGCCATCGCGCTGGACAGGTACTGGGCCATCACGGACCCCATCGACTACGTGAACAAGAGGACGCCCCGGCGCGCCGCTGCGCTCATCTCGCTCACTTGGCTTATTGGCTTCCTCATCTCTATCCCGCCCATGCTGGGCTGGCGCACCCCGGAAGACCGCTCGGACCCCGACGCATGCACCATTAGCAAGGATCATGGCTACACTATCTATTCCACCTTTGGAGCTTTCTACATCCCGCTGCTGCTCATGCTGGTTCTCTATGGGCGCATATTCCGAGCTGCGCGCTTCCGCATCCGCAAGACGGTCAAAAAGGTGGAGAAGACCGGAGCGGACACCCGCCATGGAGCATCTCCCGCCCCGCAGCCCAAGAAGAGTGTGAATGGAGAGTCGGGGAGCAGGAACTGGAGGCTGGGCGTGGAGAGCAAGGCTGGGGGTGCTCTGTGCGCCAATGGCGCGGTGAGGCAAGGTGACGATGGCGCCGCCCTGGAGGTGATCGAGGTGCACCGAGTGGGCAACTCCAAAGAGCACTTGCCTCTGCCCAGCGAGGCTGGTCCTACCCCTTGTGCCCCCGCCTCTTTCGAGAGGAAAAATGAGCGCAACGCCGAGGCGAAGCGCAAGATGGCCCTGGCCCGAGAGAGGAAGACAGTGAAGACGCTGGGCATCATCATGGGCACCTTCATCCTCTGCTGGCTGCCCTTCTTCATCGTGGCTCTTGTTCTGCCCTTCTGCGAGAGCAGCTGCCACATGCCCACCCTGTTGGGCGCCATAATCAATTGGCTGGGCTACTCCAACTCTCTGCTTAACCCCGTCATTTACGCATACTTCAACAAGGACTTTCAAAACGCGTTTAAGAAGATCATTAAGTGTAAGTTCTGCCGCCAGTGATGACGGAGGAGTAGCCGGCCAGTCGAGGCTACAGGATCCGTCCCATTCACTATGCTTCCCCCAACCCTAGGGAATCAACACTTAAGATAATTCGCCACTTCTCCTCTTTCTCTCTGCTCCGCTCACGGCTTGCAGACCTGGTCCCCTCCCCACTTCCTGCTCCACGGCAGGGCCCTTTGTGCAAAGGAGACCCAGCGGAGGAGCGTTGAGAGCCCAGGAAATTCAGAGAGTTTGTGAGAAGCGACATTGGCTCAGACTTCGCCTGTATCATCAGTTTTGATCCCAGTAATTGCCTCTTCTCTCTTCTATCTCCTAAATCTTTGCGGTGGATGTTTAATGCTTAGTTCAAGGCAGAAAATCCAAAAAATAAATAAACTGTACACACAGCCGCCGCGCCCACTAAGGGGCTCCACCCCATCACCCAACTTCTAGAACTTGGACTTGAGGTTTGGGAATTTGCTCCATCTCTCCCGCCCTGTGGCCCTTGAAATATTCACCTTTTTCTCCCCATTTTTATCTTTTCTTTTTTTCATTGCTTCCCTCTCTGCCCTCGCCCATCCTTATGCACGAATCTGCTGGTCCGGAGAGGCGGAAGAGGCTGCTTTTCCCCGTGCCAGCGGTGCCCCCGGGATTCCCCGTCTTCTCGCAGACTTGAGATTAACTCTCTCGTGCAGTGCACAACCCCTATTTCCTTTGTTTCCTTGGACTCAAAGCAAGTGGCTAGAAGGTATCTTTTAGAGTGGACTTGTAAGTACAAGGCCGGGCCAGTGGGGGAGAGCAAGGAGGAGGAGGGTGTGCAGACCACTTTGTTTATGCTTGCCTTGGTGTCAGCACTCACCAAAGAAACTGACAATCATACAGTGGAGAGAGCGGACGCTGTTTGTACAGGTAGCTGGCGAGTGTGTACGACCTGACATCGCCACTTACTTACTGCGGGAGGCGCCAGCCGGCCGCTGTTTGCGCTCTGGGGAAGCTGAGAGGCCTGGAATCCGCGCGCCTCCCCAGCCATCTGTGCTCTCGCAGCGCGCTAGGCGCTCCCGGCTGCTGACTTACAGGATCTGGGTTCCTCCGCCTACGCTCTGGGGCGCCCTGAAGCGCGGGTAGACACCTGAGGTTTTTGCCTTAGCCAGTGGCGCAAGATGCCGCGGAACTCTTGGGATTGGAGAGACCAAGAAGGCTTTAAAGGGGCGACACGCAGGGGCGGCAAAGAGGAAAGGTTCCCCAGGGCGCGCGTGCCCAAGGCTCCAGCTGGCTCCCCCAGTAAAACCTGAAAGAGCAATTTTATCCTTACGATGTAGAATTTTTCCTCCTAATTCACGCTCTTGTCCTTTTTGGATCGGGGAATAATTCTGTTTAGCGTGTCCCAACACTCGCTGCATTTGCTTTACAGGACATCCAAGACACAAAGTTAGCAGAACTTTGTTTTCCAAATAGGAATTCTGGGCTTTCAATGGAATGCCCAGATAGTCCATAGGTTAGCACTATCTGTGACAACAGGCAGATAGTTTAAATAGCAGGGTCCTAAAGGACTAGTTAGGAGGTGGTCTTCCTGGGGAGGCTGAGTCTTTTATGGGATTAATTGCTCCCTAGCGTGACCATTCTGCTGTACCAAGGGTCTGCGGAAACCACCTTTTTGCCCTTTGAATTGTGCAGCATTCCAGGCTTTCTCTCCTTCAGTTATTCTTGAAGCCTTGCCACTCCTGCCGAGAAACTGGTTAAAATCTTTGCTGCCCCAGAAAGGGAAGTTATTTAGGTACTCTGGATGTAAATTTCCAACTACATGATGGAGATCTAGAGGTTTGTCATTGTTTGATCTAGCCTCCAATTTTCTTATGAATAATGGTCTTGTTTTCCAGAAAATTCACAAAGTAATTGATCCCTACTCTTTTCTCTCTTCAGCTGTACCTTTCGAATGTTTTCATTTGCTGTTTTGAGAACCGTATTACATTTACAGATTGCAAAAATTGCCAGTGAAAAGTTCATTTGTTTATAATTAAGAAAGTGAAAGGACAGCTCTGTCAGTTGAAGCCATTTTATTGTTTGTCAGACTGAACAAAGCTTTCCTTTGGTGTCTGCTTCTGTATTCTAAACTGGAAGTAGACATCATATCCCAGCTAAACAGGGAAAGTTTTAGAACTTTGGGAATAGTTTGTCTATGCATGTATAATGCTGAGAAGGGTCTGCAGTGAAGAAGATAAGATAGACTTCTCCAGCACAACTATTACTCATTTGATAATTCAGTTTCATTTTTGCTCACATAATCTAAGTAAAGCCATATCAGAAACCAAGTTTTTCTGTATGTTACACTAAATTTTAAGAACAAAGTCTATATTTAAAATAATCCAAACCCCAAATTTGCTCATCCAAATTATGTCTTGGCCAGCAAGTTTTACATTAGAAGTTTTGAGACTTCCATTTATTTGTGTCTTTTACAGAATTGTGTGACAATGACTTTTGGACATTTGTTCTTTCGGCTTTGGAATATTTACACAAGAATGGAGAAGGAACATCCAACTGGAGCATAATTGTCAAGGCAATAGAGAATTTAGAGAAATAAAATAGCTGCATATCTCAAAAGAGTGCCTGATGCTTTCTTTTTACTTTAAAGTATTTATACTAAGGTAAAGTGCTGATGCATCAAAATTGCCTTCACTTTTCCTCGTGACAATAAAAGACTTTAATAATGGTAATGCTAGAATTAACTGATGTCAGTAACACATGCATCTTTATTTCACTCAAAATCTCTACCTACTTGTATTTATTTGTATAATTTTAAAATTAAAGTTAAAAAATACAGTGATTAAAAGAAGATCCTTCTTTACAGGTCAGGGATCTGACTTAGGGAAATAAGTGTAGTTTTCAACAGTAAAACTCATTCTAGATAGGTGATTTCTTTCAAAAAAAATCTGCCTCTGGAAAAAGAAAGTCACATATCATTTAGGCATAAAACCATGCATTTTCTATGACTGGCACCTGCAGGTAACATATAGGTTTCTTTCTAACATGGACAGAATTGAAGATATATGGAGGAAAACTACAGTCTCTGGGGAAAGCAACAGGGGTCCAATCTGCCTTTTTAAAACAGTGGGTGGTGCTGAGATCCCTCCTCTGTCTACCCTGCAACATTCAGCTGGAGGAAAATAACCTCCCCTGTTTCAAAAGAAACAGTTGATTGTTTTGGGGTTCATCAATTAAAAGTAGAGGGGCATTTTATTTTCTGGCTGGGTCTTCTTCCATAGTAGGGTTTTGTATATATGACGTATTACTATGTTAAAATTAATTATTATGCTCTATTATTTCCCTACTTAAGTAGTCAAAAACACCTCTTGTTTCTGTTGTTATGTTTGTTCATTCTGCTGCTTTCTGGTGTCAGAATGATGGCTGCAGGGCAAAGTGAGCATGGGTAAACCTCCAGTAAACAAAGGTCATGGCCATTATTGCCAGAGCAGAGAGCACTCTGAAGCTCATGAAGCTTGGTTCAGGCGATGTATGTACATACACATATTATCCCAAGAGTGAAAAATAAAATCAGGGTGCTAGTGGTGGCTCTTACCTGTAACCCAACACTTTTTGAGGCCTAGGGGAAGCAGGAGGATCGCCAGGAGTTCAAGGTTACAGTGAGCTATGATCACGCCACTACACTCCAGCTTGGGTGACAGAGCAAGACTCTATCTCCAAAAAAGAAAAAAAGAGTAAAATTAGAGGAATTGATAGAATAAGAACTATCTGAAGTTTGTCATTTTCAACATGTTACCTAAATGTGTTCCTGATGTTGAGTAAAATGCTGAATTGGACACATTTTTCAGTTGAATTTTGGCTATTACTGTTCTCGACCCTTGCTCCTTCCTCTGGCATCTCTTCCTCTAGGGACAATGGCTTTCTGTTTTCTACAGGCCTTCCTGTGGCCTCTATCAACACCTCAACTAAGTGAAGGAATTGTTAGTTACTAGTCACTTCCAGTGTGACTAAGAAGCCCTACTAACCCATTTTCAGTGATCATGTGTCAGCTACTGCTTGATAATATTGAAATATAAAACTATAAATTAATATAAGATGCTGTTGTTACCTTAAAGTAGTTTTCAACCAATTTGAATATATAAAAATAAACTGATAAGGCCAAGTAACTACTCATGACAGGGTCAAAGTGTCATATAAACAGGATGAATCACAGGAGTTTGGCTCTATAAGAATTCAGAAGACAAAGATCACTGTGGGCTCATAGTGGGAAGGGAAGAGTGGGTAGAGAACACTGTATATTGCTGTATATTGTATGTAGGATTGAGCTCTGGGCCGACGGGAGGTAATATGAAAAGGCAGACATTCCTTATGAGGTGACAGGAAACACCCTGATCCCTTCTTCCTGGCAAGTGAGGGCCTAGTATGAAATTTCTATCTGATTGCTGGATGTTGATTAATTGCCTGGGTTGATTATGCAAATGTTGATCCTTGAGAAAGATGCAGACTCAAAACCTCCCATGTGTTGTATTAACCCGAAAGGGTCTTGGAAGAGAGAGGAAAAGATGGGTCTAAAGCCAAAGGAATGGCTAGATGAGAGGAAGAAAGTTTTGAGCAGAGTAAGGAGGAGAGCATCAGAATGAGGAGAGAATCATTAACCATTAAAGAGTTGCAACAGGGTGGCCAGGGGTAGGTACAAGGCAAAAAATTCAAACTTATATAATGTTTATAATTTTGCCACCTGGTTTTTACACATAATGTGCCACTTAAATTTGAAGTAGCAGATCTGGTTAGAAATACCAATTAGAACATTTTAGCTAAAGCAGAAGGTTCACAGAGTAGTGTTAAGTACAGAAAAAGGTGCTAGAGATTGTATATGGAGGTACTTATGCCAGGTTAAAAAGCTGAAACTGTGGTTTTAGCCAGTGGAGACCACTAATAACGAAAGCAGATGTGTTCTCTTTGGAGGTGATTTCAATGAGGCAGGTGTAGAGCAATAAAGGCCTGAATATGGGAAGCTGGCAGAAGGAATGGAAAACAAGTAAGATGATGAAAAATGCATCAAAGAAGGAACTGGCAGGACTTGGTGTCTGGATGTGAAGAGAGAGGGAGTAGAAGATGCTGATGAGGTTTTGAGCCAGGGAGATTTGGGCGAATGACAGAAAGGGAAAGTCAGGGATTGTTTTTCCTGTGGGTCTTTCCTTTTGCAGCTTCATCGGTAAACATGAAAAGGCTTTGTCTTCTGCTAAAAGAATTCCAAATCCAGATGGCAGGGGCCTGCTGAAAAGGTATAAATACATATCACAGCATTAGAACAATCTGCCATTTGGATGAGTATATGAGGAATGCTACTACATAATGATTGGATCAATTCCCTGATTAATATTAATTTCTTTTTTAGTAGGGGATGTTAATGTTTTTTGAAGAGGGCACAATTCCAAGAGAGAACAGCCTTTCAGGAAGAGCAACCCAAAAATACCATGTTAAGTAGTGTATTAAGAATGGTACATGAAGCCTAAAGGTTGTGTCTGTCTAGTTAAGTAAGTGGAGAGCAGAGGAAATCAGTTTTGCTGTTTGAGTTCGCTTATTAAGAACCATAAGAGACCTATTTGATCCTTATATTACTAGAAAATCTAGATCCATTAGTGTCTTAGTCTGTTCAGGCTGCTATAACAAAATACCATAAATTGGGTAGTTTACAGACAACAGAAATGTATTTGACAGTAGTAGAGGCTGGGAAGTCCAAAATCAAGGTACTAGCAGGTTTGTTGTCTGGTGAGGGACTGCTAACTTGTTCACAGATGGCTGTCTTTTCTCTGTAACCTCCCATGGCAAGAGCGACAGGAACCTCTCTGAAGCCTCTTTTATAAGTGCATGAATCTCATTCATGAAGCCTCTTTCCTTCTGACCTAATCACCTCCCCAATACTGCACCTGGTAATACTTTTACATTGGTGATTAGGTTTCAACACTTGCATTTTAGGGGGACACAAACTTTCAGACCATAGCAGTGAGGCTAATGTATCCAGTGAATTTCTTTTATTTTTCCATCTACTTTGCTTATGTGGCAATGGCAAGAATAGGGAAATGAGTAGAATCCACAGACATTTCCATATCTGACACTATCCCAAGTATTATCATGCCAACTGCCTATAACCCCGCGCAATTGCCCTGCCTTTGAGAACGTTGTCCAGGCCAGTAATTCAAGGAGCTGTTTTGTATTGGAAAGTGATTGTTCTGTTGTGTCTAAGCTAGTTTCATCTTTGAAGAAATGCAAGGGAAAAAAGCTGGCTGGGAGCAGAAGGGAGAGGAAAAGACAGGGGAGATAACAGGACACACTTTTGTTATATAGCTGCGGAGATGAGAAAGTGTTTTCAAACTCCTCCAAAGTCCTTGGAGAGGAAGTACCCTGTGAAATATGGTGTGCTTCATAGTCTTTGGAAATAATTAGCCTGACTTTGCAATAACTAAAGAAGATAGAAATCAAACGGTGAAAGCTGATTTTTAACTTTAAAAGAACAGTAGATACAGGACTTCAATTGCAAATATTCACCAAAAATATAGTTTATTCTAAGTATTTACTGCAGAGAAGGAGCAATTTATGGGAGAGGCTCTGACTCAGGAGTAATGGGCATAAAATTCATTTGTTCATTCAACTAAGATTTCTGGAATGCTGATGGGCCAGTGACTGTTTTACATACTTGGGATACAGCAGTGAAAAAACTAGGTAAAATCTTTTGGCAGGTTGTTTGCAAAAATGGCCACCATTATTTTTCTCCATGTGTTCACCTCTTTTACAATGTGATTGCAAATTGCTAAGAGAATAGATTTTAAGTGTGCCCAACACACAAAAAAAATGATAGGTATTTGAAGTAATGAATATGTTTTAAAAAGATATGAAGGCTATTTTCTTATACCTTGAATCTGGGCTGGCCTTATGCCTTGCTTTGATGAGTACGATGGGGCAGCATTGATGTGGTACCAGTTCTGACCATGGAACTCAAGAGGCTCTGTTGTCTTCCACTTGCTTCCTTGTAACCCTGCCCAACTGTCATGTGAACAATCCTGTGCTCACTTGCTGGAGACAAGGAGACCAGATGGAGCAGAGGAGTCATCCCAGCTGAGGCCATTCTGGATCAGCTAAAGCCCGACAGACTTGGCAGCTGACGGTAGACACAAGAGTGAGGGCAGCCTAGACCAGAAGAAACTCTCAGCTTCATTCAATCTAAATTATCAAAGCACAGACTTTTGAACTAAATAAATGGTTGTTATTTTAAGGCACTAAAATTTGGAATAATTTGTTATATTGGAAAAGCTAACTAATACAGTCTCAGATCTTAAGGAATTTACAACAGAGAGAACAGAGAAAATAAGCAACAATAACAAAATCATATATATATGTAGTATATCAGATGGCAATCTGGAAAATGAAATAAGCTGAAGTAAGATGTATAGGGGGTGCTAAGGTGAAGGGGAAAGGATGTTGCTATTTTTTATTGGTGTTTAAGTGACTGCTCACTGATAAGGTGACATTTGGATAGTGACCTCGAAAGAGTTATCAGAGGCAACTGTTTGGAGCTTGGTGAAAATGAGCCCTCAGATAAATATATCTTAAGAAATCTTAGGCAATTTACTGTGAAACTACAAAGGATGTATTTCCAACAAAGGAAATGGCAGGAAATTGCAGATTTGGAAATTTGTGTGTTCAAATTCTAAGGCCTTCCCACTTCCTGACTGGAGACCTCTTAGGTTGAAGGTATTAATATTCAACTTGCTCAGGATAAGACTCAGTCAGCTAATGGGAAACACCGAGTGGGATCTTACCAAATCGTAGGTATTGCTATGACCCTGAAACTCTGGCATATAATCTACATCAGGGGTCCCAAACCCCTGGGTCATGAATCTGTTCTGTCCATGGCCTGTTAGAAACTGGGCCGCACAGTTATATGAGCCAGCATTGCCACCTGAGCCTTGTCTCCTGTCAGATCAGCTGTGGCTTTAGATTTTCATAGGAGTGCGAACACTATTGTGAACAGTGCATGTGAGGGATCTAGGTTGCACGTTTCTTATGAGAATGTAATGATACATGTAATGTGCTTGAATCATCCCAAAACCATACCCCTGCCCACTGCAGTCAGTGGAAAAATTGTCTTCCACAAAATCAGTCCCTGGTTTTTGAAAGTTTGGGGACCACTGCTCTACATGGTGAAAAAAGAAGCTGCCTTGGCAAGCCAGGTCAATGTTACTGAATTTTACTTCTGACTATGCTACCACTGTCATCTTGGTATATGGTATAGTTTTATTTTGAAAACAGCTTTACTGAGGTTTCATTCACATACTTACAATTAACCCATTTAAAGTGTATAATTCAAAGGTTGTAAATACACTCACAGAATTGTGCAGTCATCATTATAACCAATTTTTAGAACATATTCTTCACTCCCAAAATAAACCCTGTACTCTTTATCAGTCACTCCTTATTTCCCACTAATCCTTGAGCCCTAGGCAATCACCAATCTACTTTCTGTCTTTATAAATGTGCCCATTCTGGACATTTTATCAAAATAGAATCAATTAACATGTGGTCTTTTGTAACCAGATCCTTTTATCTGGCATAATGTTTTCAAGGTTCATTTATGTTGTAGCATATATCAATACTTTATGTCTTTTTATTGCCAAATAGTATTCAGTTTTAAGGCTCTATCATATTTAATTTATCCATTAATTAATTGATCATTGTGGTTGTTTCCACTTTTTGGCTATTATAAATAATGCTGTTGTGAACACTTGTTTATAAATTTCTACCTAACTGTACATTTTCATTAATATAGGGTATAAAACTAGAGATGGAATTGCCAGATGATATGATAACTGTATGTTTAACTTTTTGAAGGACTTCCAAGCTGTTTTCCATAATGGTTATATCATTTGAAATTCCCACCAACAACGTAAGAGGGTTCCAATTTTTCCACATCCTCCCCAATACTTGTTATTATCTGTCTTCTTGATTATAGCTATCCTAGTGAATCTGAAGTGTTATCTCATTGTGGTTTTGACTTGCATTTTCCTAATGACTAATGATGTTGAGCATCTTGTTATATGCTTATTGACTGTTTGCATATCTTCTTTAGAGAAATATCTATTTTAATTCTTTGCTCATTTTTAAACTAGGTGGTCTTTTTATTATTGAGTTGTAAGAGTTCTTTATATATTCTGGATACTAGATTCTTATCAGCTTATGAATTACAAATCTTTTCTCCAATTCTGTTATCTTTTCACTTTCTTAACATTATCATTTGCATCACAGCAATTTTTTTTTTTTTTTGCTTGTATTTTGGAGTTGTATCTAAGAAAGTCATGGGAGATTTACTCCGATGTTTTCTTTTAAGGGTTTTACATTTAGGTAATTGATTTATTTGTGAGTTATTTTATGTATGATACATAGAAGGGGCTCAAATTCAGTTTTTTGCCAATGCCATTTTCAATACTATTTGTTGAAAAGAATATTATTTCTCCACTGAGTTTTTTTATGCCCTTGATGAAGATCAATTAAGCATAAATGTAAATGATTATTTCTGGATTCTCAATTCTATTCCTCTAAACTATTTGTCAATTGTTACAGCAGTACTAGAGTCTTCATTATTGTACCTTTGTAGTAAGTTTTGAAATCAGGCAATGTGATTCCTCTGACTTTGTTCTTTTATTCACGATCACTTCAAGTATTCTAGATCCCTTGCATTTTCATATAAATTTTGACATAAGCTTGTCAATTTCAGAAAAAAACGTAACTGGAATTTTAATAGGGATTGCATTGGATCTGAATATCCATGTGGAAAGTATTATCTATTATCATCTTACCAATATTAAATCTTCTGATTCAGGGACATGGAATGCCTTTCCATTTATTTAAGTGTGATTTAATTTATCTTAACACCATTTTGTGGTTTTTAGGGTGCAAGTTTTACACTTATTTTGTTAAACTTATTTGTAGGCATTTTTTTTCTTTTAGTCACTATTGTAAATGAGATTGCTTTAAAATTTCATTTTCAAATAGTTCATTATTAGTGTATAAAAATATGATTAATTCTTGTATATTGATCTTGTATTCTGCAGTCTTGCTAAAATTATTTTAGTAGGTATTTAAGTGAATTTCTTAAGATATTCTACATATATTATGCCATCTGCAAATATAGTTTTACTTTAAAAAATGGATGTCTTATATTTTTTTTTGACCAGTTCCCTTGCTATAACTTCTACCATCAGGGGCAATAAAAGTGATGAGAGTGGACATCCTGTCTTGTTCCTGATTTTATGGGAAAAGCATTCAGTTCTTCACCATTTGAGTGTTAAGTTAATGGTGGGTTTTTCACAGCTGCTCTTTATCAGATTGAGAAAGTTTCTTTATTTTCCTAGTTTATTAGGTGTTTTCATTGTGAAAGGATGTTGAAGTTGATCAAATGTTTTCTGTATGTCAGTTGAGATGATTATGTGCTTTTTGTGATTTTTTAAGATTAAATGAAATAATTTCAGGAAATATTTAGCAAAAACTCTGCTATATACTAACTACTTAACAAATGTTATTTAATATTTGCTCAAGGAAGCACCTGTAATTGGATTTTCATTGGTTGTGTAGTTGCAGAGCAAGGAGAAAAGTTACATCAAATATTAAATGTCATTCCTGATTTTTTAATCATATAAAACAGAAGACAGATGTATTAGTCTGTTCTCACACTGCTAATAAAGACATACCTGAGAACGGGTAATTTATAAAGGAAGAAGTTTAATTGACTCCCAGTTCAGCATGGCTGGGAAGTCCTCAGGAAACTTACAATCATGGCAGAAGGGGAAGCAAACATGTCCTTCTTCACATGATGGCATGAAAGAAAAGTGCAGAGTGCAGTGAGGAAAAAGCCCCTTATAAAACCATCAAATCTTGTGAGAACTCACTCACTATCATGAGAATAGCATGGGGTAAACCACCCCCATGATTCAATTACCTCCCACCAGGTCTCTCCCTTGACATATGGGGATTATGGGAACTAATCAAGTTGAGATTTGGGTGAAGACACAACCAAAGCATTTCAACAGTTAAGTAGAATGCCTCAGAAAGAAATAAGAGGACATTTACAAACTAGCATTGTCCACATGATAAAACTTTAATTTTAAGGAAATTAAAATAAGACATAAAAATGAGGAATGAACTTGATAAGTGGTAAAATACTAAAAAATGTACTTTAGAAATTCACATTTCTCTCTTCTTGTCTTTGTTTTACCTGTGACCTTGTGTGGCTCTCTCTCTCAGTCAAGTGTATGTGCACACCCATTCACACCCACTAATCTATGCCTCTACTGTGTGGGGGAGAGCTTATCAATGCTTTCAGTTCATTGCTTTCAGTTCGTAATGATTTTCACAGTGGACCACCCTGTTACCACTTGTAAGCCTTACCAGAGGAACCAGATGGCTGCTATATTTGAGTTGCCAAAACAGTAGCAATAAAACCCATAAAATGTGGAGAAAAGATATTTTCTTTTTTTTATTGTATTTCAATCGTGACAGTGTCATTAAATAATGAGAACTTCAAAAGCTCACTGTGAAATTCACAAATTATTTAGAGTCTGGGCCATTGTTCTCATTCTTCATTGTTAAATAATTAAGCCTAGATCATCTCAAATACACACACTTGATTGGTGTCATTTGATGGCACTACAATTTTTGCTTTAACAAATTAGAAATATATTAATATTAAATTGACTTTGTTTCTTATCTTGCATTTATGTTTTGATGATACAGTATCTGATCATATTTGTTTATTCAATTGGTGTGAATTTTTAATAATGTGTTCTTACCTTGTTGGCTTTCTGATGTGTAAATTTCCATGATGCTTGGTTTAATGTGCCTCTTACCCATTTAGTCATACTTTAAAAACATATAATGTGCTAATAATGGGATTGATCATTTTATCTGATTTTTCATGAATATTTACATATGTATACAATATGACATATTTTACATACTTAGGTGTATCTTTATAAAGTTTGATGCACTCAGCAAAATAGTTTTTATGTTCATATGTATAAAATAAGCAATATATCAGTGGTTCTCAGGGATAATTTTGTGACCTCCACCCCAAGGAACATTGGCAATGTCTGGAATCATTTTTTGTCATCACAGTTGGATGGGTGCTACTGGCATCTAGTGGGTAGATGCCAGAGGTGTCACTCAACATCTTCAATGCACAGGACAACCCCTACAACAAATAATTATCTGGCCCAAAATATCAATAGTGTTGAGGTTAAAAAATTCTCTAGATAAATTGCCTTCTCATGTTTTGGAATGAAAAATTTTTAGGTACTTTTATGACTAGCAAAGGAATAATGCATGCATTTAGGAAGACTTCAAAAACAAAAATTGCTATAAATTCCACCTTGTTTTTGTAATGTTTGTTAACTTCTCCAGGGACTTTCACACATAGAATTTAATATACTTCTTATGCTATTTCTGGGATATAGAAATGGAAGATTTGCCAAATAAATATGCTTTTTTTTTACAGATGCAAAACATACACAGAATTTAAGTGATTATCTTAAGGTTACATGGTTGATTAGTGATCACAGTTCCTTGTCTGATGGTAAAAGCATAAAAGGCTGACTTATATGTTCCTCAGAGAGAAACAGGATGATAACGCCAGTGTTCAAAAAGCCTTGCTCTATCTTTTCTCCTTCTTTTCCACCTCCTCAGTAATGTAAAAATCCTAGGGGAATAATTTCACCATTCTATTACTAAACACTGAATAATCTCATATCGTCATTTCAATTAGAGCGTATTTCTTTATTGATGTAGAATTAAATTTAGTTATGTTAACTTGAAATTTACATTTAGCATTAATCATAATATGGGAGGAATTTAAACCTCGAATTGATTCTATAAGTTCTGCTAATCAGGTTGTGAAACTGAAACATGTCAAGCAATATGGAGTTTTCAAGTTCTTCCTCTGCAAGTTCTAATTCATGCCTCCTCTTTTAACTGTTGAACAATAAATGAGTTTATGAGAGAATGCCAATAACCAGGATAGAGATTTAAATTAGAAATGGGACAAATATTGGTACTTAATTACTGCAGTGTTAACCTTGGTATCAGTGATTTTCAGAATAGTTAACTGAGAGGAGAAATTTACTGGTATTTCCATCCCCAAATTTCTTTCTACTGTGCTACTATTTTGGCCAGGCACTAAGATCCTTAAGCTCTACTTGGAGACTGTTAATATTATGAAATAATTTATTCTGTTTTAATGGTTGAGGTAATTAATTTTAAAGAAAGTAAGTGATCATTTAAGCTATCTTTGTATGAATAAATTCTATTTGAATGTCTTCCAACAACTTGTACAAACCTTTGAAAGTGAATGCATAAGGACAAGTTACAAAGCCACCCATCCTACCTTAACATTTTCCCCACCTGTCAATCAAGGGTTTTCTGAAACTTGGTGTCCAAGGATTAGAGTTAAGATTTTTTCTCAATATACTTACCGAGTTTCTGTTAAATGTCTAGCACTGGGAATACACCAAAGAGTCACAGTGGCTTCATACATGTTTTCTGCAGTTAAACTTTTTTTTAGGTAGGCAGTAGATTGGTAAATTCTGGAGTAAACCTGGGGAGATGAAGATGGCACAGCAGCAGAGAGGACTGTCATTGATCAGTAACCAAATATAAAGAAGACAGTCTTAGGAATTTACAGCTTAGTAGTAGGTGGGCAGAAAGCTGAGAGAAAGATCAGGGGGTGAAATTATCCCAAAGCAGTATTTCAAAGCTTGTTATTTAGTTTAATGACTAAAAAGTGAGTTGCGATCAAAACTCCTACATTACCTACTGAGGTAGTGTGTTGAGCATTTAGAAATTATTTGTAAACACTTACAACAATTGTTCTCAATCCTGGTTGCACATTAGAATTACCAGGGGGAGCTTTTAAACACATGGAAGGCTGTACTCCCATCTAGAGATTCTGATTCACTGAGTCTAGAGTTAGGCCTAAGAAATTGCTGTTAACAAAGCAAACAAAGAAAACTCCCTGAGTTTTCTAAAATGCAGGAAACTAGGGATCCAAAGGGGTTAGAATATATCTGATGGCATCTCGTGAACCTCATCATAGGAAATATGGTATATGCTTGATGGTAATAACTATATGGGTCTGAGACTTTACAAAGAGATATATGACATTTGGGCTATAGCCTACCCTGTGGGAAAGAATAAGAAAAAGCCAATCAAACTTTGTTTACTCTTGGTCTCCTACTTATCCCAGGGAGCCCTATGGGACCTAGTGATTAAGAAAGACATAGAGTGTTAACAATAAAGAGCCAGTCGCAGTGTTCCCTAATTTACTGCATCACCTTTAGGGAATACTCTTGACTAAGGTATTTTTGAGGCAACAAGTTAGAACTCAGCATAAATAGAAACTAACTGCAAATGGACTTAAAATACAATGGTAGATGCTGTCCTCGGCAACCAGAACAAGGTCCTATCAATGACAGCACATTCACTGTTCAGGAAGGATACACACACACACACACACACAAATACACACACACACACACACACATACACACACACACACAGCAGAGATCACATTTACAGCATGGTAAAAATGTTTTCAAATCCGAGTTTATAAGGGATAAACTACAATCCTGGGTGTATGGAATAAAGAAGATGATTGATCTATGTAATAACTCAAGAACACAAAGGGAATATTCACAAGTAGCTGGAAGATAGGACAGTCATTATTTTGGCAAGTTCAGTTTTGATCTCCTGCTGTCCTAAATCTTTGATAAATATATCTTTAATCACTGAGCTGACATAAGTGAGACATTTTATTTAATCTGCCATCATTTTAATAGTAATATACTTAGATATGTGAACTATTTGACAAAGCTACATTTTTTGAAAAAGTTTGAAGACTAGTTTTAAAGGAGTTAGATGATTAGAGCAAGAACTGTATGATGATGATGTTAATTTTGTTGAAGTGTAACTGCCCTTTCTCTTTTATCCACATGAATACATTTGCTGTTAAAAGTTTTTATAGATGGTTTCTATCATGCCTAAAATCTAATTGATTAAAATTAAAATGGAAAACCTTAAAACTGTAAAATAATTTTTGAGTTTCCAATGGTCATTTGAGTTCCCACATTTAATTCTCACCTTTCAAAATTGCTAAGAAATAGGAAAACTGAAGAAAAACAAAAGATCATCAAAGATTATTATTTCAGCAGTGGAGGTGGAAAGAAGGGGATCTGTGAAAAACCTGAACAGCAGCTCTAAAAAATAGCCTTCCACATCCAAACTGAAGTCTTGGGTAAGAAGTGGACAAAGTGGAAGTGGAATTTTAGTCCTCCTTATGAATCTGAAAAATGTATCAGTGAATGAAACCACAACATAAAAGGCTGATAAGATTTTTAAAAAAGAATGATAATATTCTTTATTAGTGAAAGTGTTATAACAATGAACACTCATACATACAGTTGATAAATGTAAATTGGTACAAAGTTTCCTTAAAGAAAATTGTTGTCATGTATCATGGACTTTCAAATGTTTGATATCTTTGGTTTACTAATTTTACTTTCAGAAAATTCTGTGAAAGTAATCACAGAATGATGATTACTGTCATCTATCAATGATGCATTTATGAAGATATTCATTACAGCACTTTTAATACAGAAAAACTAGGTAGAGGTCAAATGTTCAATATTAGGGGTTTGGGTGAATTTATTGTGGCAATCCATACAATGGAATACTACCTAGTATTTCAAAATGATATATAAGCACATATGTTTTGTCTTTGAATTATAGTAGAAATATATTGTTAATGAGAAAAGCAAGTTACAAAACATTCATATATAAATAAATATTTGTCCATCTATAAAGAAGAAGTCTTGAATATCTACCTACACATTAGCAGTTATTATTTCTCTGTGGTGAACTAAGGATGATTTCTTTATTTTTTAAAAAATTATCCCATGAATTTTAATAATTTGTGTGATAAAAAATGAAAAATTTAATTGGTGGTATGAAATCTCTTATTTCTTTTTTTTTTCTTTTTTTTTTTAAAGTAGTCCAAGCAAAATCTTTTTTTTTTTTTTCTTTTTTTTTTTTATTATACTTTAAGTTTTAGGGTACATGTGCACCTTGTGCAGGTTAGTTACATATGTATACATGTGCCATGCTGGTGCGCTGCACCCACTAACTCGTCATCCAGCACTAGGTATATCTCCCAATGCTATCCCTCCCCCCTCCCCCCACCCCACCACAGTCTCCAGAGTGTGATGTTCCCCTTCCTGTGTCCATGTGATCTCATTGTTCAATTCCCACCTATGAGTGAGAATATGCGGTGTTTGGTTTTTTGTTCTTGCGATAGTTTACTGAGAATGATGATTTCCAATTTCATCCATGTCCCTACAAAGGACATGAACTCATCATTTTTTATGGCTGGATAGTATTCCATGGTGTATATGTGCCACATTTTCTTAATCCAGTCTATCATTGTTGGACATTTGGGTTGGTTCCAAGTCTTTGCTATTGTGAATAATGCCGCAATAAACATACGTGTGTTTGTGTCTTTATAGCAGCATGATTTATAGTCATTTGGGTATATACCCAGTAATGGGATGGCTGGGTCAAATGGTATTTCTAGTTCTAGATCTCTGAGGAATCGCCACACTGACTTCCACAATGGTTGAACTAGTTTACAGTCCCACCAACAATGTAAAAGTGTTCCTATTTCTCCACATCCTCTCCAGCACCTGTTGTTTCCTGACTTTTTAATGATTGCCATTCTAACTGGTGTGAGATGGTATCTTATTGTGGTTTTGATTTGCATTTCTCTGATGGCCAGTGATGATGAGCATTTTTTCATGTGTTTTTTGGCTGCATAAATGTCTTCTTTTGAGAAGTGTCTGTTCATGTCCTTCGCCCACTTTTTGATGGGGTTGTTTGTTTTTTTCTTGTAAATTTGTTTGAGTTCATTGTAGATTCTGGATATTAGCCCTTTGTCAGATGAGTAGGTTGCGAAAATTTTCTCCCATTTTGTAGGTTGCCTGTTCACTCTGATGGTAGTTTCTTTTGCTGTGCAGAAGCTCTTGAGTTTAATTAGATCCCATTTGTCAATTTTGTCTTTTGTTGCCATTGCTTTTGGTGTTTTGGACATGAAGTCCTTGCCCATGCCTATGTCCTGAATGGTAATGCCTAGGTTTTCTTCTAGGGTTTTTATGGTTTTAGGTCTAACGTTTAAATCTTTAATCCATCTTGAATTGATTTTTGTATAAGGTGTAAGGAAGGGATCCAGTTTCAGCTTTCTACATATGGCTAGCCAGTTTTCCCAGAACCATTTATTAAATAGGGAATCCTTTCCCCATTTCTTGTTTTTCTCAGGTTTGTCAAAGATCAGACAGTTGTAGGTATGCAGCGTTATTTCTGAGGGCTCTGTTCTGTTCCATTGATCTATATCTCTGTTTTGGTACCAGTACCATGCTGTTTTGGTTACTGTAGCCTTGTAGCAAAGTTTGAAGTCAGGTAGTGTGATGCCTCCAGCTTTGTTCTTTTGGCTTAGGATTGACTTGGTGATGCGGGCTCTTTTTTGGTTCCATATGAACTTTAAAGTAGTTTTTTCCAATTCTGTGAAGAAAGTCATTGGTAGCTTGATGGGGATGGCATTGAGTCTGTAAATTACCTTGGGCAGTATGGCCATTTTCACAATATTGAGTCTTCCTACCCATGAGCATGGAATGTTCTTCCATTTGTTTGTATCCTCTTTTATTTTGTTGAGCAGTGGTTTGTAGTTCTCCTTGAAGAGGTCCTTCACATCCCTTGTAAGTTGGATTCCTAGGTATTTTATTCTCTTTGAAGCAACAACCCTTCATGCTAAAAACTCTCAATAAATTAGGTATTGATGGGACGTATTTCAAAATAATAAGAGCTATATATGACAAACCCACAGCCAATATCATACTGAATGGGCAAAAACTGGAAGCATTCCCTTTGAAAACTGGCACAAGACAGGGATGCCCTCTCTCACCACTCCTATTCAACATAGTGTTGGAAGTTCTGGCCAGGGCAATTAGGCAGGAGAAGGAAATAAAGGGTATTCAATTAGGAAAAGAGGAAGTCAAATTGTCCCTGTTTGCAGATGACATGATTGTATATCTAGAAAACCCCATTGTCTCAGCCCAAAATCTCCTTAAGCTGATAAGCAACTTCAGCAAAGTCTCAGGATACAAAATCAATGTACAAAAATCACAAGCATTCTTATACACCAACAACAGACAAACAGAGAGCCAAATCATGAGTGAACTCCCATTCGAAATCTCTTATTTCTATAGAAAATTCATACTGTGTTTGTTTTAGTCTTTGAGAATATGAAGCAAATATTTTTGCCATGTGGAATACATTTTATATGCAGCTATAATTCATTAAAATTTTATATCCGTAATATGTTAGCTGTAGAGACAAGAGTATATACACAGGAAACAATTAGATGGAATGAAATGAAAATAAATCACCCAATATAAGTAATATAGGTGTTACAATTGGCATCAGGAGATCAGTAAAGGGATATTTTAAAGCTATCTGGGGAGTCAACTCATTGGCATACATTTTGTGTTACTAGGTTAAATCACAGATCACTCATGCGCTTATTGTCCCTCATTCCCTACGCCTTAGTTTGGTGATCTGAGTCACAGAATTCACTATATGGTATTTGATATCCTTCTTTAACTTGGCCTTCACTTTTCATGAACAAGGTTATCCAGCAAGGTGCAAATGTGGCTACTGTGACCGAAGATGCTGTCTCCTTTCTGGATTTGGGGACTAGGCTACCCGGGATCATTTACTTCCCAGTTTTATTGGATTGGTGCAAAAATAATTGCAGTTTTGGAATGTGAATTTTAAATCATTATAACTATGCTCAAACACATCTTTATTTTATTATTATTATTATTTTATTTTATTTTTTATAGAGACAGAGTCTTGCTCTGCTGCCCAGGCTGGAGTGCAGTGGTGCAATCTCGGCTCACTCCGACCTCCGCCTCCTGGGATCGAGCAATTCTCCTGCCTCAGCCTCCCAAGTAGCTGGGACTACAGGCACACACCACCATGCCCAGCTAATTTCTTTTGTATTTTAGTAGAGACAGGGTTTCACCCTGTAGCCCAGGCTGGTTTCGAACTCCTGAGCTCAGGCAGTCCACCCACCTTGGCCTCCCAAAGTGCTAGGATTACAGGCGTAAGCCACTGCACCCGGTCAAACACATCTTTATTAATCAAAGCAGGAACCATTACAATGAAGACATTTTTGCCAATGAGAAACAAGTTTGTTTATTCCTGTAGCGTAAAATTCATGCTTCGGGATTCAGCAGACTCTTAGAAAACATTTTCTGCATCCGGCTGCTTGTGGAGGCATTTTCCCTGCAAAAAGTTGTTGAGATGTCTGAAGAAGTGAAGAAATGGTAGTCAGTTGGTGAGAGGTCAGGTGAACATGGCAGATGAGGCAAAGCTTTGTAGCCCAATCTGTTCAACTTTTGAAGCATTGATGGTGTGACATGCGTTCAGGTGTTGTCATGGAGAAGAATTCAGCCCTTTCTGTTGACCAGTGCCAGTTGCAGTTTTTGGTTCATTTCATCAATTTGCTGAGCATACTTCTTAGATATAATGGTTTTTCTGGGATTCTGAAAGCTATAGGGGGTCAGACCAGCTGCAGACCACTAAACAGTGACCATCACCTTTTTTGGTCCAAGTTTGGCTTTGGGAAGTGTTTTGGATCTTCTTCTCTGTCCAACCACTGGGCTGGTCATCACTGGTTCTCGTATAAAATCCACTTCTTGTCGTATGTCACAATCCAATAGAGAAATGGTTTGTTGTTGTTGTGTAGAGTAAGAGAAGATGACACTTCAAAACGGTGATTTTTTTTATTTTTGGTCAGGTCATGAGGCACCAACTTATCTAGCTTTTTCACCTTTTCAGTTTGCTTCATGCTGAACGACCGTAAAATGGTCAACTTTGAATTCTATGGCAACTTCTCATGTAGTTGTAAGAGGATCAGCTTTGATGATTGCTGTCAATTGGTCATTGTCAACTTCTGATGGCCAGCCACTATGCTCCTCATCTTCAAGGCTCTTGTCTCCCTTGCAAAACTTCTTGAACCACCAGTGCAAGGTACATTCATTAGCAGTTCCTGGGCCGGATGTGTTGTTGATGTAGTGAATTGTTTCTGCTGCTTTACAACACATTTGAACTCAAATAAGAAAATTGCTCAAATTTACTTTTTGTCTAACATCATTTCCATAGTCTAAAATAAACATAAAATAAATAGCAAGTAATAAATCATTAGCAAAAAAAAAAATAAAGTGAGAAATGCCCATTAAAATGATGTATAACCTAACCACATTTATTTAAGAATATATTCCAATATCAAATGGCAAATTCCAACAATGCAAAAACCACAATTACTTTTGCAGTCACCTCAATATATATATATTCCTAAATAACTCGACTTATGGAAAAGTTGCAAAAATAGTACAGAGAATTCTTTTAAAACTTTCACCCAGCATTCTCTAAAGTTAGCATCTCATATAAACATAATAACAAAATAAAGAAATTAACACTGATACAATACTATTAATTAAACTACAGACTTTATTCCCATTTCATCAGTATTTTCACTGCTGTCTGTTACAGAATCTAATCCAGAATTCCATTTGCAGTTAGCTGTCATTTCTCCTGAGTCTCCTTCATTTGTGACACTTTCTCAGTCTTTCTATGTAGTTTATGACCATGACACTTTCAAAGAACAATCAGTTATTTTGTTAAATGTCCCTCAATTTGAATTCGTCTCATATATTTTCATGATTAAATCAAAGTTATCAATTTTTGGCCAGAATACCAAAAAAGTGTTGTTGTGCCCTTCTTGGTGTAGGTCAGGATGCATATGATGATGATATATTTTATTGAAATGGAAAAAGTTTTCTGGTCCCCCTCGCAGGGCATGTGATGGGGGTGTGGCTTTCTTCAGTTAGCAAAATTTATGTGAAATGCATTCATGCTGTTTCAGGAATCAATAAGATGTTTCTTTATATTACTTGGTAGCATTCCACTGAATGTGTGAACCAGTTTGCCACCCCATTCACTGGTGAAGGAACATCTAAATCGTTTCTAGTTTGTTACAGTTGAGGATAGAACTGATATAAATATTTATTTACAGATTCTTGCTTGAACGTAAATTTTCATGTCTCTTGGGTAAATGCCCTAGATTGGGGATTGCTAGTTCATTTGATAAGTGTATGTTGAAGTTTATTATAAGAAATTGCCAAACTGTTTTTAAAAAGTGGTTTTACATTTGACTTCTTATCAGCAGTATATTAGAGCTCCAGTTTCTGCATAGCCCGCTACCACTTAGTGTAGTCAGAATTTTTGTTTGTTTGTTTACCATTCTAGTAAATGTGAAATTGTATCTTACAGTGGTTTTAATTTCATTTTCCTGATGATTAATGATGTGAAGCACGTTTTCACAATTGGTGTCAAAATTTGTCATTTTTTTCCTGCATCTATTGAGATGCTCACGTAGCTTTTCCTTTTTAATCTAATAATATGGCAAATTACGTTATTTGATTTTTCAAACATTGAAACAGCTTTGTATTACTTGGTCATAGAGAGTTGTTCTTTTTATACATTTCTTGATTCAATTTTTTAATATATTTATTGAGGATTTTGCACTTATGTTTATGAAAGATGTAGGTCTATAGTTTTCATTTTTACAGTCTTTGGTTTTAGTATCAAGATAATACTATCTTCATAAAATAAATTGAAAAGTTTCTTTTTTAAATATTTTCTGGAAGAGATTGTATAGAATTTGTATTAATATTTTTATTATACTTAAACGTTTGGAGGAACTCACCAGGGAAATCATCTGGGCCTAGGTTTTTCTTTGTTGAAAGGTTTTTAACAATGACTCCAATTTATTTAATGGCTACTGACCTATTCAGGTTATCTTTATTTTTTTTTGGCAGCTTGTGTCTTTCCACAAATTGGTTAGTATCAACTAGGTTGCTTCATTTATGGTAATAGTGTTCATAGTATTTCATTATTTCCCTTTTTCATGTCTGTGGGGTCTGTACTGATGTACCCTGTTTCATTCCTAATATTAGCAATTTGTTTCTTCTTTTTCTTCATCAATCTGGTTAGAGGTATACCAATTTTATGGATCTTTTAAAATAATTAGTTCTGCTTTAATTGATTTTTCCCTATAGATTTGTTTTTCTACCTTCATTAATTTCTGTTCTTTATTGTTTCCTTCTTTCTGCTTGATTTGTGTTATTTGCTCTTATTTTTCTAGTTTCTTAAGGAAATAGCTTAGATTACTGATTTGATACTATTCTCTTCTAATATAAACATATAATGCCATACATTTCCCTCTAGAGACTGGTAGAATTTTATCCCACAATTTTTGATGTGTTTTACTTTATTTCATTCAGTTAAAAGTATTTGTAAATTTCCTTTGATTTTTGTTTTGTTCTACCCATTGGTCTTTATAAGTATCTTGTTTAGTTTCCCACTATCTGAAGACTTTTTAGATATTTTTCTGTTATTGATTTCTAATTTAATTTCATTATATTCTGAGAACATATTTTTTACTATTTCCATTCTGTTGAATCTGTTGACATTTGATGTATTGCCCTTAATATCGTGGTGGCTGTTTCATATGCACTTAAAAAGAATGTGTATGTTGCTGTTGTACAGTGAAATATTCTATAAATGTCAATCGTGTTGAGTTATTTGATAGTGTTGTTCAGGTCTTGCGTATCCTTACTGATTTTCTTACTTCCTATTCTATCAATTACTGAAAGAGTGATCTTGAACTTTCCAGCTATAATTGTTGATTTGTCAGTTCTGTCACTTTTTGCTTTATGTAATTTGAAGTTCTGTGTTATATGCTTACACAATTAGGATTGCTGTATCTTTTTTAAGAATTAAAGTTTCCATTTTTATTAGATATCTGTCTTTACTCCTGATCATAATCTTTGTTCTGTAAGAATATTTTTTCTCATATTAATAAAACTATTAAAGCTTTATTTTGGCTAGTGATAGTAATATGCATCATTTTCCATCCATTTATATACCTTTACATTTAAAATAGGTTTATTGTACACAGCTGTTAGATCTTATTTTATACACAATCTAAAGTTTTCTTTTAATTAATGTTTTTAGACCACTTATATTTTTGTGTTTCTTGAAATAGTTGAATTAAAATTTACTGCCTCTCTAGCTGTTTTCTATTTTTTCCATCTGTACTTTGTTTCTTTTTTCCCTTTTTTTCTCTTTTCTCTAGGGTTAATTGAGCTTTTCATTAATGATTATAGTTTACCTTCACTATTCAGTTATTACTTATAACTCCTTGTTAAAGTGTTTTAGTGAGTGTCTGGGATTTACAATATGCAAATCTAGCTGATCACATCTTACCTTTAAATAATATTCTGCTTTATGTTTAGTGGGAGAACCTTACAACAATTTATTTCCAATTCTTTCCTCTCATCCTTCATGCCATTTTTTCATAATTTTACTTTTGCATATACTATAAACACATAATACATTGTTAATATCTTTGCTTTAGATAATCAGTTACCTTTTATAATAATTAAAAATAAGAACAAGTAAATTTTTGATACCTTAGTCCATTACTAGCATCTTTTATTTTTTGTGTGGATCCAAGTTTCTGTCAAGCATTATATTTCTTCTGCCTGAGAAACTTCTTTTAACAATTCTTCTAAGTCTTCTGACAATGAATTATTTCTGGTTTTGTTTTTCTGAGAAAGTTTTATTTCTCTTTTATTTTTGAAATTTATTTTTGCTGGATATAGAATTCTGTTTGAAAGTTTTTTCTTTTGGTATGTCACTTTATTGTCTTCTGGCAAAAGTCTGTTGTGATTTTCATCTTTGTTTCTCAGTGTGTTTTTTTCTTATCACCACCTTGAAGATTTTTTCTTTGCATTTTAGCAGTTTATATATGATATGTTTAGGTTTATTTTTCCTCCCTTTATTCCTTCTTCTCCTTCTCTGCTTCCTCCTACTCTCTCTGTTTTCTCCCCACCTTCTCCTCTTCTACATTCTACCCCCTCCTCCTCCTTCTTCATTTATCCTGCTTTGTGTTTTTTTGTTTCTTGCATGTGTGGGCTTTTCTGTCATTAATTTGGGAATATTCTTGGCCATTATTTCCTCAAATATTTCTTCTGCTTTCTCTTCTCTATTTTTTGCTAGATTTCAAATATACATATGTTAAAATATTTGATATTGTTTCACAGCTCATGGGTTCTATGGCTTTTTACTTCCCACTTTTTTCCTCTTTGTGTTTCAGTATGGTTAATTTCTCTTGACATGTCTTCAAGTTTATAAGTTATAGTATCACCTATGTAGCATCTACTCATGATCTCATTTATTGCATTTGCATTTATGTAACTGTGTCTTTTATTTCTTGCATTTCCATTTGATTGTTTCCCTCTCACTGCTGAAATTTGATTGCATGTTGTCTGCATTTTCCATTGGATCAGTGGTTCTCAACTGGGAGTGTCTCCCTGCAGACATTTGCCAATGTCAGGGTCATTTTTGGTTGTCATGATTAGAGAAAGCTATTGGCATCTAATGGGTGTAGGCTAGGGATTCTGCCAAACATCCTACAATGCACGGAACAGCCCCTACAACATAGAATAATCCCTCGCAAAATGTCAATATTGTTGAGAAACCCTGTTTTAGAATATTTAACATCTGAGTTATTTTAAATTCCCTATATGATAATTCCAGCATCTGTGTCTGAGTCTGAGTCTGGTTCTGTTGATAGCTTTGTCTCTTGTCAGCATGATTTTTTTTTTTTGTCTTCTCACATGCCTCATAGGGTTTTTTTTTTTTTTTTTTTTTTTTTTTCTGAAAACTGGACACCTTGTGTAGGACAGTAGTGATTGTGGTCAACAGTTTTTGTGTCTGGAAATGATGATGATTTTCCTTCTGCTGTGGCTTTAGCAGGAGGATTTCCATTAATCTGATTACAAATTAAGTTAGTTTGAGGTTTGTTGTTGCTATAGATATTCTTTATGCACTACAGGCTTCAAATGCCTTTAGCAATGCAATACCTTGTGTTTAGGGTGGGGTTCATTTGCCAATGGATTTGTTTCAGTGCTGCTTAACTCTCAGCTTTGGGTGTTCCCACTGTGCTCTTCCATGGGGAGGATCTGTCTTCCCTCTTGTAACTGTGAAGGCAATATTCAGTGCTTGCACTGTAGGGATGCTTTCTCTGTAGTCTCACTAAATTTTTTTTTCTTTTTTGAGATGGAGTCTTGCTCTGTTGCCCAGGCTGTAGCGCAGTGGTGTGATCCCAGTTCACTGCAACCTCTGCCTCCTGGATTCAAGCAATTCTCCTGCCTCAGCCTCTGGAGTAGCTGGGACTACAGGCGCGCACCACCATGCCTGGCTAATTTTTGTATTTTTAGTAGAGACAGGAGTTCACCATATTGGTCAGGCTGGCCTTGAACTCCTGACCTCATGATCCGCACGCCTCAGCCTCCCAAAGTGCTGGGATTACAGGCGTTAATTTTTTTTTAATAAGTGTTTGTTGAGGTCTGTGTATAAAAAGCCTGCAATATGGTACAAAATTCCCCCAAATTTGTGGCCTCCATGGGTTCTACATACTCTTGCCAGGTCACAATCTGCCTCCAACGATTTATTAACTATTCTAGCTACTTCTTCATATAGGTGTTCAGCTGCATCTGCTCTGCGTAATAAAATATTTATGTTCTCTCCTTCCCTTACATGCGTTTGTCTCTCCTTAGATTTTAGGCTAGTTGACTGCCTTATGACTTCAGCTTTTTTATGGATTTAAGAAAGGACGTATGATTATAGCTTACCTTACTTTTTTGTTGCTGTTGTGAGTGTGAGAGCGATGCTCTTTGTGGCTCTCTGTATCCTCATGTGGAATGGGAAGCTTCCCTTCCAGGATAATCTTGCTATAATGGAGCCAGTTCTCTAAGTTGTGCTCCCAACCTGGTTCACTCTGGCCTCAGAGTCAGGTTAGAGAGGCTGCCTCAGAGTCACAGCATAGCAGGAGAGCAGGGTAGTCAGTCCCCCCCAGCTGATTTTGGTTTGAGTGATGGGCATGGGCTCCTGAAGTTGGAAGCCATACTTTCTTTAGTGGTGTAGAGAAAATCTAGGATTTAAAAATGAGTGTAAAATTCTAAATGGGCTTCCCTGCCCAAGGCATGGTGGTTAGTGGCTGAGTAAGGCTTAGTGGACATGAAAGAAAAACAATGTTACTGGCGGACGCCAGTGTTTTCTTCTCATCTTAGGCAGGCTTAGTGTACATGGCTTACTTTCCATGCCATTTGGTAAATGGATAATGAAGCAGGAGGGTTATGGAAGATGGTTAATATTAATAAATCCAAAATTGACTAGAAACTGGGTTCAGGGTCTCAAAATACTCCCCTGACAGTTAAAAAACATGAGATTAATCCCTTTTAGAACTAGCTGTTTATATGTGTGTGTATGTGTGAGTGTGAGTGTGTGTGAGTATGTGTGTATCTCTATTGTAAAAATTTGAAATACCAGAAAGCATAAGGAAAGGGTACATTTCACTCATAATACTACCACCCAGAGATAACAGGTCTTAACATTTTAATATCTTTTTCTCCTATGTAATGCTTTAGATACTTGGGATCATATGTTCATAGTTCGTGACATGATTTTTTTCACCTTCTGAGCATTTTTTAATATCCTTAAATATTTTCAAGATAATTCTTTTATATGCCTATACTATAATTTATGTAGCTAAGTTGCCTTAAATTTATTTTACTACTACAAATATCATTACAATAAACATCTTTCATCAAACTCTTTGTGCAAATTTATGATTATGTCTCTAGATAAATTCCTAGAAAGTAGATTTATGAGGCCAGATGGTTTGCTCAGTTTTAGACTTTTGATGCTTATTGCTAAATAATCTTTCAGAAAGATCATGTGATTTACTTTTCCATTGAGATTACACAAAGTTTCTGTTTCTGAAAGGAAAGTTTCTCTACCTAATTCTTCACCATCATAAAGGAGGCTAGAGGAAGAAGTAACAGAGAGAAATACTTTTTATGAGAAAAAGAAGATTGAGGGACAGTTTTATGGGTTTTGAGTCTATCAGATAATTCCTAGTTGAAAACACAGCTGACAGCAGCTTTATGAGTAAAATGATAGATAAGATTTGAGAGTCTGCATTATTTTAAACATTCACTTAAAAATAAAACTAAACTAAGCATTTTTGGTCCTCTTAAAAGTTATTTGAGTTCCTTAAGATTTCAAACATTTTCTCACTTTCTAATGTGACTTGGGAATTTTCTTTTTCCTCTTTACCATTTGTCAGTGTCCTTTACCTTCCTTGGCTCCTGGCTAAAGTGCTTACACCTCCTGAAGTTATTTCTGTTTTCCCTAAATCTGGCAGTTGTTCAGTCATTTTTAGGATTGTGTATGGAAACTATCATTTGTACTTTTGGTTTTTAGCATGAGGCATGGTGTTTAATCATTTTATGTACTTAGCTATGTCTAAATACCCTTCAAATACAGGGATAGAGTCTTGTGCTTTTCCTGTTTCTCCAGGGGTAAGGGCAGTGGTTTGCACCATTGTAGTCTGTTGATCACTTTTTGTTGATGATGGCCAGACTGAATGCCATAAGAGCTGGGACAATACATTTTTCCTCATTATTCTATCTCCAGTGACATTTGAGCTGCTTGAGACAGCTGGAGCTCAAAAATACTTTTTGAATTAATACACGAACAAATAAATTTGTTACACATTTTGTATATGAGGGTCATCTTCTGAGAAATTATGTGCTTCATTTTCCTTTATAGCAACCTCATTGGGAAGGAAGGAAATGGGATTTTTCCTCTCTCAGAGGGTGTCTAGGCTGAGGTTTTCTTACTCATAGATGTTTTCCACTTTGATGATATTGGCAGGCTGACATGTAACCTTTTAAAAGAAAAAGCCATTAAAAAGTCTTGTGTGCCTAGTGTGTGTGTGTGTGTGTGTGTGTGTGTGTGTGTATTTGCGTGCCCATTTAAGGCAATTGAAGCAATGAGATCTAATTTTCTCAAAAGAGAGAAGAAGGAGCCAATCCAAGTTTACAGTGTTGAAAGGAGAATAAATGTGTAACCTTGGTTTTATCCACAAAGAGTGGGAAGAGGAAAGGGTTGTAAGTCTCTTGGAAGGTAAAGGTCTGAACTCACTTAGACGCTGCAACTCTGAGGGTCAGGAGCCTGATGAGATGCCTGTGAGGACAGAGCTATGGCCTTAGGGTCAGGAAAAGCCTCTCCATTGCCAGACTTTGCCCAAAAATGAGTGAAGCTGCTAGGGAGCTGCCCATCAACAAATAGTGCTTGTTGGCTTAGACCACAGATGGCACAACAGCTTGGACAGATGGTGAGAGACAAGTGCTCCACAGTAGCTTGGTATGGCCTCAAAGAGCAAATGGCAGTGGTGGCAGCCACAGACTGAGGCTCTTCCCTGCTCAAGAACTGGAAAGCTGGAAGGTCAGTTTTTATTAATCTGTCAATCTATCTATCTCAGTGATTCTAAGGAGTGTGCAGAGCACAAACTGACTAATATCAGTGTTCTTGCTAATATTAGTGGGAAGGGACTTGAGCTACTTCTAATTAAATTTGAAGAAAATTAAAGGATTGTAATATAACCTGGACCTTGTATGTTACAGAGCAATCTAAGCCTCATGTAATTATGATTTTGTTTTCTGCAGTTATATCCATCAGGACTTCCCAGGGTTAAGAGGTTCTTACACAGCTCATAAGGTATTCTCATCTAATAAGCCATCTGCTGGCAAGTGGAACATTCCAGCTTCCAGTCAAAATTTCAGTCTGGGAATGCCAAACTTTCTGGAATAATTCAGAAACCTTAAATTATTGTTGATGACCTTAGTTTCCCTTTTCTCTGTATGGAGCAGTATTGAGTGAATGCATGCTAGGCTATGTCACCATTTTCATTGCAAGGTATAATTTTCATGAGAAATGTGTGTCGTGGGAGTGTTTTAGGAAGTATTCTTCCAAGCTTTACATTTAACATAAAAAAAGCTTGACGTCTGTCTTTTGACTTAGACGAGGTGTTTAGCTTAAGATTAAATTACCTTTTGAAACGTTTACTTGTTGAATATGTGCAAATTACATTTAAGATGTGAAAATAGCCATATGTGAAGAGTTCTTGCTAGCACTTTGCCATCAAGCTTCTCTTTCCTTTGTCTTTGTATTCTCTTATATCGTCGTTATATTCTCTCTCCCACAATTAGGAAATGAGATTCTCTGTGCATTGTCAATTATAAAGGAGTTGAAACTTGAGTCTATAATGAAGATCAGGGTACAGCTGGATTAAATACACCCAGCCTGGGCAACATGGTGAAATCCTGTCTCTAGAAAAAATATGAAAATTAGCCAGATGTGGTGGTCCTGTGCCTGTAGTCCCAGCTACTAGAGAGGCTGAGGTTGGGAGGATTGCTTGAGCCCAGAAGGTTGCGGCAGCAGTGAGCTATGATCATGCCACTTGCAGTCCAGCTTGGGCAACAGAAAAAGACCCTGTCTCAAAAAAAAAAAAAAAGCTTCTCTCTTTCTCTTCCATAAGCATAGGGTTGGGGGACACGTTGCTGGATAGCCACACATCTCCACTATCTCCACATAATGCTCTGTCATTGTAGGAGAAAAATAAAAATGCTGCCTTTGGAAATGCCATTAATCAGGCAAAATTTTATGAAATCAGCAAATATTTTAAAAACATAAGTGAAAAGTTCTATTTGTTGGATAGTATAAAGGTATTTTTTTTCCCTTGAGAGGATGAAACCAAGAATGATTATGAGCTCTTCTCATGGAGAGACCTGCCTCTACACAGCACCAGTTAGCTGAGTGCCTCAGATCCCACAATAATTGCATTCACGTGAGTTCCAAGTACTTCATGGAAGGTCCAGAAATGCCATTGTTTTGCAAGGTCATTGCACTCGTTATTCTCCACCCTCTGCCTCATTTTCCTTTCTTCTCTGTTGTGGGCTATGCCAGCAGGCTCCCTTGCCTTGACTTCTACTTAGGTTCAGCCAGTGGGAGTTTTCCACAGCAGATGAGAAAGCCAGCTGTGGGATATGATGAGGTTTCTCTTCAGATAATCTGATTAATCTTTTATTCTTTAATTAATAGTACCCCCCCAACTTTTCCTTTTTCTCCTTTTTTCCTTTTTGACTTTGTTAGATGCTCAGGCACACTACAATACCAGGCATTATCAGTAACAGCTCACATTCCTTTCCTTATTTGGAAAGAGGACTAACTTTCTAGCTCATAACAGACACCCCTTCCCCTTCCTCTCCACTTTCTTTTACATGCCCACCTTATCTAAAAAAAAATCAAATGTTTAGCCAAGCGGATTAGTTTAGATTGTACGACCCGACCCCAGCCAATGGGGAAAGGGTACAGGGGCAGGACTTGCATCAGGAATAAAGGCTCTCGTGCCCTTTGTTCAGGTGTGCTCTCATGGTGACTGGCCAAGGAGACACCACTCTGCGCAGAAGTAAAATTGCTTTGCTAAGAATCCTTTTTTTCGAGTGTTCAATTTCTTTAGGCTTTTGAGGGTTATTTCTAACACAGAGGAGAAAGAGGGCCTAGTGTTTCTTGGTCTCCTCTACTTCGCTTTGACTTCTGTGTTGCAATTGCAGAAATGGCTTTTTCCTTTTCAGATTACAACTCCGGTCAATTTTTTTTTTTCTTTTTTTGAGACATCGTCTTGCTCTGTTGCCCCGGCTGGAGTGTAGTGGCACAATCTCGGCTTACCCCAGCCTCCGCCTCCCAGGTTCAATCGATTCTCCTGCCTCAGCCTCCTGAGTAGCTGGGACTACAGGTGTGCACCACCATGCCTGGCTTAATTTTTATTTTTTTTTGTATTTTTAATAGAGATGGGGTTTCACTATGTTGGCCAGGCTGGTCTTGAACTCCTAACTTCGTAATCTGCCCACCTCAGCCTCCCAAAGTGCTGGGATTACAAGCATGAGCCACTGTGCCCGGCCTCTCCAATCAATTCTGACATGCCTTTGGTTACACTGCTTTGCTCCCCTTGTCTCTTTTAGGCCTGAAGGTGGAAACTGTTTCTTGCTGGTGTGGTCCCTGGCTGCTTCTGCATCCCTTGTTAGTTTTCTTAATTCTTGCCTCACCTCTGTAAACTAATAGTCTCTCTATGAATTTAACTTCAAAATCCCAGCATGTCTTTTTTAGTGCTAAAAAAATGGATACATTAGTGCTAAAGCACTAAGGTTTTTCTCCAAATACCAGGATGATGGGTTGAGGGCATAGACTTTTGGAACTATTCTAAGCCTAGAGGTCTTTACAGATTCCTTCTTGGATATAAATGGTAATTTTATAAAATATTTTTAGTATCGATTGGAGTCCCCTTTCAAAGAGAAAGTCTTAGGCTATTGAGCCTGTTTATTATGAGCTTAAAGAGAGTGAACTTAGTGAAAAGGATGTGGATTACAAAAACAGACTGCACAAACTGGCACTCTTCCTCTGGTTCATTATGAAAGTAGTACTTGCCCAGTGAGTTTAGGCCTAATTATTTGTACTGGGTCAAATTAGGATCTAGACTTAGGCCTGCGAGAAAGGCCAAAAAAATAATAGTGGCCCATTTTAGGAGCTATTGATGAGCAGGGCTTCTGTCTGTGTCTGTAGAAGGTCAAATGTTGGATAGCTGATTGAACACCAGGCTAATTCCAAGTGCTTTCTAGTGATTTGCAAAGCAATCCATGCCCTTACCATCTGGCCTCAGAGCTTTGTGAACTATGATACATGACAGGTTTGGCACCAAACAGCCGGGAGATGGAGGAATAGTAGAGGTTGGCACTTCAGTCTATGGCGTTGCTTTTCTCTTAATTTCTGGATTAATTCCAAATAAAAAAATGAGAACTTTGTTTGTTTTGTATTAATGCTTCAGGAAGTCTTGTCTTTCTTCTTAATGAGAAGGATGGGAAAGGGAAGAGGTTAGGAATTAAAGACCATGTCATTTCACACACCTGGGGTGGGCAGGTGGGCAGAGAGTGGTGGAGGGGCCCATTTAAGGACTTTACTCTGGTAACCCTTGAAAAGAACATTAGTTATATCTAGGAACACTTTAGATAAATAGGAACTTTAAATAAAATCCAGATATGTATCCGTTGAGAAACTGTGATTTTTTATTTCTTTACTTGAAAATAATACTTTGAATTTACTAGTACTCAGTGTTTATTACAAGTTTATGGAGTATTACCTGAGAATATACAGTCCAAGTACTCTTCCAGATCCTCTAAAATATCTTCAATGGGTTGTCAGACAAGAGGGAGCTGCTGCCTTATACTGCATCATTTTAGCGTTTTTCTTTCTCGGGTGCATTCATTCAACTGGATTTTTGTTTTTGATTTTGTTTTTGCATTGTGTTTTTGTTGACCTTCATTGAGAGACATTGGTAGAAACAATCCTGAATGTTCTCATTTTTGTATTTACTACTGAGATATTGTTGAGAATGCTGTTATTTACATTTCACACAATCTTCTATATGCAGACTAATGGGAAGAATGTTTCTCAGGCCTTAATTTGAGGAATACTTGTGTGTGTTTGAGCAACTATGTTGTTGTTTTTTTAATCTATGGACACTGTGGGTCATGTAAGTGATGATTTTTCTTCTTGTCATTTTGGATAATAGAAAGGTCAGAGCCTAGTTCATGATGTGTCTCTGAGCAATGATGTTTCTATTTTAACTTTACTTCGTGACTTTATTTCTTTTCTTGATTTTATTTTTCTGTCCTCTTGAATTACTGTATTGAAAAATTTTTCCTTATATTCTATTACATATATTTCTAAGAGCTGCCTCAAATGTATCTTTGAACACAGTAAGGGTATAAACAAAATAATAAATAAGATAGCAAAAACAAATTTGTAATGCTTACTGTAAGAATCATTTTTATGTCTATACAACCTTAAAAATAAAATAAAATAAAATAAAACCCCCCAAATTAAAAAAAAAGTGATGGCCAAAATATAAAATATTAAAATTATTTATTATTTCCCATAATTAGATAACAAAAAAAATTGTTATATGCAATAAAATTGCCTGTAACTAAGTTAATTTTAACTGATTTATGTGATTTGATTTGGACTATATAAAGCAGAATCTTCTAAATATCTGGCATTGTATACTAATTGAAACAACATCATTTAGGGGCATTGGATTAGTTGGAAGGAGAAGTGTGGCTTCAGAAAGAAAATTATTGGGGCTAGTGCAAAATGTGGGTTGACTAGAATTTTTACTAAAAATCTTCATTTTGGAAACAGTTAATATGTTAACATAGTTATTAAAATATTAACCAATTTATGTATACAATTAGACTTTTCACATAGTCATTTAACACAGAAATGTGTTTCATTACTCTTAATTGAGTATTTTGAATCACCAGAAGGTAAGGTACTTGGAAACTTTAGACTTTCTTAATTGGAATTAAAATTTCCAACAGGCAGACTTTTAAGGTCTTAATTGTTTGATCCTCAAAATTGTAAGATGAGGCAAACCATGGATAATTAACTGACAGATGGCTAAATGGCTTTATTATCATACAGAATTTATGAGTTAAACATTCAATTGGGAATTATATTTAGTAGGATAATTAAAGATAAAAACTTTAATTTGTTTAAATAAATCATTTATATTTAGTAGGACAATTAAAGATAAAAAATCAAAGTTTTTTTATCTTTAATTGTCCTACTAAATATAAATGATTCATTTAATCATGCAATTTCTTTGTTTCACAACTTTTTGTGAAAGATTAAAGTTTTTATCTTTTAAATTTTAACAGGGTCCCACAAAAGGCACACCCACAAGGCTAAAGAAAGAGTAAGACTTCAAGGAAAGAAAATGAACTTCAACTCCCTCTGAATAATAAAGCAACATTAACATACGTTGGTGTTTTTACATCCCACATGCATAAAGAAAAGTTAGCAGTGGTTTTTTCACTTGGTTTTCTCTCTCTGGACCATTCACATTATTTGTTCTCACAAACATCTGCTCTACTATGGGGTAGGAAACATGACTAGGATACCAAAAATAATAACACATTCATCCTGTCTACATCCAAAAGGGTCGAGTGGACCAAATAAACAATTAGACAAGAGAGCCAAACCACAAAGACATGAAATTCACATGGCATGGCAATGTAGAGCGTGTGTTCTAGCCTGCATTACAATAAAATTCTGTACATCTTTTTTTATTTATTTTGCTTAGGATTGGAAAAGCTTTAATCATGATTTCCCACCTAAGCTGTAGTTCCAAACTACAGAGAACATTTTGATTTCCAAAAAATTCATCTAGTTAAAAAAAAAATTAAGAAAAGCAGAATCTAGAATTAGGAAACAGGAATCTTTAAAACATAATAACAAAGAAACCTGCCAAGTGATTTGCTGCTATGGCCTTACCTACCCTTGTGTTTTCCTCCAGTGATGAGGGGTTGGATGGGGTAGGGCTCAGGGCCTGCAGCATAAATGGCAGTTTGACAAAGAGATCTTGTACCTGACCCTTGGTGTCCCAGACACCAGACATTCCAGATCTGAAAACATCTGGAAGATAATACTAATGAAATGGGGAAGTAAGGAATACACTTACAAATTTGGGCCACATCAGTGGATTTTAACACTGGACATGCTTGACAATTATATGTGTAGCTGCTTTTACCTTACTATTATTATTTTTTAATATCTTAATGACTGCCTGGTATTATCCAATTCTGACATTTCTCTGTATGCTTGTGGTAGAGCAGGACAGGAAGTCTTTGTATTTGCTCTTAGGATTGAAGGCTTTATTACTTGGTCTGGCCTTCTCTCTGTGGGTTTCAGATAAACTCTTGACTCACTGAGAGTTTGGAAAACTACACAGAACACATCACCTGTATAGAGGATCTTGAACTCCTTCACAGATTCCCTTTCAAAATCACCACTGGCCCAGAATTCTTATGAGAAAAAAAAAAGTTTGCTCATTAGCATTGTAACCACTGATATTTTCTTATTCTTGACCAATTTAGATAAATTGATACAAGGTTTATTAGTGCTGGTGGATTAATTTGCTTTATTGTCAAGAAGATGAAAAATGAAATGGGCCCTGTCTCAGACACTGCCTATGGATGATTTATGCTGTCAGCAATTGATTGATCATCTTCCCTTTGGAAACTTCCACCTTTGAGGGAAACATGGATATATCTAAATGATAAAATTAGGGCCAAACCCTTGAAAAAAGGAAGTAGAAATGATCTGAAACTTGCCTTGCTGTGAAATTAGCAAATGAGCACTTGAGTATTACATTGAAGATCAGGGTTCTTACTTGCCAAAAGGTAGCCTCAGGTAAGATACATAATGTTTGGCTTCAATTGTCCATTTGTGAAAGGGGACAATACTACCCACATGTATTAGTCCATTTTCATGCTGCTGATAAAGACATACCCGAGACTGGGAAGAAAAAGAGGTTTAATTGGACTTACACTTCCACATGGCTGGGGAAGCCTCAGAATCATGGCAGGAGGTGAAAGGCACTTCTTACATGGTGGCCACAAGAGAAAATGTGAAAGAAGCAAAAGCAGGAACCCCTGATAAGCCCATCAGATTCATGAGACTTACTTACAATCATGAGAATAGCATGGCAAAGACTGGCCACCATGATTCAATTACCTTTACCTGGGTCCCTCCCGGATTAGGTGAGAATTCTTAGAGCTATAAGTCAAGTTGAGATTTGGATGGGGACACAGCCAAACCGTATCACCACATTTTTATTATTTCTTTCCTGAGATGCTGAGAATTTCGTGACAAATAAAACTAACATAATATTTATTGAATGTCTACTCTCTAGGCCTCAAATGGAACACTAGTGAGAATATAAGAAATAATATTTACAAATCTCTGGGACTTAGTTTTGTCATCTATAAAATGGGAAAATTAGATTCCACAACTAATTCTGTCAAGCTCTAAATTTGGTGGCAATAGCCACTTATTAAGCATTTACTAGACGAAAGCACCATATGAGGAACTTTATATACATCATCTCATGTAATCTTCACAACCACCCTGGGAAGAGTGTCCTATTTTTTACCCTCATTTTACATCTGAGAAAACCAGGACTTAGGGATATATTTGTCCTTGGGAACAATTTAAAACAACAAGTCTCGGATTAGTGACATTTGAGATTTATGTGTGGAAAGGAAATAAAAAATCAACAACCAGTTACTTCCCAAGGACACAGAACTAGAATATGAACACAGTCCCTTGGACTCCAGCCAATGCCCCATACTTCCTCCTAAGGGTGTTTGCTCAGCTGAGTTGTTACACTGGCTTTATGGAATGCATTTGTTCTGTTCCCAGACAGCTGTCCACCACTCTTCCCTTTTCAGTTCTTGTGAAGCAGCACCATTACCTGTATCCAGTGATGGAGGGATTTTATTTTGTTTTGTTTTTTTGTTTTGAGACAGAGTATCGCTCTGTTTCCCGGGCTGGAGTGCAGTAGCCTGGGATCAGGCTCACTGTACAGTGATCAGGGCTCACTGTAGCCTCAATATCCTGGGTGCAAGTTATCCTCCTACCTCAGCCTCCCTAGTAAGTGGGGACTACAGGCATGCACCACCATGTCCAGCTAATTTTTAAATTTTTTTGTAGTGATAGGGTCTCACTATATTGCCCAGGCTGGTCTCAGATTCTTGGGCTCAGGCAATCCTCCTGCGTTGACCTCCCAAAGTGCTGGGATTACAGGTGTAAGCTACTGCACCCGGCATGGAGGGGTTTTGAGTTACTGCTTGCAAAATGAATAGAAACAAAGTTTGTCTACTTCAGCACTATCACTATTTTGGTCTGGATAATTCTCTTCGTGCGGGCTGCCATGGGCATTATAGCATGTTTTAAACCATCCTGGCCTCTACTCACAAGATGCCAGTAGCAACTCTCCAGTTGTGGCAACTAAAAATGTCTCTAGAAATTATGAAATGTCTTCGAGGGGCAAAATTATCCTTGGCTGAGAACCACTAAGCTAGATTTTGACAGTGGGTTGATAATAAGCCTTTTTTTTTTGGTATCATGTGAAGCACTTTGGACACTTAATAATACTGACAAAGCCAGCTGGCCAATGAATTCGTGGTTGCAGGAACCTCTTGTTTTCATATTGTTAAATTGATGATTGCATTACTTGGAACATACATACAATAGGAAATTAGGTAGATGTACTGTCAGCTTTCCAGGTTCTTTGTGGTGGGTTCTGTAGATTAGCCTATGAGTTATTTCATGGAGAAGCGTGTAGATCAGTGGTAAGAGCACAGGCCTGGAGTTAGGTGACTTTACTCCCACACACAACATTGTCGTTTCTCAACAAAGCATTGCCATTACTCAATGACACATTTAGACTATTTGGGCCTCAGTTTCATTATTTGCCAGATGAGGAAATTGGGTCAGATAATCTCCAAGTCCCTTTCTGCTTTAATAACTAATGATTTTAAGGTCCAAATACTGAATAAATCATATGGCAAATTATTTCTTTCTGAGAACATTGTAGTTTGTGACAGTGTAGCTGCTTATTCAATTACAATATGGCAATAAATGTCATACCTTTCCCAGTTAATTCCTGGACTTTTGATTTCCTTTCCATACGTAAATCTCAAGTATCACTAATCAGAGCCTGGTTGTTTTAAATGCAGCCTTAAGGAGGTCTGACAAATAAATTAAAGGAATATTCCAATTTGGCTACAGCTGGCCTAACAGAATGGAGAAATCCTGCTGAAAACCAGACTTGTGTTTGGGATTCACAAATTTTATCCCAAAAAACCCGATTTTTATTTTTAAAAAAACCCAATATATTTGCTTTTCCTTCCAGTATTCAAGTAAGAATTTTCTGGTTGGTTTTATTTCCTCCACCACAAAGATTTAAAGAAGAGGGCAGCAAGAGCAGGGTGACACTACACGAATTCTGTCACATGGCCTCAGAGGTCTCCTAGTTGGAGATTCCGTTAAAAATAATTTTCTTAAAGACAGAGGTACATTGTGGCAACAAGACTGTAATGCCTCCTGAAGTTATGCAGTGTGGCGGTCCTCTTAGTAGCCAGTATTTCTGTACAGTGTGGGTTTCTGGTGACAGTGGTGGGGTGCTTTAAGTTCTGGGACCAGCAAATATGCTCCTTTTCAATTCAGGAAGAAAGACCACTACAGGGAATGCTGTTGGTTCCCTGTTCCACTACAGGGAAAGCTTTGCCACAGGCCTTGTAGTTGCTCTTTAAAGGCATTTTAAACTAAAAAATGCCACAAACTCAACTGGCCAAGTGCTTTCATCTAAATTATTTCTTTTTTGTGTGCCTTAACTTAATAAATGGGACCATTATTTATCTAGTTTCTGAGCCAGAAAACTGGGCGAATTCCTCGATTTTTCTCTTTTCCTTTCTTTACACGAAACACAATAACAAGGTCCTTTCAATTTTTCCTGCTCATTTGTCTCAAACCAGCTCACCTCTATCCATCTCCACTGTTAATACTTAGTTCAGGCCACCATTACCACTTGTGTGGGCCCCTTTTATTGCCTCCTAATAGGCTTCCTAGCCACAGTTCTTCCCCTTTCCAGTCTAGACTCTGTACTTAAGGCACAGTGATCTTTCCCAAATTCAAAGATTAATTATCTTGATATTTTCATACTGGCAATCCCTCAGAGGTTTTACATTGCCTGAAGGCTTTCTGTAATGGTTTTCAGGTCTATCATAATTTGGCCCCCCTTTCCCCTCTAACATCACCTCTTACCACTTCCACCTTCTACTCTGTGTTCTGGCTCTACTGAAATTTCTGTTCCTCCATAACATTGTGTTCCCTCTCTTCTCCAGACCGTTCTCCACATTGTTCCCCACACCTCAGACACTGTAAAGAAAACTTACCAGCATGTAGTCAGGAATGTAGGAATATTTAGTTATTGGAAAAACTGCAATTTACAAAACATTTCTTAACAGGGTGTTTATCATTTAGGAATTTTGGTCAGAAGCATAGAGACCCTATGGTTAATTTCCAAAATTTGCAACTCAGAGTCTTTTCTTACTTTGTGTTTTGTTACTTTTACCTTTTCTTCTGTCTAATCTAGGCATGTGAAAACAAAGAAGTGCCTTTGTAAAGGTGGTGTGTGTGTGTGATAATCAGGTTAAGGGGAGATTCTGAAATAGGTCTGATCCAAGTGTCCACATCTTATACCATCTATGGACAAGGCAAACTTTTATGCTTATACTGCAGGGAAGAGGATTGGAAAGTTGTGAAGTATATGAAAATTAAAGACTAGAATAAAGCTAGGAAAAGAGGAAAGCAAAGCAGGTTAGTGGTGAAATTGGAACATCATTGTGGCCAACAGAATGTGGATTTCTCAGAACAGTTTAGATCCTCTCCATGGAGATTTCTTTGTCAGTGGGGTGAAAATTTATTTGTATTCTGTAAATTAATGTGGTATGCCAGAGAGTAGAAGAGATATATGATCTGGAAGTAGTGACTTTTCATCAAAGAGATCAATAGCAGCACAGCAGCACCAAGGTTGCATTGCCACTGACTTTCAGTTGCTGAAGGACTGAGAGCTGGGCTTTAGTGAAAAGAGGATATGCCCCTCCCATAAGTCAGGCTGATTTGGTGCTTCATGCCCATAGGCAATGCGGAAGGAAATTAAAATATGCTCAGAGCTTGAGTTCTGAGATGGATGGTGAGGGTGGCAGAATAAAAAGCAGAGGAAGCAATTCTAATACGACCATCCCTTTCTTTACTTGTGAGATAATTCTGATGTCAGAAATGACTTTGGAATGAAAGACCCAGGCCTTTTCACTAAAATTGAAGAGGAAATTATGCTTTAATATAGCCTGAAGCTCCAGCCAGAAGCCCTCATGGTAGAATGGGAAATAACCATTGCTGGACTACCCCAAATTCCCAACTGGCAAACAGATTCAATACCATAGTCTAGAAAATAATTTATGAACAAGTAAATAATATCTGCATCATTATTTGGTTGAGAAATTTTGAAGAATACCTGCAGGAACCCCACAGTATCCAACGTACCCGAACCCCGGCCCCATGTTGGTATTCCGGAGAGAGTAACACCAAGGTCATTCACAGCCTGGCGGCCAAATTTTTCCAGGCCAGATTTATAAGGCCTCTTGCATCAGCCCTGCAGAGTGCAGCAGGAAGGCTCATTTCCCTGTTCACTGCCCTGCCTTTTTCACTGTGAGTGTGGTACTAATTTGTGCCAGTTCTTAATCATCAAAATACCAGCAATGGCCTGGGCTTCCTCTTTATCTTCATGCACCTGCCTATGTCCTCACTCTATCCCTTCAGATATTTTCAGTGTCCTCTTTGGAAGTCTTACCTTGTCTCTAAGTAGGAAAATAAATGTCCCTTACCTTAAGCATTCCTAGGTAATCTTATCTTTTTTCCCCACTCTCAGAGTTGGCCGCTTCCCACAAACTGCTGTCATCATCCTGCTTCAAGCTTGCTGCATTTCAAAAGGGGGAGGGTGGGTGGCAGACACAGGGGAGATGGTCTTCAATTCTCTTCTAAATCGAATTGGGTCAGATGGAGCCCAATGTCTTTTTTTTTCTCTGAGTGACTTCTCCCTTAGAGATTAGTAAATATTAGTTAAACTCATTACAGATAAGTTTGTGAGAAATAGAAATTTCTCTTGAGAAAGCTTTGGGTTTGCCAATTTTTTTTCCTCCAGATTTCTTTGTCTGCACCATGATTACTGCAAATCAGAAAAGCAGCAGCACCAGCTCAATGTCATAGGGACTATACTGGCAATATTAGGAAGGAATTAGAGACCTTGGCTGGGGCAAAGAACGAATAACAAAGGCAAAGTTATTGGTCAGATCTTGAGAATTTTCTCCTTCCTCACATCCTTCCCTTTATACCCCTGAGGTTAGGTGGCTGTAATGAAGAGAGAAAAAATACCTAGGATGATGCCATGATAGACATATAGGGATGTATGTATAATGTAAAGCTGATTTGTCTGGTAAGGGCATAGTGGTCAAATCCAGAATGAGGCGTGGGTGAACCCTGAAATATGTGCCATCCCTAAAACCCACCAGGCATGGCACATGACAGAAGACTGGTCTTTGAACCATCCCTTTGTTAGATATTATTAATCAAAGTTTCTAATACTCTCAAAATTAGCACACATGGGACAAAAAAAAATCTGAACAACACAGCTGCTTTTCTGTCTCCTAGGATATTGACTGTGTGCATTATACATGCTTAAGATTATATAAATTATAAGTTTTATAATGAGTGTAGTCAATATCCTGGAAGATATGAAAGTGAAGATTGGTAAAGTAAAGCAGAAATATGTATTTGTAAGAAAGAGCCAAAAGGAAGCATGGGGAATGACAAATATAATAGTAAAAATAAAGAATGCAAAGGATATAATAAATAGCAGAATGAATATAACTGAGGAACTCTTAGAAAACATTTGGGGGAAATTAGATATGTAATATATTAAAGGAATGCTAAGAGAATAGAAGATTGATTGAAAATATCTCAAAGAGTGTAAAGCAGGAAAGATAAAGGAAAAGCTACAGCTGAACACACTATTCATTTAAGTAGAAAAATTTAAGAACACAGAAACACACAAGAACATACTACACCTTTCCAGAAGGAAAGTGCAGACCGCCTCAAAAAATATAAGAATTAGGGCAACAGCTGACTTCTCAACAGTGATGGCAAGACAGCGTAGAGTAATAATTTTAAAATGTTGAAGAAAAATTTGAATCTAGAATTTTATATTCAGCAAAAATAATTAAAATTTGATGGCACAATAAATATATTCACTGGTATATAAGGCCTCAGAAGACCTACCATGCTAAATAGCTTCTCTGGAAACACACTTCAAAGAACTATTCTAACAACTGAGAAAATAAATGTAGAATGACCTAGGGCACCTACAAAAGTAAATAATTTGGTCTACTTGATTGTTTAATAAAATAAAAAGCCCCAGAAATTCTACGTCTAGAAATTTATTCAAGATAAATAAAAACATATTTCTCATAACGACTTGCACACATACACAGCAGCATTATTCCTAATAGCCAAAAATATAATAGCCAGATGTTCATCAGCAGGTGAATGGATGAACAATTTACGGCATATTCATAGAATGAAGTTCTAGTCAGCAATTAAAAGGAGCAAACTACTGATGTATGCTATAGCATGGATAAATCTCAAAAACATTAAACCAAACCAAAGAAGACAGACACAAAATACTGTAGACTGTATAATCCATTTATGTAATATTCTAGAAAGGGGAAATCTAATCTATGATGGTAGAAAGCAGACCAGTGATAGTCTGGGGCTGAGTATGTATGGGTATAGATAAATATTTACTAAATCAGGAAATGGAATCACCCTCCATCCCCAAATGTCTTGTATTTATAGATCTTAGATTCATAGAATAAATAGAAAAAAAATACCCACAGAAAATGACCCTAACTAATATGTAAATATCAAGATGTCCAAGAGTTTTAAAAGTCTTACAGCTAGGGTTTTTGAAGGATATTCACATTTCTATTTGTGAGGGGTAATATTAAGCTCACATTTAGAGTTTGTCCTGGCCAACGGTTTTTTAAAAGAATGTCTGAGCCTACCATTAAAGGCCTGTTCTTCTGTATTTTGTGGTTGATCTCCTACTGGTCCCTCTATTACCAGTTCTTTCATCTGCAACAGCAAGGTCTAAATTACTACAAATTATGCACTTCGGTGCTTACAGAGCCATTCAGGAAAAGAGCTTAAGAAACTGCAAGCCAAAGCAAAAATGCCAACAGGAGATCAAAACTAAAACCATCAATTCCCAGTGGAAGGAAGAGTTTGACTGTACAGAACTTTTTATTCTTTCTTGTCTCACTTGGATGACTAATATCTTTAAAGGGTAGTCAGTTTATAGGGAAGGAATTCTAACATAAGTCTCAGTAACTTGGTATACCATCCAAGTCAGAGGTGAAACTTGTAAATTTCAAGTGCAACAAATTTAAAGCTTAAAATCAGTGAAAATTTAGATAAAAACAAAAATACAAAACTGTTAATAGTTTCAAGTGTTCATTTAGGTCCTCCAAGAAAAAGACATGCATTAGACATACAGTAGATTTATTGAAAGAAACATCTGTGAAGGACAGAGAGGAGAGGAAGCAGGAGGAGGCCGTGGAGAGCCTTCAGACTAGTAAACAGGTCTGACACCAGTGAAAGGAGAGTAGGAAGGGGGAGGATGGGGGAGGAAGGGCCTTGGTCTGCTGTGCAGCTCTGAGAAACTCATGTCCAGTGGAGTCTCAGAGGAGAGATAGCAGAGAAATGTGTTGGTCAGAAAAAGTCTGGCTTTAGTATCCTGATGTGCTTAGGATACTAGATTATTAGTCATTGGCTGAGCACAGCCTGGGGGAGTGAACTTTAGCATGAATGTGGCAATGGATCCAAAGATGTGGTTGCTGTTGGCTGTCATTCAGCTACATTCCTCATGACAGGCTCTCCTGAAGGGACATCTGAGCAATGCATTCCCATGGCTGCCCACAATACAGAAGTTATTTTAAACACAGCTATTGTAGATGCTTTAAGAAATGCTCTCATTTCAAATCAAAACCTATTGTATTAGCCCATTTTCATTCTCCTGAAAAAGACATACCCAAGACTGGGCAATTTACAAAAGAAAGAGGTTTAATGGACTCACAGTTCCATGTGGCTGGGGAGGCCTCACATGGCAGAAGGTGAAAGGAACATCTCACATGGCAAGCAGACAAGAGAAGAGAGCTTGTGCAAGGAAATTCCCCTTTATAAAACCATCAGATATCGTGAGACTTACTCACTATCATGAGAATAGTGTGTGAAAGACCCGCCCCCATTATTCAATTACATCCCACCGGGTCCCTTCCACAACATATGGGAATTGTGGGAGCTACAATTCAAGATGAGATTAGAGTGGAGCCACAGCCAAACCATATCACCTATTAAACTCTTATTAAGTCATATAGTGCTAATAGGCAAGACTTTTTAAAAGAGCAAATGGAAGGAAAATTGCACATTATAGATTAACATCATTGGAAACTTCATCAGGAAACAGGGTTGTACTTTCAATTACCATCCATAGAAAACATGTTTGTAATCTAGTCCAGGTGATAGAGGTTCACTCAATATATCTACACTCTCTTGCTTGATTCTCTTGTTAGCAAAAACATTCATTTTTAAGTGTGTGGCTAGGCTAAGGGTGCAGTAATACCCTTGACATCAACATTACCATTATCTAAGAACATGAAAGAAACTGGGAATATCAATTGGGGGTAAACTAAGAGAATAAAGAGAATAATTTATTATTACCATCATCGAGAGCATACAGTTTAGCATCCTCTTTTCTAAAAACTGATGTCTTCATAAAGTGAAGTAGTTCTTGGAGATGCAAAACCTTTAGTCAATTTGTTTACCATGGACTCACCATGAAGCCTGATTAATTGTCATTACCAGATTTCAGCTTTTTGCCACTATACATGAAACTTCATTTTTGCATCCAGTTACTCTCTTATTGGGAAGGTTAATCTGTATCTTTCCCTCTGAGACTGTCAGCTATGACTTTAGTGGCTGGAGACAATGGAACAAGAGGCCTGCGATTGGAATCAGTATTAAAACCTGGCTTTAATTCCTGTTCTTTAATCACCATGGTTCTTTTTGTTAAAAAAAAAAAGAGGTTAAAAATACTCCTGCTTTACTTGATTATTTTGAAGACTGAATACAGTAATATATATGGATTTCATGGTACAAGGTGAACATTCAATTAATGTCTTCTTGTTTTAGCAAATGAACAAAAACATTTGCCCCAGTCTTTAGAGGAACAAAAATATTTGCCCCAACATTTAGATGCAACTTCTTCCTCTATACCATTCCCCTGGCTCCTCACTCTTTTCTGTCACCTAAGGTGGGTGTCTGGCTGCTCATAAAGGGATATAGGCATGTGTTTGAGATGCCCAGATGGCAAAACCAAGATGATGAAACTTCTGAGGGAAGTGGTGAGTTACAACTTTGTATATGTTGGAAAATTACTATTTATTAATATATGTCAATAGTAGTGGCCATGCTGAATAACTTGTTTGCTTACTATGCTGATTTATGAGGGGAGAAATGATGACAAATTCTCAAATTTTTGAGCTGCAACATCCATTTAACTTTCAAGCTTATGAAATTTGCCTTTTTGTTTTCCATTGAGAAGACATCTGGAGTCCCTTTTGCAGGCAACTTTAGGATACTAGCCTGCAGCGAGACGTGCTCTCAGATGGTATCGCTGCTTCTCCCAGCACCTGGTCCTAAATTTAGGTAAGAAAGACAGCAACTGCGAGAGGTTTTAATAAATCTTGCACAGCTTCAGCTCAGGCTTACTTAAACAGTAGTTTCCTTAGTATCACCACAAGCAAGTCAGTGCAGTAGGAGAACACAAATACAATGTAGACTAGTGATGCTGTAGGTTTTTCTTCACATTTGATAGTACTCTAATAGGGGAAAAATTTTTACCGGGCAAATGTTTTTCTATTAGGTTGTGTATCATTTTGGAAAATTAAACTGAACATTCTGTTTATGGATAGTGGTTTAATTAGAATAATGACAAAAACTGGAACACAATTGATAATAAATAGGAATTTGTCTTTCCATGGAAACATACATTCATTTTATGTATGGAACAACTCTCTTATTGTATTAGTATTAATTGTGTTAAATCTTGAAATTATTTTATCTTCCTTAGTTTATAATATGAGAACATTCTTCTAAAATTTTCTTATGTTTTCTTTGCTGTACCTATGAGTTGAATTATAACACACTATTTCTTTCTTAAAATAAGAGGAAAAACAAAGGTGAAATACATCACAAAATTTGTATCCATAGATATTAACTCCTAATTTTGGGTTTGTGTTGATTAATTACTTCTTCTTTACACTTTCCCTGTGTGCTTCAAAATCTAGTATTTTCATTTCTGTTTTCTTGTCAGGTAACAGGTTTCTGGAGATAGAAAGGATGGGCTAGAGGTGAAGGGTTTTCCTACTACAGGGGCATTGAATTGTAGGGATTTTGTAGAGGGGATTCAAGTATGAGATGGGTGGTTGGCATAAACAAAACCCAAGCTCCTTAATCTCTGATTGCCAGTGATTATATAAAACTTATGCTCATTGTCAGAATATATCTCATGTCTTACTCTTAGCCCTGTCCAATGAACTGTACCTCCATCTTTCTAAACTTTCTTTAGAATTAAGCCTAACAAACATTTGTTAGATTCTTGTTATGTGCAAGACTATATATTAGCCACTCTGTAAGAATCAAATTAACTGTAATGCATATATATAATGTGAAACTTTATAAATTTAAAAAATTTCCAAGTTTTTAACAATTAAAAATAGAATAAGGCAAAAAAGAAAAAAGTGAATAAAGTGAATAGTATACAGCTCCTGACTTCAAAGAGCTTACAATTAGAAATTTCTTAAAATTCATGAGGCTTTGGTCATTTCAATCATTCCAGCAGCCCTCTAACAATTCTGTATATTGCACAAAATTTTTAGTGAATATATTTGAAGTGTGGGTTAGAAATAATTAATATTTTAAAATCATATGCTAAATAACAAAATTACCAAATTAAAATGACTTATATTTTACTCAAGAAAATAAGTTTATAAATTAAAAACAAATACTAATTTACTATGTACAAAATACTGTGTGAAAATGAAAGCTTTTTTAAAGCACAAGTTTCAGGTTATAGGAAATCAATACACATTCAGCCCAATCTTCTACATTTTCTATATGATGCAATTAATACTTCTGTTAGCATAATGACTATGAATCACTGAAAAAAAATCCATTACCAAAGGCAGAAAGTTTGATTAAAACAAAATTAAAAGTTCTTCTCAGAACACACACATGACCAACAAACATATGAGAAAGTGTTCAACTTTGCTAATCATTAGAGAAATGCAAATCAAAACCACAATTACATACCCTCTCACAAAGGTCAGAATGGCTATTATAAAAAATAAGATGCTGGCAAGGTTGTGGAGAAAAGTGAATGCTTATACACTGCTGGTGGGAATGTAAATTGTTTCAGCCATTGTAGAAAGCAGTAGGGTGATTTCTCAAAGATCTTAAAATAGAATTACCACTCAACCCAGCAATCTCATTATTGGGTATATACTCAAAAGACTATAAATCATTCTTCTATAAAGACACATGCACTTGTATGCTTATTGCAGCACTATTCACAATAGCAAAGACATGGAATCAACCTAAATGCCTGTCAATGGTAGATTAGACAAAGAAAATGTGGTACGTTTATGCCATGGAGTAATATGCAGTCATAAAAAAGAATGAAATTATGTATTTTGGGAGCAACATGGTTGGAGCTGGAGGCCATTATTTTTAGTAAACTAATCTAAGGACAAAAAAAAAACAAACACCACATGTTCTCATTTATAAGTGGGAGCTAAGCATTGAGAATATATGGACACAAAAATGAAAATGACAGACATCGAGGCCTACTTGAGGGTGGAACGTGGGAGAAAGGACAGGATCATAGAACTACCTAATGGGTACCATGATTATTACCTGGGTGATGAAATAATCTGTACAGCAAACCCCTGCAATATGCAAATTACCTATATAACAAACCTGCACCCCTGAAGCTTAAATCAAAGTAAAAAAAAACTTGAATGTGGACAAAAATAACTATAAAATATATTTAACAATTTTTACATGCAATAGAAAATACTGAAAAATTATCTATATATGAATGATTAAAAATTATGATAACTCTATACCATGGAATACTATACATCCATTAAAAAGAACATTATATATAATAACTTGTACATTATATTTCCTGTGTGTTTTCTAATTTTTCTCTGTATAGAAATGCTTATTGAGTTTTTTCTGTCCCCTTTATACCATCTTATACTGATTGCATTGGGACAGATAAATTTTCTTTTAAGTATATGTCTCCAGATCGAGAGGAGTCATATATGGACTTGATGTAAAATGACATCACCCTAGATCTTAAATTTTGAGTTTGGTGCTAGTTGTAGATGTCATGCCAGACCCCTCCTGACTCCAATAGGGATGGCACTATCTTTAAGAGGCCAAAGAAGAGATCCAGAGACAGTAAGCAACACATAGGGTTTATGAAGGGAGCTTACATACAGGGATGGTCTGCATGGTGGGCTGGGCAGGAGAACCGCTACTGGTTGTAAAAAGCATGCAGTGTGTATAGCACCTTCACTTAGCATGTCTACCTAGCAACCTCCATTTACCCCCCTAGAAAGGGCCTAAATCCCCTGTATGGCCTGCATTCCAAGGGATGAGTCAGGAGTTCAGATTTCCTTCACAGATAAGAAGTGAATCTCTGGGTTGGCCACTCTTGGATTCCTTAGCTTGGAACTCTGAAAACACATTCTTCTTAGACCATAGGGTCATCCTCAAGTTATCCTTAAGTTAAGTTATTGCTGTCAGGTGCACCTGCCATGCAATGTACTGGACTATGAGACTGTATCCTTTGGGGGTAAGATAAATGTATTTTATGAGTGGGAAGAAGAGTTAACCAAATAATTAGTGTCCGGAAAGATAGAACATGGTATGCACTAGTGATGTGCATAGAATCTTCTCTTCATCTTCCAGGCATATGATAGGATTTTATTTTCTCATTGATTATGAAATTAAGAATGACTATGTAATATATTTTGACCAATGATGTGTGAGTAGAATTGGCATCCATGACTTCTTAGCACAAGCTTTATATGCTAATGTGGGATTGGCTACATTCTTCTTTCATGGCTGGCATGATTGTACAAACACACATTGAAATTGAGCTTTAATCGACTCATCCCCTGAGTACTATGGACTGAAATGTGTCCCCCACAAAATTCACATATCATAGCCCTAACCTCCAATGTACCTGTATTTGGAGTAAGAAGGTAATTAAAGTTAAATGAGGTTATAGTGTGGGGTCCTTATCTGAAAAGATTAGTGTCTTTATAAGAGACACTAGAGAATTTACTTTTTCTCTCTCTGTCTACCATGTGAAGATACCTTAAGAAGGCAGCTATCTGCAACTAGGAAAGAAGTCCTCACCAGAATCCAACCTTGCTGGCACCCTGATCTCAAACATTCAGCCTCCAGAACTGTGAGAAAATAAGTTTCTGTTGTTTAAGCCACTCAGTCCATGGTATTTTGTTACAGCAGCCTTAGCTGACTAATACTCTGAGTGAACACAATGAACAAAGCCCCTGCCATCCCACATTAGATGTACACTATGAGCATGAAGTCAACCTGTTGTGATAAGACACTAGGATTTATATATCCAATTAAGTTGTTAATGTTTCCATTTGGATGCCTCACAAGCAACTCAAAAGTTAAAATGTCCAAAGCTGAAAACTTGACTTCACCCCCATAGCCTTTTATTCCCATTCTTTCTTATCTTAATAGGACTGAATAGTACAGCAGTACACATTCACAGTGTAATCCGCCTGATGGCTCTACTAGAAGACAGAGCATTCTTGATTCTTTACTGTACCTCACCTGCCATATTAAATCCATTGGCAAGTTTTGTTGAATCTCCCTCTTAAAAACACCTTGAATTCACACAGTTTTCTCTATCTGCACAGCTCCCAACCTAGAACATCATCACTTCTTCATGGACTACTGGAGTAGATTGCTAATTGGTGTTTCCACTTCAACTCCTGTCTTTTCCCAGGGTATTCTCCACAAGCAACCAGGAGTTCTGTGTAAACCATAAGTATCAATCACTATCAGACCAAAATACCTTCAATGACTTCCCATTATGCTTTAAAAAATAGACATTACCATGTCTATTTTATGTATGCTATCTCTTGTCACTCTCTTTCTTGTCTGCTTCAGTCTGTAATATTTTTCTTGTACTTCTTCCTTGAATGTGCCGAGATATTTTTAGTCACAGGGTTTTGAAATAATTGTAATAGCAATAACACAATGAACAAAAATATCAATAACTAACATTTATTGAATGTTTACTCTGTACCTGGCCCTGTTCATTTAGTACACATATTAATTCATTTAGTGTTCACGGTGAAATATAGACTATTCACGGTGAAATATAGACATATATGCTATGTCCATTGTATAGATAGAAACCCAAAGCACAAAGAGATACCCGAGGTCATTTTCTAGTAACTGTTGGAACCAAGATTGGAAGCCAGGAGATCTGTTCCAGAGCCACTTGCTTGTTTAAGCATCATGGTCCCTAAATATCAGCTCTTTCCTGTTGTGTTTCATGTTGTCAGTCCTTTCACCATTTAATCCCAGCTTAAACATCCCCCTTTGAGAGAGATCACTGTATCCACTCAGCCCTTACTGTCTTTCATCATAACTGTTTGTTTTCTTTATAGTGCCTACCTCACTATTTGCAATCATATATTGTTTATTCTCTATCTAAAAGGTTGGTAAACATTTTCTGTTAAGGGCCACAGAGTAGAAATTGTAGGCACTGTGGGTCATACGCTCTCTATTGCAACTGTTCCACCCTGCTATTACAAGCAAACAAATATGGCTGTGTTCTAATGAAATTTCACTTCTAAAAGAGGTGGTGGGCCAGATTTAATCCATGGGACAGGGTTTGTCAACCTCTGGTCTAACTCTTCGATGAGACTATAAGTGCTATGAATTTTGGTTACTTTTTTATGTATCCTTAGGTTACAACACAGATCCTGGCACATAAGAGTCATTTGGAACATTCCTGTTGTGTGAAGGAATGGCAGGGAATAGTGCATCTTACTCTCCACACACAGAAAAAGCAGACATTCACATTCAGTCTGATTATATTTTAGAAACAAATGTACATATCAATATGAAGAGGGGGACATGGAACAAGTTACAGAAAAGGGAAGGGGAGAAAGAGAACTTGAAACTTCATCAAGATATGATGTCAACACCTCCTCTTTTCCACATTAAAAAGAAATTTGTTGCATTAGTCATTAACAGCTTGAATGTATTCCTCTGAATAATGGAAGTGGATTCCCCTTATGACTGTGTAACAAAATGCTTTATAGCTTTGAGATTTTCCTTTTATGTGCTATACTATATACTCAGTTTTGGACAAATGAAAATCAGTAAGTCATTTTGTGTCTGGGTGGGAACAGGAAAGCAGGCACACCTGAGAAGGGCAGTAGAAGTTAAAGTATGGATGAGTTCTCTGAAGAGTCAGAGTAGAATAGAATGTGTTTACTAACATGATGTTCTGACAGCACCTCATCAACTCTCAGCTGATGTGTCATTAATGGATTTGTTGGATAGCTGCTCTACTTCCTATGGTAAGGATGCACTAGAAATACTATTGCCAATGTTTATGTCTCAGAAAATCTCCTTTGAAATACCCAGGTACCATAGAAAGGAAGTAGAGCTAATAAATAATTCCAAGTTTATTAAATCTTATAAATTTAACAAGATTGGATCCTTAAGAGAAATTAGAAAACTACTCTAAAAGTTTAATTAACCAAGAAATATTTATTGAGAAACTATTATGTGCAAGGCATTGAGGGAAAAAGGGAAATATCTGCCAAATAATTTCCTAAAATTTTTCAATTGTAAAACATTTCTGATTGTTTAAATTGGAAATACCTTTTCCTCCATTTCTAAAAGTGGTTTGACCTATATTCTTAACCCAAAATGAGCAAAAAGTAGCCTCATTTTAGTAACTTTGTAAACTTCCTCTGTTACAGATGAAATTAAGCTGAAGAGTGTCAAATTAAGCAGTGATAGGGTATTTTGGATAATTTGTTAGATCCATATGAAAGGGAAATGAGTAACACAAATCTCTGAACCTCCGAAGAAGATTTGGGCTTGGCCTGATTTGTTCTCCTCTCTTACCTTATTCTTCAAAAAGGGTCTTTCTTGGCTTGCCAGATTAGATCTTCTGAGTTTTTGTTTATACAGACATAATCAGGAGAAAAGCAGTGAAGAAGAATAAATGTGTGGGTGATAACTTGCAAAATTAATTTAGGGAAGAGTAGGAGAGATGGATGAGGGAGAAGCTGAGTGAGGTATTTGTGGGATATGGGTGGGCAAGAAAAAAAGGAAAGGGGTTTTAAAAAGTGTGGGCCTCATCAACGCATAGCTATAATTTTTTGAGAAATGCCAGTAAAGTTTTGAGTTATTTAAAAATTATTATTATTATTTTTTGCTTGCTGACTTTTTTTCTTTGACTAAGATGTTGCTAGGTGTCTTGGTATAATATCATGTATATGAAGGTCATAAGCATTGTAGATCCACAGGCTTCACAAGCATTATGCCTTCAGAAGTATAAAGCTACCTCCTCTTTTTATATCATCTCTATCACCTATGTTGGAGAAATATGTTAATCACATGATATATGCAGTCTTTTTCATGCATTACAGAGCTGTTACAGCTGTATTCCTTTTTGATCTTTATGCATACTCAAAAGTTTTTAATACTCTCTGGAATGGCAACAAAAAAGCTTTTATGTGTGAGAAATCTTCACAAATTGTGAAATGTATTTGACATAGTTCTTCACTTTACATAGTAGATTTCCAATCAAGTGACGGTGATGTTTTAAGTTTCTGAAATTATGATTTCTTCTGATGAGAAATGCTTGGTTCATAGAATCCAGACTATTAATTTGGATTGGTTCATAGAATCCAGACTATTAATTTGGACTATTACTTTAAACTCTAATTATATCAAAAGGTCTCTAAATTCAGGCCCAGAAATTCAAATAGGTTTAGGAATACTGAGAATGTATTCTTCATAATCTCTTTTCAATACTTCCTCTGTCACCATTTTAATTTTCCTCTTAGAAAACTTCCTTTTATATTAAAAGGCCAATTAGACTCAAAAGCAACAATAAACAATGGCCATTGACCCAAGAACTATTATCATTGGTTTGATGGATATCAACAATAATTGTCCAGGCAAGAAAGGAACTTAGTGGGCAGAGGAAACATCCTTTCAATCATGGTGGTTTTTCAGACACCGCTGTTATTTCACTAGGCTCTTCTGAACTGGTAGAATTGGCATTAGACTGTGTCAATAAAATCACTGTGAAATTGAAAAGTCTAAATGCTTGTAGCAGGAAATAAAACCCTTGCCAACTTCCATATTTACATGAGGCAGAATGAAAGGAAGTGACACTAATCATTGAATTTAGCACTGGTTTCTTTTTAGTTGCAAATTAAAAAGTCCCTCTTTCAGCATATTTAGTATTGGTTGGTCAGATGCAAATAAGAGTTATTCTGTCCAAATTGTGGTTATATTACAAAAATGTCACAGAGAGATTATTCTCAATGGAGAAATTAAGATGTCTAATTCTGACATTATGTGCATCTCAGATTTGGGTCAGAGTTATTTATGTGTTGGGCAAATGACCTTTGATTTAGATACCACATTTTCCTAATGGAAAATTAAAACAATAGGTCAGAAAATTTTGATACTTTTTTTAGGTGACATAAGAGGCCTAGGATATGTTTTATATGATGGAATGTTAAAATTAGTAACTTAGGGTGACAGTGAAAAAAATTCTGAAATTAGAACTGTTCCAGGTAGTTTAGAAAGCATGATCAATGCACCTGTATGCAGGAGGCGTTATCTGTATTCTGCTGACATGATGTTATCCTAAAGTTTATGCTTGGAGCTTCAAATATTCCCCACTTGTCTAGCATGCTATTATACTACTAACTTTTCTGCCTCAAGAACTTGAAATTTTAATTTGCTGGGTCATGGATGGATTAGCAGAGGAGCAGAAACAGTTCTTTCAGAAGGTCTTTCTTAAAGTATACATATGATTTAGAGAGGTTTCCTGTGGCCTTTTCCCTTTGGCCCAGTTCAGTATATCTGATTAGCTGATCCAGCTTTAGTTCCTGAATGCAAGGAGAGAGATACAGGAGAGAACTGCAAAGTGGAGAGAATCTAGTGGAACCCTAAGTTCACGAGTGTGTATTAGTTATTACTCTACTTGTCCAGGCCAGGGAGAGTAACCATAGGCTTTGGCACCTAAGGGATTTTGAGAGGCTCTGAAAATAACTAGGATGTTGACGGTGCCTGAAGAACAGGATAATTGATGAGGTGAGGTGAGAGTTAAGCCCCAAAGTTAGGATGCAGCTAGGTAATAAAAGCCCTTAGAAAACAGGCCAGGGAGTTTGGGTTGTCCTGTAGATAAGAGAACAGGGAAGAGAAAGCCTTTGGAGGATCAAGCAATGATGAGATTTATGTTTAGATACATTGTTCTGATCATCAGGGAGTAGGAGGGAACAAAAGGGAAAGGGCTTAGATCAGTTGGTGGGAATGAACATTTGAATAAGTTAGTGAAGGCCTGAATTAAGTCAGTGTTAGCAAAGACAAAAATGACAGATTCTCCTCAGTTTTCAAGAAAGAAATAACAAGGATTGAATGGACAATATGGTTTCAATAGCTATAATTTCTTATAATAAGAAGGGGAATATGGGGAAAGAATATAGTATTCAAGCACAGTCATTTGTAAAATGCAGTCTCTACATAGCTTCAATCCCCACTTTAGGCTAAAACCAATAAGGAAATCAACTAAAAACCAGAAAAGTGATTTAGATCTTTGTAGGCCATTGGTTCTCAACTTTAGGGAATATCAGAATCACCTTGAGAGTGTATTGAAACACCAGTTGGTAACACATACCCCCAGAATTTCTGACTCAGTGAATGTATGGTGGGGCCTGAGACTTTGCATTTCAAGCAAGGGTCAAGGTGAAACTGTTGCTGCTTATCCCAGGGCCACACTTTGAGAACCACTGTCCTTGATCATTGTTTTAAACAATAGTTTTCAATATGACTGTTTTGAGTAGAGGCATTCTATCATGATCTGTAGTGACTAAGGGAGTTACACAATTAAATTGATGGGTCTTACTCCCATTCGCTCAAGACGTTTTTCCCCCAATACATTTTAACTTGGCCTAGACCATGGTTTATTTTAGCTTACATATTCTGGTTCTGTTTTTGTAAGATCACCCTTGATTCTTTCTACCTAAATCCTAAGACATTGCCCCTGTGATTCTCAAGAAATCATTTAATCTTTGCCTTAAAACCACAGATCCAAGTAATTCTTTAAATCTGTCTAGCACATTTATAATTGTAACCCTTTAAGAACTATACTGTTTATCTGTTATCATCTTCTTTTATTCAACTTATCATCATCATAAGTCACAAGCCTAGAAATTCACCACTCCTATTTAATGTGATTTTCCTTTTGTGAACCTCAATATTGGTGAGACAATTCCATGAGTTTAGTGTTCATTACAGGGAACTTCAATAAAATTAAAAAAATATTGTCCTGTGGGGATTTGATAAAAGAACCAAAATAAATATAGAAGTAAAGACCATGAATGTTGGAGCAGATTTCATAACAGAAAAGCATAAATTGTCTTAATACTTGTGACTTAGGTGGAACTAACAGAAAAAGCTTGTGTGCGGTGGGACAATTACTGTGTTTGCTGAGTCAATCAGAGAAACTTGAGGAAGAGAGAGAGAGGAAATTTACAAGGAAATGGAATAAAAGTGTTGATGCAGAGAGATTTATTTGTTATGGAGGCTCCTGTAGTTGGAACAATAAATGCAAGCTTGACTGCAACCTTCGATGTTTCCTTATACAGAAATAATATATGTTGCTTGGGGATCAAAAATATTTTGTAAATTTCTCCTGTTGTGAATTTTATGGACAGAAAGCACAGTATTTCTAAAAATATAACATGTTCATATTTTCCTTTCAAAGCGGGATTAGCTTTTTCAACTTCCTTCCAAAACCCTTACGTTTTCATTTTCTCACTAGCTGACCATCTCTGTGGTCTTTTCCAGCCCTCACATTCCTTCTATATGTACTTGTCTGTGATGCCCCCTGAGCTCAGTGGAATCAGAGCAACCTACTTTATAATCACTTCATAATCCTTCTCATTGAAGTATATTTTCCATTTGCTTGAGAGAGGAATTAGCCCTGTGGGAAAATGACTGAAAAAGGCTTTTAAAACACTTGGTCCCTTAAAATTACTCAGAAAATTTCCAACTTTGTGACTCCTGGCTTTTCATCCAAGTACTCCAGCAGATAACTATACATAGGGGGTAGTCAGTAAGAATAGTTGATGATCTGTCATCATCCCTCAAATATACCTTGCCATTGAGGAAGAAAGATTTGCCAATATATTAAATGGAACTCATACAAGTAGGTAATAAGAGCTGTTCAGTAGGTTTGGTTAACCTTGCAGTCAATTTTCTATAAAAGCACTCTGGTGACCTGAGACCCAAACCTCCACACACTCTAGAGAAGTTGTTTTCCCATTGGAGAATATAGTCTGGTGGATAAAAATATGCTTAGATATGTTTGTTTTGAGGTAATTGTTCTTTATCCTTTTAGATCAGCAAGCCCTTTGTATAAAAACTCTGTCTGCTTTATTTTGCAAAATTTACATATGCATGCAATGTAAAGTTGTCTGTAATTTTCTGAAGCCCACCCATAGAGCACAGACAGAAAGCCTCTACTAACCTTGTTTGATGTCTTAGGAGCATTTATCATCCTTCAAAATTCCAAGGTTTTTTAATAGAAGATATCTGTATATGTGCGTTGGCCTCCGCAAATGTATGACTAAGTTTGTAGGAGCAGAAGAAGAGATATAAAAATGTATGCTTTTTGCAATAATTTTTAATTAAAAAATTAAAAGCCATGGCAACTTGAGTTATGTGAAGGAACTATTTTAATCTTAAACCGTGATTTTCCTTTCTTGTAAGAGTTCCATGGAAAAACCTAAAATAAAGACAAAGTGTATGTATGTGTATGTTTTCCCAGTTGGAAAATTTGTTACAGAACCTAAGTCATCCATCACCATGTCACAGAGTCAATAGAATCCTCCCCTTTCGAGTCTTGCCTGAAGGTTTTCTGTGTATTTCTCCAAATAAAGGATTAGTTAAACCCAGAGTAGCTAATGTTGTAGATCACATAGTGGCTCAATTTTTTTTTTTACATCTTATCTTTCTAAGATCAATTTAATTTCTTCCTGAAGTGATTATGTGGATTCCTCTTAGTTTCCCATTGTTTGGATTCTCTAGTACATAGTACACAGCAGATTACATTCTCCCTTTAATAATTACCAGAGCCTTACGGTATTGTAGGGTTTCTGAACATTGGACACACATTAGAATGGCTTAGGGAGCTTTAAAAAATATTAATGCTTGGGGCTGCTTGGATGAGTCTCATTTCTAAACATCCTAATTAAATTAGTCTGAGGTGTGGCCATAATATTGGGATTTTTTGATCGGTATTTTTAAAAACAGCTTTATTGAAGTCTAACTGACATACGATAAAAAGTATATATTAAAATGTACAATTTACTAAGTTCAACAAATGTGTGCACACATGAAACCATCACCAGAGATAAGATAGTAAATGTACACAACAGCACAAAAATTTTGCTCATGCCCCTTTATCCCCTCTTTCTCCCTCTCCACTTCTCTTTACTCCCTCTCTAAGCAACCATGATCTTCTTTCTCTTATTATAGATTAGTTGCATTTTATAGAGTTTTTTATTAATGGAATAGTACAGTTTGTATTCTTTTTTTGTCTACTGTGTTCACTCAGCATAGCAATTTTTAGATTTATCCATATTGTTACATGTAGTTCATTCTTTTTTGTTGCAAATTAGTATCCCTTTGCAGGGAAATGCCACAAAATGTTTACACATTCCTTTGAGTTGTTTCTAGTTTTTGGCTGTTACAAATAAAGCTGCCATGACTATTCATGTACAAGTCTTTGTATGGATACATACTTTCATTTCTTTAGGAATGGAATGGCTAGATCGAATATTAGATGAATGACTAACTTTTTAAGAAACTGACCAACTGCTTTCCAAAGTAGTTGTACCATTTTATGTTCCCACTAACAGTTTAGAGAGTTTTAGGACCTCCACATCTTTATTATGCTTCATTGACCTATTTGTCTATTTTTATGTCAATATCACAATGTCTTAATTACTGAAGAGTAAAAAGTCTTAAAATCAGGTCATAAGTTAGTGCACCAACTTTGTTTTTTTAAAAATTGTTGTCTGGGAGGCTGAAGCAGGCAAATCACTTGAGGCCAGGAGTTCCAGACTAGCTTTGTCAACATAGTAAAACCCTGTCTCTACTAAAAATACATAAATTAACTGGGTGTGGTGGCACATGCCTGTAATCTCAGCTACTCAGGGGTCTGAGGTATGAGAATCACTTGAGCCTGGGAGGCGGAAGTTGCAGTGAGCCGAGATCGCGCCATTGCACTCTAGAGTGGGTGACAGAGGGAGACTCTGTCTGGGGGGAAAAAGGTCCTATTCTAGGCCCTTCTATTTCCATATGAATCTTAGAATCAACTGTGAATTAAAAAAAGAAACCCACTGTGGTTTTGATTGGGATTGCATTGAATATATATAGATAAATTTGGGAATAACTGACGTCTTAAAAATATGGAGTCTTTTGACTTATGAAAACTATATATTTCTTCATTCACTTAGATCTACTTTAATTTCTCTCAGTAATGTTTTATAGTTTTAGTGTTCAGATATTGGGCACGTATTATCAAATTAATCCCTAAGGACTTAATATTTTCTAATGCCATTCTAAGTGTTATTTTTTTCTAAAGTTTTCATGTCTGATTGTTCTTTGCTAGTGTATAAAAATACAATTATTTTTCTGTGTTGATTTTGTATCCTGTAACCTGGATAAACTCATTTAGCTTTTCTAGTAGTTTATTTGTGGATCCCATCACATTTTCTGCATAGATGATTAAAATGGGGAGAAAGACAGTTTTATCTCCTTCTGGGCTCTTTTTATTTCATTTTCTTACCTGATTTCTCTAAGCTAGAATGTTGACCAGAAATGATGATAGCAGGGATCCTTGTCATATTCCTGACATTGGGGAACTACATTCAATTTGGTATTAGCTGTGAGGTTTTCATCATTGCCCTTCATCATGTGGGGCATTTTCCCTTCTTAGTTAACATTCTAGTTAAAGCCTGATCCTGAGGGAAGGGAAGGGTCATGGGCCACATGAAATTTTTAGTTCTCTAATTATTCCTTTATGAAGTGAAACCAGTTCAAAGTTGTACCATTATCCACAAATATTGAACATAATCCCCACTGTCTCACTCGCAATAGAGTTATCTGTACTGAGTACAGAGCCTGGTACTTAATAAAGGCTTAATTAATGTTTTATTTGGACCTCCTTTTTTCTGATTTTGAGAGCACAGTAACATAAGCTTTATAAAGTACATTGGGAGGTGTTCCCTCCTCTTCTATTTTCTGGAAAATATTGTGTAGGATTAATGTTACTTCTTTAAACATTTGGTAGAACCATCTGGACTGGGAGATCTCTTTTTTAAAAAGAATCTTTAAATTATGGATTCAAATTCCCTAATAATGATAGGGCTATCCCGATTCTTGATTTTATATTGGGTGAATTGTAGTTTGAATTTTGGGGTAAATTGGTCCATTTTATGTAATCTGTCAAATTTATGAGTGTAGATTTTTTCATAATATTATCTTATTATTCTTTTGATGTCTGCAGGGTCTATAGTGATTTCCCGTTGTATTCCTGATAGTGATAATTTGTGTCTTCTGTACTTTCTTTATCAGTAATGCTAGAGATTTATTAATTGCATTAATGTTTTCAAATAATTGGCTCATCAGCCCTTTGTTTCATTGGTTTTTCTTAAATGTTTTTCTGTTTTCATTATTTAATTGATTTCTGCTTTTATTTTTACTATGTTCTTCTTTCTGTTTGATGGAATTTGTTGTTGTCCTTATTCTTTTTCTAGGTTCCTTTGAAGTGAATTTGGTTTAATGGTTTGAGACATTTACAATTTTGTACCATATGCATTTAGGGCCATAAGTTTGCCTCTTAGCATTGTTTTAGTTGTGTTCCATAAATTTTGGTATGTCATGATTTTATTTTCATTCAGTTCAGTATGTTTTTTATTTCCCCTTGGAAATTGTCTTTGACCCACGGATTATGAAAAAATATATTACTCAGTTTCCAAATGTTTGAAGATTTTTCTATTTCTTTCTGGGATTGATTTCTAATTTGATTCCATTGTGGGCAGAGAACACACTCTATTTCAATTCTTTCAAACTGTTTAAGTTTTTTTTTTTTTTGAAATGGAGTTTTACTCTTGTTGCCGAGGCTGGAGTGCAATAGTGCAATCTTGGCTCACTGCAACCTCTGCCTCCCAGGTTCAAGAGATTCTCCTGCCTCAGCCTCTCAAGTAGCTGAGATTACAGCATATGCCACCATGCCTGGCTAATTTTGTATTTTTAGCAGAGACGGGGTTTCTCCATGTTGGTCAGGCTGGTCTCGAACTCCCGACCCCAGGTAATCCGCCCGCCTCAGCCTCCCAAACTGCGGGGACTACAGGCGTGAGCGACTGTGCCCAGCCAAGTTCTATTTTAACGTTTAGGATATGGCTTATCTTGCTTCATGTTCTGTAGGCAGTTGGAGAAAATGAATACTCTGCTGTTCTGCGGTGTAATCTTCTGTAAATGTTAATTAGATCTTGTTGGTTAGTGGGTTGAGTTCTATTGATATATCCTTTCTGATTATCTGTCTAGTTCTATCAATTGTTGAGAGAGGGTTATTGAAGTTTCCAATTATAATTATGAATTTGTTTTTGCCTTAATTTCAATAACTTTTGCTTCATTTATTTTGCATCTCTGTTGTTTGATGCATACATATTTATGATTACTATGTCTTCTTGGCAGATAACTCTTTTATTTTTATATAATATCCTTTTCTGTATCTGGTAAATTTTTTTGGTCTGAAATGAAGTCTACTTTGACTGATATTAACGTAGCCACTCTTTTCTTTTGATTAATGTTTGCGTAATATATCCTTTTACATCCACTCTGCCCATGTCATATATTTAAACTGAGCTTCTTATAGCAGCATATAGTTGAGTCATATTTTTATAAAATCTACCAATTTCTGCCTTTTATGCGTTATATTTAAACCATTTACACTAATGTAATTATTAATATGTTAGACTTAAGTCTATCATTGGAATTTTTTGTTTTCTGACTTTTTTTCTGTTTTTTTGTTTCTCCATTTTCTTTTTTCTGACATTTTGTGGGTTACTTAAACATTTTTTTTCTTTAGAATTCCACTTTGATTTATTTATAGTGATTTTGGTGTATTTCTTTGTATAGCTTTTTCAGTGTTTGCTCTAGGTACTGTATTATATATACATAACCTATCACAGTATACTAGCGGTATCATTTTCCCAGCTTGAGTTAGTGTAGAAACTTTACTCCCCTTTAGGCCCTTTTATACTTGCCATTTTATAATTGTCTTAAATATTTCCTAAATATACCTTTAGAACCATATCAGATATTGTTATAACTTTTGATTCAGCCATCAAATACACTTAAAAAAACTTTAGATGCCAAAGGTCATCTATTATATTTATCCATATACATTTTTTTTTGCTTGCTTACTGTGTTCCTTCTTCTTTCCTGCTGTTCTAAGATTCCTTCTTTTATTGTTTCCCCTCTGTTTAGATAATTTCACTTATCCATTCTTTAAGGGTAGATCTTTTGGTGAAGGATTCATTTAGAGTTCTTTCATCTGAGAATGTTTTGATTTTCCTTTCATCTTTTTTGAATATTTACACTTGAGATAACATTCTGGGTTGATAGGTCTGTTCTTTTAGCACTTTTAAAATGTAGTGGCACTTCTTTCTGTCTTCTGTGATTTCTTATGACATATATGCTATAATGCATTTTTTTCTATTGATACGATGTTCTGTTTTCTCTTTATTTGAAGTATTTTCTTTGCCTTTGGTTTTCAGAAATTTGACTATTATATGTCTTGGAGATCTATTTGAATTTATTCTAAGTTTGCTTAGCTCCTTGGATCTGTCAGTTTATGTCTTTTGCTAAATTGTATGAGTTATTAGCCATTATTTCCTTCAGTATATCTTCAGCCTTTTTCTCTTTCTCCTCTCCATCTGGTAATCCAATGACTTGAATGTTAGATATTTTCTTACATTTCCACAGGTCCCTGAAGGTTTGTTCACTTTTATTTTTCAATTTGGTATTTCTGTTGTTCGAATTGGTTAATTGTGTTATATCTTCTAGCCCAGTGATTTTTTCCTGTGTCCCCCTCATGCTGTTGAGCTTATTCTTTTTTTATTTTTTTGGCTATTGTCTTTTTCACTTCTAAAATTTTCGTTTGGTTCTTCTCTACATCCTCTATTTCTATGCTGAGACTTGTATTTTTAATTTGTTTTAAGTGTGCTTATAATGGCTCTTTGAAGCATTTTTATGATGAATGCTTAAAGTCTTTGTTAGATAATTCTAACATATCTATTATCTCAGTATGTCTACCTATTAATGGCCTTTTTCATTCAGTTTGAATAATTTGGATATGACAAGTAGTTTTCTATTAAAGCCTCAACATTTGGGTGTTGTGTTTTTAGATTCTAAAACATATTAAAACCTTCTGTTTTAGTTGACTTTTCTTGACATCACTCTGGCAGGGGAAAGGGACCTCTATTTTATTGCTGCCTATGGGGCAGAAGTCTAAATTTCCTACTTGGACGTGGTCCCTTTCATCACTACTGCTGGATGTGGGTGGAGTTTCAGGTTCTCCCTAGACCTTACTGGATGAGAGCGTTAAGAGTGCCTTGTTAACTTCTCCCTACACACCCTCCACTGATACCATGAAGGGCTGGGGTGGGAATGTGGCCTAATTACTGCTGGGTGGTTGGTAAAAGTTCTGTCTCTCCACTGTGCCTCCTCTCACACCACTTTAGGGAGGAGGGGGAGGAGCACCTTATTACTGATGGGTGGGGGATAGAAGCCCATACTCCCTAAATTGTCACCACTGACCTTGCATCAGGAGGGGGTCTTGTTACCACCTAGGAAGGATAAAGTCATGTTTTTTCCTACTTGGACTTTTTTTAATACCACCTCTAAGAGGCTTGGAGGAGATTATTTCAGGCTGCTGTGGGTGAAAGTCTAGGTTACTCATATGGTCTTTGCTGGTGTGGGGCAGGGGACAGAATACTTTGTTTTTTCTTTCCAATGTTTGGCTAAATTGAGTAGTTATTATCTAAAATTTTTTTCTCTTCTTGGATGCTTCTTTCCTGAATTTTTCCCTAGAGAGAGCAGACTTTTACTTGGGGATGTGGGGCAGTTTTTATCTATGCCCATTGGCCTTTCCAGGTTGCTGGCTTCATAAACTCTATGTCTAAGATATTAATGTAAGAAAAGAAAAACCCAAGGACCATAAGTTGCTCTTCATATTTTGAGGTCCCTAGCCAGTCTGTCTCTATCCACTGTTTAAATTTTTTAAATCATTTTTTATATATAATGTCCAGAGATTGTAGTTGTGTTTAGGGGTAGGAATAGAGAAAAATACATCTATTCCACTTTCCCAGAAGTGGAAGTAATTTCTGTGAAGGTTTTGATTAGAAAATTTTTGTAATAGCACAAAGATAATCTCAGTTATCATCCTCTGAACAAATTGCAAAGGAGTGGACCGGAAGCAGGGATGTGTTATCTCTGCATAAGAAATGAAGGTTTCCACACCCCCTCATCCCCGACACACTGAATGATTGTGAATGCCTGCTATGTGCAGGAACTATACTTACCCTTCACCTACACTGTCGCATTTACTCCTTACCACACTGACAATAAGGTAGGTTTTGGAATTGTTTTCCTAATAAAATGATTGTGTTTCAGAGGAATTAAATAATTGCCAAAAGTCACATAGTAAGCGAGTCACGGAATCAAGTATGGAGCACAGTCTACCAGACTGAAGTTGGCAAGATGATGAAGGACAGTGTATTAGCCAGAGTTCTCTACAGGCACAGGAGTAATTGGATAGATGTATATATGAAGGGGAATTTATTAAAGAGAATTGACTTACACGATCACAAGGCCATCTGCAAGCTGAGGAGCAAGGAAGCCAGTCTGAGTCCCAAAACCTCAAAAGTGCAGCCTTCAGTCTGTGGCTGAAGGGCCGTGAGCCCCTGGCAAACCGCTGGTGTTAAGTCCAAGAGTTCAAAAGCTGAAAAACTTGGAGTCTGATGTTCGACGTCAGGAAGCATCCAGCGTGGGAGAAAGATGAAGACCGGAAGACTCAGCTAGTCTAGTCTTTCCATGTTCCTCTGCCTGCTTTTATTCTAGCCACGTGGGCCACTGATTAGATGGTGCCCACCCAGCTTGAGGGTGGATCTGCCTTTCCCAGTCCACTGACTCCAATGTTAATCTTCTTTGGCAACACCCTCACAGATGCAGCCAGGAACAACAGTTTGCATGCTTCAATACAATCAAGTTGACACTCAATATTAACCATCACAGTTTTATGAGATGTTAGAGAAGATGTATCAACATTACTGACTCTTAAGTTCAGAGGTATTTGGTAGCCTAAGTACAGAGTGTGTGTACCTTTGGTCATGATTCTCTCAACTGAGCCATCTGAATATCATCTTATATGTATTCCATACTTAAAAGCCACCTGGATTATTATTTGCTGAATATTTTTCTTTATTCACTTGTGTGACTTAAATAAATGTTTATCTTAAACAACAATATTGATATGACCATGTGCTAGTTGTATCTATTTTTCTAATACAGATTGAAATAAATATTGACTATTTAAATAACAGCTGATCTGTGTCTCAGCCAAAAGCTTGTCAGGAATCACCTTGCTGTGGGACCCTGACTTCGGTGCCTGAAAGAGCTCTAATGGAAGATGGTTGCACACACAGATATAGCACTGGGGCAAAGGGATGAGAGAACACTTTCCCAGTATTATTGCCACTGGAGTGATTAGAAGTTTTGGTTGGAGGATTATATTTATCTTTAATTTTCAGTGACAGCTCCCTCTGTGTTCCAGGTGATTGTGTACTGACTCTTAGGAAGGCCTGTTATTAACCAAGGGTTAGACTTTAAGAAAAATTACCTTATTAAATGGATACTCATCTGTTGGTGTCTGACTGGCTACATTGGATTCAAGACTTAGAGAAAACAAACTCTCTTTTAGTACTTACTAAGTACAACAAATCAAGACTTTTTAAAAACATATCTAACTCTACTTTAGTGAAAATCTATACTTAAAGAATGTTATTGTATCCTGGTTCTTACTTTCAGCACTCCCAACATGAATTCAGATTTTCCCCAGTGATGAGTTCATCAGATGTTGAAAATATGGTCCCATCTAGGATATTAATCTTTACAAACCTTGAAATAATGCCAGCAGAACAGAATAAAAGCCTGAGCTTTGATCCACAGCACAGAGAAAGAAATTTGGCTTATTAGAAAAAAAAATACAAAACTTTTTTTCTTTTAAAGAAAGGATCCTTAATGATCATGTCACCAAACAGCTGAACTGTTGCAGAGGAATGGCATAGCAGGGTTTTTACTTATTCATTCATTCTGAGTTCAGTTTCACTGGGTTATTCCCAGGGAATACCAATAGATGGAAACTCATTTCACATCTGTTCTCCTGCTGTCAAACTGTAGTTGGTGACGGATTGCATGTAAAACATTTTCTTTCTTCCCTGACCTTTTTGTCCTGATAACCTGGTCATTTGCTGCCAGGGTGGGAACAGGATGCTTCTAGGTGGAAAGTGCTTTTTCTTTACAGAGATGAAGCACTCACTATCATCTTGAAATGTTTCCCATTTGTAATATGAAGTGAATTGCTTTATGATGGAGGCATTTGGAAAGGAGAAGAAAGCATTTTTAGACCAGCTTTTAGTAATAGATAATCAGCCATATACTGAGCTGAGGATATCACCATCTATATATGGATTGCTTCTAGCCAGAGTGAGCTCTCCCCCTCTTGTTTTTACTGCTGTACTAATATTCAATATCAAACATATCTCAGCTATTAAAACTGAAGCTGAACCCAAATATAACCTGTTCAGCACTTAGGAAGAAGAAGGTAGCTGTTGTCTTCACTGATTAACCTGAGATGTATATCTATGGGATTTTACTTTCATTTGAGGGATAATGTAGTTGTTTCTGTCTCTGGAATTGGATAATGAGATTTCAGGGAAGAGTGGCTTTCCACCTCTTATACTAACGTTAGTTCCTATTTGAAATTATTGTGTTAGACCTAAGCATCAAAAATAATGGCTCTGTTACTGCTTAATGCCTTTGCCACAAAGGGAAAGCCTAGAGGGTGAAGATGGAGATTGAGCACAAAGTTTGAAGTCAAGAAAGAACATCTTGGGACATATTTGGAAGTCACTTGCAACTTAGATTTTTTTATTTTAATGGGCAGCAGGTTGATTTCACATTTGTTGAAGACCGTTAGTATGCTGGCCAATAATCTTGTTTTTGTCTTTCAGTTAAAGCATGAATTTCCATTATATATAGAGAGATTAGAATGTGCATGCCGACATTTCTTCTTGTCTCTTGAACAGTTCTGAATAGATATTTGAAATTCATTAGTCATTTAGTTGTAACTTTTTTTTTGCTGGCCAAAAGCATTTAATAATTTTCTTTATTAGTTATTTTAAAATAAAAATGTATCATATGCATATTATAAAAACTTTTTAAAATTACAAACAAAAATGTATAAAAGTAAGTAATCTCCCCACTTAAGCCCCTATTCCCACCTTTTGAGGTAACTAGTGTTTACAGCCTGGTATATGTCTTTCCACATAGGTCTCTAGACTCTTCTAAAAGTATAGATCTATAACACATGGTTCTCTCTCTCTCTCTCTCTTTTAATCTGTCTTTCTCTTTCTCACATTGGCATGACACTCTATTCATGTAATAAATGTAGTTGCCTACTCAGTATCTATTTTCAAGTGGCATTCTATAACACACTTTAGTAAATAGCTATATATCCATGAAATAACTCATTCCTTGCCTCAAAGGGGAAAAAAGACACCTCTCATTTATTTTCCACATTATATGTGAAGTCTAGTGTCTCCAAGTTATGTGTAATCTTCTCCATCAAGTCTCCATAAACTTCTTCATGGTCTAAGGACCGATGGATAATCAATGGTCACAACACAATTTTTTAAAAAGACAATCATTTTACCACTGAACTTCCTTGAAAGTTTTTGCCAGAAAACTAAATTCATTAAAAATGTCTGCTCTAGAAAACCAAACACTGCATGTTCTCACTCATAAGTGGGAGTTGAACAATGAGAACACATGGACACAGGGAAGGGAACATCACACACCGGTGCCTGTTGGGGGATGGGGGCCAAGGGGAGGGAGGGCATTAGGACAAATACCTAATGCATACAGAGTTTAAAACCTAGATGATGGGTTGATAGGTGCAGCAAACCACCATGGCACATGTATACCTATGTAACAAACCTGCACGTTCTGCACACGTATACCAGAACTTCAAGTAAAATTAAAATTAAAAAAAAGTCTGTTCTGATCTATTTCTGTTCTTATGACAAAACTGAGGTGTCTTGATTTGAAATAGATGGACCACAACTCAAGATTTGATTCAAATGTCAAGATGATAACACCACACGCATACACCACAAAGAGTATAAATATGTTTATTACTTACATAAGGAGGCTTTCTGAGGAGAACAAGACTGGCCTAAGATTGTCTAAAAATGCCTCAATAGAGCAAGAAAAGAGACCGGCTTGGGACTTTTATTGTAGTTAGGGGATGGGATTAGCAAGGACTTGCTGGTTTGAATCTTCTTGTGGTGCCTTCCAAATAAGGGAGCTGGTTTCTTATCAGCTTGCCCAGACGTGAAGCAGAAGAGAAAGAGGCTTAAACAATGTCAGCAGTCAAACATTAAAAAAATTGAGTTGAACTCTTTATTACATGGGACTTTACAATAAGTCTTGAACTGAGAAGTAGTAAGGCCTCTACTGTTTTTTTTCTCAAAATTGTTTTCAAAGCTGTTCTTGTTTTCTTTTTTGTGTTAGGTTAATTGATTATGGTATTAAGAACTCATTAGCTATATAAAATGAAGGTTAAAAACTTTCTATCTTTCATAACGACAATGAAAAACTTTTTTCTTTAAAAGTTAGATAATACTTATACAAAACTAACAGTACCTGGTATTTAAAAATATTATTGTTGGTGCTTAATTACCATATAAATTTCTTCTGTGGATATTGGTCTATTAATATTTTATCCCTTACTAGAGAATATTAAAAAATTACAATTTGATAGAAATTATTCTTTAGATTTTCCAATTTATTATGGAAATATATTGTGTAACTACTGCAGTTTTCTGATGTGTAAACGGTTATCTATTTCAAGAATATTTATTTTGCTGATAATTAAATGAGTAATATGCTAAGGCCTTAGAATAGTAAGTACACAGTAAGCACTCAAATGTTGGTTTACATTGCAATAGAATTGCTGATATCACTTTGTTATAATACTGTAATTCATCTCTTTTGGCATGTTTTTTATTCTTGGTGTTTTGCTGTTAAGTTTGCTATAAATCAGTTATTTATAAGTTCCTTTTGGTTTAATTTATACTTCCTTTTAGTTTTGAAACTTTAAGCTTTTATCTTCAAGTATGTCTTCTTACTTGCTTTTGATATATTTTGCTCTTCATTTCCTATTTTCTTGAACACTCAGCTTATTTATTTTCCGTTTTTATTGTAAGTGATAAAAACATTTTTGGGTGTCTGTAATTGTCTAAACTATTATCTTTTAAAATTACTTTCTAGATTACTTTTGTTTTGATTTTCTCTTTTATCCAGGAGTTTTAAGAGATGATGTGATAATTTTTGCATGGCTAAGTTGGCATATTTTGACTGCACTTTTTATTGTATATTTATAATTCCTTTGAGTGATAATCAGGAAATACAACTTTAAGTTTAAAATTTTGAAGAATATATCATAGTTTTTTGTTACAAGATAAATCTTATAAATGTTATATCAATACAAGGAAACAATGTATATTATCTGAAAAATACAAAACTCTCACTCTCATATATATGCATATATATATACTATATATATATGTGTGTGTATACATATATATATATAAGCTATCCCATTGAAATGTAATCATTAAGAAATTCAATTCCTGTGAGAGAGTAGGAGCCTATTTTGGATCAATACTTATTAATAAACACAGATGGCCTAATCACATTGACTAACCTTCTGCCTAATATCCCCTATCCCTTTTCCACTAGCCCATTCTAGTGCTTAAAAACTCTCCTGCTTTTTGTTTCAGTGGAGTTGAGTTCAATCTTGCTCCCCTATTTCAATAGCGTTGAATAAAGTTTTTCTTGTCATTTTAACAAGCATCGGTTGCAATTTCTCTTTGCACCTGACATTTGTTAAAATGTAATATATTACAGCTTGCTGACTTTATTACTCAAATTCACTATGTCCTTTCTTATTGTTGATTTTTATCGCTTTTCGACTAGTTGGAGCCCTTATAGTTTCTATGGAATATGATGAAATGCCTATGTATCCTTACAAGTGATACAAACTGGTCCTTGGTTTTTTTTTTTTAAAGTAATTACTGTAGAAACTTGATTTTCTCTGAATCTTATGAAATGGACAGATGCATCTCATATCCAAAAAATGTTTGGAATGGAAGAGTTCACAGATCAAACCCAACCCATTTTTCGTCAATATAAAGTGAGTAAGAACTTGCAGAGTACTTTTTGTAGGTCTCACAATAAATTAATGGCAGCACTAGGCCTTAAACTCAAGTTTTAAACTTTAGCTATCCTTTTTACTCTTATAAGAACTAAGCGAATCTTCTATGAGAAACAGTAGAGAGGAAAGCTCATTGACCGGTACCCTTTAATGGAAAGGAAGGGAGAATCGGCAGTGGAAAGGCATTCGGTTTGCATTATTTCTGCTAAGAGGCAGGTTCAGACCAAAGACTATGAAACTGTTGAGACAGCAACATACTCAATTGTGGAGTATCCAGATTTAGCCAGTAAAACTACAGATGTCTAGTTCAACTTAAACTCATGATAATTTGTTAAGTATAAATATATCCCAGACAATATTTGGGGGCACATTGCAACTGAAAGAATATTCATTGTTTACCTGAAATTCAAATTTAACTGGGCATTCGGTAGGACTTTGGGAGATAATAGAGACAGGTGAGTGCAAAACAATTCCAAATTCCTATATATATTCAAGCGAAGAAAGGAGATATACTCTATCCTTGTAACTATCAAGTTCTGTAATAAATCACATACAGCACTTACTGTGTATATAGAAGCTTGGATATCTTAGGTGTGTGATATTTGTGAAGCCTTATTACAGATTTACTTTCCTTAAGTTTCATATTAGGAAAAGAAGCCTCATTTATAGGCAAAAAATAAGTAAAAACAGGTACATTGGAAATGGAAAATATAACACTGGGATTAGATCCTCAGTGGAAGCTTTATCATGTTTTTCTGACAATTCATGAGATAAGTACGTTTATAATTCAGGAGGTTGATGAGGACATCAAAAGACAGTTTTCTTAAAGAGGATGTTTTTCTTGATAAGTTCTTTGTTGTAGTTAGGAGTTTGTACTCAAAGGATAAAAAAACATGTCTCTGTGACCATTGAAAATTACAAAAACAATTGATTTTATCAAATTTGTTAAAGGCATTGTTTTAGAGCATAAGAAATACAAAAAATTATTAGCTGGGTGTGGTGGCGTTTACCTGTAGTCCCAGCTACTCGGGAGGCTGAGGCAGGAGAATCGCTTGAACCTGGGGGAGGTGGAGATTGCAGTGAGCTGAGATTGTGCCACTGCACTCCAGCCTGGCGACAGAGAGAGACTCCGTCTCAAAATAAAATAAAATAAAATAAAAAAGATAATGCTTTATACATGTAGACCAATTTGTGCTGAGTGTTCCTGCTATACCAAAAACAAATTGAATTCGTTGATCAGTTAAAGATTTTAAAAAGCAATGCTATTTCATGATAATGTCCCAATGTAAATTTGGCTATACTATGATTGGCAGTTTGGCTTCTGACCTCTGCCCTGACTGAGTGGGATTGAAAAGCATCCTATATTTCCTGCTGCAGAAGAAGTCTTAAGAAATTGGTAGCTATGGGCAAAAGAACCATTCACCAACAGGTCTAATGTCCTCTGTCTAAGGCAGTGGTCCCCAACTTTTTGGCTCCAGGAACCGGTTTCGTGAAAGACAATTTTGCCACAGATGGGGTGTGTGGGGATGGTTTCATGATGGAACTAGTCCACCTCAGATCATCAGGCATTACAGTCATAAGGAGTGTGCAACCTAGATCCCTCTCATGCACTGTTCATAATAGGGTTCACACTCCTATGAGATTCTAATGCTGCTGCTGATCTGACAGGAGGAGCTCGGGTGGTAATGCTCACTCCCCCACAACTCACCTCCTGTTGTGCAGCTCAGTTCCTAACAGGCCACAGATCAGTACCAGTCCTCAGCCCCGGGGGTTGGGCACCCCTGGCCTAAGGCACTTTGGTTCAGTGATGCAGAAACGGCACAGGCAGGGAAGTCCATGGATTCTCATTCCTGCTACTTACTTACAGACCAATCTTGCCCAAGTCACTGAGTCACCTTAATTCTATAAACCTCAATTTTCCAGTTAGCAAATGGAGATAATAACAATGCCTGCTGAAGTCCCTGAATTACTGTTGAACTCACATAAAGCATATGTATATAGGTTGTAGAACTTGACATCATATGCCTAAATCAGAGTCCCACTAGCTTTCCTGAACCAAAAACTAAAAGGCAAAGATATTTCCTACTGCAGTAAAGATATTATAAGACCCTAAAGCCTAGAAACCCAGCCTACCATTCTTCATCCCACATAAGGTAATGTATAATGGGCCATGTTCTAGGTAAGCACAAATGTATGGCTATTTCTTCAGGCCAACTCACATTTGGAAATAAAATCCATGAGACTTGAGTGAAACAGAAAAAACTAAGTCTGGAAAATGATTGATTACTATTTGAGATGAGCTCAAAAATTCAGTTGAGACTCTGGGGAAGTGCTTCTTAAATTCTTGTTATCCCTTAAAATTATGAATAATAGCCATATGAATTCTTCTCCTGAAAAGGCAAAGGCCCTTCTCTTGCCAAAACTTTTCACATCGACATTGTTCCAAAAAAGCAGCTATAAGAATGTGAACCTCTTAAATATTATATCTTTTGTCAGTATTCCGAAAGAAAAGGCTACTAAATCTGTTCAGCCTCTAGCCCCATCTAACCAGAGGCACCAAAGGAGCAAGGAAACACAATCAGAGACCCGAGCTGTCCTCTTAGAGAAGCCCTGGAAGTAGGCTTCTGCCTTTAATATTGTTTATCCAGTAGCTGATCATATTGCCAGAGAAAAGAGCCACGAGACTCCTTCTCCCATAGTTTGTCATTGTCAGCAGGCTTTTGGCTGTCAGCAATAAGGAGCTTTACTATTGCTTTCTCTGTTTCGTTCTTAACACAATTCAGCAATGCACTTTCTACCTAGGGACTCTGAGGCAAGCACAACAATCTTATCAATAAATCCCAAGATTTCTACCCCTTACTCCATTTTCTAATCTAGATTTTCAAAAATAAAACTTTGCACTAAGGGTGAGTTAGTTGTGAAAATTAAATTACTTAGTTTCCATTCAGAACATATAAGTGTATAGCTCTTAAGCTAAGGAAAATAGCAGCTCCTTAAGCCTTGTAGACTTCCCTTGTCCTTGGCTGTCACTGCCAGTAGTGTTTCTTGACTGAAGACTTGGGGTATGGGCTAGACCAGATCTTAGAAATGCTTGTTCCCTGGTGCCATAAAGAAATAGCACTTGAACATAAATTTAATTTCCTCAGCAAGGTCATTTCTACTTTCTGCAGAAAGGGTACACTCGTCAGCAGTTTTGCCACGAGAGTACACCAAACAAAGGAGACAGGGTCATTCATAACCTGACGCGTACACCCTACTGCTGTGTCCGGTTTCCATTGGCTGGAATGGGACTTCACATTCTGTATTTGTCCCAGTTGGCTAGCAACTTAGAACTTTTTAAAAGAGGCAAAGGCAGAGGAGAACAAAGGAAGGAAGAAGTAACTTGTGGAATGCTCAGAAAGGTAAAAACACCTGCAAATAAGGAAGAGAAACAGGTTATGACCTAATGCTTGCTTGGACCAGTATAAGCATGCCAGTTCAAATATTTAGGCTAAATTGTGGGAGCTAAGAACATAAAGTACCTTGATTTCTTTATTATGGCTAGCAGATATTTAAGAATGTTAGCATAGGTCTTTGAATACATTTGCTTCTAAGAGAAGTTACTATTTATTCCTAATTAGATGGGGAGGAAAGTCTTTGAAGAGGAATCTCTACTTTACTTTTTACACCAGATCATCAGGTTTTTGCTACTGTTGTTATCCATTGGTGATCAAACCAAGTTCTCATGAGCCGTTATTAAAAATCAATGACCTCCATTATCTCTATTACTGTTAAGACACATACATTCTGTGAGAAGAAGCAGAACTTGGGTTAAAAGCATGGACTCTGGAGTTTAAACTACCTCAGTGTTACACTTAACCACTTGTTGATTTAGGGCAAGTAACTTACTTCTTTCTGTGCACATTTCCTAATATTATACATCTATAGAGTAAATACAATAATAGGTCCTACCTTATAGAATGAAAACATGTAAAGTACATCACACTGTGCCTAGCACTTAACACAGAGATCAAAAACACCAGCAGTCATCATCATCATCATTGTCATCACCATTACTATTGTTAACTACAGAGATTGATAGAATTAAATATTATTTTCATTTATCAGGGATAAAGGATTTTTTTGAAAACACACTTTAAGTTTATAGCCTTAATAAAATCTCCTGTAATATATTTAATATTGTTCAAACCTGAGATTTTTGAAATGGTCACAGATATACTTGCACATGTAAAAGCAAATGCAAATTAAACATAAGAGGTCTAATTCTTTCTGTTGAAAACTAGGGAAGAAACTTCTTCCTTTTCTTCAAGCATTTACTTTAGAAAACTTGTAAGTTCTTCCCTATCTTTTTGAAATGTAGGTAAATCTTTCAAAAGCTCAATAATCCTCTTACTACTGTTACAAACCAGGAGTGTCTTTCTCAGGGACCTGGGAACTATCTCTTTGAAATATAATTGTGATATTGTGATTTATAACAATAAATATATATTTGGTCCTCCTCTTTCCTGGCATATAACTCTTAAAACCCTTGGGATTTCCAGAGGAATGTCTTTTTGTGTGCTGATGAGCTGCCTGATGACTGTGGGCTCCTGGATAGCCTTGGGATTGGGACTAGTTGCCAAAAGAACCAACTATATGATCAGAGGCTTGCAACTTTCAGCACCACTCCCTGACCTCCAGGGAGGAGGGGTTGAAGGGTAAGTTGATCACCAATGGCCAATAATTTAATTAATCATTCCTATGTAATGAAGTCTCCATACATATTCAAAATGACAGAGTTCAGAGAGCTTCTGGGTTGATGAACACCGCTATGTGCTCAGAAGATAGCGTACCTCAACCCACTCCACAGGACAAAGCTCTTGTGGCTGGGACTCCTCTCAGCCTCACTCTATGTACCTCTTCATCTGGCTGTTCATCTGTATCCTTCATCGTAGCCTTCATTTTATAATAACCCAGAAACTGTAAGTAAGTGTCTTCCTGAATTCTGTGAGACATTTTAGCAAATTTTCAAACCCAAGGAGGGCATCATGGAAACCTCTGATTTGTAGCCAAGTCAGATGAAAGTTGTAGGTAACTTGAGGATTCACCACTTACAAATGACATCTGAGTTTGTTCCATTTTCTTTATAGATATATTACTTTATTGAGTTGGTTGAATCCTAAAGTAATAGATACATTCCATCTTTTATAAATAAAAGTAAAACAACTGATTTGGTTCTCAAGAAACTGATTATTAGAAAAATAGTTCAAATATACAGGTAAATATCTAGCTATTGAAAAAGCCATCAGCCTTACTTCATTTGAAGAGAGGCCGTGTGTGTATCCAGTGCCAAAGGCAGCACAGATGAGGCAGAAATCTAGAGCAATGGTTCTTAAATTTTAATATTCATCCAGATCACCTGAATGGCTTGTTTAAACACTGATTTTTGGGTGCCACTCCCAGAGTTTCTGATTCAGTAGGTCTAGGTGAGGCTTAACAGTTTGCATTTCTAACAAGTTCCCAGTGATGCCAGTGTTTCTGATTTGGCTACCACACCAGTGAGTAGAGCATTTCCCCATCTATACATTCATTCTACAAATATTTACTTAGTGCCTACTGTGTGCCAGGGACTCTTCTATGAGCTAGGGACACAGCATTCAACAAAATGGACACAAATCTATATTCTCAAACATTTTATACTGAGGAAGACAAAGAGTAAACAATATAAACAAATAAAATATATAATACACTGGTGGTAAGCGCTAAGGAGAAAAAAAAACAGGATGTGAAAGATATGTGCTGTGTTGGGTATAATGTCAAAATTTTGATAGAAGGTGAGTCAGATAAGTTTGCCCTGACAAGATATTTTTGAATAAACCCTAAAGGAAGTGAGAGCCTTGTTCATAAAATGTCTGGGGGAAAGCATTTAAAGCAAAAGAAAAAGGAAATACCCAAGCCTGAGGCCAGAGACAGCCTGGCATGGTCAGAGAATTCCAGCATGGGTTTACAAAGTGATGAAGAAGAGAATAATAAGAAATAAGGCCCCACCGGGCATGGTGGCTCACACCTGTAATCCCAGCACTTTGGGAGGCCAAGGTGGGTGGATTGCCTGAGCTCAGGAGTTCAAAACCAGCCTAGGCAACATGGTGAAACCCTGTCTCTACTAAAAATACAAAAAGTTAGCCAGGCATGGTCGTGGGCACCTGTAGTCCCAGCTACTGAGGAGGCTGAGGCAGGAGAATCACTCGAATCCAGGGGGCAGAAGTTGCAGTGAGTTGAGATCATGCCACTGCACTCTAACCTGGGCAACAGAGGGAGACTGTGTCTAAAAAAAAAAAAAAAAGAAATAAGTTCCCAGAGATGGGGTGGAGGTGACCATCACAGAAGACCTTACAGGTACTATGTGATTATCATTGTGTGAGTGAGATGAGATGCCTTTAGAGAGTTTTAAGCAGATTAAATCGAATTTATATTTTAATAGCATTACGCTGAATGCTCTGTTAAGAATAAAATGAGAGGCAAGAGCAGATGCAGACAGGCCAATGGGAAGGCTAGTGTAACAATCATATGGTTAAGTTTACTTAGTGACCATAGGCACAGAGTGTACTTCAATTCAGTGGTCTAGTCTTTCTAGCATGATACAGTTAAATCTCCACATAATCCTCAAAATGGGGCCCAAAATATTAATTGCATAAAACATGTAGTCTGATTATTGTAAAGTTAATGAGAAAACAAAGGACAAAAAAACCATTGAAACTTAGGTAGAAGACTTACTATACACAGAATTGGGAGCAAGTTTCAATAATCACAAGGTAATTGCTTCCTAAGCCTTCTCTGGTTTCCTGCAGAAGATAAGAACTTTAGCTCATCCCCGTACCTGCCCCGATGACCACCATCTAATCCTTCAAGGTGGATGATGGCTGCTAATGTCTAGACCAAAGGTGGTTAGCCATTGGTGCTGATTCAAATTGCTACAGAGGCTACCTGTTCATGGTCGTTAAATTTAAGTTAAGGTTCTTAGGAGGCTGATTCATCTACGTCTAGGCGTACAGACTCATTACAGGATTTAACACATTTAACAATACACAGGCATACCTTGTTTTATTGTGTTTTCCTTTATTGTGCTTTGCAGATATTGTTCTGTTGTGCTTTCCTTTAATTGTGTTTTGCAGATATTGTGTTTTTGTTTGTTTGTTTTTTACAGGTTGAAGGTTTCTGGCAACTCTGCTTTAAGCAAGCAAGTCTATTGCTGCCATTTTTTCAACAGCATGTGCTCAATGTCTCTGTATCACATTTTTGGTAATTCTCTCAATATTTAAAACATTTTCATTAATATTAGGCCTGTTCTGGTGATCTGTGATCAATGATATTTGAAGTTACTATTGTAATTGTTTGGGGGCACCACAAACTGCGCCCATATAAGATGGAAAACTTAATTGATAAATCCTGTGTGTGTTCTGACAGCTCCACTGATGCCTTGTTTCATCATCTTTTTCCCCTCCTTGGGCTCTTTATTCCCTGAGACACACAATATTGAGATCAGACCAATTAATAACCCTAAAATGGTCTTTAAGTGTTCAAGTGAAAGGAGGAATTTCATATCTCTCACTTTAAATCCAAAGCTAGGAAATTAAGCTTTGAGAGGAGGGTATGTTGAAAGCTGATAGACCGAAAGCTAGGGCTCTTGTAACAAACAATTAGCCAAGTTGTGAATGCCCGAGAAAAGTTCTTAAAGGAAATTACAAGTGTTACTCCAGTAAACACATGAATGATAATAAAGTGAAACAGTCTTATTTCCGATATGGAGAAACTTTCGTGGTCTGGATAGAAGATCAAACCAGCCACAACATTCCTTTAAGCCAAAGTCTAGTCCATAGCAAGACCCTGACTGTCTTCATTTTATGAAGTCTAAGAGAGATGAAGAAGCTGTAGATGAAAAGTTTGAGGGCAGCAGAGGTTCATTCATGAGGCTTAGGGAAAGAAACCATCTTCATAACTTAAAAGTTTAAGATAAAGCAGCAAATGTTGATGTAGAAGTTGCAGCAAATTATCCATAATATCTAGTTAAGATGATGGATAAGGATGGCTATGCTAAACAATACATTTTCAATGTAGATGAAACAACCTTTTCTTGGAAGAAGATTCTATCTAGATCTACCATCTCTAGACAGGGGATGTCAATGCCTGGCTTCAAGTTTCAATGGACAGCTGACTCTCTTGTTAGGAGATAATGCAGCTGGTGACTCTATATAAAGCCAATGCTCATTTATCATTTCAAAAATTTTAGGGCCTTAAGAAATATGCTAAATATACTCTGCCTATACTCTATAAATGGAATAACAAAACCTGGATGATAGCCTATCTGTTTACAGCATGGTTTATTGAATATTTTAATCCCACTGTGAGACCTGCTGCTCAGAAAAAAAAGATTTCTTTCAAAATATTGCTCCTCATTGACAATGAACCTAGTCATAAGAGCTCTGATGGAGATGTTTGAGGAGATTAATGTTGCTTTTATTCTTGCTAACACAGCATCTATTCTGCAGCCCACAGATCAAGGAGTAAGTTTGACTTTCATGTATTATTATTTAAGAAATATGCTTAATAAGGTTATAGCTGCCAAAGATAGTGATATTTCTGATGGATCTGTGCAAAGTAAATTGAAAACCTTTTCTGAAAGATTCATCATTCTAGATGTCATTAAGAACATTTCTGATTTATGGGAGGAAGTGAAAGATAAGCATTAACAGGAATTTAGAATAAGACGATTCCAACTCTTATGTATGACTTTGAGGGGTTGAAGACTTCGGTCAAGAAAGTAACAGTAGATGTGGTGGAATTAGCAATGTAACTAGAGTTAGAAGTGGAGCCTGAAGATGTGACTGAATTGCTGCAATCTCATGATAAAACTAGAATGGATGAGAAGTTGCTTCTGACGGATGAGCAAAGAAAGTGGTTTCTTGAGATGGACTCGACTACGGGTAAAGATGCTATGAATATTGTTAAAATGACAAAAAAGGGATTTAGAATATTTCATAAACTTGGTTGGTAAAACAGCAGCAGGATTTTAGAAGATTGACTCCAATCTTGAAAGAAGTTCTACTATGGGTAAAATGCTATCAAACAGTATCACATGCTGCAGGGAAATATTTCGTGAAAAGGAGTCAATGTCACCAGTTAACATTGTTGTCTTATTTTAAGAAATTGCCACAGCTACCCCAAATTTCAGCAACCACAACCCTGATCAATCAGCAGCCGTCAAGGCAAGTCCCTCCATCAGCAAAAAGTTTTAAGACTTTCTGAAGGCTCAGATCATTGTTAGCCTTTTTCAATAATAAAGTATTTTTGAGTAAGGCATATACACTTTTTAGTCATAATGCTATTGCACTCTTTGACTACAGTATAATGTAAACATAACTCTTGTATTCGGGGGAAAACAAAAATTCATGTAACTCATTTTGCTGTGATATTTGCTTTCTTATGTTAATCTGGAACAAAAATGGCAATATCTCCAAGGTATGCCTATATGGAGAATCATATTTTTATATTTATAATTTAAAAACCACCTTTACAAAGGAGTCTTTTATTATAGTGCTAGTATAATGATGTGGCCAATATATCTGAAGAGTAGATTTTAAATGTTCTTGCCACAAAGAAATGATAAGTATGTGATATGATGGATATGTTATTAATAATTAGCCTGATTTAATGATTGCACAATGTGAAACATATATCATAGCATCACATTGTTTCACATAAATTTTTTTTTTTTTTTTGAGATGGAGTCTCACTCTGTTGCCAGGCTGGAGTGCAGTGGTGTGATCTCGGCTCACTGCAACCTCTGCCTCCCGGGTTCAAGTGATTCTCCTGCCTCAACCTTCTGAGTAGCCGGGATTACAGGCACGCACCACCACACCCAGCTAATTTTTGTATTTTTAGTAGAGACGGGGCTTCACCATGTTGGCCAGGATGGTCTCAATCTCTTTACCTCGGGATCTGCCCACCTCAGCCTCCCAAAATGCTGGGTGGCATTACAGGCGTGAGCCACGGTGCCTGGCCAATGCATACAATTTTTATTTTTCAATTAAAAATAAAATTTAAAAATCTATCGAAGACAAATGTAAAAAGAAAGCCTATTTGAAGTGACTGAGTACTAATAAATATTTTGTTACCAAAAAAGAAAATGTCTTTATATATATATATATATATATATATATATATATATATATATTTATTATTATACTTTAAGTTCTAGGGTACATGTGCACAACATGCAGGTTTGTTACATATGTATACACGTGCCATGTTGGTGTGCTGCACCCACTAACTCGTCATTTACATTAGGTATATCTCCTAATGCTATCTCTCTCCCCTCCCCTCACCCCACAACAGGCACCGGTGTGTGATGTTCTGCTTCCTGTGTCCATGTGTTCTCATTGTTCAATTCCCACCTATGAGTGAGAACATGTGGTGTTTGGTTTTTTGTCCTTGCGATAGTTTGCTGAGAGTGATGGAAGAAAATGTCTTTTTTTTTTTTTTTTTTTTTTTTTTTGTAGAGATGGAATCTTGCTCTGTTGCTCAAGCTGGAGTGCAGTGGCGTGATCTTGGCTCACTGCAACCTCCACCTCCCAGGTTCAAGCAATTCTCCTGCCTCAGCCTCCTGAGTAGCTGGGACTACAGAAGCACACCGCCAGACCTGGCTAATTTCTTTTGTATTTTAGTAGAGACAGGGTTTCACCGTATTGCCCAGGCTGGTCTCAAACTCATGAGCTCAGGCAATCCACCTGCCTCGGCCTCCCAAAGTGCTAGGATTACATAGGTGAGCCACGGCGCCTGGCCATCTTTGTTTTATAAACGTAGGCCACCCTAGAATTTTATGTGATAAAGTGTCTTTAATTTTCAGCTTTTCAGGGTTACTACTGTTATTCTTATCCAAACCTGTTTAGTCACTGTCAGGCAGATGACTCTGATGTTCTACGTGCCAAAATGGGGGCACATTAAGCTTTCTTAGATGAGGCTGGGAGATTGAATCCCTTGAGGCCAATCTCTATAGATGCATCATATGACTTTCTTTTGTTTGGTTCTAAGGATCAACACGGCAATAGGATATAGGTCTCTGCCACTCTTAGGACCCTCAGAAATCCATATTTTTCCAAATTTGAAGTAATATCCTCTGTATCTCTTTCTGTTTCCATTTCTTTGCCCCCGTCAAAGCTATGCCTGCCCTGCCTGTTTCTTTCTGATTCTCATCAGTGAGATCAGGCTCACACAGATGAGAGCCAGAAAGACAGGTGCACTTCACATCACTGACATCAGGGCAAGACTTACCTTTCTTCCTGAAATGAAAGAAAATAAAATATAAAGTAAAAACAGATAGCCTTATTCATCATCCTTCTTCAGTGATGCAAAGAAAATACAAATATCTTCACAAATATTTCTGCCACTGAAGTCATATATATGGAGCAGGACATAGAATGGGATGTTTCCCTATTGACTTTGGCTGAATTTTTACTGAAGCTCCAACTGAGAAAAGGAGTTAGATATATCTGTGCAGGCTTTGCTGAGAAAAACCAGATTGCTCCAGGGTGCATCATTTCCAGAAGCCTTATAGAAGAGCATTTTAATTCATTCTCTGAGGGGAAATTGTAAGAGAAGAGAGAGTAGTGGCATTCAACTATTCATCACGTCCTCTCCCTCCCACCACCACCTGGATTTAATAAGCAAATCCATTGAAGAGACAGTACTTGCAAGCAAAAGGGGCTGGCCTCACATTCTCCTGCTGGCTGCTTGGTGGGCTGCAGTTTTAGGCCTTGCTTGTGCTGCTAGCCATGTAAGTACTTGGAAGGCTTGACTTGTGTTCCCTGAGGATAGGGGGGAAGGGGACAGTCAGATGGCTCTTGATGGACAAGGTCAAAAAGCAGCCTTTGATGGCAGAGTGAGGAGAGGGCAATTTTAAGACAGCCTGTTCAGCTGCATTTGTTTCCTCTGGCCAAATGGTTACTGCAGAAGAGAGCCAGGAATGAATATGGTAATCATAAAATGGTTTTGAAGGTTTTTTATTTGGAAACAATTTAAAACTTACCAAAAAACTGCAGTCTAACTTAGAGAACTTCTGTGTTCCCTTTACTGAGATTAATCAACTGCTAACATTTGCCACATGTGCCTTATGTTTTTTGGGTTTTTTCTTTATCATTCTCCCCATTCCCTGCTATCTTTCTATGTATAAAGTTTTGGTTTTTTTTTTCAAACCATTTGAGAGTAAGTTACAGGTGTCATGTCTCTTACCTCTTATTGCCTCATCATTTATTTTTATGAGCAAGGACATTGACCTACATGACCCCAAAACAATTATCAGAATCAAGAAATGTAACATCAATAGATGACTACTATTGACAGACTACTTATGTGTTACCAATTGTTAATTATATAGTTTATTATTCAAATCAGGGCAATTTTGAAAGTGAAAGAGTGATATTAAAAATTATGCCAGGACAACAGGTATAAACTGAGGCCATGCTAAGAAAACTAGGATGTATGGTCAGTCATTCTGGGCTTGAATGGTCTGTTAAAGATCTTATTCAAGAGAGCTGCCCCCTTCAGGAGTGAGGGAAATCACCAGAAAGGGGCCAGAAGTGCACACTGAGAGCTGAGGCTGAGGGTGACTCCCAAGGGCTAGCCAGGGTTCAGAACTAAGGGCAATATGGTGGCCCTTGCCTTGTGAGGGTGTGAGGAATGCACAAATGCATTCAGCGTGATACAGCAGCATTTGAATGCCTGCTTTGGCAGCGTACAGGACAGCTGAGAGAGTGAGACAGCCTGTGCCAGCTGAGAAAAACCATTTTGTCCCTTTCTGCCTCAGTCCTCTACCACTATGGTGGTCCTGGAGGAAAGAGAGGCAGTTCAGGGAAGAGAGGGAAAGAGGTAAGACAAGGGGAATGAAAAGGCAGACTAGGTCCCTTCTTTGTCACTTCTGTTCCCCACCATTGAGATTAGAATTGCACCAGGGGAGGGAGAGGCTTTATTATGATGAGAGATTAAGGTTTGCAATTATATTGGAGAGAAACTTTTAAAATTAAAAACAAAATTATTCAAATACATGAAAGTGATGGGAAAAACAATGCAATTTTCTCTCACGGGGAAGAAAATCCCATAGGTCATGTTGAAGGAGGTGATGGGAGAAAAATGACACAAATTTTCAAATCCAGCATGTCTAATAAGCTGACTACACATGGTTTAGAAAAAATCAAACATTGCCTAAGTAAAATAGAACCAAAATTCACCACTTCTTCTTCTCTCCCCAGCCCTCTGGAAAGCTGTGCTTTACTTGTTTACATTATTCTTCTGTTCTCCCTTTTATTTTTTTAAAAATATGCATTATATATATATGTATATACACATGCATGTATATATATGCATGTATATATATGTGTGTGTATACATATGCATGCATATACATGTGTGTGTGTATATATGTATGAAATACTGCACATCCTATACTAAATTTGCTTTCTTCACTACTTTACTATATGCAATAGGTATCTTACAACATATCATCGGCTCTTCATGTTACAAACTGTAAAGATCTACCTCATTGTAGGGACACATCATTGTGTGAATGTGCTATGATTTACCTAACCAATTCATTATTTATGACAGTTTGTTTTCCATCATTAGTGATAATAAATAATTTATTATATCTTTAGGATAAATTCTCAGTGAACTTGTATCCAAAGTGTAGACTTAAAGGATTTTGTGATATACAATGCCACATTTCCTTTCCAAAATTTGTATCTATGTACACTAGCAATAAAAAGAGGGCCTCTTTCCTCACCTTATTGTCAAAAATTTAGTGAATATTATTTGTCTATCAAGTACTTATTCATTCACAAAGGGATACACTTCAAAATCTAGTGAATATTATTTGTCTATCAAGTACTTATTCATTCACAAAGGGATACACTTCAGTTTACTTTCCAGTGGTCATAACCAGAAATACGACAGTCCAATGGTACAGAATGGAATAATAATTTTTTTCTTTTCTTTTTCTCTTTCCTCTTTTCTTCCCTTCCGAATAGCTCTTCAGGTTTAAAACCTAAGAATTAATGGGAGAAGCAAACAAAATAATTCCACGCACTGCCAATGTTGAATATATTCACAGCTTTCCAAAATTTGATAGCTGGATCTGAAATTGTTTTTTGCCTTAATACAATTTTGTTTCTGGCTGATCATATGGTTCACCACAGAACCCACCTCCACTTGTTGACTGGTTACTTTCAGTGACATCTGTGTGAGTGGGATGTTAGAACATTCTGCAAGAACTGCAGAATTGTGCTTCATAGGATTATTAGAATTATGCTTCATTTGATACCATTTCAATTCTTTGCTTCTGTTTTTCCCTTATGCTAACTCTCTAAAAACTGAAAAACTAATAATAGCAGTAAGGTTGGAACCACAAAATTGTGGCCTTTTGTCTGGCTAGGCACTTAAGAGCATCTCAACTATGAATTTGCACTCCATCTACTTTGCTTATAACGGTGAAAATTCAGGTAATTTCTTTTCTTCATGAAGACGCATTGTTCATAAATGGCATGTTTCTTGCTTACTCCTGTGCTGAAGCCATGCTTAAGTTCCCAAGGGGAGATTATTTCATAGAAAAGAAGAGTGAATCAGGTGGCCGTGTAGGACTGACAAAGACCCGGCCTGCTGCGCCCATGAATAGCTCCCAGTGGGTCTCACAGTTGTAGCTCTAAAATAAGTCAATTGCTTAGCTTTAGGAGTTACTTTAATTCTTTATGCTTACCAAAGTCTATATAGACCAACTAAAATATTATTTTTTAAATGAAATAGTACTCTATTAGAAGGTTGAAGCTTCTCCAAAAGAGTCATAATTCTTTTCCACCGGGCCATGTATTTCCAAAATTTGCATTGCTGGAGCATCTCGGCTGTTCGTAGGAAGTTCCCACAAATATGGAAAAGATGAGTAATTTTTTTTTATAACTCAGAGCTTTTATGGAAGAAACAGTCTGCAAATAACAGTGCATGAACTCTTATCCATGTGGCACCTTAGGGTGCTATTAGTCAGAAGGGATAAACTAGAGGTTGCAAACAACTGGCCAGCAGGATCATCTGTCCCATAGTCATTTCCTTTGTCTAACACAAGGTGTTACGGACTGAATGTTTGTGTCCCTAAAATCCTAAACCCCCAAGGTGATGGTATTAGGTAGAGATGGGACTTTTGGGAGGTAATTTAGGCCATGCAAATGGCACCCTCATAAATGGGATTATTGCTCTTACAAAGGAAACACCAGAGAACTCTCTCCCACTCTTTCCACTATGTGAAGGTACAGTGAGGAGTGGGCAGTCTGCAACCTGGAAGGGGACCTTGCCAGAACCTGACTGTGCTGGCACTTTGATCTCAGACTTCCAGCCTCCAGAACTGTGACAAACAAATTTCGATTATTTATAAGACACCCAGTATATGGTGTTTGTTATAGTAGCCCGAACTAAAATAGGGCTTTTCAAAATATTGATCATTAACCGGTATTTAAAAATCTGGATTTCAAGTTTCTTTTGGAAAACTGAAAGATCTAGTATTGCTTGGGTGACATTCTTACACAATAATCATATCACTGCCCCTTCAGGACAGAATATGGTCTTCACTCATTTACATTACCTGCTTACTGTAGAATCTTGAATTTATAACCCCTGTTACATTCTAAAGAGGCACAACATACCTTTTTTGAGAGGCAATTCTTTAAGACAGCTCAGTTTGCTATCCTTTTTAAAGTTTCACATTCCCACTGAGTAAATGATTCTATGTTCTGGCAACACTTTGTACCTATCTGGATGAAGGTACTTTTCATAATATGTTGTTGCTTTTTCCCCTAAGCCTACCTTCTCCTATAGACTTTGAGGGTAGAAACCGTTTCCTGATTGCCATTTTAATGTTCCAGTGCCTATCACTGCATGTAGGTCCTTGAGAGCTGCTTTCTGAATGAATGAATGCTTGAATGAACAAATGAACAAATGGCCCATTCTATTAATGATGACTTGGGTTTCCAAACTAAGAGGGATAGAGGTGACTTAGGATGAATTTTTCTCAACATTTGGTACTGTTTGAATAGTTTGCATCATATAGATCTTCAAATCAATGTCATTTGAAGCCTGAGCTATAAATTAGAGCAACACTATTGCCATGGAGCAGCTTTGTTTTTTTCTGAATACTGTGAATAACAATTCTTATTTGATTATCCTATTAAAATTAACACAAAACCTAACACAAACTCATTATCCCTGTCAAGTTTTTAATCCTTACCTTGACAAAAGAAGAAGCTGAAATCATCCAAAAATATAATTTCTGTCCTCCTTTTGAAAGAATAACTTATTCAAGTTTTATGTCATTGTAATTTCAGTTCTGTTTTTAGTTAGCCTTTTATAAAAGAATGCAAAATCTTCTTTCCAATCTCACCTTTGCAAAGAATGTAAATAAAAAATGTTCAGTGTTTTGGAACAGTTTTAATCTATTTCTCCTTTAAATTAGGATCATAAATGCTCAAAAATGTCATAGCCATTTAATGAAAGGGTGCATATTTTAGTGACTGCAATGAAAGGGAAGCTATTGAACAAATGGTATCTGAGGGTGGTTATTCTAATTAGAATTGTTGCAAAAGAAAAGCAAAAGCAATTCCCCATATGAAGAAGGCAAAGCTGATTTAATCCAATCTTATTAAGGACAGGTCTATTGTAAGCGAGATTTTAATCAATCATTTTACCACAAACCAGAAGTTACATTTACATTTGTTTCCCACCTAGAGACTGCAACATTTCTATCACTCTCATCTCATGTAGTTATCAATCACTTTAACACTGATATATTTTTGAAGTTAAATTTAAATCATATGTAATTATATATATGAAATTCAATTTTGTATCACAATTATGTTATAAAATTGGACATAGTTCCATTTCTATGTGGGCAAAATCATCAGAAAATTGATCAAAGCACTTTTTAAATAGGGAAGGGTTAATAGGACATCTGGCTGTGAGAAATTTTGAATGGATTCTATCTGCTAGGAGTAGTGCCCACTACAAGAACACTGATGTCTTGATAAAACTAGATTGTGCCTGGAGAAGTAGCAATGCATGACTATAACTTGATTTTTAATTGCATATCTCTGAAAGCATATTTTATATCATATATTTAGTAAAAACTATATATTTGCTATGTTAATTATTTAAAAACTATTTTAACTAGATATTATTTTAGAATATCATTAATATAGAGAACAGGCTCAAACAATATTATTTAGTGTTTCTTGACTATGGAAAACCACATACTTCTCTGCAAATGTAATTCTTGGCAAAGATTTGTCTCCATTCTGGACATTTGAAATTTCTTTCCCAGTTTAGAATGATAGTGTCCCAGCTTACACCTAAAATATTGCTTTAATATTCTTTGTTTGAGTGTTTAGTGAAAAGGGAGTGCAAAGGAAATTCACTCAACTCTCCACTGGAAATGAATACCCCATCATTTTTATCATGAGTTCCCGTAGCAATAAAGCATTGTAAATGTGTAGCAATTACTGAATCTGTGGTATAACAATTTTCTCCACACAAATATAATTTTATATTTCTTTAAAGAAGATTTTAAAAATATCTAACAAAGAGAAAGCCTGCCAAGATAATCTTAAGCAAATCCTTGTTTGATGTGCAACAGTGGATGGGAAAGTAGGACCAGGGGTCCTGCTGGGATGTTCTGTCCAACATTGAACTCCTCAAAGAACCCTTGTCAAAGGCAAGTTCCTCTGTCCTTAGAACATCAGTAAAGTTACCTCATGGTTCTCAGGAGGCCACCTGCTATGGAAAAGAAAGAGTGTGAAGCCCACTACACGGGTGGGGCTATGATTTCTTGGAGTCAACATTTGGTACTGTTTGAGGAGTTTGCATCATATAGATCTTCGAATCAATGTCATTTGAAGCCTGAACTATACATTAGAGCAACACTATTGCCGTGGAGCAGCTTTATTTTTCTCTGAATACTGGAAATAACAATTCTTATTTGATTATCCTAACACAAACTCATTATTCCTGTCAAGTTTTTAATCATTACCTGACAAAAGAAGAAGCTGAAATTATCCAAAGATGATTTGATTGTTTAAGACAGCTCAGTTTGCTATCCTTTTCAAAGTCTCACATTCCCAGTGAGTAAATGATTCTGTGTTATCGCAACACTTTGTACATATCTGGATGAAGAGACTTGGATTCTCTGCTACTCCTGTAGTATACAGGGAGTCCTACATTTCTAAAATTAAAACTTGAAAGGACTTCTCATTTACCTCCAATTTCAAGTGTACCTTTTGACTGGCAGTGGAAAGGTGGTGCAACGCAATGCTGAATGGTGATTGTCTCAGGTCTCATGATGGAAAAAAGGCAGTCCTTTTGTAGGCTCTGAAGAACTTACCTTTTGCCCTTCATTAAGCTGTTCTTACTCATGAAGTAATGTCACTAAGTCACCTTACTCTTGAATTATGGACTCACATTTCTCTGACATGGAGGAAGTGTGCTGGATCCACAGAAATCTAACTTATTCTGCCACCCATCTCAACTTACCCTAGTCCATTTCCATACCCATACAACATCAATATTAATAAGTATGTAGATGCCAAATTTACTCCATACTCTTGGACTTGCTGACAAACTAATGTAGTTGTAAGAAATGATATGTAAGTTTCATTTAAATATGTGACTTTAAACTTCCTCAATTATCAGAATCACATTTTAGCAAGTCGATTGTAAGACACTGTGCCAAACAGTTATATAAGCTTCTAAAGAAAAACTAGTGATCTATTTCCTGAATCTTCATCCCTTATTCTTTAAAAAAAAATTCATTTTCAGTGCTTAATTTTGACCATTTATTGCCCCACTCTTAGACTATCAAAATAGCTTTTCAATTGATTTTCTTATTTCCAGATTCTTCTCTATAGCTTCAAACCATCCTGGCACAATGTTGTCAGGTTAATTTTCCTAAGAACTAGCTACTTGCATGCTGAAAAACATTCAGTAATTCTCACTCTCCAGCAGTAAAAACTTATAAACTTATTAAAAGTTAAAATTTTATTATGACAGTCCCCTGCTTAGCAACCTTTTTGGCTCCCAATCACTCTTAGAATAAAGTCCGAATGCCTTAAAACATGGCCATCTAGCTCTCTCTGACCTATTCCTGATTACCATTCTAACTGTGGGTGTCTCTGTTCTGCTCACACACCCCAGGTGCCCTGGATTTTGATATAGTGCTATGACCTTCTCCACAATTTTCCATGGTTAAAACTTAGGATCCTAAGGAAATGTAAAGAAGACAGAGCCAGTTCATGGTAACTTGGGAACTTGTACCATCCTCAAAAGCCAAGGGATTTGACTGCAGAAAGAACTATTCATAATCTGCTGCTTCTCTGCATCCTGACTCCACCAACACCCTAGTCCAAGTCACCATTATTTTTTATCTTAACTACATGCCTTCCCTTTGGTCTACCTACATCCACTCCTGTCTTACTCCTGGTTTTCTTTCAGTCCTGTGCATTTGTCATGCTTGTTCCTACCATGGAGACTTTGTATTTATTGATCACTCTGTCTCAAGGGCTGCTTCTTCCCCTTCATGCCTACTTACCTCATTTTCATCCTTTATGTTTCAAGTCACTTAGGCCTTCCTCAGGAAAGTCTTCCTTGAGCTCTCTGACTACATCGAATGCCCTTCTTGTACTCTCTTTCACCTCTGTGTGCATCTTCTTCATGGCACTTTTTCACAGTAACACCTTTTAAATGCATTTTTCTGACTGTTTGGATAGTATCTGCCTCCTCCATGATACTGTAAGCTTCGTTAGAGGAAGCGCTAGATCTATTTTTTTGAACTACTTTATTTCTGGAGTCCTGGGCAGCTCTTGGTCAAAAATAGTCATACTTAATAAATATTTTTAGAATGAATTTGAATAATAGATCAAAGTCATCTCTTAATCTTATTTCAAAGTAATATATTTTGATCCAGATTTATGACTTCCCATTCCCCCCTAATGTGCATGAGAATAAGAGATTTTATTAATGTTCAACTTTTTCAGAATATTACCTTCTTTCTGTTTCCTGAGAAACCCTGCAACTAGGTCAGATTTTCTCATGTCCTACTATCTTAGCCTTTCTAGAGACATGATGGGTTTCTTGCTTGCTTGCTTGCTTGCTGTGTTTTTTTCTCCTCTGAGATTTCAAGTTACCAAACTTTCATAATAAAGTTTCCTATCAGTGTTTTTAAAAAGTTATAAGCAAGGAAAATATGGGAGTTGTTAAACAAACAGGTAGAATTAGAAAGAAAAGTATGATAAATAGGTAGGTGAAAAACTTAATTTTAATCCATTTTAATATTGAGCCTCTATAATCTTAAATCTTATTTTAGGTCCCAAATTATATTTAGGCTCTGGGTCCTTTCCAAGCAATTTTCTCAGCCTGGCACTCTCTATTCTGTCCCCTACCCCATCCTTCCTTTGCCACACATCCTTTAGATCTAAGTAAAAATAGCATGTTCTAAGGATTGTTTTCTCTGGTTTATCAGCTCTGTGGATGGAGCCATTTAATTTTTTTGTTGCTGTATTCCCAAGTACAATGCCTGGTATATAAGAACTGCATAACTCATATATCTTGAATGGATAGATGAATTAAATGAATATCCTTTGCCATCTGGGTATAACCTTTTAACTGACACTGCCTCTGACACAAATTTTAGACTCCATTTCTGTGGTGTTGCTTCCGCCATCTCTAGACTTAAAATGACATTCCATTTTCCTAAAATAGCACTATGTATCTATGTTTTGTTTTGGTTTTGTTACAGACTTCCTTCCACCCTTATTCATCATGGCCTATCTACCACGAAGCTATCTGCTTTGCTGTACCTTTTTATTTCCCTAGCTAGAAATAATCCTTTTCTCCTCTAAGCTTTCAAAGCCATTAGCTGGTCACATGTCTAAGGCAATGACACCTTGTATTACAGGCATTAATGAAGGGCTCATATATCTCTAACTTGATTGCAAACTCTTTAAGAGAATAGGCTATTTTGTACCCATCTCTCACCCATAATTTCTAACATAGTACCTTGCAGATAATACTCATGTACTCAGTCAATATTTGTTAAAATAATTGAGTAATAGCCACTCTAGTTAACCAAAGGTTTTCCTATTCATGTTGCTTAGTTTGCTTAATCTAAGTGTTTAAACCTCCTGTGCAAAAGAGATTATTTTATTGTAGTCTTATTTAAGCAGTTTGTTTTATAGCAATTTTTTTTTTGTTATTCGATTTTAGGAACTCCCTTTTTATTTAGCAGATTAAGAATTTTTGAATGAATACAAATAGCCCAAAAACCTGGTCATAAATCTTTTGGATCGTGGACTAAGAATAGATCCATTCTCCCTGGTTTACAAAGAAAGTACTAAATGGAAGAGTTGATTCTACCGTGTGCAGGATTGGACCTTATTCAAGAATTACTAGATTTAAACTGGTCATTGTAAGCAATTTAAAAAGTCAGTATGGCCCCTAGTCTATTCAGTTTCCAACTAGCATAGAGCAAAGCATATTTGACAGTGACCTACATATAGTTAGGAAATTAAGGGGCTTAGTAAAACTTCTGCTAAAAACATTTTTGGAGAAATTCTTAGCTAAAAATCCCCAAGGGATTCTAGAAGAAATCAGAAATGGTAATTCAGACATAAAGTGCATCCATCTTTTTTTTTTTTTCCAAGAAGGAGAATATTCTAAGTGAATGCTTACTTACAAGGAGCACAGAGTTTAGAAAATTAGAAAGAGTTTTACAAGCAGCACACACTTAGGGCTTCAGGGTTGCCTTATTCTGCTTGTGGTGCTATAACAGTGTCACAGATTGGGTAATTTATAAAGGACAAAAATTTATTTCTCACAGCTTTGGATGCGGGGAAGTCCCAGATCAAGGCACTGGCATCTGGGGAGCCCTTCTTGCTGGATCCTCACATAACAGAAGGGTAAAGGGACAAACCCATTCCCAAACTCTTTATATGGTGGCATTAATCCCTTCCATTTTTCTGCTCTCATGACCTAAACATCTCCTATTAGAACCCACCTCCTGGCATTATTGCATTGGGAATTAAGTTTCCAACACATGAATTTTGAGGGGCATGTTCAGAGCAGAGTAAGGGTTACTATGGAAAGACCCCAAAGGGACAGAGTATGCAAAATACTCGTAATGATTATACCAGAAAGAGTATAAGATGTTTTTGTATTTGCCTAGAAGTCATTTGCAAATGAATTTGGGGGCCTGGGACAATAAGTAAGGAGGTCTTAGGGATTAGATTTCTCATTGCTATGGAACTGAGTAGTTTTCAATGACAAAGTTCCTCTCCTTATGTTAGGGGAGAAGTTACAGAATGTGAAGTCACCTAAGATAAGGAAAAGGGGTGTTTCCCCGGGTTTAATACAGCGCTAGTCTCTGTGAAATTGCATTTCCTGGTTAGTAAGTGAATGCCTGTTTATAGCTTGGAGTTGCCTTGAGAGGGGTGGGAAGCAAGTTGGACTTGTCCTGCACAGGATTGATTTTAAGGACTATCTCACTATAGTGAGATACCTGCATACCTGCAGAATCAGAGCAATGGGAGCATTTCTGGAGTTACTTGAGAGATTTTGTCAGTAGGGAAAAAGTTCTTGGGTTTGGAACAAATAAACAATGAATGGTGCCAGTGTGGTGCCTCACATCTATAATGCCAGCACTTTAGAAGAAAGGCAGGAGGATTGCCTGAAGCCAGGGGTTTGGGACCCTGTCTGTATACCACAAAAAAAAAAAAAAAAAAAAAAAATATATATATATATATATATATTAGCTGAGTGTGTTGGTGCACACCTGTAGTCCTAGCTACTTGGAAGCCTGAGGTAGGAGGATTTCAGTGAGCTATGATTCTGTGATTGCACCACTGCACTGCAGTCTGGGCATCAGAGCCAGACTTTGTCTCTAATAAACAAACAACAAACAAACAAACAATAAATGGGGCACACTCAAGGATTCCTGAGACTGACCATGGTTTGTGTCAAACTACTCTTCAAAAGTCCCAAGGGAAATATGGGCATGGTTGTAACTGATGGGAAATTCTAGAACCTAGTTTATTTTTTCCTACTTTAAACTTCAACCTCAGATTACACACTGAAGAAGAGCACAAAGTGGATTGTAATAATGCAATCTAACATAAATAGTCATTCCTCAGTTAAAAAAAAAATCCCAATAACCAAATGAAAATGTGTCCTAAGTATATTGTAGTGGTTAAGAACTCAGACTTGGGTGCTGAGATTTATACACGTATTCAACCATGTATCTCTTCTCCCTGTATCTCCAACCTCAATGTTCATTTACTGTGCAGCAAAAGCTAAGAGCTAAGAAAATTCAGCATGTTATTTAATCTATTTTTAAGTATTGGTCGCCTCATTAGTGGGTGAAGAAAATGATAGCAACTACTCTGTAGAGTTTATGTGAGGGCTGCAAAGCAAGAATACTCAATACATGTTGCTTATTACTATTTTAAGAATATTCTTTTCATGTGATACAATTCAATATAATAAAATAAACTGAAATGTAGGGTATACAGTTTTGTATTGGACCAGCTTCAAGTTTTGACACTTAGATGAGAAAGCATGAAGTATTGGAAAGAATTCCACTCTGGGAATTAGATGACCTGCATTCCCTGGGCAAGTTTCTCAATGCCTATAGGTCTATGGTTCTTCAACTGTACACTGAGACTTGCAGGTTAGATCAGTGACCGCAAAAGGTGAGTGCCTACCATACTGGCAATGGAGTTGATTTAAGTCTATTTGAACCACAGATCAAATTGCATTGAACTACTAAATGTGTGTTTTTCTGTTCAGTTTTCTTTCAATACTTCTATTTAAATTAAATCAAAGAGAAAGGTTGAGTTTAGTACTAGTCAACACCCCCTGCCAACATTTGCTAAACTCTCCTTTTAAGAGAAGAATAAACTACAGGAAATAACCAGTGTCTAAGTAGACTTAAATAATTTATTTGTTTTCATTGTGCTTATTTTTGTGGTTACTTTCTATTTATGGGAAGTAATATTGGGTAATTATTTACAGTTTCCATTTATAATATTTATATAAAGAAGTAACCCTATTTAAAGAGAATTATTAAATCTAGGGAATATGTACATTTTGAAAAAATTGTGAAGGTGACTGAAGAGAGACATTTGGTAAACATTCTACTATTCAACATTGGATTATTTCAAGTTTATGGTTTCAAAGGTGAAATAATGGCATACCAGATTTATTTATAAAAGCTAATAAATTGTACACTATGTAAATGAGAAAAAATAACAAATTCACAGTCCTAAAATAAAGAGTCAATGCATATGAGTTTAAAAAGTAGGAATTTTTGAGAAAGGATTAAGAAAGAAGTCCTTCGGTTAGGACTAGGAATTACCTTTGGATAGATTTTGGGTCATATTAGGCATGGGATGAGATTAGAGACAAGAAAGAAGGAGCTTAATCAAACCATATTATTCAGGTAGGAATACTTAAAAAAATTCATTTCCTTTTCTGAAAAATTTCCATTTAAAAAGAGGATTAATACCAAGTGTTGTGGTAAATACTAAGAAGACAACTGGATATTAGTGACAATATGATAGCATGGAAATCAGTTCCATGAAATCAAAGAAAGAAAGTATACCAGCATACCTCATTATATCGCACTTTTGTTATTGTGCTTCACTTTATTGTACATTATAGATAGTGCATTTTTTAATAAATTGAAGGTTTGTAGCAACTCTGCTTTAAGCAACTCTATAAGCACCATTTTTCCAAAAGCTTGTGCTCACTTCATTTTTTTTTGGTTCACATTTTAGTAATTTTTACAATATTTTAAGTTTTAAACATTATTATTATATCTGTTATGTTTATCTGCGATCAGTTATCTTTGATGTTACTATTGTATCTATTTTGAGGCATCACGAACCATAAAAGATGGCAAATGTAACTGATAAATATTCAGTATATTCTGACTGCTCCAAAGACCAGCTGTTTCCCATCTCTCTACCTCTTTAGGGGCCTCCATATTCCCTAAGACAAAATAAAATTGAAATTAAGCCAATAACAAGTCTACAATACCTACAATAGTCTCAAAGTATTCAAGTGAAAGGAAGAGTCATATGTCTGTCACTTGAAATCAAAAGCTAGAAATAATTAAGCATTGTGATGGAGGCATGTCAGTTGCTGAGACAGGCCAAAAATTAGGCCTCTTACATCAAATAGTTAGCCAAGTTGTAAATAAAAATGAAAAGTTTTTGAAGGAAATTAAAAGTTCTACTCCAGTGAACACACAAATCATAATAAAGAGAAACAGCATTATTACTGATAGGGAGAAAGTTTTAGTCATCTGAATAGAAAATCAAACAAGTCACAACACTCCTTTGAATCAAAGGCTCATCCAGAGCAAGGTCCTAACTCTCTTTAATTCTGTGAAGACTAAGAGAAGTGTGGAAGCTGCAGAAGAAAAGTTTGAAGGTAGCAGAGGTTGGTTCATGAAGTTTAAGGAAAGAAGCCATCTCCATGACATAAAACTACAAGGTGAAGGAGCAAGTGCTGATGGAGAAGCTACAATAAATTATCCAGAAGATCAAGAGAAAATTATGGATGAAGGTGGCTACATTAAACATCACATTTTAAATGAAGACTAAATAACCATTTATTGGATGATAATGCTATTTAGGACTTTCATATCTAGAAAGGAGAAGTCAATATTTGGCTTCAAATCTTCAAAGGACAGGCTGACTGTCTTGTGAGGGGCTAGTGCAGTTGGTGACTTTAAGTTGAAGCCAAGGCTCATTTACCATTCCAAAAATTCTAGGGCGCCTAAGAAATTTGCTACTCTGCCTGTACTCTATAAATGGAACAACAAAGCCTGGCTGACAGGACATCTATTTACAGCATGATTTGCTGACTACGTTTAAGCCTACTGTTGAGAACTAGTGCTCAGAAGAAAAGACATCTTTCAAACTATTACTGCACGTTGACAATGTACCTAGTCATCTAAGAGCTCTCATGGAGATATATAAGATTAATTGTTTTTTTTTTAATGCCTGCTAACACAACATCCATTCTGCAGCCCGTGGATCAAGGAGTAAGTTTGATTTTCAAGTACTATTATTTAAGAAATGTGCTTCATAAGTTACAGCTGCAAAAGATAGTGGTATCTCTGATGAATCTGTGCAAAGTAAATTGAAAACCTTTTCTAAAAGATTCATCATTCTAGATGCCATTAAGTACATTCATGATTCACAGGAGGAGGCCAAAATATCAACATTAACAGAAGTTTGGAAGAAGATTATTCCAGCCTTCATGGATGACTGAGGGATTCAATACTTTAATGGCAAAAGTAACTGCAGATGGGGTGGAAATAGCAAAAAAAAAAAAAAAATAGGATTAAAAGTGGAACCTAAAGAGTTTACTTAATTGCTCCAGTCTTATGATAAAACTTGAACTGATGAGTTGCTTCTCATGGATGAGCAAAAAAAAAGTGGTCTCTTGAGATGCAATCTATTCGTGGTGAAGATGCTGTAAGCATTGTTGAAATGACAACAAAGGATTTAGCATATTCCATAAACTTAGTTGATAAAACAGCCATAGATTTTGAGAGGATTGACTCCAATTTTAGAAGTTCTACTGTGGGTAAAATACTATCAAACAACATCACATGCTACAAAGAAACCTTTTATGAGAGGAAGAGTCAATCAATGAGGTCAACTTCATTGTTTCTTATTTTAGGAAACTGCCACCATCACCCCAAACTTCAACAACCACTATCCTGATCAGCAGTCACTAATATCAAGGTAAGACCCTATATCAGCCAAAAAATTATCACTTGCTGAAGGCTTAGATGATTGTTAGCATTTTTTAGCAATAAAGTATTTAAAAGTATGTAATTTTTTTAGACATTGCTATTGCACACTTAATATACTACAGAATAGTGCAAATATAACTTTTATATGCACTTCTAATGTAATTTTTTGTGACTGGATTTATTGCAATGTTCCCTTATTGAAGTAGTCTGAAACTGATTATGGTTAAGGTATGCCTGAGTATGGCTGTATGTACGTATGCCTATATAATTATTTCCTTATGCCATTTTATTCTTGCTCATACTTGAATGTCTTGCAGAAGGGTAGGCATCAATAATAATCAGTAGCACAATGTTGATATTTGATACATCTTAGCTGGTATAATTTACAGTTTTCCAAAGAAGAACAATTATAATACATCATTGTAACAATTGATATGACAGATACACAATTCCTCCAACTTATTTTATGCCCACTTTTCCAAATAAGTGTCTGGACAAAAATTACAATGCTTTTTAAGCTTTGTCTGTTAATACTCAGATTTGTCTTGGATGTTAGAATGAAAAAATATTCAGTGAATGCTACTGCTTCCTGTTCAGAAAGGCAACATGTCAATTTAATAACCATTCCACTATTACCAGGGTGTCTTTCAAAAACATCTAATTTGAAATTGGCTAACCAAAATTGTTTACTTCAATGTTAATTTTTTACTTTTGAATTGATTTTCTAAGATGAAGATAATTAGAATTAATTACATAACAGGAGGTATACTGAGAATTACAGCAGTGGTGACGGTAGTGGCCTTCAGCAGCAAATGGGGATGGTTCTTTTGCTTACCACCTTTATGACCTTAAGCAAGTCACTTAAGGCATCTAAACGTCAATTTCCTTAGCAGTAAAATGCAAATAATAACACCTAATGCTTTGATGATTAAATATAAATCACTCAGTGTAGTTACTTACACAAAATAAATGCTTAACAAACATTAGCCATGATAATAATCATAGTCAAGACTGAAACAGAATAAGTAGTAATAATACTTTTATTTTTTTTCTCAAGAGTTTCTCCATGTGAATGGTAATTAATTTTTTAAAATAATATTCTGTACAGCCTTTCATTCATATAGCAAACGCTTCATCTTAGACAGGTGGCAGGTTTCCAGAGAAACCATTGCCTTCTAAAATTGCTTTGACAAAAGTATGAATGAGAGAATAAATATTAAAAGTAATAGCTTAGTGTTAAATATTTTAAGTGATAGCTTTAATATATTACATTGGATTTCTGGAAAGAGTTGAGTAAAATTTTTTCATATATCACAGTTTTTGCTTTCCAGTGAGATGAAGTTTTGCTAGTCAATCTTTTCCTGTTTCTAAATGTGAACAATGTAATGACTCATGGGGAATAGCATAAAGGTTGATAATACTGTTTAAACAGAAAACTTTTCTGGAAGTGAAAAATATTTGAGAGACATACAAAGTGACTATGTAAAATTATGAGTCAGATAATTTAATTTATTCTTTTTTTAATTAAAAAAATACTCTGAGAAGCACTTCTTTAATGACAGAGTAAGGACTTCCAAAAGCAAACTCTTCCATAAAAACAATAAGAATACTAGCAAAAGGTGTCAAAATGTTTGTTAGGATGCTGGAAATTAACCAAAGTCTTGCAACAATATGAGAAACATTTATATAGGAAAAACGTCTGAATCTTTGTAAGATCTGTGAGCTTTGTGGCATTTTGACTTGCCTCCTTTGTATTCCCCTCTCCCTAGCTCTTTTGTAGCCTTAAAAACCATCAGACTCGGTACCAAGCAGATGTAAAAATCAGCAATCTAATAACCACTGTAGGGGTAGAAAATATTTGGAGCTCCCCAAAAAGCCCCATCTCCAGAGAATGATTACTGTTTGATCGGTCTGGTAGCTCTTGGTCAAGCCCATTTACAAAAGATAGCAGTCTTGCCTTTATTTGATCTGATTCAAAGCTCAATCAGTGAGGAAATCCTATCCCCAAGTAATTTGTTAAAAACATTCAGCAGTGATTGTTTAACATTGCAGCCACTTGTGGTGGCAATACAAATTGGGGAAAACAAAAAGCTGCCAAAAAACAACATAAAAATTTAGGAATGAGGTGTACATAGGGGACTTTGAGAAGTTCCAATATATTTCTAGGGATTTATGCAGTTATGTGCAGGAATGTGTGTATGTTCAGAGAAGACCTGAAAAGACCCAATCTCTCCCTTATGACTGACCTTGAAGCTCTGTGCAATAGACAGTAAAGGTCATTTCAAAGTGCTAAGTGACTGGAATATTAAAGGCATACCCCAACACACACACAGATCCCCTTGGCAAAGGGTGGGGTACTTAAAGATTCAAGACATTCAAGTAAACCTATGTCCAATCATTAACTGACAACTAAACTAAGAAGAAAATTCTGTGTTTATAAATGACAAAGAATATAGAGTCTTATTAAAATAATCTAGGAAAATCAATAAACAGATAAACAGCAACAACAACAAACAGCAGCAACAACAAACCTTAAGGAATGAGGAAATCTGATTTCCAAACTTTCCACATTATATTATTCAAATTTTCAATTTTCAACAAAAGTTATGAGATGCATATATAAACAGGAAAGTGTGACCCATAAACAGAAAAAAAAGTCAATAGAAACATCCCCTAAGAAATCCCAGATGTAAAACTTTCTAGACAGAGACTCCAAAGCAGCTATTATGAGTTTGCTCAAAGAACAAAAGCAAACTATGTCTAGGAAAATTAAAGTATGAGAAAAGACTACATACTAAATAGGAAATAGTACTAAGGTGACAGAAATTATAAAAAAGGAACCAAAATAGATAATCTGGAGTTAAAAATTACTACACTTGAAATGAAATATTCACTAGAGGGATTCAACAGCAGATTTAAACTAGCAGAAGAAAGAATCAGCTTGAAGACAGGTCTGAAAAACAAAATAAATAAAGAATAAAAAACAAACGCGGAAAAATGAAGAACCATTCAGAGACCTATAAGATACCATCAAATGAAACAACATGTGCATTATGGTAATCCTAGAGGACAGAAGAGAGCAGAAAGTATATTTGAAAAAAAATGGCCAAAAACTTTCTAAATAAGATTAGTAACATTAGCTTACATATCCAAGCAGCCCAACAAAATTCAAATAAGACAAACTTTAAGAGAGGCACATCTAGGCACATCTTAATCAAACTATTGTAAGACAAAGACAGAGAATCCTGAAGCACTTAGAGAAAAATGACTTATAACTTACAAGGTATATTTAATAAGATAAACAGCTGACTTCTCATCAGAAACAATGGAAGTCAGAGGTAGTGGATTAACAAATGCAAAGCTCTGAGAGAAAAAAGCTACCAACCAAGCATTCTATGTACAGCAAACTATCCATCAAAAATAAAAGAGAAATTACACAATTCCGAAAAAGAGAAAAATTAGGAATGTATTACTAGAAGACCTGCTCTGCAAGAAATACTAAATAGAAGCATTCCTTCAGGCTGAAATGAAAGCACAATATTCCATAACTTGAATCTAGTTAAGGTTACTATATAGGTAAATATTAATATAAAAGACAGTAAAATGTTTTTTGTTTGTTTATGTGTTTGTTCTTTGGTATGTCACCAGAAAAATAGATAAATTATACTTCAGAAAAATTAAAAACTTTTTTTGTGGAAAATGATGCTATTAAGAAAGTGAAAAGATGTCCCACAGAATGAGAGAAAATATTTGTAAATCATATATCTGATAAGGGACCTGTTTCCAGAATATAAACTAACCTTAACTCTTTGATTATAAAAAGACAAATAATCGAATTAACAGGTGGACAAAAGATTTGAATAAACATTTCTCCAAAGAGGATGTACAAATAAGTGTTCAGCAATCGAAATAAAAGATGCTTAACATCAAAACTTGAATGAAATTCAGAACTATAGATAAAGTAACACTCCATACATGCTAGAATGGCTAAAATGAAAACAGACAGACAATATATATTTAAGACATTACTGAATAGGCTTATGGGCTCATTGCAGTTGTTTTTATGTACAACTCAAGTCCTTTACCCTGTTCTTA